>NC_000007.14:132506779-133131779 GCF_000001405.40 Homo sapiens
CCCACAGCTCTCCCATCATCCCATGCTGCTCTCCGGCTGCTTCCTGACTTTCTCACATGTCTCTTCCAAGGCACTGTGCACACAGAAGATGCTCAATAAACACAATTTGTCCCTTCCCATCCCTTTTCTAAGTTAGCTTTGCTTTCTCTATGTGTTCACTGCACTCTTACCTGACTGTGCTCTCATTTTAGCATTTCCTAAAGACATACAAAGGGCTAAAAACACACCTCTCCTGAAATTCCATATCTATCCCAAATGTAGGATGACTCCTCACATTCTCCTCTCCTTCTACCATATGGTTTTTATTCTAAGCTCCCAGGAAAGTTATTTGCAGGCTTGGTGAGTACAAAGGGCATGTACGTGTCTTGCACTACAGCACACTGTGATCTAGACTCCAGCCATGCCCGGTCCCTACGACATCCATTTGACACAATTCCTACCTATTTCCAGCACTCCCCGTCATAACTAGTGAGCCAATATGAGGCAGAGAAAAGTACACTGATGGGAATTTATGTTTCAGCTCCCACTCTGACTCTTATACATTCAATGTCATAGTTGCAGAATATTTGGTGACACTCTGGGTCCAATGAGACTCAGAGATGGGATGGGATATACTCACTTCATCTGCAAAAGGGGAAGGATGATACACATCCCATGGGGGCTACAGGCTGGGGTTCTCATCCTACACTCCCAACCATCCCAGCGCGCAGCCCTCCCTGTACTCACCGCACTGCTGCAGGGGATGTCCTTCACCTTGAGCCAGGCCAGGTCCAGCGTGCCCTCGCCCCGGTAACAAGACTGCAGCCGCTCCTTAATGCGGTCATTTATCTGCTTCAAGATGAAGATGCACAGGGCCGACTCATCCAGGGATTTCATTTTCCGCTTCTGGCCCTTGGAGAAGACGGTGAAGAGCAGGTCATCATCTGGATGGACTCCAAGGGTCCTGCCAAGCACGGCCCCCGCTTTGGACAGGTAGGCAGCCTGCAGCAGGCGGTACTCCACCCCACTGCGCTCACAGCCAATGGGCACCTCTACATAGGAGTTGAAGGCTGTGTCCTCCTTGCAAAGCCTCACGAGCTTGGATGTATACACCTGCTCCTTGGTGGTGGAGCCTGGTGGAGACACCATCTCAGGTTGGAGGGTCAAAAAGTAGACAAAGTTGCCACTGCTAAAACCATAGACATAGTAGATATCAAAGTCAGGGATGATGGTGAAGGTGTCCGAAGGGATCTTAATCATCGAGGCCACGAACTCATCATGGAAGACGTACGCGAACATGCCATCCGCCTCAGAGTTCTTGGTCAGTTTCCGGCTGGAGATGGTGGGAAAATACTCGGGCTTCCCATCCACTGCCGTGGCAATGAACAGCTTGTCATCCAGGTTGCTGTAGGAGACGATCACTCCAAAGACTGAGCCGCTCTCGTTGACACCTGACAGATAGTGCTCCTTCTTATGATAAGGCTCCCCCAGCTTGAAGAGGTCCTCCAGCCTCAGCAGCTTGCAGATGCCTTGGTACAGGCTCCCACAGGCAATCAGCCTGTTCTCCTTGTAGTCTATGAGGAGCATCTTGTTGACATTGTTGGTGGTGGTCAGGGGCTCATTGCAGGTCTGGACGATGCGGGGTGGGTAACACTTGGGGTTGTCCTCGTCCGGCCCTGTCTCATGCGTCACCAAGACCTTCAGGTCGCTGGAGAGCTTGTAAATCCGATTGACGGCCCCCAAGTAAATGTGTCCTGTCCTCTCATCCACCACCAGGTGATTGAAACCCTCGGCGGGCTCTCCTCGGAATGTGACAAATGACCGCTGCTTCTGGGACAGCGGGGCTGGCTGCCGGGTGAGCAAAGTGGAGGAGCCCATGCCCACCATGAGGAGGTGGGAGAGAAGGCAGGTCCAGTTCCAGGGCATGGCTTTCATGGCAGAGGCGGGTCCCAGTGGCACAGCAGCACTCAGGCACAGTCGTCCCCTCAGAGGGCCAGGACTCAGCAATGCAGTCTCCCCTACTGGAGAAAGGGAAGACAATGAGCTGGATAACAATGCCAGTGGCTTCATTTCACCCCACAGCTTGTCTGCCTGGACTTTCAAAATGTTCTGCACACACTGAGCAGAACTGCACTGGGGGGTGCTGGAGGCTGACTGAGTCAACCCCCACCACGGGCATGTGACACAGTCAGAGCCGGGTGGCAGCAGCCCCAGGAGGACACATCAGTAACGATAATGGTGGTGATGATAATGACATGATAATAGCAGTGATGATGATGATGATCATGATTAACAGCCATTATCTACTGAGTGCCTGAATTTGTGTCAGACACTGTCCAGCACTGTCACCCGGGTCAGGTGCCACCAGCAGGCAGCATCCGCAAAGACTGGCTGGAGGAGAAGAGGGAGGGAGGGAGGGAGGGAGGGAGGAAGGGCAGGAGGCGGGGCTGCCTGCACTGGCTGCAAGCTTTGTCCGGTGTTCCCCACAGCAGGCCTCTGCACACAGTTTCTCCGTCTCCAGGCTCTGTGAACCACCTCCTGCTGGACCCCATCTGGCCGTAGAGGTGGTAACAGAGACCTCACTATTACTATCCACCCATACTACATTGCCCCTTAAAGAGCCACACTTTTATGAATAGCCCCTTTATTAACCTTTTCTCAAAGGACCAAATTTGTATGTGCTGTCTATTACCTGCTGGGACCCTGATTGGTAGACCTCCGAAGTACATCCTATTGTAGCCACATTTTATAGCTAAGGAAAGCAAGCTTAGGGAAGTCATGTAACTTGCATAGCTATAAGTGGTAGAGGTAGCTCCAAATATGAGTAGTGTAAATGTGCACAGGTTCGCAATCTTAACTGCTAAACCATCTCAGTTCACCCCAACCTTGCACAGTTGGGGCTGTACCGTGGTCCCTGTCCCATGCAGCAGAAGAATTAAGGTTGATCCCTTCTCGGGGCTGTCCATTACAGCCACTACCTCCAGTTCTCTGTGTCTGTACCTACTACTGCAGGAGAAACTTTCCTCTGTGCCTCCTCTGCTGGATGAAGAGGCCAAATTAAAAACCCACATCCTCAATCTCGTCACACTGCAGCTGCAACCAGGTCCTCTGGGTTCACTGCCCAACCCTGAGCCCTAATGTTATTTTAACAAGGCAGATCTTGGCTTCCTCCCCTAGCAGGGCCTCCTCTGAGAGGTTTTCATTAAAGGGAGAGAAAAAATGCTTTAAGAAGCAGTCAAGCAAATAAATAAACAAATAAATACAAAACTCCCCGAGGAACAAGATCACTCCCCATCCTGAGGGTCTCTTTCTATTCAAGGTGCTTCCTGCATGTGTTCCCATTGGACAGCTTTATGTTTCTTCCAGTTCGAGAGAATTCAGGGCAGGAATTGCCAACATCCTATCTGGGGGCATCTCAGCTCTGTGGAATTTTTCTCATTCACCCCCAAACACCTCAAAAGTAGAGAATGAGAAGAGGTAGATCACTAAGCAATGGAAAATTCCCCAGCAGGGAGCAAACGCTAGGTCAGATGGAAACCAAGAGAAGAAGGAAGAAAACCAAATAAAGACTTTGCATTGTCAGCCAGCATCCTAATGAAAAGCACAGGCCTTCTCCAGTCAATATCAGAGGAGGAAGACTGGTTAGTGGAACACACCACAACCAAGAGCAGTGCTGAAAGCCAAGGGCCTTCATTCATTCACCCATGTGGCAAATGTTTGCTCAGAACACACACAAAATGTGCAAGACACTGTGGGGCCCAAGGAGCAGATCCTCAACGAATGCGTAGTCAAATCAGGCCGATACCACCAGAACCTGAACTGATACGCACGACAAAAAGTCACATGGCATACAAGAGAGTGCTTTGAAAGTTCCTAGGAGGAGGAAGACTTCTAACTTAGGGTGAGAGAGGGCAAGGAGCAGGCTGCAGGAGGCCTTGGGGAGGGCATGGAATTTGGGCTGAGCTGTGAACTTCAAGAAGACAGTCAGAGCACGAAGGGAAAGACCTTCTAGGGGAGGGGTCTACATAGCAGAAGCATGGGCATATCACATGAGGGTGTGTACAAGGAAGAGTACGTCTGGAGAACATAGTTCATGAATGAATCAGGTGGAAGATGAGGCTGAAAAGAGAGAGCTTCAGCCTTGCCAGGATGTCACTGGGAAGTTGAGACTGAAATGCACAGTGTTGAAGACAGAAATGAAATTGTAGAGGAAAAGAGCAAAGGCCCCCAGAGAGGAGCCTCTCCCTTTCCATTTAGCCTTAGCCTTTGCAGAAGGAGAGTTTGGAGCTGAGGGTCTGTGAACTCCACAGGGCAGGGCTGGGTCTGTCTTGCTCGTCAACACATTCACAGCTGCACATATAGAGGAGGCTCAACAACTGTTTCTTGACTGGCAGAAAGAGGGGCTGGAAGCATAGACGAATACCAATATCTGTGGAGTATTTACTGCACCCCAGAGCCCATGCAAATACTTTCACATAGCTTGGCTCACATAATCCTCACCACTGTTCCCTGGGATCAGAATTGTCTTATTCCTATTTCAGGTGAGGAAACTTTAGCTCTGCAAGGACACTGGTTAAGATGTAGCAGAACTGGGTTTGAAGTCCAGGTTTCAATCAATGCAAAATCCATACTTTTCTAGAAATGCACATTTCCAGAGCCCAGAAGATAGAGCACTTAGAAGCCCTTGTTAACTCATGTAAGCCCCAAACAGAAATCCTGGGATATCACCTACCAGTATCATGAGAAAAACAAAGTCCTCTCTGACCTTCAGGGGCTAAGCTGGTAGATAACACCGATCAGGTGAGTTCTGTGGTTTACCTCTGAAAGTATTAATGACTGTAAAGCAGCAGCTGCACAGAGCCTCTGCCTAGCACAGTTAAGTGCTTAGGAAATGATAGTTGCTGTCGTTGTTATCGTTAGCAAGATTAAAATAGGATTAGAAAGATTAGGATTATGATAATGAGATGGTTCCTGGTGGTACATCTCAAGATGAGTGATGAAGAGTCAAGATGGTTCACCTTGAATTGCTTGTGCAAATTCAAATATCAAAGAAGAATCTATAAGTTTTTGATCTAAAAGAGATAATCCAGCTTAGTGATTCCCAATCCCTGATTTTAGAGACAAGGAAGTTGAAATCCAAGAGGTCAGATGAAATTGCAAGAGGTCACACATTGAGTTGAAGACAGTGTAAGACTGGGTCTCACACTGTCCATCCCATGCTCTTTCCACCACCCCGGCCTCTCTTCTGACTTTATGTGAATTCACTCCAGCAGCTGCTTCCAGCCTTTGTCTGAAAGAGACTGCTCTTTGGGCACCATATGCTCTGCCGGCTAACAGGGCCCTCAAAACGTCTCTGCCAACAACCAAATTCCAGCAGGGCTGATAATCCCCCTTCCAGACAGGCAGGTGCAGGTCGGGGCTCCGCCACCAACTTTTCTGAGGAGAGAACTTCGCACAGTCTCTGTATCACAACCTGCCGTATGCTGGGGAATGTGTGCCTACCCCACGACCTGCCTTACTGTACATACACATGGATCCATGGCCAATCAGCAGCTCTCTAGTCTGCAAGAGGTGAGATGAAGAATCCTATAATTACGAATTTACTGAGCAGAAAGGTGCCATGGCTCATTCTGCATCTTCTATTAGGCACTGAAAGGAGACACAGTTATGCATCTCAAACACTTATCACCCTCATCTGGGGATGGTGAGATTACTACACCCAGAGAGGAGGGGGGCCCACAGAAACAATAACATGTACTGGGAATAACCAGCCTTTCATTTTACACACTAAGAAAGGGACTGATTAGGAAACAAATAAGAGAGAAATGGAAGAGAAAAGGGGAAAATAAGGATGTGAGCTCCAGCTTGCCTCACCAAAGACCCCACCAGGAACCACCACAGAGGTGACACCCCGCCGAGCTTGGGACCCACAGATATGCAGAGCCACCAGCCCCCTGTCTCCCTGAGCTGTCTAAGGCTGCTCCAATCTGGCAAAGCAAGAGTTTCCAGGGGGGTTTCCCTTCCAGGATGTCAATTCTTGTAAGCGGTAACCCCAACCTAGGAAACCCCCACCCCAATATCAGAGCCTACCCACCATTTCGCTCTCAAGTCACCATTTAGCTAGTTTCAAAACCAAGTATTAGAAATTACATTCAGCCCAACTCTGATTCTTAAAGGCAAGTAATGGGACCAAATAACCTTCACGATTGCCCCAAAGGATTCATCGAACTACGTAGAGTGGGTAAGAAGGCAGGAGAACTGAAAGACCCCGTAACCCAACTCAAACATGCTACAGTTTTCCCTTCTTTGAAATCAGATTTTAATTTTGAGTAGTCTCAGGGGAGATGGGACTCATTTATAGAAGCTGATCATCATTTTGATTAAAGAAATTGGGGTTGTCTTTGTTTTAGGCAGCAAGTTTCAAAGAACTGAAACTAATTTTCATGAAATAGCACCATCCTCTCAGATTCCTGAGTGGTAGAGAGGAAAGTTATTATAGAGTCGTTTAAAATAGCAATTACCCTGTGAAATTACTTTAGAGTTTACAAAGTGTTTTCATGGATATTACCTTGTTCTGAATTTCTTGTTCATGACAACCCTGTTAGGTAGATGAGGTATTTATAAGTATGCCTTCTTTAAAGATAAGGAAACCAAGGCATGAACAGGTACAGCTCTTGGCTAAGGTCACACATAGTCACGTTGGGCATTGGAGAGCTGAGCTCTTCAGGCCTCACTCAGTTATTCACAATATATTCCCTGGCCCCTTGGACAGAGTCCTGGTCCTCAGACCTTTTATTATGGGGTAATAGGATTCTCAGAAAATGTGCCCTAAGATGGCATTTCAAAATTCACGTCACAACACACCATGAATTAGGTGAGTCACAGGTGTTTTTTGTTTTAGTTTTTGTTTTGTTTTGTTTTGTTTTGTTTTTGAGATGGAGTCACCATCTGTCACCCAGGCTAGAGTGCAGTGGCACAATCTAGGCTCACTGCAACTTCCACCTCCCAGGGGTTCAAGTGATTCTCCTGCCTCAGCCTCCCAAGTAGCTAGGATTACAGGTGCCCACCACCATGCCTGGCTAATTTTTGTACTTTTAGTAGAGATGGGGTTTCACCATGTTGGGTCAGGCTAGTCTTGAAGTCCTGACTTCAAGTGATCTGCCTGCCTCAGCCTCCCAAAGTGCTGGGATTATGGGCATGAGCCACTGTACCTGGCCAGGTACTCTTCTTAATGAAATAAAATAGAAGGGAAAATACTAGTATGTCACATAGAAAAGATAAGCACTGTTTGGTGAGACTTTTTTTTTTTTTGAGACAGAGTCTCACTCTGTTGCCCAGGCTAGAGTGCAGTGGTGTGATCTCAGCTCACTGCAAGCTCTGCCTCCTGGGTTCATGCCATTCTCCTACCTCAGCCTCCCCAGTAGCTAGGACTACAGGCGCCCGCCACCATGCTTGGCTAATTTTTTGTATTTTTAGTAGAGACGGGGTTTCACCATGTTAGCCAGGATGGTCTCGATCTCCTGACCTCATGATCCGCCCGCCTCGGCCTCCCAAAGTGCTGGGATTACAGGCATGAGCCACTGTGCCTGGCCGGTGAGACTTTTGTTTTACCCACTATATAGCAAACTACATATTGAATGTGATGTAAATATGTGTGATGTAACTGGGTCCCTGGGATGGTTAATTTTATTTGTCAACTTGGCTGGGCCACGGTGCCCAGATAGTTGGTCAAACATTATTCTGGAAGTTTCTGGGAGGGTGTCTTGGGATAAGATTAACATTTAAATCAGTCTGCTTTGAGTAAAGCAGACTGCCCTCTATAATGTGGGTGGGCCTCATGTAATCAGTTGAAGGTCATGAATAGAACAAAAGACTGGCCTCCTCTGAGCAAGAGGGAACTCCACCAGCAGATGGCCTTTGGACTTGGGTACAATATTGGCTCTTCTCTAAGTCTCCCATCTACAAGCCTACCCTACAGGTTTTGAACTTGGTGCCTCCAAAATTGTGTGAGCCAATTCCTTAAATCAATCTCTGTGTCTCTATGCACACACACACACACACACACACACATCCTCTTGGTTCTGTTTTCTTTGAAGAAGCCCAACTAATATAGTCATGGTCAAAAAAATTTGAAACACACTTTCAGAGACGGTGCATACCTGTTGTTTTTGCTGTCATTCATTTATCCTCTGGGCATCTGTGCCTTTGCCCAAACACTTCTGCTGGAATTGACTCCACCTCTGGTTCAAAGCCTGAGCCACTCAGCACAGAACGGGGGTCGGGAGGGCATAGTGATTGGATCAGGAATGAGAAACTGGTTAAATCAGGTCTCCGACAAGCAACAGGCTTTGGATAGGGATACTAGGGGAGAAAGTTCTAGCTCTTCCACCAGATGTAACCTTGGAGAGGCAAGGGCCTAAGAACCGCTAGTGCCATCTTGTAATCACAGGGGTGAGAGCAGGGGACAGGAGCCTGGAAGAATGAAGCCAAAGTACTGAGAAGAGCAGAACTAAGCCAAAGGATAGAGAGTACTGGGTCCCAGGCCTGGCGACATCCTATAAATGTCTCAATTGTGTCCACTGAAGCCAGCTCTATGCCTGTACTTTCCGGTTACGCAAGTCAAAAAAAATTTTTCCCCTTTTGCAGAAGCCAGTTTGGGTTCGGTTTTCTGGCACTTGCTGATGTAAGGATCCTAACCTATACACAGAAAAATCCCAAAGAGTACAGTGTCTCCCACCACAACCTCTCTAATACACTATTTTTCCATGGGATCAAGTGAGCAAGCCAAACAGATCTGTGCCTTCCACTGCCCACAGAGATAAACTATGGTTTTACAGATAGCGAGGCACAATCCCAGGTGATGTTCGAACGTGTGTGCACGTGTATGTACCAACTTTCAGAATCAAACACAACACTTCCCTATCTGCTGAGCATTTGCCTTAGGAGCTGCACCAGCAGAGCTCTTGGGAAGTCTTCACCAATTCATGCTTCCGGGCCCTGAGTTAGACTCATTGTTCAAATGAAACCTTCTCTGATCAAGCCACTGGTCTAAGATGCCCCTACTATATATTAGTGCAGGAACCAGTGCCACCAGAGTCTCACATTTTACAAACTCTGTTATATTTGTCCATTGATGCTGTCTCCTAGCATAAAAATATGAGCTCCTTGAGGACAAGGATTATATATTGCCCCTCTTTTCTCCAGTTCCAAGCTCAGAGCCTGAAACACAGTAGGTGTATAATAGATGTTTGGAAACACGTGAATGAATGAATGAATGAATGCTCCATAGCAGAGTATATGAGATGGCAGTGGGTATCATGTACAGCTGAAGTACAAAGTAAATCTTGGTGCTTCAAGTAAATCTTTGAGCCAGTCAATTCAAACAGGGACCAACCTAAAAAACTGGTTGTACCCTGTTCTAAACCAGGGTTTATAAATACTTAAAATACTCCATTTTGTCCTTTTATTTATTTATTTATTTATTTATTTATTTATTTATTTATTTGTATTTAAAGGTAAAGCTCTTTTTTAATTTTTATTAGGACATGAGTTCAAATGCATCAGAGAAACTACGTCTTTCGTATATGATTTACATGGAGACCAACCGGTCCACCAGCTGGAATATCATAAAAAGCTGTCTTGTGTTAGCAAATTGGACTTTGAGAACCACCATCCTATGCAGCAAAGGAAATCAGTATGGACCTGGTTGAACAGAAGAAGCTGAGCCTGAAAATAAAATTGCAGCATGGAAAACAGACAACAACAGAAAACAGCCACAATGCAGGAGATGCCAGTTGCTAGAAGTCAGCATGCACTCCTGTATTCAGCCAACGACTATTGATGGAGCACATACCACATGATGAGTTCTGGGCTGGGTGCAAAGGATAGATACATTCCAGAGCAAAAAACAGTGTCCCTGCCAGGAGTGGTGACTCATGCCTGTAATCCTAGCACTTTGGAAGGCCGAGGCAGGTGGATCACTTGAGGTCAGGAGTTTGAGACCAGCCTAGCCAATATAGTGAAACCCTGTCTCTACTAAAAAACAATTAGCTGGGCATGGTGGCACATGCCTGTAGTCCCAGCTACTCGGGAGGCTGAGGCAGGAGAATCACTTGAGCTCAGGAGGCAGAGGTTGCAGCGGTGAGCCGAGATTGTGCCACTGCACTCCAACCTGGGTGACAGAGCAAGACTCTACCTCAAACAAACAAACAAACAAAACCAGTGTCCCTGCTCTCCAGGGGCTGAGGGTCTTCTAGAGGCCCCTCTAGCTGTCCCACTGGCAAGCTCTGCAGATCCTCCCCTTCCCAGCCTCTATTAGAAACCCAGAACTTCCTACAACACTGTACAACAGGTCATTTAATCTCAATTGTGCAGGTGGATTGGGAAGAGGAAGCTAACTTTTCACAAATAACATGCGCTTCCCTATGCGTGAGGCTGCTGGTATGAAGTCAGTGAGAGGTGGCCATCAGCGATGGATGACATTTCCCAGCCTCTCCATTTCCACATGGTATCCAGGTGTGACTGTGTGAATAGCAAGGTCATGGTGACATTTCCATGCCAAAGCAGGGAAGAAATAAGTGTGTTTTCTCTACGGTTTCTTTCACCACCCAGCTGGATAAAGAGGACCCTGAGGCCCTATAGGATGGTGGAGCCTCAAGATGAAAGATTCGTGCACCCACCAGGAACATCAGACAAGAAAGAAACCTTTACTGTGATAATACTGAAACTGTGGATTTGTGTGTGACAACAGTTAACCTCACCCTAACTCACAGGCAGAAACACAGCAAGCTCACTGCATCTCAGAGCTGGGATTCAAACGTAATGCTGGGGGGCTCCAGGCCTCTGTTCTTTGTGGTGCATCAGGCTCTGGCCCTAGGAAGAGTTCTCTTTAGATGTCAGCAGCCCCCTCCCTTGTTTCCAAAGCCAGATTGCAAGTGGGTAAGCCCAGAGATAGAGGAGATGGCCAAGCTAACATATACAGGATAGAGAAATCTTCCTGCTCAATGGCCATTTCCAAGTTTGGGGCTCAGGGAGGTAAGTGTGTGTGCAGCTGAGGGCAGTGAGGGAGTTGGGGAGCAGCAACAGGCCTCATTTCCATTTCATCTAAGAAACTTCAAACACTTATTGATCCATGCAAACAAAATGGACACATGCTATTTGTAGATTTCTACTCCAATTTGTAATCCGTGCATTCAACATAGCGTCTTCAGTAAGGTCAGTATTTTTTCATGTCTGTATTTTTTTTACTTTAAACTCTTGGTTTCTAGAAGTGGGAGCCATGAATTATTTTACAACTTTCCCTGGAGAATTCTATTTACACCCATCTAGGGCCCAATCATGCAGCTCGCTACAGTCTGGGGCCCATGACAGACAACTGACCCCATGTACTTGGCCACCTCACTGCAGCTCCATTCGTCCCGGCCTTCACTGTCCCCTTGCCCCTTGTTGCTAGCTATCTCAGAAATGAGTGTCACATTCATCAAAGGAAAGAGCCAGAGGGTAGGGTTGACACAGCAAAACCCATCACTACCACTAGGGGGAAAAGTCAAGTCAAAGCAACTGTCTTCCCAAGAGAAGGTCACTGCTGGCTTTGGGCAGTCTCAGTGTGGGTGGGGCCTGGTGGGGTCAGCTCAGCCACAACACAGCCTTAGTCCAGAAAGCAGCAGTCCAGCAGGGGCCATGGGAGCCCTCCTTCCGGTGTGCTTCCCTCTGCCTCTGCTTCTCTTCTGAGAGATGGGAACTGTGAAATTGATGACTGGTGGGAGGGCTGGAGAAAAGTATAAAAGATGGGGAAGAGGGAGCGATGGAGGGCCAGGCACTGATGTAGAGTCTTGGCGCCACCAGGCAACCAGCCCGGTCCCAGGGAAATCCAGCACCAAGCTCAGCTACGCGGGGCTCCCTTCATCCTTACTTCCTAGTTTATTAAAAGGGGATGAGGAGAAGTGATTACCATGGACAGAGCCTTTGGACCCAGCCTGGAAGAAGCCTCTGCAGGAGGCTGAGCCTGTGAGCCTCTCCATTCAGAGATCATGTCCCAGCCGGACCTCTGAGATGTTTATACATGGTTTCCACGCCCTCCTTCCTTTCCCTCCCCCAGGCCTCCTTGTCCTTGGCCTGGAGGGTGTTCCCTCAGGGTACAAAACCACGTCTCCCTGGCCAAGTCTGCCGTTCCCAGTAGAGTCGAGCAGGAGCTCCAGCCGAGGCCCAGGCAGCCCCATGTGAAACTCTCCATTACCACGTGGAGATCGCCTTGAGATTCCAGGCACTGTGCCTTGGGACAGTCACTAGGCAATGGCTTTCTTTACTCCAAGTGTGGCAGCAAGGCTTTAAAAACACAGCACTCTCAATAGGATCCTGGCTTGGGGAGGATAGAATCCTAAACTTCTTTCCAGCATCTCACTTAAAGAAACAGGCCAGCCAGGAATTTGGAGTCAGATGCCCCAGCTGGAGTTGGTGTCAAGACCTGCTCTGCAAAATGGCACAGGCTGGCACCTATGTGGCCACTGTCTCCTACCCAGTCCATGAGGAACACTCTATCCAGGGTCTGTCCAGGGGTACTGGCTCCTGGTCTTCAAAGGGGACCCAATGGCCTCTGAGTGCACAGAAATGGGGGGACACCATGGGAAGTTGCTAAGCTGTAGCAAAGGGAGACTTGCTGTCACGTCTGCTGCCCCAAGACCTGAGTGGACCTTGGGAACCACAGAAAAGGGGCTTGGGGGTCACCACAGGCTGGGGATAGTCACCTCTCCAGTAATCCCTGTCTCGTGCATGTGGCCTGAGGCTTGTCCAGCTGACATTTTCACCAGGAGAGGAGGCTCACTGCATCCCTGCCTGCCACTCTAACCTACACTCCCTGTAGCCTCTCTAGCTGCTCTGGCCTGGCCCCAGTAGGCAAAGCCACATTCAGTGGTCTTCACCCAAATGAGCTCCTTGCTCTCCTTTCATGGTAAAGGGAAGAAGTGGGATGTTTTTGGCTCACAGCCAGTCATGCATCAGCCAGTGTCACCCATAAAAGCCTCCTCTCAGAATTGCCATGGCCAAGGATACTATTGGCATCAGGTCATTCTAACCAGACACGTCCTGCTAAGTGACAGCCTTTCTTTCTTGTTGCCTCAGTTTCCCCATCTGTAAAATGGCGTTTCTGGAAATAGGATGGGGAAGAGAGATCACCCAGTTTCTTCTTGTGCTAAATCCAGAAGTGAGAGTGAAATGTTGTAGGCTTCACAGAACACAGGCTATCATTGAGGTTGGGAAGTTTCCACAAACAGCCTTTGTGGAGGTGCAGGGCAGAGCCACGTGATGTGATGATTACAACACCCAGGGGTGGTGTTCACTGGGTGACAAAAAGCTGGTGCTGAAGTTTCTCTCCAAAGACTCTTTGCATCTTTGCTTAAGTTGCCTTTTTAGCTGCCTGAATCTAGATTGTGGAGAGCCTCAGGAATGCCTGCCAGGGTTGAATTCCACAGTCTGCCCTCAGAGAACTCAGGATACTCATCTGTTAAGTGGATGTAAGTCACACTCTTTGGAGTCTATTTTCTCCCTTAGATAAAAAGGACCAAGCACATTCTTAACAGCTCAGGTGTTGGTCCATTTCACTGAGCCTGACAAGCAAGTTGATCTTTCTGGGAAAGGCCTTTGCTTCTTCCGGCCTCTGAGGACCTGGGTCCGCAGCAGGAGGCCAGCAGGAGGCCTCCAAGCATTGAAACTGCCCCACCCACCCAAGGGCTTAATTTAGACCCCTCGACAGGTTGACTCTGCCAGCATGATCTGACCCATTTCATTTCCTACATGTAGCAAGTAAGAAAAAGAAATGGAAATATTCCCTTCTGCAGACTGGTGTGAAATCTCTAGCTAGACTTTTCTAACTGTAAAAACAGTCAGTGGGCCTAGAAATGATAATACATGCAAGGTTTTGGAAAAACCAAGCCGAGAGTCCATACACTCAGATCCTTGGACCTCAGCATCTGTCCGGCCGCCCCTCCACTCCTAAAAGCCTGACCACCCCCACCAGCCCCTGTCACAGCTGCCCCAACAGCTCAGCCACCCACCTTCTGGCCCCACAGAGTCTTCACTCGAGGAAGCCCATAATCCCACCAAACATTGGCACTGTGGGGGAGCAGGCTATTTGGGGCTCACTCAGCCAAATGGCAGGGCTTCTGTTGTCACCAACATCTAGTGGGAGTGCCTCACTCCAGGCCCCTTTTGTCCCTCTACCCCCTCTCTTCTTTCTCAATTCCCCGAAAAATCAGGAAGTGAACAGTTGTCTCCCTTGCTGGTCTATATTCATGTAATTAGTGCTATTTAATTCCACGATGAGCCAAAGCTCATAAAATACAAAACATATTTCAGCTGTGTGCTGAAAATCTTGGCAGAAATCTCCACTGCAGCCGGAAGCTGAACGGAGATATATTTGCTCCTTGAAAAAAAAAAAAAAAAAAAAAAAATTCAGAATGACGGCAACAAAGTTTTGGGGCCAGGCACTACTACCTGAGAATATGTAAGGGGGTAGCAGAATAGAGGATTTTAGGACATAAAGTTTGGAAATAATCTCTATCACCATGACAACACTAAATTTAAGAAATATTTAGTATAGATCAAGTAACAAGTGTAATATATAGTGTACATGCCAGAAGAACATGTCATACATCATAAGGAGGTTGTTTTGGTCCCACTCATTCCTTACTCCCAAGAATTAACACGTGCTTTAAGGATTTGGGTCCCAGTCTCCGAGTCATCCTGCCTTTCCCATTGGGCACACACCTGCAAGTCAAATGGCCAAGAAGATGTGCAGTTTCTGGCAATGATTCCAAATTAACTAACACATCCTCATCTCCCAGCTCTTTTTCCCCTGACCCCTGGACTGTGATGAAACCTCACCCTATCTCTGTGTTTGTGCCAGCAACACCTGGGCAAGGAACAGGAAGTCTCATCCCCTTCCTCCCCAACTTCACAAAACCGGGCACAGAAGGGTGAAGCACCGGGGACTCCATCCTCTCAGGTGCCCATGACTGTAAAGTAGATGTGTCCTCAACAAGCCGACCTCTACCTCTGAAATCAACACCAGGTCCTAACTTGCCAGGGCTGCTGACATAACAGATTCCCTCCCCTGGCACCCCTATGACTTGGTCATGCCCTCTTCCTTTTTCAGGTGACAGGAATACAGAAAGGAGCATGTTGGTAGAGGGCCCAGGGCAGGGCCTGGCAGAGGGGAGATTCATGTTGGATGCTACTGACATCCCCCTTTCAGGACCTGCTCAGAAGCTGTGTCCATGGGGAAAGAGAGGCCATGAGGTGGACTGGGGTGTGATAAAGGGTCAGATCCACTGCAAGACCCAGGAGGCCTTTCAGTAGACTCAGCAGCTCTTCTGAATCCACTCTGTGGATCAGTTCCACGGACACAGACACAGCATGCTCCATGCAGAGGGGACAACACCTGCCAGCTCCCACTGCCCTCCTACTCTTATGCCACCCAAAACTCCATCATAAACACAACCATCACCACCTCTCATTGGTGGAATGCTTTGCCTTCTCTAAGCTCCTTCATAGGCAATAAGCCACTCATGGCTCCAAACATATATGACCACCCCAACCCAACCCATTAGGATTATTGCTGAGGCATGACTTTGGATGTCAGAGAATCTCATTAACTTTCCCAAAGTCATGCCTTTCCTCTCTCTATGCCTCAGATCTTCAGTTGATCCAATACTTTCCTAATAAACTCCAAAGCTGGCTGGGTGTGTTGACTCACGCCTGTAATCCCAGCACTTTAGGATGCCAAGGCAGGCAGACTGCTGCTTGAGCCCAGGAGTTCGAGATTAGCCTGGGCAATTTGGTGAAGCCCCATTTCTACAAAAAATACAAAAATTAGCCAGGCATGGTGGCACATACCTGCATTTCCAGCTACTCAGGAGGCTAAGGCAGGAAGATCACTTGTGCCTAGGAGGCAGAGGTTGCAGCAAGCTGAGATTGTGCCACTGCACTCCAGCCTGGGTGGCAGAGGAAGACTCTGGCTCAAAATAAATAAATAAACAAACCCCAAAGCCACTCACCAGAGTCATCACTGGGGATTGTATAGCAAAAGTGGGAAGGGAAATTTGTCTAGAAGGCCCATGATAAATGCACAGATGTTAACTGGGAAGAGAGAAAAGCCTTCTGACTTGTTCTGGCCTGTCACCTTGATAGGCCTTGAAAACTTGTGCACAATGGAGCTCAAGGAGGTGGCACCATTGGGCAAGCTCTCGGGGGCCAAGGGCTTGTCAGAAGAAACTAACCAGCAGGCAGGGAAGATGGCCCATGTCTTCATGCATTCGTTCACCAACACTTATTCAGCTCCCTAGACTCTACACCGGGAACCTACATTCTGGGGGTGCAGCAATGAGTAAGACAACAAGGTTTTTGGTCTCACAGAGTTTACATTTAATAGGGAGGATACACAATAAACAAGAAAAATAACTATTTTCAGATAGTGTTAAGACCTAAAAGAAAAAAGAAGCAAAGTCATTTGCTACAAGATAACTGTTGCAAGCGTGACCTCAGAGAGACCAACCCTGGCTTCTCTAGTTGGAATAGCCATGGTTTGTATCTCTGAGGTGACACTTGCAGGGGGACTGAATGGCCAGGGGGAGCCAGCCATGCAAAGATTTGGGAGAGGAGCTTTCTAGGCCAAAGGAAATGTAAATGCAAAGACACTGAAGCAGACTTGGCAAGGAAAAGGCAGAAGGCCGACGGGCTGGAAGGCCCAGAAGAGCACGGAAGGATGGGTGATGGGGTGGGAGAGAAGAGAGACAGCAGATGCCGGAGGGTATATTCCAAATGGCAGGAAAAGCCATGAAAAACTTCTAAGCAAGGGAATGACATGGTCAGGGTCTATGGCTAGCAAGCTCAGTCTGGCTGCTGTGTAGAGAATGGTTTTTGGGTGGAAGAGGAGTTCACTGAGGAGTGACAGCAGCCTGACTCAGGTGACAGTGTCAGAAAGCGAGACTGGTTGCTCCAGCAGGGGTTGCTGGTGATGTGGAAACAAGGGGGGCGGAAGAGAGGGACTTAGTCACACCTCCTTGATTTTTGGATTGAGGATCTGGGTGGGTGCTGGTACCATTTAACTGATATGGGGAAATCAGGGCAGTGGAGCAGAGAAGGCAAGAGTTCTTTTTAGGATGTCAAAGGTGAGGTTGTCTAGAGGGCCCACCTGGCCCAGGTTGATGCTCAAGAGAACAATCAAGGGAGGTGACTCACAGAGAACCACACTGTGTGTTCTGCGGAAGGCATCTCATGTAAATGCTCCTAGGAGGATGCTAATGTCATCCTTATTCTCTGGAAGACAAGCTGATTCTCAATAACTACAACGAAGTGAGGCTAAGATATCAACCTAACCCTGCAAAAAGCCCCATAGAGATGGGGGCCTTGTAACTGTGACGGCCCCTGGGTAGATGCAGAGATTGTACCAAGGGTCCTTGGCTGGAAGAACGGGATGTCAATGAAAGAATTTTACTTAGGAACCTAGAATTTGATGCTTATTTTTTTGTGAAGGAAGAACTACCACAGCAAAACTTGATTTTACCAAAGGGAAATTACTGATGCTTATGCAGTACAGGCTACTTTATAAACTTCACAAATTCCCAACCAAAGTTAATAACATTAAAGGATTGAAAATGGAAAAGGGGAAACAGCATTGATCATATACTTCTTAGCAAGGAGCCCTCTCTTCTCTCAAGTCATAAAGAGTGCCCTGGGTTCCCCATTATATAAAACAGTGAAGGGCTAAAGGCCAGCCTGAAGGAAATTAGGCTGAAATCAAAATAACTCACACTAAGAGCAAGACTTTTTTTTGTTGTTGTTGAGATGGAGTCTCACTCTGTCACCCAGGCTGGAGTGCAGTGGCATGATCTCGGCTCACTACAACCTCTGCCTCCCGGGTTCATGCCATTCTCCTGCCTCAGCCTCCTGAGTAGCTCGGTGCCCATCACCACGCCCAGCTAATTTTTTATATTTTTAGTAGAGACGGGGTTTCACTGTGTTAGCCAGGATGGTATCGATCTCCTGACCTCGTGATCCACCCGCCTCGGCCTCCCAAAGTCCTGGGATTACAGGCATGAGCCATTGTGCCTGGCAAGACTTTTTTCAAAAAAAACATATTAACATGTTTAAAACTCGTGATAAAATATACATTACATAAAAGTTACAATCTTCACAACTTTTAAGCGTACAGTTCAGTGACATTAAGTATACCCATGTCATGGTGCAACCATCACTGCCATCCAGAGCCATTTCATCTGCCCAAACTGAAACCCTGTACCCATCAAATACCAACTCTCCATCCCCTCACCCCCTGCCCCTGACAACCTCCATTCTACATTCTATGTCTATGAATTTAACTATCCTAGGTATCTCATATGAGTGGGATCATTTAGTATTTTTCCTTTGTGTCTAGCTGCTTTCACCTAGCTTAATGTCCTCAAGGTTCATTCATGTGGTAACATGTAGACAACATGGTGTCTTTTTGTTTTGTTTTTGAGAGACTCGGTCTCGCTGTCACCGAGGCTGGCATGCAGTGGCATAATCACGGCTCACTGCAGCCTCTAACACTTGGACTCAAACAATCCTCCCACCTCAGCCTTCTGGGTAGCTGGGACAGCATGCACAGGCTGCTACACCAGGCTAATTTTTAAAATTTTTGTAGAGTTGATTCTCAGTATATTGCCCAGGCTGGTCTCAAATTCCTGGACTCCAACAATCCTCCCACCTCAGTCTCACAAAATGCTGGGATTACAGGCATGAAAGATGGTTTTTAATAAAGATCCATTTTGTGGGGGGCACCAGAAACTTCTGGGTTTTAAGTAACTCTGGTTTACAGTTGCCAGTTCATGGACACAGGTGAGAAAGGGAAGACCTAGAGAAAACTTGTGAACAAATGCCTGTCAAGCCTTTTTGGGTGAAAACATGTCCCTTTCACCAACCTGCATCTCCAGACCCACAGGATTATAATAATATAGCACTGAGAAGAACACCAGTCCCTCCCAAGGCTCTGCCCTGAAAGGGTCCCCTATTAAGCAAGTATGAGCAACACTGCATCACCCTCCTGGGGAGCCATGATGCATGTCAGCTCACTAAAAGTCCTCAGAGGTGGTGCTTTGATAAGCAAACCCATGGAAGGTTTGTGAAACAGGGTTTCTCAAACTTGTTTGACCAAGGAAGTTTTTCTTGCTTAAACCCTATTATGACCTCTGGGAACACTGTTCCATGGTACACACCTTGGGAAATGCTGGCATGTTGGTTTCCATTCCTCAAGGCACTTTCACATCTATTTTCTCACTGAGTCTTTATAAAAACCCTGTCAAGTAAATTGAGAAACTTAGAGCAATTTGCTTCACTTATTGAAAAGAAAACCCAAGCTCTCAAGATTTAGTACTGGAAGGAAAATCTCTAGGTGAGGAGAAGCAACGGGTGCGAGTGGTATAGACTGCACTCCTTGATATTCCCTTCCCACCAAAGGCTCATGCATGGAACACATTGCATCCTCCATCACCATGGCCCCATGGAGACATAGCAGCCCTCCCGTTAATCTCCTGGCAGATGCCTGCACGCCTGTGACAACTGCCTTCTCCTGATCCTCTTAGCACAGATGAGAGAGGTCACAATTTTCTCAGATTATAAGAAATCTGACAGGAAAACAAATGTAGAGAAAGGAGGAAGGATAAAATGAGTCTATCGGAACAAAGTGTAGGTTTCAGTTTCATCCCCTCCTAGCTCATTCCCAGACTCAAAGGCCCCGCCAACCCACACACCCAAATTGCTGATTTGACTTCTAAGGTGCCCTGCCTGAATGGTTCACTTCCTTGCTGCCTGTAGTGCATGTACTCCTGGCGCCCCTGTTGGGGCTGCTGTTTTATTTGGGGATAATGACTCTTCTGTCCTGCCCTATGGGGTAAGGCTATGCTTGTGAGGGTTGGACATGGCTTCTCAAGAAGGAGGTGAACATTTATGGTGGCAGTCATCCAGGTGGCTCTCAAATAGGTCACTAGGACTGATGGCACACCTTCACAGGTAGGACAGGGCCCTCCCATCCCTCTTTGGTGCATAGTCTTCATGCCTAAACTTTAAGGGGTCTTGAGGGTCTGGCTAGTGGTCAAAGACAGACCCTGCCCCACGGTGGCACAATGGGTGTTAAACAGGGCCACTCTACAAGAGACACTGATGAAGCAAAATAAACCATAACTTGGAAACCCCATTGACTTGTTATAGTAACTGTCTCTATTTATTTCACTTTTATCACCCCCAGGCCCCGGGTTAAATCCTGTTAAATGTCCAGCCTTATGTTAGCCATGCTCTTAGAAGTTAATGGACAGTTGTAAATCCAAACTTAGGATGTAGATTATTGGGAAGATGCATTCCGTTCTCTGGACCCAATGTGGCCAAAGCTGCAGTTACTGGCAGAAGAAACTGAAATCTTTAGACAAGAGCTGAGGCTGCAGGACCTCAGCACCTCCTCAAGTAGACGTTCTTCCTCCATTGCCAAGTCTAGAGTCTGAGTTTTATTTTGCTCAGCAAGGTAAGAGTTACCTTACTGAGAAAATCTTGCCATCCACCTCTCAGGAGCTACTCTCCCAGATACCCAACTGCCTTCAAAACTTGTAGGCATTTTAGGCAGGAATTACCATCCCCATTGAGCAGATGAGGAAAGTGAAGTTTAAAGAGGCTAAATGCCTTTCTCCACGTCGTAGAGATTTTCCCAGGAAACTACAGTGAGTAAGGGCAGCACAATGTGTCACAGTGTGAAACAGACTCAAAAAAAAAAAAAAAAAAAAAAAGAATTGGAAAGAAATGAAGCAACCTCTAGTGAACGGACTAACAAGATTCAGTCCAAAGTGAAAAATCAATGACGCAAAGGCTCAGCCTGCAAAAATCGATGAGGCAACGGACCAATAACCTGTATTCCCAGCTGAATTGACACCCGACTGCATTACAGTCATATTTGTATTTGCCCAGACCTATTCCCCATGCCACCTGCCAGCATACTGCCCACATGCCAGACTCAACCTCCACGCACGTGCCCACCTGATCCAATCTGAAGAGCATCTTCCAACAGCCCTGAGAGGTAACTGATAGAGCCTGCACACAGAGGCACGAGAACAGAGCCCCTGGAACAAGGAGATAAGGTGACCTTCTGAGAGTTAATTTAGTAACAATCAAGACATCTGCATGGAAGCACCAGATATCTGCAGAAACCACCTTACAAGGGCAAGGTGTCCCCAGGTCTCCACTGAAAAAGCAGGGAAGTGAAGCCCAATCAGGGTGACAAGGTTTCTTCCCCAGGACAAGAATATAACTTAAGAAGGCTATAATCTAAACAGCTTGAATAAAGAAGGTATTAACCAACTCGGGATGGTCGGCTCGGAGAACAGAGTAAGCAGCATGAGTGCTTGGTTTTTAATCTCATGCCAGCCAGGGAGGGAGAGTTGTGGTTGACTCACCAGGAAGGTGAACTCCCAGGAGGCGCAGCAGTTGGACACGAGGCTTCTCCATGGTGCGGACTACATTGTTCTCAAGAACACCCAGCCTCCTAGTCCCGATCCATGCTCCCCCAAGGAGCAGCCAACCCACCAATGTGTCTTTCTTACTGGAATATTCCCAACTGTATTCAGGAGTTCACCCTCCACACATGGCCGCACCCCAGAAGCAGGCAGCCATGATTGGAATAAGCCAATGATTCCCAGCATCAACCAACAGCTGTGATTGGATTAAGCCAGTCATGCTGGTCTCCTTCTCCCTGCCAGTGATGAGTTTAGGAACAGCCATGCCACCCAAGCCTGATGAATGGGACTGAATGAGAAGCCTGCCAGGGGCTTCAGGAATATAATTTTTTTGCTCTTTAAAAGAGACTCATGTGAGGGAGCACCTCTCTTCCTTACTTGTCCACCTGTTTACAATGCCTGGAACTGTGGCAGACTTCTTGTGCCCATGAGAGAGGCACCACTGATGTGCCTGCAATGGCTGAACAGAGAGAAGGGAAGTGCCAGGAGTAGGATGATGCAGGGGAGCTGCTGAATGACCAGTTTTAGAGCCGCCCAACTTGGGTCTTCTTGTGTGAGGCCACCATTCACTTATGGTTCACACTATTACTGGGTCCTACCAGAAGGCGAAAGCATCTCACTGACTCACCCAGTAATCCCTCAGGCTACAGCTGTGCTCGCTGATGATACTTTGCTGCCATGAAGACTATGAAGGGTGTCTAGGACAGCAACAGCCATTCTTTCATTAGCTGGATAAGAGCAGACTCCAGCAATGAATAAGATGGCATTTTATCTTAAATATCAATATCCTTGGGACTAGAATGAGTTAGTCCTGAGAATCTGTTCATCTCTGGGTACACACACCAGCAAAGCCAGCCCCAGTCCATAATAACCCCACCCTGGAAGGCCCTACCTGGCAGCCACTGGCTGCCTCCCATTGCAGGTTGGTGTCACCTTGTTTAACAGCAATCAAAGGGAATAACAGAAATAGCAGAAAACACCTGCTACCTTCTCATCCCCACTCTACCTCATATCTCCTCAAATCCTCCCTACTCTGCATACTTATTTTCATGTCTTTAGATGAGCTATATCTTTCTTACCCACCTCGTGGCATTTTGGAAAGAATAAAATTAAATCAATATCAAAAATACAAGGTGTTACAGAAATCATGGAATTTGGGACATGAAGGCTGTGTTGAAAATCTTTTCAACTTACTATGCATTGGATTCACTGGGAAAGTTTTTTTAAAAACACAGATTTCAGCACCCCACCCCCAGTAACTCTGGTCTAAAGGGTCTAGGGCAGACATCAATATTTTTTAAAAGCTTCCCAAATAGGTATTCTTTTTTTTTTTTTTTTGAGACGGAGTCTTGCTCCGTCGCCCAGGCTGGAGTGCAGTGGTGCGATCTCGGCTCACTGCAAGCTCCACCTCCTGGGTCCATGTCATTCTCCTGCCTCAGCCTCCCAAGTAGCTGGGACTACAGGTGCCTGCCACCATGCCCGGCTAATTTTTTGTATTTTTAGTAGAGACGGGGTTTCACCATGTTAGCCAGGATGGTCTCGATCTCCAGACCTCGTGATCCGCCTGCCTCGGCCTCCCAAAGTGCTGGGATTACAGGCGTGAGCCACCGCGCCTGGCCCCCCTAATGGATATTCTTATATGCAGCCAGAGTGGATGAGAACCACTGATAGGCAAACCCTGTCACGTGCAGATGAGGAAGCAGTCCCAGGGTTCAAAATCACGCATCTGCTGGAAAGAAAGCCAGGGCCCTTGGGGTCTGATCTCTTGAGCCCCAGACTGGGTATCTTTTCATCATGCTTCTGTGTCAACTCCAGGGTATTTAGATCATTATTATTAATAGACAGAGAGAGGAAGCACAGGAGGAAGACTCACCAAGGGCCATGAGGAAACTTCTAGGGATGATGGATATGCTCATTACCTTGATTATAGTGATGGCTTCACAGGTCAAAACTTATTCAACTGTCTAAACATGCAGTTTATGGAATATCAATTATATCTCAACAAAACTGTATTTAAAAATAGACCCAAAAGGTAACAAACATAAAGAGACAACATATTTGCAAATCAACTATCTGATAAGAGTCTAATATCCAGAATATATAAAGAATTTCTACAACTCAACAACAAACAGATAAACCAGTTTGAAAATGAGCAAATGACTTAAAGAGATGTTTCTCCAAAGAAGATATATAAATGGTCAATCTGCATTTCATTAGCCATTAGGGAAATGCAAATCAAAACTACAACAAAATACAATTTCACATCCACTAGAATGGCTATAATCAAGAAAACAG
The DNA here is from genome assembly GCF_000001405.40 of Homo sapiens. Classification (NCBI taxonomy): domain Eukaryota; kingdom Metazoa; phylum Chordata; class Mammalia; order Primates; family Hominidae; genus Homo; species Homo sapiens. The sequence goes on from NC_000007.14 coordinate 132,530,581, forward strand.
AAAGTAACAAGTATTGGTGAAGATGTGGAAAAATGGGAACTCTTGGATACTGCTGGTGAAAGTGTAAAATGGTTTATTCAGCTACTGTGGAAAACTATTTGATGGTTCCTCAAAAAGCTAAACATAGAATTACCACATGATCCAGCAATTCCACTCCTAAGTATATTCCAAAACAGAAATTCAGACAGATATTTGTACAACAATGTTCATTGCAGACAACGTTCAAGAGTTAAAAGATAGAAACAACCCAAGTGTCCATCAACAGATGAACCAAGAAACAAAATGTGATATATCCTTACAATGGAATATTATTCGGCCATATAAAGAATGAAGTTTTGATATGTCTAAATGAATGAACCTTAAAAATATTATGCTAAGTGAAATAAGCCAGACATAAAAGGACAAATATTGTAAGAATCTACTTATCTGAATCTCAAGAATAGGCAAATTCCTACACAGAAAGTAGAACAGCGGTTACCCAGAGCTGGGAGGAGAAGAGAATGGGGAGTTATTAATGGCAACAGAGTTTCAGTTGGGGAAGATGACAAAGTTCTGCAGATGGATGACAACTTTAGTTACACAACATCATGAGTGTAATTAATGCCACTGAATTTTACGCTTAAAATGGTTAAAATGGAAAATTTTATGTTTTATGTACTCTACCACCACAAGAATTTTTAAATACAGACACACTGTAGTCCTCTGCCATCCAACTCTCACAATTACTGTCTGTATTTGTAAAACATGTTACAGATTAATTAATAACAAGGAAAAGGCTTATGAAACTATAATGCACTAAGAACTCTACATGAATTACCTATTCTATTTCTCTTAATAGTCTATAAGGTAGATATTATTATGATCTTTATTTTATAGACAAGAAAACTGAGTCACAGAGAGCAGGAAATCTGTCCCAGACCACAAAGTTAGTATGTAATAGAATAGTGTTTTTCATCTGGTAACTTCCTAGAAATGCAAATTCTCAGACTTCACTCCAGACCTAAGGAAGCTGTGTTTAGACAAGACTGCCAGGTGATTCTGAGGCATGGTCAAGTTTTAGAACCGCTGTAATAGAGCCAAAATCGAGTTCAGTTAAGAACCTGAACTTTCGAGTGCTGTGACAAGCAGCAGTCATTCTTAACAAAGAGCAGTGGTTCTCTCACTTAACGATGCATCAGAATCACCTGAGTGCATTCTTGCCTGGAGTGATTCTCACCTGGAGCCCATCTTGAGTAGGCTGATTTGGTGGGTCTTGGGAAGGGCTTGGTAATTTGCATTCTTAACAAGTTTCCAGGTAACACTCATAGCCCAGGGAGGACACTTTGAGAATCACTAATATACAGAATCTCATTATTATCCACATTTTACAGATGCGGTAACTCAAAATCCGACATTGTAAATCCTAGAACCACAAAAGGGGTTAGTTATTGGCTGGGCCTAGAGCCTCAGTCCAAAGTTTTTTTCACTACAGCATAAAGCCATCACCCCAGTGTTCCAGATGCTTCCAGGTGTCAACTTGGCACAACCTCCCTTAAAGCCAACACAGGTTGAAGACATAAAAGACGTTTTTACCCATTCCAACAAACTGGCATTAGAGTGATCTAAAAAACTAACTGGCACTTGTGCCAAAGAAACGCAGTAAGAAGACAGAAAAAGGAAGGGACAATAATAACTAGAGCCTAGTTTGGGGGTCAGGACTCTGTCACAGTGGAATCTAAAACCTGACCATGCTTCAGAATCACTTGGTGGCCTTTTATAAACACAGGTTCCACAGGTCTGGAGTGGGACATGAGAGTTTGCATTTCTAGAAAGTTTCCAGGTACAAATGCGTTGATGCAGTTGGGAAGAACTAGAATATGGGTCACTTCCTCTTTATTCTTATGAAATCAGTTGCCTCTTATGTAAGTGAAAGAAAATTTTCTTTCCTGCCTTGTTTGAAAAAATATGACATCATACCATCCTTTATGCACAATGCATTATCCTTCATATGTTTTATTACCATCACCTGTAATGTTCTATACATCTCCAGATTCTCCTCTTTCCAAACCATTTGTCGTCTCTGATCATGCTACTCTGCTACTCGAGAATCTTCGATGGCTCCCTATTGCCTACACAGTGAGGGACAGACTTAGCATTGTATTCAAAGACCTCCATCATCTGACTTCATGGTTTCCACTCTAATAGAACTACTCTCTATTGCCCATGCATGTCCTGTGCTTTCCTGTTGTCATGCCTTCACCCAGTTGTTCCCTTTACCTAAGATTCCTTTTTCCTCCTTCCTTCCCCATCTCTACACTTACAAATGTGACCTGAGACTAACTATTTATTCCCTCTAGGCCTCAGTTTTCTTAAGCATAAAACAGAGATGACAGTAGGATCTTCCTTGTAGGTTGTGATGAGGAATAAGTAGAGCAATCAGTGGAACTGGTTGCCACCACCACAAATCCCTCCTAACTTCCAAACCGAAGGGATTTCTGTCCTTCCTTTAATTTCCAGAATAATAGAACCTGTATACACATTATCATTATCATGTTCTACTTTGCACTTGCCATAATGTTTATACCTGTATTCCCTTTGCAGCTAAGGAAACCCCATTAAGGTGAAGATATGCTTCTTATTTTCAGTTGCATGCACAGTACTCAGCACAGTATAAACACCCACTCAAAGTAGGAGGAACAAATGATCAGGACTGTTTTACCTTAAATTGCTTCCTAGAGCTGCCCTTGCAGTGCTCTGAGGTCCCATCATAGGTAGCCAAATCCTTGGGTGGAACATAAACTCAGGAACTGGAGAGGTGCAAGGCCCCCAACATGAAAAGAATTAACTTGTCTCCAGACATCACCTGTTCAAAGGGTTCCCTGGAATCCACAGAGGCCAGCCTTAGCCCAATTTTCCAACCCAAGCACCTTCTAATAATTCAAGGATTCCCATCCACATCAGGACTCCCCTGTGCTTACTTAAAACAAAAAACCTTGGCTCCACAAGAAAACCATTTTTCTCTATTTGATGCTCTGGGCCTCTGTTCTCCTTTTGCTCTGCTAGTCTAAGAAACTGCAGCTGCCCTGCCCACCTCGGGGAGCTCTGATCAGTGGAAGCCGGGCTTCTTGAGCACACAGCCTGCAGGACCAGAGAGCTCTGCTCTCCCTTCTGTGCCTGCTGCCAGCACCCAGCCCTTCCTCCCTTCACCGCCCATCTTGGAGCCATCACCTATCCCACACTAACCCACCTCCTTGAACAAGGCCACCTCATCCTCTCATCTTAGAACCAAGAACTCTGGTTTGGGACCACTTCCCACAGAACCAGACCCCTGTGGGGTTGCTCTAAAGGACAGAATAAGGATATTACTATTATTATTATTATTATTATTACTATTATTATGTTAACAAGTCACCAGGCAACAAAGGCAATGAGATTCAAAGACATTCCTTGGTGGCTGAGTGAAGGCTGAAGAAAGGGAAATAAAATGGTTGCTTTATGAGAACTCCCAAGGCCAGCAAAGAGGAAGAAAAGAAAAAAGGCCAGTGAAGAAGAAGCCGCAGCTTGAGTGTGTGTAGTAGTAAAGAGGAGAGGGGAACAGGAATTCACACTGAAACAGAAAGCCGGTCAGCTTCAACAAGGAGAGGATACAAGACTACTTGGCTGGAACAGGGATACCTGGTGAGAAATCCAATCAGCAATTCCAGATCTTCCCTGACTCTGCTCCAAGTCTCCCCAAGTCACCAGCCCCAGGGCCACCGCCCCTACTAACTACTTCCACCATTAGACCCCCTCCCCTCTGTGAGAGGGCCCATGAAACAGCAGCAACTTCCAAGTGAGAGGAGCCAAGTGAGAGACCTGAGGTTCCTTCCACCCCAGCCCTCCCTACCCTGGCGTCCACATATCTAAGCCTGATGCAGAGACCGAGAATCTGGCTCCAGGGGCCCTGTCCACGGGTGCCTGCCCGTGAGTGTTGTGTGTGCATAGATTCTGTAGTGGCGGAATGGGGTGAGGAGGCACAAAGAGCCTCTAGCCTGAGAGCAGCCGGGAGCTGGAGCAAATAGGATGGACACTGGGTTGGCTGGCACTCAAAGCCTTTTATTTTAGTAGTCTCCAAAAGAAGGGCTATGGAAAGAAAATACTAGAACTTCTATTTAAATCTATTTGTACCTCAAAAGACTGAAACATAACAGCTCTACTAATATTTGATATGAAGAATGGGCGCCATTACTGGGCGTGTTGAGGGGCATGGATCTTACAGGTGCCTGAGAGCAGATGGCACCATGATGCTGAGGCTGACACGGCGCCCCCATTCCTTAACCTGCCACAGTATTTAGCAAGATATGACAGTATACCTGAGCCAATTCAGGAAACTTACGATTTACTGTGTTATTTCACTTCAATAATCCAGTGTTTTAAAAACTAGGCAAGTGGCTTTAAGGCCTTCCTATCAGGAGAATATGGATAGAAAATAACACATAAATAATGCAGGCACTGGTAATCAATAAGAAAATGAAGATGTGATCCTTCCACACCTAGTATAGATCTTCATCATCCATATTACAAGCTGCAGGACCAACTTATCAGACCAGAAATCAACCCGTCTCCAAATAAAAAAGAAATCAAAACTATGAAGACTATTTTGATATCTGGATTTATGTTCACCATCATTAATGATGAACCTCCCAATGAGCGCTGATTTACTTACAGACAATGCCCAATGGATGGGGGCACATGCCAAAAACATCAGAGACCAAACGTCATTCCCCAACTTTGTTGAGGGTTCTCCTGGCTTGCAGAGGCAGAGGAGGGGCTGTGGTCTGGTTGGTGGGTTTCCATGGGAGAACAGCAAGAGGGGGCCACACTCAGGAACCTCAAGACCCAGCCCTTGGTAACGGCCTTTTGTGGCTGAGGCCAATGAGCGTATCTCCCCTCCTACCCTCTTCCTCATATCAGCTGCAGAGTTGGGGCTCCAGAGGAAAGGAAAGGGGTCCCTTGGTATTCAGGACCCTGATTCATCTCATTTACCTCGATGGCAGCCGCCCCATAGCCCACACCTCACTGTCCCACCAATTCACTAAGAAAGCCAAAAGGAAAGTGTGACCCCGAGAGAATAGAACCCAGGTCCTTTTGTTCCCAGGCTCATGCATTATACCTTGGCCAAGATCCCCTCTGCAGGCCACACAGGCAGGATCTTTTCCCGATGATTGAAAAATCAAGGCATCTTCCCCTGCACCAATAGGAGCTAATTACAGAGAACTTGCCACAGGCCAGGCACGTGGCTGAACACTTGACCCCCATCATCTCCATTAATCCCCACCACAACCCTACAAGGTAGGTCTTATTACCTATTAGACAGAGGGAAAAACTGGGGTTTACAGAGAGTAGATCATTTTAAAGGCTGCAGCCCAGACTCAAAGCCAGGCTCCAGAATCTCTGCTCCCACCTCTCTCCTGCTTCCCACAGCAATTGGGCATGCCAAACTTGGAGAAAAACTTACCTTCGTCTTATGACCTTGGACGAGTTACTCTCTGAACCTCGGACCCTCGTGCATAAAATGGGGTTATAATAGGACATACTGCATTGGGCTTTTGTGAAGATTAAATGAGTTAATAAGTGTAAATGCTTCAAACAGTGCTGCACACATAGTAGCTGCTGTATTGGTGTTTGCGGTTATTATTGCCATCATGACTGTGTTACATTGTTCTCCCTAGTAAGTTCAGTTTTTCTTCCCGTCGTTCCCTATAAGTGACTAATTTTTATCCTTTTATCCTAGTCTTGATCCTTGCAACAGACCAAGGGAGAAGTTGTGCATTACAGAGGACAAAGACTAAATTCCCCTCCCTAAGCCTACCTCCACCTCTGCATGCACCCCACTGACACATAGAGGTCTCAACAAATAGAACGACGACCTCAGTGGTGCAGAAGGAAGGAGAAGGAGGCTTCTGAACAAGGCTTCCTTCAGCCCCTGCAGGGCCCCCATGTGGCACCGCCAAGCTTCTCCTCTGAGCAAACCTGCCAGATATAGGCTGATCTACCAGGGCTCCAGACACCTGGAGATTAATTAGAAGGCCAGTCCTTGGGCAAATCAGCCCAGAGGACCAGCCACAAGGAGCTGCAGAGAGAGGCTGGTAGGCTGTAATCCTAGAGCCAGCCACGGAGCTATGCCTGGTCCAGCAGCTATGGCAGTGGCAGCAACTCATACACCACCCCTAAGCGAGGAAATGCTGCCCTAAACGTATGGCTGACTTTTACAAGTCGAAGGTCCCAACTCCAGGAAGTTAGGGCAGAAAGAGACAGTCATGAGGAAAGTATTTCTGAAGAAAAGCAGATTATTTTGAGCACGAACTGCTGAGTCCCCACTCTGTGTCAGCCTCTGCTTCTTGCCAAGGAGTGTTGCTAAGCTGATCTTCCTCCCAGGAGCATTAGGCTGATTTAAAAGATGGCAAGGAAGCAAGCAACTAGAGAAGTCCGGGAAGCCTTGAAGCGACAGGTTACGTATAAACTGCACTTGGGGGCTGCTGCCTGGAGGAGCGAGCTTTCTTTCTGGATTCTTCCAAAGGGCAGAAGCAGGGCCTGCAAGTGGAGGTCAGAAGACAGAGATCTTGATCCTGTCTGAGACCACGCCGTCCACAGGGCCAGCCTGGCAATGGGTCAAGCTACCCCAGACATATCCAGGCAGCAGCCAGGTGTCCTTTTCGTGTGCACCAGACTCCCCTCTAAGGCAGGAGGTTGGAGCAAGCAATGCCTAAAATGAGCTCTTGGCTGTGTCTGGCACCTACCAAGCACGACAAATGAAAACTTTGGTGGAATTAACAATCTAATGATAAGATTTGGTGGTTCTTTTTTGGCCTGACACAATGAAAGTAGCCTCTTAGGAAGAAGCCTTAATCCTCTAAGTCCATACATTGCCCTGAAGGGGCCATTTTCAGCACCCAAGTTCCTATTTCAAAAAAGTTAAGATGTGCTTTAAGGGCTTTAGCTAGGATTCTCTAGTTAGAGACAAACACCAGAAGCAGAACTGCAGGGTGTCTCGGGACTGAGGCACATGTGCCTGACCAGACCCGGAAGAGGGTGGGAGGCATCTACTCAACATGCTCTACTGTGCTGCATGGAAGTGGGAGTGAGGAAGGCCAGACAGGAAGAGAGAAGTGAAGCCAGGCCCTCTGAGAGTGAGGTGTCAAATTCACAATGACAGCAAAGCCTCTGGTAAGAATGGGAGCTGGGAAATTCTTAAAAAAAGAAAGTCTTTATCTAGATCAAGCCCTTCCTCAAGCCATGACCTTCTGTTGTCAATTTCATGGAGAAGTGCACGGGCAGTGGGGGCCACCACAACCCGCACGCTCAGCCTGGACACACAGCCTGGGATCATTTATCAAACCAGCAGAGGGGAAAATCCCCCAGCACAGAGCAACTCCTCTGCAAAATGTAGAGCTTCGCTGATCCTGCCCGACCCCAAACCTGCTCACATTTCAAGTCCTCCAAGAAAAGGATCAGACAATCGCTGTCCTCTCTTGCTTCCCCTTCTCCAGTCCTCCCAATGCTGCCACCCACATGGAGGAGAAATGTGTACCAGGCTTGCAGACACAGGGTGGCAGTGGAGCCCTTGCCTGCTTCCACGAGCACCTGCACCACCTTCCTCTCATGAGCCCAGAGACATGTCAGTGTCCACACAGCAGCCCAGCAAGAGAGGAAAGGAGTCCTGGTGCTCCCGAAGCGGAGACACTCGGGCCCCATGAAGTTATATGATCAGCACAAATGCACCGGCAAGGTCTTAGGCAGAGGCAGTCTGAAGCCTGGAGCATCACCAGCTTCACAGGAAGGGAATACCTGCTTCCAGGCAAGGTGAATGGAACTGAAGTGTCCCCACCGTCAGGAATTCAGACAGAGCAAGCACCAAGATTGTAAGTGAGCATTACTGCAAAAGCATTAAAGTTGGGGGCTATACCTAAGGCTGCCCTGGACTCCAGGCCTGGCTCTGTTATTTGCTCATTGTGTAAACCTTTGAAATTTCTGAATCTCTCAAACTTACTTTATCTATAAAATGGATTTCAAAAATAGAATCCATCCCTCACAACTATAAGGTGTTTAGCATCTGCCCCTGCACATGATAAGCAGTGGGTATCATATTATGGCTGGAAGCACCTTCAGGCCAGGAGAGCCAGGATGCTGTAGGCTGCTGCCGCACCCCTTGTCCATTATCTCCCGGCTTCCCACACTTTGATTCCAGCTGCTGCCATCATGACCAACCAGAGGCAGACCTTGTTCCCCTCCTAACATCCTGCCCTAAGCACGAGGGAAAGAAAATCCCTTTCCTTGGCTCCTCTTTGACCAAGTTGACATTGTGAAAAGCAGAGAATGAAAATCTGATAGTCACAGAAAACACAAACACAGTAGAAATAATTAAAGCTCCTGAATACAGGTTTCAGATCCTGTAATAACTCACATCTTCTATGACTTTTTAACATCCCAGCCCCTGCCTGTTTCCCTGTGACTGCTGCCACCCTCTCACCCTCCTTGCTCTTCTCTCTCCCTGCTACAAGGCCCCAGGACCTATTGTGCCTACTTAGGATCCTGCCTCTCCATCCCAGGGCTGTGGGACACAGGGAGTCTCAAGAGATTGACAGTGGAGTACAACCCAAGTGAGACTCTGTCCCTGCCACAAAGACCGTGCCCTGTCCAAGGCCACGTAGAGCCATACAATATCCCTTGATGAGTGTGCTGTGTGTACATGGGGAGAGGGACAGACCCTCCACCTGTCTTCCCAGAGCTCACAATACATTCCAAATTACCGGCAGTTACGAATTGGAGGGCTCCAGTCAGTGGTTCTCAAGTTGCAATTGGTCCCCAGAGCAGCAACACCTGGGAACTTATCAGAAATGTAAATCTCAGGCCTGCTTCAGACCTACAAAATCAGAAACTCTGTAGCTGGGTTCCAGCAATCTGATTTTTCCAAGCCCTCCAGGAAGCTCTGAAGCACACTGAAGTTTGAAAAGCCACTGACCTGTTATAGTCCGGCTAGCTGCACAACCTTGAGTAATACACTTAAGTCTTTCCATCTGTAAGGTGGGACCAAAACCAGTTTCATCATGTGTTAAGTGGGAATGATGATGGAACCTATTTCACAGGGTTGTTGGTTACAAAGATTAAATAAGACCCTGCATAGAATGTGCTTAGCAAATTGTAAGCACTCATAAATATTTGCTAATATTGATCTTCCTAAAAACCTAAGAGATGAGTTCTTCCACGATCACTAGGCAACTATCAAGGATCTCAGTGAAGGCTTAGAGAGTTTTTGAAAGGAATCGTTCAAGGTCACTCAGCTATCAAAGATATCTTAATAGCCATTCCCCAGAGAACAGAGCAGTGTTAACTGAAGGCAAGGTGTTAACAATGCCTTTCCTTCTCTCTGACTTGCAAAAGGTCTCCTCTGGGGCCATTTCCCTTCCCCGTGGGCATCTAGAAATGTATGGAGGCTTTGTGGTTGACTGAGTGCTCTTGGCTTTTAGGATCCAGAGGGTCAGGGATGCTCCTCTTGCACTGTGTAAGATGGCTCTGCATAATGAAGAAGCATCCTACTTACAATGCCAGTGACATCTCCACTGAGAAACACTGATCAACCCAGAGTTTCGGAGCTATCCAGAGCATGCAGCATGTCTCTGCCTAGAGAATACGCTAAACAATCACAACAATTGCTGTGGAGGGCTGGACGTCTCATGGGACACGTCTCCTGCTCAAGTCCTACTGTGGATGTTGCGAGGGCCAGCTCTCACTCTAGACATTTCATTGTCTTATTTAACATGCAATTGCTTCAAATCTCATTTAACATGCAATTGCTTCAATTGCCCTAGCTCCAATCACCCCTTCCCAAACCTGGGCTAGATCTCCAGCTCCGTGGGCCCAGGCAAACATTTTCCAACACGGTGTTAGTAGGAATTCCCCAAATTTCCCCAAAGTTCATACAGGAAATGGATGTTGGCTCAAGAGAGCAGAAGGTGTAGTGTGGACCGTTCTTTTTTTTTTTTTTTTTTTTTTTTTTTTTGAGACGGAGTCTTGCTCTGTCGCCCAGGCCGGACTGCGGACTGCAGTGGCGCAATCTCGGCTCACTGCAAGCTCCGCTTCCCGGGTTCACGCCATTCTCCTGCCTCAGCCTCCCGAGTAGCTGGGACTACAGGCGCCCGCCACCGCGCCCGGCTAATTTTTTGTATTTTTAGTAGAGACGGTGTTTCACCTTGTTAGCCAGGATGGTCTCGATCTCCTGACCTCATGATCCACCCGCCTCGGCCTCCCAAAGTGCTGGGATTACAGGCGTGAGCCACCGCGCCCGGCCTGGACCGTTCTTAAAAACTTTGTGCTATTTATTATTTGTTACTCAGAAAGGGAGACGGAGGTAAGGATGAGAGGAGAATGTTGGTACTGTTCAGAAACTTAACAATCCTGGCTGTCAAAAATGCCAGGAGTGAATGTAATCAGTAGAATCAATAAAGATTTATTTCAAAGGATTCCCAAGGAAAAAGTGCCAGACAGAGAGCCAGAGGGGAGAAAAGTAACAGCAGCACACAAAAGCATGCACGATTCACAGGTTTCCCGAAGCACTGGATGAAATGTGGCTTGGATGAAGTTGGCCATTTCCCCTAACTTAACACCTCTCTTCCCATACATAGCCCCTTTCCCTAGAGACTCCTACCTAGTGCTTTCACCAGCTTCCCCCTCCCCATAAGAGTAGCAACTGACTGTGCTAAAATGTTCCTTGCCCCACAAACCATTAAGCTGTCAAGCTGAGTTGGTGAACAAACCCAGAGAGAGCCGGTGCTGCTGGAATGCTAACGGTGAAAACCGCAATTATTCTTTCTGCTCTGGACAATTCCTGCTTCAACTTTACTGGCCCCAGGTCATATTTTGTGATCTTTGGATGCTGATGGAAGAGAGACGGCTTGATAGAGAAAATAACCAGGGAGATTATGTCTTGATAGAGATGGAAGTAACTAGTAGAGGTTTTTTCGTTGTTTTCCTTTTGACATCCACATAGGTGTCATATAATGGCTTCTGGTTATAAAGCCCCCTATCCAAAGGAAAAACAACTTCTCCATAAATACCTTGCCCACGTCAGTGAAATAGCTGTGTTACACACTTGAGCACCATTTTCGAGGACACTTTAAATAGAGCATGGGTTGCTGCTTTCAATTTAACGTGTGAACAGGAGCTGCTAAGGCAGGCAGAGATGATAAGTTGTGGGGATGGGCTCAGTTTCCATTGGTGCATCTGCTCAGATTCTAACAGATCCGCAGGCATTTAAGGCATCTCAGGGACAAGCCAGGTAAGCCACGTGAGAGACTCACTCAACAAATGAATGAACACCTACTATGCATGAGTAAAACCAGATGCGAATCACTTCCTCTAGATGAAATGGGCTTTACATACAAATTATAACAGTTCCAGGAAAATCTAATATATGTTTAGAAGAAGAGGTGCTTTAAAAAAAATGAAATAGGTGGTACATGACAGGTAAAATACTAGACAAGTTCAGAGGAGAGGTGGGTGGTCTCTGTGTTTTCTTGTGTAACAACCTCTACTGAGTTTTATGAGAATTAAAAGAAATAATACATGACTGGTGCCCAGGACAGTGCCTGGAACTAAGTAAGCACTTGATAATGATAGCAGTAGTCAAACAAGTAGGATTAATATGGTTGACATTAAGTTTTTACTGATAATTTTAATTATAAATCCAGTTGGAGGTAAAGACAGGAGGATTATCAGATAAAGCTTGGTAAATAATGGGTAACATCTGGACAGATGAAGATGAGGGCGTGGGGGAATAGTATAGGCCAAGGTACAGATGCAAGAAAATTAAAGACTTGCTCAGGAAATAACAAATACTACAATGTGTCTTCAATTTTCTATGTTTGTACTGTGACAGGTCTGAATGTAGATTTCTTATTTAACCTGCTTAGAGTTTACAGACCTTCTTGAATCTCTGTATTGATATTTTCTCCTTGTTTTAGAAAATTCATAGCCATTACCTCTTCAAATAATACTTCTTCATTTTTTTTCTTTCTTTGTAGAAATCCAATTAGATAGATAAGACTATTCTCACTGTATCCTCGATGTCTCTTACCTAAGTTTTCTGTATTTATTATACTTCATTTTGGATGATTTCATTTGCCCACTGCCCTACTTCATTAATTATCTCTTCAGCTATTTCTAAATTATTTAAAATACATCCATTGAATTCTTAATTTCAGTTGCTGTATTTTTTCAGTTCCAGGATTTCTTTTTGGTTCTTGTTTGAAATCTACTATGTCATTTTTATAGTTTCTAGTTTGCTGCCAAAACTTGTAATCTTGTCTTATTTCTACTTGAAAAATAGTAAGCATGGTTATTTTAAATCCATGGTCTGATAATTGCACTGGAAATTATCCAGGAAACCTGTGAGTCTATTATTTCTGCTGGTTCTCGGTCATGTTGACTTATTTCCTTGTGTGTCAGCTTATCTTTGATTACATGCTGGACATTGTATTCAAAGATTTATTTGTAGAAATAATACAATGACTAGGATAAGGTATCTTCCTCCAGATAGTATTGTTTGCTTCTACCAGGTAACTGACTTGCAACATAGTGTAACATTAATCCCATTTCAGAAATTGTCATTTTTCTTAGCTACTCAAGGGATTCAAAGCCTGACTTCACAACTTGCAAAGGCTGGTTTACTTGTAGTTCCAACCCAAAATGTTCCCATGCTTAATAGGCCCTGGACTCCAGCTTGTGTCCTGTAATGCCCTGATGCTGTCAAATGCATTGCTTAGACCCTCGGCTGCCTCTTTAGAAGCCAGCAAAAGTCTAATCCCTCTGATTAGTTAACCTCTTGATTTCCAGCTTCTTCCAAAATTTGGCCCTATCAATATTTACCACCTTACTAGCTTTCATATGTCTTCAAGCATGCTTTTGAAAATATCTTCTCCACTTTCTGAATTTTTATCAGTAGGAAGGTCAGTCAATTGAATTAGCTAGTCTGCCTTTACTAGAAGCAAAAACCTCCCAGCTGGTATTTGATTTGACTGGAACATTGGATTTACTTTTGGGAGGAAATAAAAGATAAACCCAAACAATAGGCCAGTTCCAAAACATGGATAAACTTGAATGCTAGGCTAAAAAGGAAGGATCTTTAATAAGCGATGGGGAGCCATTGAAGATTCTCAAGCAAAGGAGTTCTCCTTGGGAGCTATACTTGAGGAAGATGAATTGGACACTTACGTGCCAAACTGATTAGAGGGGCATGAGACCAAAATCAGGAAGGAGAGTTGACTCCTTTTATCAAACTTTCAGAGAAGAAGGCAAACTATCTGAGCTAGGGCTATGGTGGTGGCAACACTAGGAAGACAGAGACAGATGGGAAGTACAGGGTTATTTCATGAGTGAGGCACACCAACTAGAAGATGGTAACAGAAATCAGAATATGGAAAGAAAACCAGATGAAGGACAGAGGGAGAAAAGTAAAATGATATGATTTGCCCATTAACTGAGAGTGGGATTGAAAGAGAAAGAAGAATCAAAGATGATATTGAGGTTTTGAACATGGGTAGCTCAGACAAGGGAAAGAGATTATGAGGGCTAAGCCACAACCCACCCATCCTCTTTTTAGTCATGAGACAGCTCAAAGAAAAGATCTGTTTCAAGTAAGTGACAGTGGCCACTCTCCAACCCAAAACCCTCCCAGAGGAGAGATGATTTCATATGAGAATAGAGAACCTACCCATGGTGTCACTACAATCAGGCAGGTGGGACAACCTCTTGGAGAGTCAGAGAGCAACCCATTTTGTGATATTAGAGATTCTCTAAGTGAAATTGGCTGACAGCACAATTCCCGTTTTGGGGAAGGAGAAAGCTCCCAGAGCCACTTGTTAGTAACAGAGGTCCTGGAGCATTGGATTACAAGCCAGGAAGTTCCATAGAAAAGAAGGAGCACACAGAAATAGACTTAAGTGTGCAGAGGGTGAGGGGGGCACACCCTGTCACTATGTGACAGGTGATCCATGGGGGCTTCTAGGATTCTCACTATTGGTTCTACTGAGTGATGAAAAGGTGCCCATTAGGGTTAACTTCCCAGGTTTTTAGGTAGGGTCCGAATGGAGTGGAAATGTAAACCTTTAAATAATTATGGCTTTCTTGGCCTAGATGTCTGTCATGCACTACAGATATTTTTTCCTCCCTTCCATGTGTATGAGTGAATATCAAAAGTAGGTACCTGTAAAAAATAAAAATAGAAAACTTTCACTTTCATTGCAAAGATCTTGGAGATGAAATAAAATAAAAGTAAAATGTAACTTGGGAAAGGGCTATATAAATTTCACAAATAAATGACTGAGGTTGACATTGATCTGAACTGGACCTGTGCTACAATAGAGGGGACTAGTACAGCCACACCAGGCAAAGCTCTCCACACAACCTGTTTGCTTTTCATTTTCTTATTGTCTACACCAAATCAATAAGATCTGCAAAAAGCAAATGTAGCAAATGTATTTTTTTTCTCCCTATTCTGTACCAGGACTCCTCTCCGGCTTCAGACCTGGAATTTAACAGGATGACCACCCCTCCCCCAGTGTCCTCTGTGCTCCTATTGTCTGCCCCAAGAAAGCTCCTACTAATTCTCTCAAAAGGACCTTACCTCCTGCAGTTACTTCACATGCTCCTGTGGGCAGCTTTAATTTATCCCAGTGGAAGTCAAGATGTAGGTTTGTGTAGAGGCCTGGGAAACCTATCAAAGGAGAATGAGGTTGAACAAAAACATCCCAGGGATAGACTCTCAGCTCCCTGTGGGTTGGGCCATGTTTGCCACTCACACTGAACCCCCAGCACCTGGCACAATACCTAGCTCATAAAAAAACACACTATAAATACTTGTTGAATTGTTGAACTGAGAGAGCTGGGATGAGAAAAACAAGCCAGGCATCACTTTCTTGTCAAATAATCCTTGTACATTTGCCACCCAAAGGCAGGGCAATGGGTTGACCCAAGGTTTTTCTTTCATGAAACAGCCCCAAAGAGAATCCTCCCTATAAATGTGCTCATTTTTTCTCTCCAAATGCCTTTATTCCAGAAGAAAGCAAAACAGTGAGTGGATGACTTTCATTTGTTTTTTGCAGGAAAAGAAAAAAAAAATGAGGATTAAGAAAATTTGGAACTAAGGTGTTAAGAAGTGTAATAGGGTAGAGGAGGCTAAGAAAAACCAGTGTTGCTGTAGTAGGGAGAGGTTTGACTGACTGACTGACACCATCCACCACAAAGTCATCAGGCACCTGCGGGCCTGGACCCTGCAGGAGGTGGCTGGGTGTATTCCTGCTGACTGATAGGATAACTATGCACATTCAAGGCTAAGAAGAGGACCAGCAGTTGCCAACCAACCCCCAAAACTGACCAGTGCTGAGTAGTCAGTCACCTTTGATAACCACAATCATCATTAGTGAGTCCAACAGGGGACTGGCTTTAACACCAACCCAAATGCTCAGAAGGGTGCATTTGACTAGCTTGACCTACATCTGGTTCCCCTCTGTGATGTTTTGGCCATCACCCAAGTACTTGGGATCTTTGTCTCTAGCTAGAGCTTCAGGAATAGTAGCTCACCTACTCCTAAAACTAATCTTCAGAATGAAAAACAATGGCAGCACTGCAGAAAAAGGGCTAGGATGTGGAAATGCAGGAATAGATGCTTCCAGGACCACAAAAAATGCAGCATCTAAGAAAGGACAAGTATTAGGGATCCCTTTCATATGGTCTTGATCTTCCCTCCTGCTTTGACAGTTTTAGTGGGTTAAATATGCTACCCTGTTGGGAGGTAGGAACTGAGAGACTAAAAATCCCAATGCACCAGTAAAATTTTTTTAAGTCCAGAGAAAGTAGAACTCTGGTGAAAGCCATTTGTAAGCATATCTCCAGAATCTAATATATCTGTGTGGCCAAAAACAGTGGGCACTGTTAATTCACAACCAGACACTCACTGAGACTCAGGAACAGAAGGGGGCAGGTGCTGGTAATCCCTTGAGTGCTAAGCTTTTTTAATAATACACTGGAGAGCAGAGGGGAGAAGAAACAGCATTAATGGAAATGATTGAAACAAATGCCCCACTAGTGGACAGTGATCTTGTTTTGGGCTTACAAAACTGATTGATTATCAGATCCACCTTAAGCCTCCCTTTTGAGAAGGTTCTCCATCCCCACCCTTGCTCCTAACACCCTTGTCGATTCTGGTTACATCAGTCTGGAACAAGGGCAGGGACTTTGTAACTTTCAAAAGTTCCTCAGGTGAATCTGAGGACAAACAAGGCTTAGGAATCATGGGTCCAACCCATGAGATTCACAAAATGAAAATATGCAAGTCAAATGCCAAACTGGCCCATCTGGTTTCACTATTCCAGGAAAGGGAGCCCAAAAGGATGCTAATTTGTTACAAGTGGCCTGAAAAATACATCTATGTTTTAAATACTTCCTCTCTTGAAATAGTAAACTGAATTACAGCAAGCTAGCTCCATGGTGATATTTTCCCTGATTCCAGTTCACAGAGAGAATTTAAAGTGAAAAATCCTTTTCAAAAGGAAGATACAATAGGCTGTGCTCTTCAATGATGCTTGCTCTGGGCCCAGTACTGATGCTGACCACTTCACACACGTCATCTCACGTAATCTGTAAGGAAGGCATCATCACCCCCATCTTACAAATGAAGTCACTGTCTCAGGGAGATTTAAGTACATTTGCCCAAACTACAAACTGGTGGGATGTGAATTGAACTTTAATCTGATTTCGGAGTCTTTACCTTGAAGTCTATACAGTATGTTGCTTTCTTAAACCCCCCCACACCTACATCTCTGCTTCAGTTTCTAGGTCTTTGTATGTCACTTAACAAGCATCCCCTCCATGCCAATGTGGTTGCACCCATTTCTTCGCTAGGGTGCTCCTGAATGCATGCAGGCATGGGTAAGTGTATAGTGAGTAGTAGGAGTCAAGACAAGAGGCTGGGAGCTGTCTGGGGCTCCTCCTGGGATCTCCTGGTGGGGTGCAGAACTATTCCAGGGATTCCAACTCTGGCCTACTGTACAGAAGAATCAAGGGACAGACATTCCAACAGCCAGGCAAACCAGAACCACAGAGAAAACAGGGAGGCAGTCAAAGCCATCAGGACCCCACAAATATACCCACCAGGAGAATCAAATCAGGGTCTGCGGAGGCAACAAGAGAGTTTGTTGGTGGCCTAGATTTTTACTCTTTGGACCACTCTGTATTTCAGCTTCACGCAGCAGCTTGCAAAAGAGCCCTGGGGATGGCAAGAAAGCAGAAAGCACCTCTCTTTGTAGCCACAACTACAGATCCCAAGACCACTATGACCAAATTAGGACAGAAAGCCTTCAGTGACGCACACACAGGCCCTGGGGAGTCTGAACACGAGTAGATCTAATGCTGTTGAACAAAACGTGAAACCGAAGAAAACACCCAGCCACACAGAGCCCTTTGAATTGGTGGCTTCACTCCAGGGCTGCAAGTGGGGAGAGAGTGAAAAGAGACAAAGCCTGGCTTTGGAAAGTCTCAAAAGAGTTTCTAGGAATGCCACGTCCCAAATCCTGTGGGGTTTGTGAGGGGTTTGGAGAGTCCTGCTTGTTGAAAAGCACTTAGTTGTCATAGTAGAAAGTGGAGTTCTAGACTCCCCTAGCCCTCATTACAAATCAATGAGTAGAGTTTAATTCTAATTGTGAGATGACTGAGAAAGGATTTTTATGATAAGCAGATGAGGCTAGGGCAATTTCAAGTGCAAGTAAGGTCTTTATTTATTGGCTTTTTAAAAAATGTCCCACCATTTTGTATGTATTTGGGGGTTTTGCTTGTGGAGAGAGCCCAGGAGTGGGACATGGAGGTAGACAACACTGATAACAGTGAGAGACGCTGCCAGGCAGTCTGAGTTCTCTGTTCCTAGCCCTGGGCCAAGAGAAATGTGCTCTGACCCAAGGTTAGGCATGTTCTCACCCAAGACCAAGACCAAGGATTCTCCTAAACATTCCAATAAATACCCAACGTAGCTTTTAAACCTTAATCTGTTATTTCCTAGTTTGCAGAGTAAAATATACCCTGTCAGAAGTGTTTGAACCAGAGTGACTCCATCTTGAATAGGGGATGGGTAAAATGAGGCTGAGTCCTACTGGGCTACATTCCCAGAAGGTTAGGCATTCTTAGTCACAGGATGAGATATGGGTTGGCACAAGATACAGGTCATAAAGACCTTGCTGATAAAACAGGATGTGGTGAAGAAGCTGGCCAAAACTCACCAAAACCAAGACGGTGATGAAAGTGACCTCGGGTCGTCCCCACTGCTCATTATATGCTAATTATAATACAGTATCATGGTAAAAGACACTCAGGCCAGCACCATGACAGTTTACAAATGCCATGGCAACATCCACAAGTTTCCCTATATGGTCTAAAAAATGGAGGAACCCTCAGTTCTGGGAAATCTCTGCCCCTTTTCTGGAAATCTCATGAATAATCCACCCCTCGTTTAGCATATAATCCAGAAACAACTGTAAGTATACTCCATCAAGCAGCTCATCCTGCTGCTCTGCCTATGGAGTAGCCATTTTTTTACTCCTTTACTTTCTTAATAAACTTGCGTTTGCTTTACTTTATGGACTTGCCCTGAATTCTTTTCTTGTGTGAGGTCCAAGAAAACTCTGTTGGGGTCTGGATCAGGATGCTTTTCTGGTAAGGCCCCTATCATCATCCCACCTAAGAAAACAGGAATCCCAGGGAACCTAATTTCCCCTCGTACAAAATATTTATTAACTACTCACACCCTTGAGGTGTCTTGGTAGGAACTGAACCACTTAGTTCAGACATTGGAAGTGATTCCAAACTTGGCTACTCATGAGAATCACCTAGGGAACTTAAAAAAAATCCTGGGTCCCAACCCTGGTGATGCTGACACATTTGGGCCCTCCCAAGATTTTTGAAAGCTGGAACCATCAATGCAGGAAAAACCTTAAAAGTGAGTGGACCCTAAAATCTTCCTGGGGGCAGATTTCCGTGCTTCTGGGAGGGTCATTTCCCTGAGTCATTACCCTCCTTAGTGTTCTGGAAAATGGCAAAGTACATCAAATGCAGGGAGGATTCCTCAGCAGTCATGACAATTGCTATTTGGGTTAAGTTACTGCTACATCTTTAATATTCCCTTGGGGTGAGTTGTTTGTTTGTTTGTTTGTTTGGGGAGCAGCATGGGGGCTAGGATTTTTTTCTTAAAATGACTTTAGAATGCTCAGCTTATTTTTGTGGATGGGCAGACAAGTTATAATTCAAACCACAGTTTGAACATTAGGTAGAGAGAGGTAGAGTTATAGTTTGAAAATTAGGCAGAAGAAGACAGCACAGGTGGGTGAGATCCTCACTTTACAAGAAGGTGGAGGCTGAGCCCAGGATCCAGTTGCAGTTTGGAGCACCAACCCAGACTTTGGGGTTGGAACCTTGTTCTGCTGTGGCTGTTCTGTGGGTTCTATAAGGCTAGGGCTATACCCCACCTGCTGCCCAAGGGTAAGGTTTACCCTGAAGGAAGTGAACGTTCCCTAGGAAGACAATGAAGGCTGGAATGTGGGTCTTCATTGCAACTCAGAGTACCCCTGACCCCCACAGCATGGTGGTGAGCCTGCCCTTCCTCTAGGGAGCAGGATGCCCAGGAGTGGGGCATGAGGCACCCACAAGTGAGGACAGGTCTAAGCCTGGAGATGCCTACAGTGGCTACCTTTTGAAGAAGTGTTAAGTTACTCTCTGTGTTTCCTTTATTACCCTTGATCCATCAAAAAAAGTTGTATTCAGACATACAGCCTGATCTCTTTGTGCTGGAAGGAATCTGGGGAAGGACCTCTTCCAGGCTAGGATTAACAGGGAGAATAGCAATGAGAGGGAGGGGTCAGCATTTCTTCAGCTGCAGGAGGCAATTAGTAGACACTTAAAGAGGATCTGAGCACAGCTCAGCTAATTTAAAAAATCAGCATAATTTGAGTTTTAACCAAAATATGACTTTATTTTGTATTTGCAAGGCACCAAGGTCTGCTATACACAATTAACCTCCCCTGTCCTCCCCTCCCTCAAGGCTTCTGTCTGACAGACTCAGCGGGAGGAGGAAAGGAAGAGTCCAGCTCCTCTGCTGCTGATGACCCTAATAGTCCTCCTACCCCACTGGGCTGCAATGACCACATCTGCACCTATAGTCCCTCATCCAATTTGGGACTTATTGCAGTGCAGACCTTAATCCTGGTCTCTCCCTGACCTCCTGGCCACTCACACACCCAGTATATCTCCATGCTGTCCCATAGACACTTCAAACCCAGCTCCTCAAAAACAAGCCCCACCTCTTCCTTCTCCTGCATTCTCTCCCTTTGCTAGAGCACAAGCACCCACTCGGTCCTCCGTGCCCCTCAGCTGCCTCATCTAATTCTCACCAAGACCCACTTCTGGGCCTCTGCCTTCCCTTCCACTTAGTACCTCAGGCCCAGTCCTCATCATTTCTCCCTTGGACCACAGCAGCAGCCTCCTGACAATTCCCCAACACTCAAAGTGCAGTCCTGGCATGCCGAACTTGGAGACAGCGAGCTTAGGTGCACACCCAGGTCCCCAGAGCACTCAGCAGCTTTCTTCACACATTTTCTCTTCCCTTCTCTCTTGACCAGATACAGAAGAGCCAGTGGGAAATTGAGAAGCCCTTAACAGGATGGTGGAGCCACAACATGGAAGGAACCTGGGCTCCTGAATGACTGTATGGAGCAAAATCCCCCCACATACTAACCCATATTGAACTGTGGTGGTTTGTTACAGAATTAACCAGCCATGATTAATAGTGAGCAACTCAAGAACAAAAAGAACAAACCTATAATAGAAAAGCAATGCTTTTCCATTCACAAACCTTTCATTACAAAATGCCGGTCGTGTCCTACAGCCAGAGTAGTGAGTATACCTCGCTGGAGGCTGCAAGGGCCAGCCAGTCCCCATACACAATCAGAGCTCTCTGCAAAAGACGTAATACCACCAGCCCTGTACTGTACTCTCTCAATTGCCCTCTAGTTTCCCCACCCCAATATTGCAGTGTCTATGATCACTGAAGGAAAATGAAATATGATTCTAGGTGTCACCTTTCAAAGGGTGTTAGTGACTGTCAGCTAAAGTGATTTAAGCCCCGGAAAAACCTCTGTGTCCTTTTAACATCCAAAACTAATCCTCTTCACACCAGACATCGATGTTAAATAAACAGAGATTTCCATTAACCTACACCTCTGTACATCTATTTTTAAAAAGCGGTGTCACTCTCCTTTAAATGAACATACTAATTAGTGTATTAATAAATAGCTGAATGGAATCAATGAGACATGTAATCAAGGTCTGACCAGGAGTCAGGGCCAGGTTGAAGGGGGTGGGGGGAAGGAGAGGAGGGAAAAGAATCTTATTAGCAGGTTTGCTGAGGAGGGACATGTAAAATCAATGCTGCACATGCAGCCAAGATGCAGCCGAAGTTGACAGTAGATGGAAAGCTAAGTGCTTGCTCCGCCTCCTTCCTTTGACAGGAAAGCTCCCGGTGAGAGTTAATGTGATGAGCAAGGAAGACATTAATTGGGGCAGGAAAAGCCATTCAGAGATGGTGTCCAGGATCACAGCTGGCAGAGTTACCCAGAACCTCAGTGCTAAAGCCCTGACTCCTAGACCTTGTTTTAAAACACTAAGAAAGAACACACTTACGAGAGTTGATTTAGTTCTCAGCAAACACTTGGTCAAAAAGAAGTCACAGGGGGAGTTATTTGTTTGGGGCTCTTTGTTACTCTTACCCCCCTTCAAAAATTCTGGTTCACAAGCAGTAGCTGGAAGTACCTTTGCCCCAAGATGCTAGGCACTGGGAAATGAAGGGCCTGGATTCTCTACAGGCAGCCCTGGGGGTGGGAATGGGGCAGCCCGCTTCTTCATCAGCTCCCAATTTCCTGTAGCACACCCCATAGCTAGAAGGCTCTGGAAGGTGAGAATAAAAAGTCCTTCTGCAAGTGTGAGGTTTCCAGCTGAAGTGGTATCTGATTACCCGAGCCGCTGCTCACTGGATCTCAAATTAGCACTGATACTCCATTTTCTTCATCTGGAGACACACCCCCTTTGGGCCACAAAACACTGGACAGAAGAAAAGTGGACTTTCATTTCCCTAAAGATTAATATCAGGAGAAATGCCTTTCTGTATAAAATCAATTAGGTGCCTGAGACCCTCACCCCAAAGCCAGCTCAGTGATGCTAGTTGAAGTAGAAGTTGTGTTAGGATAAAAGAAACTCAAAAAAAAAAATTTGCCTTGGGGCCAGTACTGCCCATTACAAGCCCTCTTAGGGGTGATTCTGCCAGGAGGCAGGGGATTGGCTTGTTAGCAGTTAGAATGCTTGGCTCAGGATTCTGGGGTGCTATGGGCTCCCATGCCATGAAACTGAAGTTCTTCCTAATTCTGGTTGCTGGAAAAGCCAGTATCTCTGGGTGGACCTCACAGGCAGAAAACCTGCTGCTCTGAATGCCTAGCTCTGGCACGGCATCCACACATGGATGATCTAGAAGCCTTGCAGATGCGTCCTGAGATATGTTTCTGCCAGCCCCAGGCATGGCCTGCAACCTGCTCACCCTGAGGTCAGCATTTCCTGGAATGACAGGGAGGACACACATAAAGGAAGTGTGGGGACATGGCAGGAGGCAGCTCTCAGCAGCCCTTAGGCTATTTTCCACATTACTGCGAATGGTATTTTGCCCCCAGGAGGTTCATAACAGTCAGAAGGATCTCCAGGTTCCCCAGACCCATCAGAAAAGCCAAGGGGTGATGGTCATCAGCCCAGGGGGAGAGCTTCCTGACAGGGTACATGAAAATTAAGTGCAAAAGAGGGGCCAGAGACAGCTGTCCCCCAGCTCAATCTGAAGCACAGGCACCTAGAGAATGGCCACACATAGGACCTTCCCATCTGGTTTGAGAGGTCCTAGCAAAGCACCCCTGCACCAGTCCATATCTTACTCCCTCCATTGACGTGCTAAAAGTCTGCCACTGGAACATGGTTTCTTTGGGTCAAGCATCATGCTTTCTCTTTCAACAACCTACACCTTAGTGTACCTCCTCCATCACCTCTGTTTTTCTGTGGCCCAAGGATAAACAGAAGAGAGTGGAGAGGGTGCAAACAGCAGGGTCCCCACTGATCTACATGGCTATTTGCTGAGAATTAGGGAGTGCTGTCCTCTCTGGTTGACCAGAACTTGGTAAACAGAAGGCATCTTGGGGGAAGAAAAGGGCAACTCTTCCTGAGCAAAGAGATACACCAAGCCTTGGCCAATAAAACATGAGCAGAATTTCAGCCCTTATTTGCTCCCAGCTCACAGGTATACACACTACAGTGTATATCACCAAAAGCCCTGTCTAAAGAAAGAAAGAGAGAAATAGAGAGGAGATACCCAAGTACTTGGGGCAAAATTCAACTATTTCTCAATTTTGCCCAAGGATACCCATTTGGAGATAGATATAGATATAGATACATGACTATTTTCAAACCAAAAATATCAGGACACACACTCAAGCAATGGCACAGAATATCTGAAACACAGGCTGTTCTAGTGAACACAGGGCCTGTGGTCACTGTAGAAGGGCTGAAGAGTAGAGGATGGCAGTGACAAGGACCCTGGGGGGACAGTGTGACAATGAGGTGCCCCTTTTCCTTTAGGGGACAGAGAAGCAATGGCAAATCTCCCCATGGTGTGCTATGTGGTGGAAAGACCACCTCCACAAGACCAGAGCCGGACTCTCTGCTCACAGATGTCCCATCACCTTCAAAATACACTGACACACTCCGTTTCCAGAGTCTCCAAGCTTTTGTTCCCTCTCCACAGGGGCAAATCACCTTTCTCCACAGTCAACCAGTGGTTCTTTCCTCTCTCAGCCCGAGTGTTGCTGGGAATAATGCAATGTTTCCAGCTTAATCGTTTGTCATCATGCAGAGATTTCACTGATTTCAAAGCTAAGGTGCCTGGAAGAATCGAGCACGCTCTGAACCAGGGTGCCTCAGGGCAGAGGGTTCTCACTGGCTGGCTGGCTTTACACAGGAGAATCCCAGAGGCCCTTACTCACCAGTTTAAGGCTATCTTTCCAGGAAACCAGGGCCTGGGGCTGAAGACAGCTGAGATGGGCAGTGTTCATAAATATCACCTATTGGAGGCAAGTGAGGACATCCAAGTATGCAAACACCATGTACACTGAACACACCTCTCTGGTCTCTGATGGACCACTTCAGCTTTCTGACTTCGTTGCAGGCAAACATTAGCAGATGCCCCATCCTGCAATGCTTGGCATAATTATCAGGTAGGCTCCAGGCAATAATTACTCACTAATGGTTAGCCACTGCTTTGAGCCAAGAGTCTCCTATCTGCTCTCCCTACACCAAATTCAGAGTCTTGGGTGGTAAACCTGAAGGAAAAAAAAAAACAAAAAAAAAACAGTAACCATCACCATGGCCTGGCAAAAAAACCACATTATCTAAGATATCACTCCAGGTCCTATAAAAATAACGTATGTTTACATGTGGATGGCTGATCTGAGCACAGATTGAATATATAAACGTGGCTGTTAATTCTAGACTCTGAGAAAATTCTGAGTCTTCCAAAAATAAAGGAATCCCTACAAATATTTTTAAATCTTTTTTTAAGAGGTCATACTCTGACAGAGAGCCAGAATTAATGCAATGGGACCAGCCACCTGCTCTTCTTCCCTTCCCATTTGCTTATAGAACCTCAAGGCAGTAGACTTGTTGAAGCCCAGTGTTAGAAACAGATGTGACTATTTATAAACCAAGAAAACTGAAGTGTTTTAATCCAACACAGGGTGGCAAGAAGCAGAACTGACAAGCTTTAGGAATCTGAAGAACAGGCAACAATTTTCAATAATATTACCTCTCCACTTATTGAGCATTTAATATGTGTCAAGCAGTGTGCAAGCTATTTCCCACGTATTATGTCACTTAATTGTTAGAGCAGTCCCTTATTTTACTCTTTTAATGATAAGGACACTGAACCTCAGAGAAGACAGGTAACATGCTGACGCCACACAGCTGAGTAGCCAAGGCTTGATGATGTCTGTAAATTACTTTAAAATGCATCAGCTTAAACAGAGTGGTATAATGTAAGTTAGTTCCAATCCTTACCCAAGGATGGTTAGTCGACATCTGAAGTATTGTAACTAACCAGGGCTGGTGACTTAGCCTTTGAAAGCCTTGCATCAGAGTCTACACTGTTTGTTAAAAAACATAAGAGATGTTGGAAACAATTTATCAGCAGGAAATTAAGCAGTGTCGAATATGCATAATTGGTTAGAAATGCCATCCAGGCATCTCTGCCCTTTGGGCACAAGAATCTGGCAAGCCTAGAGCCCTCTGTGGCTCCATTCTTGGCCTAGGGGTCCTACTAGGGTCTATTTCATCTCTCAAAGGATGCTGTCCTCTAATCCCACTAGAAGGTGAGCTGAAACCTGCAACCACATTGCCACATCTGCCTCAAATAAATCTTCCTTGAAATAAACTTGTAAGAGTTACTAAGTCAGTGCCTCCCAAACTTTCTCACTTCCTGACACTTGCAGAAAGTGATAATATTTTTACCACACCCTGGGGCCAGAGAGGGAGCTTCTGCTGCTGCATGCCCCTCGTGCCCTCTGGCTGTCCACCTGCAGGGTTGAGGTGACCCGCTATATCAGCAAACCTTGATACCCTTCCCCGGCACACTAGTTGAGGCAGACAGCAGGATCCACACTGAGCTTCAAAAACAGGCTGTATGGCTATTTATGTGCCTGGTTACTAACAAATATTGGTAGGTAGGGTAGAATTGAGTCTGCAACTTGCTTTTGTAGGAAGGTTGTGGAGGAGAAGGCCCATAGCTCTCACCTGCCTATAATCACTGGAAATGAGTCCCCACATAATCTGCCCATTGGGCATGGCCAAGTTGGCATTAAGTTGGGTTGCAGTGCCAGACCTGTCTGCCTCCAAAGTCTATCCTGGGTCCTGGGTGCTCCCCTGCTTCTGGAGCCTAAAGAAAGTGAATCAATGGTTATTTGTCAAACCCAAAAGGGAAGCTCTTCAGAAAATGCCATGTCAAAGGGTTCCGTCCTTGGCGCTGTGCTGTTTCATACTTTTATCCGTAAGTTGAATGAAGACTGAGAGTCACATTTATCAAATTTGC
This sequence comes from Homo sapiens, assembly GCF_000001405.40. NCBI lineage: Eukaryota > Metazoa > Chordata > Mammalia > Primates > Hominidae > Homo > Homo sapiens. Next base: position 132,556,799 of record NC_000007.14, read on the forward strand.
AACGGACAGATTCCAGGACTTGTGAAGGTCAAATGAGATAATATGAGAGAAGTCATTTAATAGTAGAGTAAGACTCAACCCATTGATGAGGATGAAACAAAGTTTAAGACTATCTTAGCAGCCTGAAACAGGGTCAAAACTGGAACCCCAAAAAGAAATTGAATGTGACAAACATAAATTCAAATTTTAGGCTTCAAAAAATATTAATGAATAAAGTACCAGGTGGCAGAAGTTTGTGTAAGACACACATATAATGAGGGTGGGAGAAGCTTAGAGACCCACTGGTTACGAACCAGCAGTGGGATGGGGGCTGCCCAGAAACCCTGCCACATGAATGAATTTTGACATTGGGCTTTGCTATCCACACCTCCTGCAGATGGTGACCTGCACCTGTGATCAGTCACAAAATTAGATGTGGAGTCAGACCTACCTGCACCATGAGAAGCAATGAGCTCTCCATCAATGTGCAAAGCAGTTAAAAGAGAAGGAACCCTCTATCACGTGCTACTGAAGTTGAGTTGTTCCCATCCCCTGCAAAGGCTCCCAACTTGCCAGCACAGCCAGGATGTTTGGCTCAGAGAAAAGAGGTGGCAGGAGAGTTTATCAAAACCTACAACTTAAGATTTTCTTCACAGAAGATGGAGGAAATGGCGGCAGGGGGGGACGTAAAGATAGGCAATCAATTACCAAGGAGCCCTTGAATAAAAATCTCTTTATTTCCTTGAATTTTCCTTTAATTTATCTTTTTTTTAAAAAAAAAAAAGTTTTCACCTTTGCAAAACCTTTGGACTTTTTGACCAAAGACAACAGGAAGTCAGCCAAGTTTAATGGAGTTTTCATTTTGAAAAAGATGTTATCTGCAGCTCCTCTGTGCCTACCAAGCAATATGGTACGTCTGTGGTCTAGAGACCAACTCATTAGGTGCTCTGTTTACCATCAGCTGGTGAAAAATGATAATTGTATGGAAGAATAATCACCAAGACATGGACATCACTGCCTGCAGACTTCGCCAGGAAGCTACTTCCCACTTCCTGTAGATCCGCAGCTGTTTCAGGATGTGTAATGCCCTCTACTGTCCTACCATTCAAATACTTCTCTTTTCAAGCTCAGAAAACCAAGTTTAAGGTAGGGAGAGAGAGAGAGAGAGAGAGACAATCAAACAACCTTATGTTGGGTCCAGAGGGAACTGCAAATGTGTCTAAGACAATGCCTGCTTTCAAGAAGCTTGCAATTAAGTGGGAATATGAGATGTAAATACTGAAAATACAAGCCAATAAATCATATATTACCAGGAAATTCTTGGCAGGCTGAGTTTTCAGAAAGTCTCTACGTGTACTACTGTCTGCACACAAAAATGCCCAGACCTGGCATGTGGCTAAGTCTACTTGTAAAATTTGTTACCTGGTTAAATGCTGTTCCATGCCTACCAATATTTTTAAGTTTTCAAATATAAGTTTTAGGTGAAAATGCCATTCTTTCAAAACAGTATGTGCTGGAGAAATGACATTTTTTCAAAGCAAATTTTCTATATTTGGTCATGTGATATTCTGTAAGCTTTTTTATAAAGGCTCTTTAGAACATTCCAAAAATGAGCATCATCAAATTAAAACAAGAGAACTTCTATTACATTGCCACAAATCCTAGATGTAAATAAAATACCATTTCACTCAATAATGATTGCCAGAAATATAAATACAGTTTAGAAAAATTATTTAATTAGTTTATTTTTAAGTATTTGCCAAGAAGGCTTCGGTCTTGCTAGTATTAAGTCCTGGGAGAAGGAACAAAGGAGAGTGAAATGAGCTACAGCAACTTCATGCAATTGGGCCTGGGTTTAGCAAAGCTCACTCTCTCTCCTCCACACCCCCAACAATCGGCCTGGGGCCAATGACAGCCAAGATTCTTTGTCCAATTTGACATCATGCACATGGCCAGTACCCCGCCTCTTTCGCCTTTGCCTGCTTTCTTAGATCTTCTCATCCGAGCATAAAGCCAGCAGCCCCTTTGAGGACATCTGATACCCCAGGTCAGTAAGTAGTCTCTAAAATGAAACATAAGAAGGTGGTACAAGAAAAGGGGAAAGTGTAGGGATTCCCTACCTTTGTTGCAGGCTCTGAGACAGCCTTGGAGAGGGCTCAGCTCACCAATCCCAAAGGCCTTACCCGCAGTGGACAGGGGCATGGTGAGGGGATGTAACAAGGACACCCCCGGTGGCGTCAACTGCTCTATTCCAGTCCTGACCACAGATCACTGTGGTTAGGTTACTTTCCTTCTTAGAGCCCCAGGCCTTGACCTCTGCCTCCTAGTAAGGAAACAATGTGCCACCAGATAAACTTGGAGAAACTGCTGAATTCCCTGAGACCAAAAGTGCAGCTCCGTAAATGTATTACATGCCGAGAACAGTTGATAAAATGTACAAGGGCTGGGAAAAGAGGCATGAGGAGGAATGAACAGAAATCCTGCCACCTCTATGGGGTTTTTGAAAGGTTAGAGCTCAAAAACACTTACCCTGCCCCCTGTTTCTCCCCACAAGACAGCCCAAAGCACAAGACAATTTTATTAGCAGCTCTGAGATACCCAGAAGCAATCCAGAGAAGAGGGTAGATCCATCGTTTCACTTGATGTTGTACTGCAATTTTGCAGCTAAAGACATTCTTTGGGCCTGAACTCCCGGGGTCCCTCAGTCTTGAATAACTGGTATAAATGATGCCCGGGCTAGTCAGAGGCCCTGCACTGTCTGGGGCCTCTCCCCATCCCCAAGTCTCACTACCTTCCGCAGCAGCACAGAGGGTTGAAAGTGTCTGGGAAGACTTGAAGGAGTTGAGCATATCTCTCTCTCTAGCACTCTGCTCAAACCAATGGCCTGTTCTCTGCAGTTCCTATGACATGAACACTGTAATGGAACACAGGAGCCCATGTCTACATCTCCTACAACAAATGAAGACCACTAAATTATAAAGCTCTCCTGCAGAATGCAAAGCATCTGTCACTAATATGCTAACCCATTCATTTTTTCCCCATGTATTGGAAAGAGAGAGAACAGATACTGCTTGGGTTTTACTAAGCCCTAGACTGTGTCTGCTATTTTAAAAATACCTTCATCATAGATGTGTGAAGCAAAGATATGAGAAACAGGGGGTAGAACCTGGAGAGGGGCTGCCCCACCTAAAGGCATTCCCATGATAAAAATTTTTCCTTGGCACTTGACACGCCTGGACCAAGCCAACCCTATCTAGTCGCCAGGTCCTACCTGCAGGCTTTGATTGTGCAGACTTTGTCCTACCTCCCAGAATGTGGGATTAGACCAACAGGACATTATTCCTAATGGGCAAGGTCAATATTTTAATCACCAATCTCTTAGCTCATGGTGGAGTTCATTTCCCTAGACCACACTGTTTTGAGCATGCGCTCATTGAAGTTGGAGGCACGCACCGAGGAAGGGAACAAGCAGAACAGAGGCCCAGGTGCGCTCTGTTCCAAGCTTGCTCTATAGCACTCTGGGTGCTACTCAACCTCCCGGGATTGTTCTTTTTCCACTGGAAAGTAGTGGGACTCTCCTAAGGGAAGGTGAATACCTGGGATGCTTTCAGAACAATTTCAAGTACATTGTCCAAGACAGTATGTTTACGCCGAAACATGAACCACTTGAAAAATGCAAGAATCTCTAGGTGGATCTTCTTGCTTCTTTGTCAAGTTTCTGCCAGATCCCAAAAGGAACTCCTAAGTCTGCAACTGGGTCCAGAAGTAAACAGCACTAGGTAAGCATGAAGTTGAAGCTGCCGGGGACACAAGAGCCTTGTATCCGCCGGCCTCCTGGTCACTTCCGCCTGCAAATCCACATATGCCCCAATTCACCTTGTTCAGAAAAGAATGCAGCACTCCTGCCCCACCACTCCCCCGACAGCCTGCCTCAGTCCAGATTTCTCCAGCTCCACTAATGGCATCATCTCCCACCAGCTGCCCAGGCAAGACACCTGCAGGACAACCCCACTGCCCGTTCCTTGCTGCCCACCACCTTCACCGCCATATCCACCATCATCTGTCAGCGCTAATTCCTACGATGCACTTCTCAGATCAGCCCCTTTCTCTCCTTTGCCACCCCCTTTGATCAGCCCCGGCTCAGGATGCTTTGATTTACTGCAATAGCCTGCTTCCAGTTGTTCTCCACGTGGCCCCCGCTGAACCTTGCTACAGTACAAATCTGGTCTTGTTGATTCTCTTCCTTGGAGATCGCCAAGGCCTGACTGCTGCCTGATGGATAAATCCCTTAGCTGGATACTGACACTGGTCCTGGTGCAGCCTCTGCCGTGTTGCCCCTTGCCCCACTTCCCACCTCTGCCTTGAACTCCTGCAGACCCCAAGGGCTGTGCTCTCACCTCTCTGTGCTGCTTCCTCCACGTGGGACCTCTGCTTATGAGTTCACAAAGCCAATCTGAGGGATCCTTCAAAACATCCTCTAAAACTCAACTGGATGCCCCTCTTCCTCCTCCTCCTCCTTCTCCTCCTCTTTCTCCTTCTTCTCCTCCTCTTCCTCCTCTTCCTCCTCCTCCTCTTCCTCTCCCTCCTTCTTGTCCTCCTCCTCCTCTTCCTCCTCCTCCTCTTCCTCCTCCTCCTCTTCCTCCTCCTCCTCTTCCTCCCCCTCCTTCTTGTCCTCCTCCTTCTTGTCCTCCTCCTCCTTCTTCTCCTCCTCCTTTCTCCTCCCCCACCTCCTCCTCCTCCTTCTCCTCCTCCTCCTTCTCCTCCTCCTTCTCCTCCTCCTTCTCCTCCTCCTTTCCCCTCCTCCTCTTCCTCCTTCTCTTCCTCCTCCTTCTCTTCCTCCTCCTCCTCTTCCTCCTCCTCCTTCTCCTCCTCTTCCTCCTTTTCCTCATCCTCCTCCTTCTCCTCCTCCTTCACCTCCTCCTACTCTTCCTCCTCCTCCTTCTCCTCCTCTTCCTCCTCCTCCTCCTTCTTCTCCTCCTCCTCCTTCTCCTCCTTCTCCCCCTCGTCCTTAACCTCCTCCTCCTTATCCTCCTCTTTCTCCTCCTTCTTCTCCTCCGCCTCCTTCTCCTCCTCCTCCTTATCCTCCTCTTTCTCCTCCTCCTTCTCCTCTGCCTTCTCCTTCTCCTTCTCCTCCTTATCCTCCTCCTCATCCTCCTCCTCCTTACCCTCCTCTTTCTCCTCCTCCTCCTTATCCTCCTCCTTATCCTCCTCTTCTTTCTCTGCCTCCTCCTCCTACTCCTCCTCCTCCTCCTTCTCCTCCTCTTCCTCCTCCTCTCCCTCCTCCTTCTCCTCCTCTTCCTCCTCCTCTCCCTCCTCCTTTCTCCTCCTCCTCCTTCTCTCCTTCTCCTCCTCCTTCTCTCCTTCTCCTCCTCCTTCTCTCCTTCTCCTCCTCCTCTTTCTCCTCCTCCTCCTTCTCCTCCTCCTCCTTCTCCTCCTCCTTCTCTTCCTCTTTCTCCTACTCCTCCTTCTCCTCCTCCTCCTCTTCTTTCTCTGCCTCCTTCTCCTCCTCCTCCTTCTCCTCCTTCTCCTCTTCCTCCTCTTCCTCCTCCTCTCTCTCCTCCTCCTTCTTCTCCTTCCTCCTCCTCCTCTGCCTCCTCCTCCTTCTCCTCCTCCTTCTGCTGCTCCTCCTCCTTCTCCTCCTTCTCCTACTCCTTTTCCTCTTCATCCTCCTCCTCCTTCTCCTCCTCCTCCTTTCTCCTCCTCCTTCTCTTCCTCTTTCTCCTCCTCCTCCTTCTCCTCCTCTTCCTCCTCCTTCTCCTCTTTCTCCTCCTCCTCCTTCTCTTCCTCCTTTCTCCTCCTCCTTGTCTTCCTCTTTCTCCTCCTCCTCCTCCTTCTCCTCCTCTTCCTCCTCCTTCTCCTCCTCTTTCTCCTCCTCCTCCTCCTTCTCTTCCTCCTCCTCCTCCTCTCCTCCTTTTCCTCCTCCTCCTTCACCTCCTCCTCCTTTTCCTCGTCCTCCTCCTTCTCCTCCTCCTTCTCCTCCTCCTCCTTCTCCTTTTCCTCCCCCTCTTCTTTCTCCACCTCCTCCTTCTCCTCCTCCTTCTCCTCCTCCTTCTCCTCCTCCTTCTCTTCCTTTCTCCTCCTCCTCCTTCTCCTCCTCCTCTTCTTTCTCTGCCTCCTTCTCCCCCTCCTCCTCCTCTTCCTCCTCCTCCTCTCCCTCCTCCTCTCCCTCCTCCTCCTCTCCCTCCTCCTCCTCTCCCTCCTCCTCCTTCTCCTCCTCCTCCTCCTTCTCCTCCTCTTTCTCTTCCTCTTTCTCCTCCTCCTTCTCTTCTTTCTCTGCCTCCTTCTCCTCCTCCTCCTCCTTCTCCTCCTCCTCTTCTTCCTCCTCCTCCTCTCCCTCCTCCTCCTTCTCCTCCTCCTCCTTCTCCTCTTCCTCCTTCTCCTCCTCCTCCTTCTCCTCCTCCTTCTCCTTCCTCCTCCTCCTCTTCCTCCTCCTCCTCCTCCTTCTCCTCCTCTTTCTCCTCCTCCTCCTTCTCCTACTCCTTCTCCTCTTCATCCTCCTCCTCCTTCTCCTCCTCCTTTCTCTTCCTCCTCCTTCTCTTCCTCCTTCTCCTCCTCCTCCTTCTCCTCCTCTTTCTCCTCCTTCTCCTCCTCCTCCTCCTTCTCCTCCTCCTCCTCTTTCTCCTCCTCCTCCTCTCCCTCCTCCTCCTTCTCCTTCCTCCTCCTCTTCCTCCTCCTCCTCCTTCTCCTCCTCCTCCTTCTGCTGCTCCTCCTCCTCCTTCTCCTCCTCCTCCTCCTCCTGCTGCTCCTCCTCCTCTTTCTCCTCCTCCTCCTTCTCCTACTCCTTCTCCTCTTCATCCTCCTCCTCCTTCTCCTCATCCTTTCTCCTCCTCCTTCTCTTCCTCCTCCTTCTCTTCCTCCTTCTCCTCCTCCTTCTCCTCTTCCTCCTCCTTCTCCTCCTCTTTCTCCTCCTCCTCCTCCTTCTCCTCCTCCTCCTTCTCCTCCTCCTCTTCCTCTTCCTCCTCCTCTCCCTCCTCCTTCTCCTCCTTTTCCTCTTCCTCCTCCTCTTCCTCCTCCTTCTCCTCCTCCTTCTCCTCCTCCTTCTCCTCCTCCTTCTCCTCCTCCTCCTTCTGCTGCTCCTCCTCCTCCTCTCCTCTTCCTCCTCCTCCTTCTGCTGCTCCTCCTCCTCCTTCTCCTCCTCCTTCTCCTCCTTTTCCTCGTCCTCCTCCTCCTCCTTTTCCTCCCCATTCTTTCTCCTCCTCCTCCTTCTCCTCCTCCTCCTTCTCCTCCTCCTTCTCCTCCTCCTTCTCCTCCTCCTTCTCCTCCTTTTCCTCCCCCTCTTTCTCCTCCTCCTTCTCCTCCTCCTCCTTCTCTTCCTCCTCCTCCTCCTCCTTCTCCTCCTCCTCTTCTTTCTCCTCCTCCTTCTCCTCCTCCTCCTTCTCCTCCTCCTTCTCCTCTTCCTCCTGCCCCTCCTCTCCCTCCTCTTCTCCTCCTCCTTCTCCTTTCTCCTCCTCCTCCTCTTCCTCCTCCTCCTTCTGCTTCTCCTCCTCCTCTCCTTTTCCTCCTCCTCCTCCTTCTGCTGCTCCTCCTCCTCTCCTTTTCCTCCTCCTTCTCCTTCTGCTGCTCCTCCTCCTTCTCCTCTTTCTCCTCCTCCTCCTTCTCCTCCTCCTCCTCCTCCCCCTCTTCTTGCTCCTCCCCCTCCTTCTCCAGGAGCCCTTCTTCATGTCCTGCTTTTCATAACTGGATGGGTGCCCGTCTTCCTATTCCCAGAGCACCCTCTTCATGCCCCAGTCTCACTCTCTGACACATTGCATGTAAATTCTCTATTCCCACGTATGTTGTGGCCACACTAAGCTGTGAACTCCCTGCTGACAGAAGTAGGTCTTTCATCTCCACACAAATTCTCACATAGTGCCTAGCACACAGTAGGCACTCAATAAATATTGCTTGAATTGACTGATTGCTTGATCAATTGATTAAATATTTCATAACATCATATCAACCTCTCTTACTAAAATATGCAAATATATGTGCATGGCGCTTGGTGAAATGTAGGCATCGAGGAATCTTACGAATCCTTTTCTTTTTCTGCAGTCCCCAATTGAACCTACTACTACCAGGATGGAGATCCCCCCGGGGACCCAGGCCTCTGGACTCCTGCACTGACCATCCCCTGCCACTGTCTCCTGCCATCCCTGCTGCATTCTCCTTTCCGACCTGCCATCCCTGCTGCATTCTCCTTTCCGACCTGCCATCCCTGCTGCATTCTCCTTTCCGACCCTCTGCATGTGGTTTTTATCCCTTACACCTCCTCACCAGATCAGCAAACACACGGGAGCCGGCAAGGTGTGATGTGAGGCCTAAGCTCAGTTTTCATTCTCTTTGTCTTGATTTTCTTTCACCTTGTGTGTAAATAGACTCTTTCTTCTGATGCTCACCCAACCCTTTAATATGCAAGGCCACATTCATCCTCACCTCCTGGGCTGCAGACGCGAAACAGCAAGGGCTTATTCCTGGCTTTAAAGAGGAGAAACTGAGGCCTAGCCCAGAGAGGGGACTTGCTGAAAGACATTCAGTATACCTAGGATTAGAAGCTCGGTCTCTGTATTCCCTGGCCAGTATATAATACCTCTTCAATTGCTCTGAAAATGAAAACCTCAGGATTATTTTGCAGGAGGAAACAAAAATAGGCCTGGAAAAACCACAGCCACATTTCTGACAAGCTCCATTCAGAGGGCACCATAACTTACATAAATGATTTCCTATTACACCGCAATTGTCACTGCAACACGACAGTCTTGCAGCTTCCTTGAAGTGTTCTCTTTGTTGTTTTTTGTAAAGATCCTCCAGAAAGAAGAATCAAATATGGTCCAAGCAGGGAAACAAAGCACATGACATCCGCAGACCCAGATTCCCCTTCCGCATGATTCTTTCTGAGGACCAAAGAGAATGCCATGAATAGTCCCCCGTGGGCCTGAGCCCTCTCCCACCTGTCTTCCTCCCAAAGCTCTGCTATATCCTTGCAAATAGGATTCCTTTTTTTGAAAAAAGAAAAAAAAATGAAAGCCAATGGTTTATGAAGAAGAAATGAAGTGGCAATTTCCCAGCATGGCTGGGAATCAATACAAGCTGTTGTCAGGGTTTTCCTTTCAAAGGGTGGCTGCCACACTTCTCCAAAGTCAAGAGCGACAGAGCTCCAGTGCTTGACTTACAACTGCTTCATCATAGCAAGATATTTTTAATTTAAAACTCACTGCAGTTGGGTTCGAACTCAGCTGGGACTTGATTTACTGCTAATTCATTTCTCTGATTCCTATAATTCTAAGCTCAGTCACCAAACAGTTTAATGCTGATAGAATCACCAGTGCAATGCTTTATGAATGGGCGTCAGGGGAATTTTGTTAGTGTGTGTTAGCAACTGTTATTCACTCTGGAAAGGAGCACCGTGCCTGCACCAAGCATGGGGGGGCTCTATAATTGGGCACGTGAATTACCAGTATCCCCAAGTGATTCAAACCCAAATACCACTGAGAGGGTACCCCCTTTTACCCCAACCCACATACACACTCCCACACTCTCCCTCTCTCTCTCACACACACACACATACAATCATTACCTATGTGAGATGAATGCCAGGCAGTGAAAACGCTTTCCATGGGAAATGCCTAACTTCACTCTCCAGGTCACTACCCAGTGGTGGAAACCATGGATTTACAGTCTAATTAGAAATCCTCAGCCTTTTCTTGGATGGCAAAGTTTTCTCTTCCCAAGAGAAAATTTGTTTCAACCGTCCAAAGTTTAGGGAGATGTGTCTTAATAACTCAAGCTTCCTTTGTTAATTTGATAAAGAACATTTATCTTTGTCAGTTATATTGAAGCCTCTTATTCAAGCAGTTGGAGAAAAAAAAATTGAGAAGGTGAATGTCATTACTCACATATTTTGCAAACATCCATCTTGATCTGTTATGTGCAACCAAAAAGTGCCACTTGTGGGAAACATGTCCACAAACCTGTCAGAGTGGCATTCACACTTTTTGAATTTGTTTCTTTATGAAATATACACCTGAAGGCAGATCACAAGGCCACTGTCGCTAAAGTTTTGTGAGAATTCGCAGTCATTTCTGGGAGTCTCAAAAGCAAATGACAAGGACAAGAGGCAGGCGGTGCCTCTGAAAGTTGGGGTCACAAGTCCCTACAAGTCCCTATTTTATCAGTACAGTGAATTCATTCTTCTGGTTTTTTCACCTCTGAAGTAAACCAAAACTTGAAAGCTTCCAGTTGAAGGTCACCATCTCCCAAAATGCCTTTCTATGGAACCGTCTTTCCAGGAGACATCAATAGGCTTAAATACTCCCACACAAACGGATCCCCATGGCCCAATAACCTGAAAAGCAGTGGGCAAAGAATAAATAGGTTTCCCAACAACAGGTCTTCTTCACCTTTAATTCGCCCTTATGCATCTCCTGAAGAGGACAAAAGAGAGGATGCTTGCAAAACTTACTTGGTCACAGAATGCTCTTTCCATGGAGGATTTTATAGACTAGTCTTTGGAATGTTCTGCTAAATTCAGCTTGGTCTCCCCCCCACCCCCCGCCGCAATCTATCAGTGCCAAAACCCATAGTGAGTTTTACACAGAGAGAAATAATTTAATTCCATGTGCATCCATGTGCAAGACCACTGCACCTACCTGTCCCCAACCACTATGACCCAGGATGCTGGAGGGTAACTGAGGGGCTCAGCCTGTACCCATCTGGATTCATCTGAATCCTCTGGAATAGCCAGTCAGTCTGACTTGATGTGATCCCTACTCTGTCCCTGCTGCAGAGTAAGAACCCACCATATTAGTCTGGTTCACCCTAGCCTTGATATTTTTAAGGTCATTCTTCTCCACCTTATCCTACTCCATTTATTCCTTCTATTTTTACAGCAAATATTTATCAATTGCTTCCAGTAAGATAGGCTCTGGGTTGGGCAATGAGTATACAAGAAGTAAGAAATGATCCCTCTCAACCTAAAACATAAAGAAATACATGATTCCCACTGTTTTCATTGCCACTGCCAGTAGCAGCTTCTTCACCATTATTAAAAAGCATGAATTGAGTTACTGATGAAACAAAAAACTGCTTGAAGCAGGGGCTGACCCTACCTTCTGGGAGCTGCAACTCTCAGGCAGAAACCCTAATGCAGGCCCACGTCTCTAGGTCAGTGATTTGCTCACATCAATCAGTGGTTAGGGGCAAGTGCATTTAGGGAGGAAGATAGGGTCAGTATCTAATGGACAAGAGAGCAGGGAAAGAGGTCACAAGCACAGCATGACCATTAGTCCTCTCCCCAGCCTGACCCTAAAGGGCCTTCAAAGCACAAGAGTAGTAAAAAACGTTGATGAGGGGCAGGACTAGCTAGAAGCAATGACTTACAGGAAATATTTTATGCAGAAATGTCCCCTGTTGCATTATATTTCAGTGCTTTCATTATTTCTTAAAACTGGGAGGGTGGCAGAGGTCATTACGACCTCCCCCTGCTTCCCAGCAGCCGTGCCATCCCTGAAATAGTCACACACCACTATGCGGAAGGCTGGCTGTTGCTTAGTAAGCCCCAAAACATTAGAAAAGTCTTCAGAAATCGGATTGGCACCCATTCTTAATGTGGTTTCTATTTGGGGTTTAAATGGGATAATAGTGTAGTCGACTAGTGTTGACACAGACTCGTGAATTCTGGGGCTCCTAATTGGAGTACCCTGCCCTGTCTTGCCATCTGACTCTGTTCTGAAGAACTTTATGTTCTTTGCATGGAAACCATTATCCCAGACTCCCAATTTATGTATCTGCCCAAATCTGCTGAGTCCCACCTGACATCACGCCACCCCACCCCAATTCTGAACTGCAGCCATTTTCCTGTTGAATCCTTGTTATCATTGCCACTGCCAGGAGCAGCTTCTTCACCATTATTAAAAAGCAGGAATTGAGCTCTTGATTAAACAAGACACTGCTGGAAGCAGAGGCTGACCCTACCCTCTAGGAGCCGCAACTCTCAGGCAGATGCCCTACCGCAGACCCACGTCTCTAAGTCAGTGAGTTGCTCACATCAATCAGTGGTTAGGGGCAAGCATATGTATTTAGGGAGGAAAACAGAGTCAGTATCTAATGGACAAGAGGCCCCCAGTGACGCTTTCTGCTGTTCCTCTGGCCCTAAAGTTCTTGCTGTCTTTTCTTCCTTCAGAGTCAAAGGCTGGGCTCCTGCAGGGGTAACCCTGACATACCTTCTGCAGGGAGAGCCAAGGAAGCCCCAGCCCCAGGGCCTGACCCACAGAGGCTCTAGCTTGACCTGGTATTCCCAACCCCAAAGTGAGGGGAGTTGACTCATGCCTCGTGGGGTGACTTGTGACCAGTGAGCTACAGCAGACCAGAAGGACCTGTGGATTAACTGCTGGCTGTGCCTCACCACCACAGACTATTCTGAGACATACTGTTCACACCAGGCTTCCCTGGATACCTCCTGAGTGACTGAGCCACCAGCTGCTTTTCACTGGGAAGGCAGGGCCAGCTTGGTAATACACTATTTGTTCTCCTTCCTTCCCTACCTCTCCTCCTTTGCTTCATTTTTGCTTCCCCGGGATCTCACCCCTCAATAAAGTCATAACACATAGCTTCTTCCTTGAGCTCTACTTTCTAGGGAACCCAGGCTGTGACTGGAGTGAAGGACAGACAGGCAGGGGCACAAGGCCCAGGCCCTCCATAGTTTTGACAAGAATAGTCCTGCTTGCATCTGTTCTGTGCACTGGAATTCCATATAAAATTTCACTGGAGCAAAGATTTTCACTGTATACATGTTAAAATATGTTTAATCACCGATCTAGACTAACCTCCTCATTTTATAAACAATAAACTGAAACATAAAATGATTTTTCCCAAAATGCTTTAGTTAGAGTTATCTACATCTATTTGTATCCAAAGCCTAGCTTTTTCCACAACAGTGGTTTTTAAGCAAGGGGACATATTGGAATCATCTAGGAACCTAAGAAAATGGACACGTGCCTAAGTAGCTGTCTCTTTCCTTGGAAAGACAAGGGACAGGATAGGCTCTGAAGAAGGCTGAGCAAATGCTGAGGCCAGAGGTGGACTCTGTACCTATCTGGCACAATTCTGCTTGAGAATCTATTGCTCACACAATCACCAGAATCCAGTACTTGGTTTACGTAATGCAAAGGTTCAGTGGAAATTTTCACTGTAGAAGCCACCCCTTTATTCACATTTGACAGTAGTCATAGCAAAGTGCTTGTCTTAGTCCAGTGTTTCTCAGTGGATTCCAGGTCCACTACACAGTTTATATACTTTTGTGATTTCACAATCCATGTGAGTGTATTAAAGGCTCTGAGAAGTCCTGCAGCAAGGAGTATCTTTAGCTTTGCTTTACACCCAGGGTTTTGCAAACTTACTTGACTGCGGAAACTTTTTTGCATGTAATGCCTATTGACTCCCCCGCAGAATATACTTTGGGAAACTCTAGTCTATTTTAAGTATTACTTTCAGGAAAGCAGGCCTGAGATGGAGAGGAAGAAAACGAACTCCAACTGACTCTAGCAACATTAGCTGACATTCCAGGCAGGCTGCTTCAGTTGCACATCCTGACGTCTGCTACTGTCTCCTCTCTCACTCTCTAACCCCGCCACAAGAACGGAAGCAATCCACCAGCTATGCCTTGCTTACTTCTTTCCTCTTGGCCTCTGGGTCAAAGCCAAGGAATGATTGGTTCACCTTCTAGTTTGAGCCTCCACACTACCAAAAGGGAAATCCAGCTGTGCTCATTCGAGAAGAGTTCAGTGAGTATGTCAGATAAGGAACTGATCTTGAGCGAAGACCAGGAAAGCCTTTCAACTGCCATGGTTTTCCTGTCCTAAATTTCCAGCGACCTCTTCCTCCACTGCTTCTCTCCTCATACTTCATAATGAAAATACTCTACCCTGTAAGACCTCGGGAATTGATTCAGCGAGGCTGTGTTCAGCGCATTGACTGCGGAGACTATCCTCTTAGCTAGTGATCTGTTTTGTGTTGGAGTGACAAAACATCCCAAAATCCAATTTGCTGTTGCGAATCCTGGTTCATGGAGGAAACACCATAGAGGGGGAGGGGAAGATCCAAGCTTAGAAGGAAAAGAGAGGATGCCTGAGATCTCTCCAACACCTGTTGGTTTCAGTTTGCACAGGACTTTACCTCCCAATGTTTTATCCACTCATTCCTACTGCTGCCTCAGAGGGGAGGTGATGAAATTCCACGTGCACCCCTTCTAGCCACCTCAAGTTGGACAGAACTTTTACTCACCTCACAGTGTAGAGAAGTCAAAGAAATAATGCATGGAATAAAAGTTTGTCTTTTGGAGAAAAAGAAAAAAAAAAAGGCAAGTAACCAAAGTGCCTCACTTGTGGCTTTTTCCTAAAATGTTCAGACCAGAGGGACTGAGGTTAGCCCTGGCTTTGGAGTGGGACAGAACCCAACCAGGCCCATGGGCTCCTTCAGGGATTCACACCCACACCTTTTTGCATCAGGATGTAATTCCTAATGCCTTGCCTTAGCCTGCACCATCTCAGGTCTGAATTATTTTCTTCATGCAAATGGGGACCTATCAAAATTCCTCTAAGTGCTACAGGATGGCTATCCCCTGACATGGTCCGTTGGCACCAACATGCGATGAGTCTCTGCTGCAACCACCATAGGATCCAGGCACCCAGCACCGCATGATGTCCCTAGGCACTGATTTCTTCCCTGCTTCTGGATCCTGAAGTCAGAAACTCTAGGAGTAATAAATGAATGAATGAACAAGTGTCAAGTACCTACCGTGAGTGGTGTAATGGTAAGAATCTTTGCCCAAGAGTGAAAAAACCATCCATCCCTTAGCAACCTGGCGCCTTGGACATCTCACCTAAACTCTCTTCTCAGCCTTAGCTTCTATGCTATCAAAATGGGAATAAACAATACCTACCTTGCACAGCTATTTTAAAGATGAAATGAGGAAGTGTTGTTTCCACAATACTAGCAATTTGAAGCAGTCACCAGGGAGAATTAGACTCCTATCAGAATTGGAGCCTCATAGAGTCTAAAGTAAAGATGGGAACTTCACTCATTCATTCATTTACTCATTTTTTCCTGGGAGAAAATGGGAATTGCCAAATGAGGTGACAGTCACCCTCAGGACCTGAGCATTCTGCTAGAATGATCCATGCAATTTTATAACCTACCAACAGCCAAGGAGAAGACTCATCCCCCTTGATGAATGGGGAAATCGAGGCTCAGTGAATAAATACATTTGCCTGGCATCACAGAGGTAGTGCAAGAGACTAGGGACCAGATATTCTAAACTTCCTCCCAAGCACTCACCCATAAACCTCCCAAGGGGGCAGCAGTACAGTGAGCACATATATTCTAAGGAGGAAACCAGCACAGTGATGAGGAGAAAGGTCAGATTGCTCACAAGTGAGACTTGGCTCCATCACTAAGTGGCTGTGTGATCTGGGACAAAGTCTTTAACCTCCTGCATCTCAGTTTCCTCCTGGAGGAAATAGGGACCGTAATAGCCTATCTGGGTTGTTATGAGGCAAACTACTTAAATGGTATCTAAACCAAATGAGTGCTCAATAAATATTGGCCACCATCATCATTAATTATCATCTTCCATTCCATTGTTTTTACAAGAACTGAAGCCAGTACTAACATCCTCACAGCCTCTTCCTTTGGGAGGCTGATGCCACAGGACCGGACAAGTGTGTGGGGGCATACACAGACTCACATAGGGACTCAGGAAACTCTTCTTCCAGGCTGCTCCATGCCATGCAGGGAAGCAGCCTCCTCCTTCAGGAACAAGGCCTGGGCTCTTGTTCCAGGGGAATCAGGACCCCTGCCTGCCTTTCGTTTTAAAATCCATCTCTTACCACTCAGCAGCAGAGCCCCCTTCAGTCTCCCTGTGGGCTCCACCTTCCTACCGCAACTTGAATGGTACAGCCTGGGCAGTGAGGACAACATGAAAGAAGAAAGAAAAAGTCTGTGCAGCTAGAGGGGATCAGGTGGGAGTCTGGGGAGGGAGCAGTGGAGCTTGCAGCTTTTAAAGAGACAGTGTCCTGTCCACAGGGCCCTGTGTGGACCAAGCATAGCTCGATAGAGCCTATAGGCCAATTACCCTAATCATGTGCATCTCCCAAACAGCCATTTATTAGTGAGACGTCTTTTTAAAATGCCGCTTTTAAATATAAATAACACTTAATCATCCAGCTGTCGTTAAATTCATGTTATATTGATTTCTTGGAGTGCCGCAAATTTGAGGGCGAATGGGCTGGCGGATGTGCGCACAAAGCCAAGAGGTAGATTAGCAAGTGGTGGGGGCAGAGAAGTGGGGGTTGGAGGAAAAGGAAGGGAGGTGTCAAGGGAGGGAAATGAACCTACTCAATAGCCCAGGGTCTGAGCCAGTTTCACATTGGGTAGCACTGGACACAAATAAGAAGAGAGGAGACGCTGGCACATCTGTTGCATAGTCTAATGAGAGCCAAGATCATGGTCGTGTTTTCTGTATTGCTGCCGCCCCCTTGTAACCCACCACAGAGCCGCTCCAACAGGTCTCTGATGTGCATTGTCTGCGTATGCCTTCTCTAGGTGAGGATGGGGAGAAGCAGCTAAGAAATGCCCCCTAGCTGGCTAGGAGGAGAGAGATCCACAGCGATTTCTCTGCATCAAAGCCTGATGATAACTATGAATCAAGAGTGGTTAATGACCCAGCCCCTTTAGCTCTCTCCCACTTCGGGACTGCTGCCATCCTAGAAAGCCCCCACTTCATTCCCAGCAGCCCTCATTGTGATGAAAAGGATCCCGAGGCCAAGTGTATGTAGGCAGACTCTGCCGTGCAGATTTCCCTGTCTGCAGGGAGTAGCAGCAGCAGGCGACAGGAAGGCACAGAGAAGGAGAAAGGAAACAAGTTGACTGCCTTGGAGTCCTCCAGAAATGTCTGCAGTGTCCCAGTGGGCATCCAGGAGGAAGTCCTGGGAGGACAGATGAGAGCCCGGGGAGGCGTGATTGGGTAAGAAGGAGCAGCTTGTAGGTGACCCATGCCTAGTGCTCACAGGAGAGCTGCCTTAAGCACCGTCTACCAGGCAGCGAGGGTCTGCTGAAAAGAAGCATTCATGGCTGGGGTTTTTCTAGTGTGACTCCCTTCCCAGTGAGAAAGACCTCAGAGAACTTAAAAGGAAGGGCACAGAAGAGTGGCAGAGAGGGTGAATGACAGCGTGGCATGCTCCAGGGCTGGGCAAGAGAGCCAGGAAAACGTAATGTATACTCCGCTTTACAGAGATGTTAATTAATGCCTGCCTTGTCCTAGAAACCAAATTGGTACCTAATGCTAAGTGCAGAAAGTGCAGAGATTTTCTGAACCCAGATGTTTAGCTTATAACCAGCATAATGATACTAGCTTTGCATTAAAATGATGGATCCTGAGGCTGCGAATACATGAGAAAGGAAAGAGGGTAGGGAGGAAAGCAGAGAAAGGAGTGGAGGTCTACAGGGAAGACACAGACATTTCAGGAAGATCCTGTACCCTATCCCTTTGCCTCTTCCAGGTCCCATGAGGGACTGTTTACCTGGGAGGCACCCACTGTTGCTGGAGCTCATTATTTCTTTTGCAAACCATGTGCTGCTGTACGCGTAGGTGGGATCTGCCTGTCCACGCCCTCAAGGGGCATGTGGGGAGAAATGTTCCATTTCTTCCACAGCCCGGAAGACAGAGGTGGACCCCATTGTCACACATGGCGGGGGCGGGGAGCTGACCACATTTAGCCAGACTCTGAGAACGCATGTGTGTATATATATTGGGTGTGTGTGTGCACACGCCCACCATTCTTAAAAAGCAAATAAGGTTTCTTCCCCCTACTGGGGTCTCTCCATTGTGAGAGATTTGCTTTATTCCATCTATGCTTTTCAATCAATCAAAGGGCAGCTCACACAGCACACAGCGGGAATACAATCTCCCTCCCGGGGTGTCTGCGCTTCTCCCCAGCCTAGCCAGAGACCTTTGCAGGAGCTGAAAAAAGTTTGGAAATAGCGGAGTCAGGGTGCTGAAAAAGCCCTTTCATTCAGCCCCTATCTTCAGGATTTACAAAAACAACCCAAATTCTGAGCCTAGCACTGAGGCCTCCTTGTTCAAAAGAATGTTTGCTCCTCTTCCATCATGTTCTGTAAGGCTCCTAACATATTTTTTCCACTGGTGGGTCTGTGGGATACTCTGAACACATGATCTTGGACAGAGGGTACAAGCTTATTCAGTTTTGTGGGAAAATGATATGATCATGTTGCCTAGAAAGCTACCTCAAAGTGACAGCACCAGAAACACAGGAGCTTGTACATATATATTCAATTCCGAATTTGATTTGGATCTCATGTTCTTCTCCCTATGACAACTGAGACCCTAAATTAGTTGCTCTTAGACCCCAAGAAGGGAACTATGGAAAAGCCTCTTAGAACCCCAGCCACTTCCTACCTCCTCCAGAAAAAGTTAAAATGAGCAGCCTGTGAAATTCCAGCCAGAGAGAACAAGAATGAAAATGCTTTCGGGAAATAGGACCTTAAAGCACGGGCGTCTGGGGAGTGATTCTACAATCGGAGCAGGCTTGGGCTCTGGGGGACGCTGGCAGACCCACGAATGCCTTGCCTTCTCCGGTGGGCAGTGCCGCCACGGTCGTGAGGGAGGGGAGCCTCCTCTTTTGGAGGACTATATCCCTCGTGCTTCCCCCTTCTAGTTCTCTTTCTCAGACACACACCACGAAAGGCATGTGACAGGTGTTCGCCAGCCGGAGGCACCGGGGAAGGCAGCCCCATGTGCCCAGGGAGGGTAGGGAGGTGAGAGGGGACCCAAGTCCTGTGTCTCCAAGTCCTGTCTGCTTGCTGCTAAGCAGGCACTGAGGCTGTGAATAAGGTCTTACCTTTTAAGGAGGATCTGACCCCCGTACCTTCCCTAGACAAGCAACATACGCGGCGATGCTTTAAGCCGCTTTCTGCCTGAAATCTCGGCGCATTCCCGGGGAAGCAGTGCCACGCTTCAGAAAGGCGTTTGTGCTGCCTCTTACTGGGGAAACGCAGTGTCTGTTTCATATGCGCCGCCCTACAGAACTGCAGCCCCAACCGCCTATCTGGCCTCCTCCCCGGGCGCTGGGCCACCACTCTCTCCAAATATGCGTCCGAATATCTGTGGGTCTGTCTCCCGTTGAAATCCCAGGGTGTCCAAAGGCCACGGGGCCGCGATGACACTGGGTAGGTCTCCGGAAACCTCTCAGGACTTCTCCCATTTTAAAGCCCAGCTAGGGACGAAAGGGGCTGGGAGCTGAAAAATTGCTCCCTCAACCTCCCCGGGTGGGAGGCAGAGCCGGGAATACACAGAATCCCACCCCGAAAGTCCCGGGAAAGAGAAGTCTGAGTCCAGGAGCGTGAGAGGAGAACACACCCGGGAAATCCCTGCTCCGGCCGCTGCACCTCCGCGGGCGTCCAGGTGGGACGTGGGCAGGTGCGCGAGCGCCGTGTGTGCCGGTGTGGATCTGTGTGTGTGCCTGCGTGTGTGCGTGTGCGTGTGCCGCGGGCTGGCTCCGGGACACTGAGGACTCCCGGGTCGGCCCAGGTCTGTCCGACCTTGCTGCCCTCGCCGCCCGCCCGGCCCCACTCCCCGGCGGGCCGGCTCCTTACCTGGACGCGCCGCGTTTCCCTCCTTCAGCGGGAGCGCCGCATTGACACTGCAGATGGAGCCTATGCCGCTGCCTCTCGCCCTCCTCTGAACGTGTGCGTGTGCGCGCGTGTGGCTGCCTCCTCCAGCCCCAGCCCCGAACGCAAATACTCCACCGAGGCACAGGGAAGCCGGGAGCAGCCGAGGAACGCGGAGGGCGCCGAATCAGAGCCTGCGGGGCTTGACAGCTTCTCTTGCGGCGTCCAAGGTGGGCGTAATGTCCAACAAAAAGGTCGGAAAATGGGGATCGATTCCGAACACCCCTTTCCTCCACCCAGCCCCGGAGCCCGAGCAGCGGCGGCGGCTCTCGGGGGCTGCGGTGGCGACGCCGGGCTGCCCCCCTTCGTCCCCACCCCCGCGGGCTGAATGTCCTTGATGCCAAGCGGGCACAGCGGCGTCACTCCGCGCCGCCCATGCTCGCCCGGTCGGGCCGCTGCCCGGGCGCGGCGAGTGCGCGGGGGACCCGCCGGGGAGCGCTCTCGGCGCCTCTGCGCGCCTCTCTGGGTAGCGGCGGCCGCCCCCCGGCAGCCCGCGGCCGGCCGCGCCGCGGCAGCCCCCACCCTTGCCGAGACACTCGCCGGGCAGTGCCCTGGGGCCGGGGCTGGGGGGCCGCGGGAGCCGCCGGCTGCTCCCCGGGGAGGCGCGGGGCTGCGGCGGTGGTGGCTGCGGCGGCTGGCGCTGCGGCGGCGGAGAGCTCGGCCGCGGGCCGAGCCGGGCCTCCCGGGCGCGCCCCCGGCCCCCCGGGCGGGCTGCTCGCAAAGTTTGCAGGGGGCAGGGAGCGGGGCCGCCGCTGGCTCGGCCGCCGCCGGAGCTCCCGGGCTGCCTGCTGCCGCCGCGGCTCGCTGCTGCTGTGCATTGAAGCCCGGCCAAGCGCTGCAAAAACTCCAGCTGCCTGGCGCTCTCTGGGTCCTCCTCTCCTCCCTCCCGCCCTCCCTGCTTCCCTTCCTCCCTCCCTCGCCTCGCCTCCTCTCCTCCCTGCCGCCCGCCGCCCGCCGCCGCTCCCTCTCTGGCTCGCTCTCGCTGGCTCGGAGCTCGCGGCTGACATCTAGAGCGAGGGAGAGCGGCCGGCAGAGGGGGCAGGGGGCGCCTCCCTACATGCTCCCACCCGCCGCCGCCCGGCTTGCCGGCTCTCCTCCGCACCAACGTTTGCCGACACCCCCCTGGGTCCCCTCGGCCCGCACGGAGCTACCCTGGCGGTGGCGATGTGGGGCGGAGAGAGGGGCATACATGGGTGACCGGAGCGCACGGCGCGCGCTCAGAGGGAGGCGCTCAGCCGCCTCGGAATTTGCAGCTCTGGGCGCTGGCCGTCGGAGGGACCCTCAGGTGCTCAGAGCTGACACAAGCGCACACTGACTCTGAGGCATACACCCATTGCTAGTCAGAACCCCTCCCAACACCCCACCAAGTCACCCCCACATGGCACCCAAGG
Organism: Homo sapiens; assembly: GCF_000001405.40. Classification (NCBI taxonomy): domain Eukaryota; kingdom Metazoa; phylum Chordata; class Mammalia; order Primates; family Hominidae; genus Homo; species Homo sapiens. The sequence continues at coordinate 132,577,888 of NC_000007.14, forward strand.
AGGCCGAGGACACTGAGGGCACAAGGCCCGCACGAGAGAACATGAGTGGCCAGTGCCCCAGAGCTGGCTTGGTAACCTGACTTTTCCATTCATGTTTATACTGAGCGGCTCTCCTGGCTCCTCTCTTCTCTGAAACCCTAGATCCTAGACTACATCCAGAACAGACCATGCCAACATCAGGGTGGTTTCTGAAGCCCAAAGAAAGAAATCACCATGTAGCTCTGGTTTAGGCAGTGAAGATGGGGAGTGGGTGGCACTACCTCCCAAACCTCTGCCTAGATCCCCCTAGGAATGGGCCCACCCACCAAGAGAAACCGAAGGGATTCCCACACCTGTTAACTCAACTCTGTGCATGCCACCCTCATCCTCATACCCGCTCCCACCATAGTCTGAGGGAAGTGGCACCTTCAGCAGAGTCCAGTAAGCATTCCCTGGGATAGGCAACCAGCAAGGACGACCCTCTAAAGGAGCCCATGGCTCTTGGCCTCCTCTCTCCTGTCCCTTCTTTAGTTTTCACTGTCCTCACACCCAGAAACTCCCGCCCATTACTGTCCCTCCCATCGAAACATCTCAGAGCCTCCTTATTAGGTGGACATGACTGATAATGGCTTAAATGCCTATACCTCCCTATAGGGGTTATATTCTCACAGAAATCGAAGTTGTGTGAATTGGGGAGCCTTTGAAAGGAGCTGTGAGATGACAGCTTAAACAAGCCCCAAGGTGAGCGGCACATATAGGTCAGGCTTGGCCCACCCAGAGAGGACCCTGCTGAAACTTTGCTCTCACCAATGAGAAGATGAACCAAGCCAGAATGAGGAGGAAACCACATGTTTGATTCTTTGGTTAAAGGATATTCCAGGAGACAGCGTGGAGCCCTTTTAGTCTCTGGTTCTCTGCTGAGTCTTGCATGGCCCAGAAAGCAGCAAGGAGTTATCTTATTAAGCTTACATGAATACATTGATCTGACTCCACTCTTCCCAGAAACCCTGAATCCCAGACTCTAGATAAAGCACACAATATCAGGTTAGTTTCAGAAGTCCAGAGACACACATAACAAAATCACTCAATGCTACTGCCTCTTGAACATCCTTCCAGGGTGGAGGAAGCCCAGGGCCAAATGCCTCTCTCTGCAAGACTGGGATTAGCACAAGGCCAGCCGGGCACTGAGGATACAAAATCCAAGGAGGCCCTGTCACCCCAAGGTCCATGTAAGGTTTGCATCACCTGATCCTGACACTGCTTCTAGGTGTCCCTTTTAAAATTGCTGCATGGGTCCATCACGGCCCATTTCCAGAAGTGACAGCCCGGATAGCCCCATGAAAGTCCCTAATGGGTTACTTAAGGAATATCGTTCAATTAAAGGCGCGGGGGAGACTCCTTTCAAACTTCTGTTGGCCACTCAGCTTTCAGGGTATGTCATAAAATGCTGAAAGGAAGGGGGGAAGGTGAGAAAACAACTCTGTCTCAATTCTCAGTCATTCTAGCATGTATTTTTAATACAATCTGATTGTCTTTTTCCTCCTCATATCGGTTGTATTTGTGTGTGTGTGCGTGTGTGTGTGTGTGTGCGTGTGTGTGTGAATATGGCTTGAGTTCCAGGCCCATTTCCTGATGGATGGACGGGAAGTCAAAGACCTTTTTTTTTTTTTTTTTCCAGAGGTGGCAAATAAAATGTGTTTATTATTCTTTATCTCCTGCCTAGTGTGTGGTGTCATTTATTTTCATTCAAAGAAATGAATGCCATGTGGTGCCTGAAGAGTAATAACAGAGCCAAATGACAGGGAAGACACACAGCAAAAAGCTGGACCAGCCACGGGCAGGTGAGGGGCCCAGCGAGCTCTCCCGTTGTTAATGGGGCCAGGGGCCATATCTCAAATTGCCTTTCCCCGGTTGCCTTCCACTGAATAACACGGTAAAAGGCATACCAAAGGGGGCAGTTATCATATTATCGGAAGGAGGAGTAGAAAGGGTCAAATTAGCTGCAGTAGAGGATTTTTTTTTTTCAGTGATGACCCATTGGATTGACTCCCTTAAGTTAGGAGAATGGAATGGGGTGGGATGAGTAGGGCCTCTACATTGGAAGTTAGAAAACACATGTCCTACTCCTGGCTCTGTCATTGGCCAGCTTTACAATTTGGAGCGGGTCACGTCCTCTCAATGATACCTCATCTCTCACCTGACACATTCGCCCCTTAGAGTTGCAATGACATTCAAAGGACATACCATCTTATTAATGTGCTTTGAAACTCTAAGGTAGGTACAAAACACATGTAGGGAATTAGAGTCGCTTTCCAGATGAATGTATCTTTTTATTTTTTTCAAATAGAATGATACAATGAGGGTAGGCCTTCTGCTATCTTGTCCCCACCCCAAGAATAAATACACAGGCAAAAGCAGCATCTTACCACAGTTCAAAATGTGTTTCTGCATTAGGTACAAGATCTTCTGGCTCTCACACCTCCTCTACCCCCTCTCCCTTGGTGAGGGCTAAGGGAGACACAAGTAGGACCATCTAGGTGTCCCCTACTGACAATGGCTCTGTGAGTCACTCCCTCTACCTCTTGCCTGGTCGTGAAACTGGTTATGTCATTGTCTGGACCCATGGCCACAAGAGGGAGAAGCTAAATGGCACATTGCTTCAGAGAGTCCTGTTTTCTAAAGAAGCTATGTCTGTGGGACTTGGGTTGGGGTTTATTGCTGGGTTTAGACAGAAAAAGTATTGGTTCATCTCCCACAGCTGAATAAAAGGACCAGTTTAATAGGAAAGAGGAGAAGAAACTCTTAAGTTTCCCCTCACTTAGCTACCACCATTTTATTAGCCTAGGAACAGTGCTGCTATTTAAGTTGATAAAAGCCAGATTTGCTCGTTAAATAAATCACCAGAGCCTGGTGGTGCTAGAGAGACATTTTCTTTCCCCCAAGAGCTGCCCCCATGGCTGGGTCTTGTACCTTGCACTGGATAGAAAAACCACAGGCAGGCAGTCAGCAGCTTAAAAACCTAAATTGTGGCGCCACCTGCAGGACAGCAGGAATATCATCAGTATCCCACAGCTCAGCAGAGGAGGCAAGAGGAGCCTTCCGCAGTGACACAGGTGAGGCCAGGGTGCCCTCTGGCCCCTGCTTTCTGCATGTGTCACCACATGTCCACAGCACACTCCAGCAGCCTTTAATCTGCATCCTCCTTGAATGCTGCCATTTCGAGGGATGGGCAGCAGCTCTCAAGATTCTCAGTCCATTCAAACTAACTTATTCTTCCATCTGTCTCCTAAGGGACTAAGTGGACCTCTAAGCCAAGGGTTCTGTCTTCAAGACTGGACCATGGAACAGTAAAACAGAAAGGAGAAGTGACTGCCTTTCAAGGAAGATGAGGGGAGGAACATCCTTGTGTCACCACAGGGCCTACTAGTAAGTTGAACTTGGTGGCTGGGTATTCTCAGTAGACCCAACTGTTCCAGGCTTCCCTAGCATGTGGGTGCAAATCAGCACAGAGATATTAACATCCGAATTTCAACTCCCAGCCTTTTCTGCTCAGATAAAACTTTGGCCACCACTGAAAAACCCCTCCCTGTCTCCTCCCATTATGTCAGAGACCGCCACTGGTGGGTGTGCTTAGGAACAAGTCTGACCATTTCATTCACCACAAGTACCCTCTTGGAAATCCACTGCCCATGAGCCATTTGATGGAAGGACATCTCTGCATTGCCAGCTCTGTGGTTGCCCTCTGCAAGGGCACCTCCACCCGGCTGCACTGCTGGACATGGCAAGCTCTGCTGCCGTGCCATGGCTTTCCAAGCCACACCGGGGGGTTGGTGTTTAGGTGGGGAGGACACCCCTCTCCTCCTACACACACACACACACACTGTGGATCTTGATCCTCTGGGCACCAAAATAACTCCCATGCCTCCCATGGTCCAAGTCTTACTCCCCTTCCTCCCCAGACCCTTTCATCCACTGCCCCCTCTCCAGAATGCTTCCTTCTCTTTCAACTAACAAAAACAACAAACAAACAAACAAACAAAACTTGTCTTTTTAACCGCAGAAACCAGAAGTTAGAGGATATTGTGAGGTAAGGGGAGATGGAGGGAGGGAGGGGGTGTGACTTAACTCCATTGGCCAGAAAGAAGAGAGTCCCAGATCTGGCCAGAGCCATGTCTTGCTACAACAAGAAAGGAGAAATACCTCAGTGTAACCCTTCTTGGGGTTAAGTCCTGGGAGGCACAAGGTCCCGTAGTATGCCTGCATTACAAGGACTGGATACAATTCACGTCTCCCACATGGCACCTCTCTCTTGGCACTGCCTAGTACACTGGCTAAGTAGTTTAAATGAGTCACTTGGCCCCTCTGACTGGGGTGCACATAACAGAAAAGGCCTCAAGTTGTTTTCCTTGTGATGAAGATGGATTCGTGCTGATGGGTTGAATGCTCTTGCCTGGTAACACATTTACAAGATGGTTGCCAGGTGGTCTGAGTGTAAGCTGTTCTAAGTGACTGTGGTTGCCAGCCTCCAAAATGGCCCCAGTGACTCTCAACCAGAGGTATTCATGCCCTCATACAGTCTGCTCCCATGCTGAATCAGAGCTGACTTAAGTGACCATGAAGTGACAGTGTCCAAGGCTAGGTCAAAAAAAGACATTTTAGCTCCCAGCTTGGTCTCTTTAGTCCCTTGGACCTGCCATGTGTTGAGAAACTGAGCTACCCACCAACAACCAGTGCCAGCTTGCCAGCCCCATGAGTGAGCCACCCTAGGAGCCCATCCTCCAGCCCCAGTTAAGCCTTCAGATGATTTCAGCCTTCAGAAGTTTCCAACTGAGGTCCCAGACATCATGGAGCAGAGATAAGATATGGTTTTATGCCAGAGATTTGTTATGCAGTAGCAGATAATAAACACAGTGATTTGCAGGGAAGATATCATTCCTCTGACCTTGACCTCATTAACCTCTTAAGCTTATTATTTGAGCCCACTTGGCTGTAGAATAAGAAGGACAAAGTGGGGCATGCTTGATGCATGATAGTCTCATACTGGGCAGGACTGGGCACCAATAGATGTCCTGCCAGTCACTCCCTTCAGAGCTCCGGGGTTAAACCTCTTAGTACATCTCAGTGTGTTACACAGAAATGAGAAAACCCAATGAAGAGGCTTGAAAGCATCCACAAACAGAATACTGAAATCCAGCACTCACTTAAGATGGGCCATCGTCAGTTCAGTTCCAGAGTATTGGCCATCAGAGACATTCAAGAGAGAGGCAGAAAGTTGTGCCGAGTCCTGTTCACTTTCACGAGCTGTCTGGCACCTGCCTCTGCCAGAGAGCCTTTTGGAGGTGAGGTTGAATGGGGCTCCAGGGTGAGTCCTTGCACCCACCAAGCACCAGGCCCAGTGGTGCTGAAAGTGTTCCCTACATCTGATCCTAACCCGTGCTACACCACAGGGCAGGAGGGAGGCCCAAGGATGCTTCCTATAGATGGCAGGTAGAGTAAAAAGAGACTAGAAGCGAGATGTGATTGAAAGCTGATCGTCCACTTTCCCTCCACACCATTCTCCTTGAGGACTTCTCGCATCACCTTCTCTCCTGTGCCCTCAGCAGCTTCCAGAGAGCTCAGTGGAGCCTGCAAGCTATCAGCAGGGCCAAGGCATATACAAGGATTAGGACGAGAGAAGAAGGGAAGAAAGAGGCAAAGAAGAAGAATGAAGGGACAGGAGTGCCTATGCAAAGCAGAGAAAGAGCCGCAGACAGTTGCCTTAGGGATTCTGAGGACAGTGCTTAGGCCCAAGGTGACCTCTCTCCACTTTAGTGTCTGCCTCCAGGACTCTGTGGCCTGGCTCCATTCTCCTTCTGGCCCTATTTTCCTGGCCAGGCCCTATATTCTTCCTCTGTTTTTAAAGGGCTTTCTCCTAACGCACGCCTGCTGACTGTAACCTTCACAAATGTGAGATGTCCCTTGTGGAGTCCAGAGAGAGCAGGGACCCTCGAAGCCTGAAGTCCACAGAGGTGTGTGGTAGCACATGAGGGTTGGGGAGGGCCAATCGTGCCATATCTTCCCAACTCTGCAACCAGCGATGCCAGGCCAGCTGCTGGAAATCAGCCACTGTGGATGTATTTGCACTATGGGAATAGGCACATGCTACAAATTGGGACTTTTGATTTTGTGGAGAGCTGGTTGTTAAACACCTGCCAGCACACTTCTGGCAGGGTCATTGATGGGCCTGGATAAGACAGGTCAGCCCAGGCCTGCCCAGTTCTCAAATGATTCTGCATGGGAACCCATCAGATACATGAACTGCATCAGCCCAGTTCAGGGTCAGAGTAGGAGTTTCTTTCTGTCCATACCCCACCTTTTAATTAAAAGAAAATATTAATATGGACTCTTTCTATTAACTGTTCTTTCCAAGTCCTGTAGGTAAGGAGCCTTTACTCGTGGTTTTTGACACTAAAATCAAATTGTTATTCTTTCCTGCTAGGTAAACTGAGCCAAGAGATGCTGACGTGACCCATGGGTGTGTAGGAAGCTTGAAGTGTACATCTGGTAACACCTGTCATTTACTCCCTCCACCTCAAACTTAAGATTAGTGCACTGGGTTTGGCAGAAATTCTATTTTCATTTCCTCAAAGCACTGCACTAAAATTACCATACATCCATACCACAGAACATGGTGCAGATGTAAAACAAAATGAAAACAAAATGAAGTAAATCTATGTATGCTGCTCTGAAAAACAACAGCAAAATGCAGAACAGTGTATTCGTGTATATCTTTGCATATTTTGAATATACAAAATAGGCTTGTACATACATAGGACATTTTGGAAGGATACACAAAAAACTTAACAGCAGAAACCTGAGTGAGAAACAGAGCGATATGTATTTTCTTAATTTATTGTATATTCTTTTTTCTTTTTGACGTTTTACCACGTGCAAGTACTACGTTCTCCATTTTTCAAAAAGCTAGTTGAAAATGAACAAAAAAAACTGCTGCTAAAAACATCTTTGTCACACCGCCAGTCCTCTGCTCACTCTCTCTTCTCAAATCCAGCCAACCACTCCTCCACCCCATCTGTATCATATTCGAGCTTGCCTTTGTTCTAGTTTCCTACTAGATGCACCCTGTTGCTCCTCTTTTGTGGGCTGCCGTGAAGGTCACGCAGCAGCCTGTCTGCCTAGGCAGACAGCTCGGTGGATCTGGTAAACGTCCCAGAGAATGAGACTTCATCTCTCATTTCCTAAAGACCAGCCAGTATCCTACTTGGCCAGAGAACTTCTGTTTGGCACTAGATTGATTATAGGGATATTCCAGGGATGCTCCAGCACCTCCTTTCTATGCTAAAGCAAGCAGCTTTAGATCAAGTCAAAGGAAATATCCTTCTACATTGGAGTCAGTAAACTCATGGAAACTAACACTCAGACATGGTACAGGCCAAAAATAGGATGATGCCAGGAAACATTTAGATAGCAACAGGTGAAAGCTCCATAGTGTTATTAATGTTATCAGGAACTGTGTAGGGAGAGACAAAGAAAAGCCAGAGACAGGCAAATGGCATTCCAGTTTTGCAAAAGGGGAAAATAATGTGAGTTCTGAAAAACACAAACAAATGAGCCTGGCCCCCAAAGTGACCATTGGATCACTAAAAGATAGATGTGGTAATTATTTAGAAAAGGATGTGATTGATCACTAGGAGTAAGTCTGGAATCACTGTCTTAATCATTTGGGGCTGCTGTTATGAAATGCCACTCTCTGGGTGGCTTTAACAACAAATATCTATTTCTTATGGTTCTGGAGGTTGGAAGTCTGAGATGAGGGTGCCAGCATGGTCAGGTACTTGGTGATGGCTCCTTTCCTGTTTATGTCCTCAGATGGCTCTTCCTTGGTTCATTCAATCAGACAGAGATCTCAAGTGACTCTTCCTCTTTTTTATAAGGACTCGATCCATCATGGGTGGGGGCTCTACCCTCATGACCTCATCTAAACCTAATTACCTCCCAAAGGCCCCAACTTGGGGGGTTAGTGCTTCAACATACGAATTGAGAGTGGGATGACACATTTAGTCCATAGCAATCACGAAGAACAAACTTGGTTAGGCTGGTGTTGCTCTCTAACTCAACAAGGCTGTGAGGCTTTTATATCAAGGAAACGTAAGAGAGAATATCTGAACTGCATCAAGGCATTTAATAGACTCTTTAATAAAATCCTTGTAGAACACCAGGCAATGTAGGCTGGTGAATTAATTGACTCAATGGTTAAACCCCAAAGATGTTCATTAATGCATCAAAGACAACATGAAGGACGGTTTTCTTAGGGTATATGTCAGAGCTCTGTTCTCAGACTAATCCTATTCAACACATTTACTAATGACTTGGATAAAGATAGAGGAGACATGGTCATCAGATTTGTCTATGATTGCAATAAAAGAAACATATTAAATGTAAGTATTTGCAATCCTGCTCCATCCTAAAGAAAAAGAAACTTTTGCTGAATGTTGGGCATTTTGGGTGTTGACGGGCATTTTGGTGTTGTCTTGAGGTATCATTCTAAGGAATAAAAAAGGTGAGAGAGCTTAACAGATCTGCATTTGAAAATATATGGCACTCAGGCCGGGCATGGTGGCTCACGCCTATGATCCCAGAACTGTGGGAGGCCGAGGCAGGCAGATTTCTTGAGCTCAGGAGTTCAAGACCAGCCTGGGCAACATGATGAAGCCCCTTCTGTACTAAAAATACAAAACAATTAGCCGGGCATCGTGGTGGGCACCTGTAGTCCCAGCTACTCAAGAGGCTGAGGCAGGAGAATCACTTGAACCTGGGAGGCGGAGGTTGCAGTGAGCCGAGATGGTGCCACTGCACTCCAACCTGGGTGATAGAGTGAGACTCCATCTCTAACAAACAAATAAAAAAAATTAATTAGCTGGGTGTGGTGGCATGTGCCTGTAGTCCTAGCTACTCAGGAGGCTGAGGTGGGAGGATTGTTTGAGCCCAGGCAGGAGGTCAAGGCTGCAGTGAGCCATGATTGCACCACAGCACTCCATCCTGGGTGACAGAGTGAGACCTTGTCTCAAACCAAAAACAAAGTATGAGCTGAAGTTGACAATAAGCTCAATATGAATCAATAGTGAAATACTGCCAAAGTCAATGGGATCGTAAGCTGTATTAAAAGAGAATGGAGTCCCAAAGGAAGCAGTCCCGCTCAACTTTGAGATAGGCAGACTATACGTGCATTATTGTGTAGAGCTCAAGGCCCCACACTTTCAGCACTTTATGATAAGTTTGAGCACATTCAGGAGAGAGTGGCCGAGCCCAGAAGGGAATTAATTGGAAACAATCAAAGTAACTGGTGATGTTCAGCTTTGAGAAGTAAGGCTCAAGGGAACATAACAGCTTCAAATATTTGAAGGGCTGTCAAAGAGAAGAGCTGCTGCATTCCTTCTGTGTAACTTCAAGATGTGAAAGTAGGATCAGAGAATGGAACTTATCTTATTTAGACATATTTTGGCTTGATGTGAGGAATGTCTTTCTAATAGAGTTCTCTAAAGAAAAAATAAATTGTCTTGAGTGGTAGTGAGTTCTCCATCACTTCGTGTGGTCAGGCAGAAACCAGGGGACACTCAAGTGAAGACTAGAGTTTGGATTGAATGACTCTGATGTCTCTAGAGGTTTGAGACGTTTGTTGTTCTGTATTTATCATTGTATGCCCTATGGTGCCATAAGCTTTGCATTGACTCAGTAGATATTTATTAGGTGGAACCGGAATGCTTTGGGGGTAATTCCTAGGGAAGAGAACCAATATCCCACCCAAGACCATTACTAAGGAGGGAAGTCAAGGATGAAGCCAGAAACATAAGGCCAAGGGTGGGACGAAGGGAAGAGGCAGGTACAGAACTCAATTAAACCCTGCCTCTCCCCACTCTGCACTGTACACCTCATTCATCAGATGCACCATCTTCTGCTTGGTGCTGGTCCATATGAATTCATCCTCCATGTTCCATTTGTCTACTAGATATTCATATAATCCAGGGCTCTGAATTTTTATTTATTTTTCTCTTTGGTTTTCAAATCTTCTTCCCATTCCACACTCCCCAGAGTTCCTGGTCTTTCTTCATTCTATGTCCAGACTCCTTTTGTCTCCCTTTTCTCTAGGTGGTCTCTCCCTTTCCTTGGGGGACCCTTTCCATTTCTCTCTTCCTACTCCCTTAACCCTCTGAAGGCTTCAACAGTTAATAAGGTCCTGAAAGCTAGAACAGGGATCTTAATGTCCCACAGAGGCCTCAGGCGATGAACTCAGTGTCAGGTAGTGTCATCTCATCCTATGGACTGTGAACCTGGAGGCTGGACAGGTTTTTGTCCTATGCCTAACTACACTGTGGACATTCTGCAAACTAAAAATAATTACTGCTTTTTCCTCCTCTAGTTTGTCTTAAATGACCTGAACAATGGCATTCTTATCTCTCCCTTGGGAGAAATTATTCTGTCATCAATGCACCTGTCTGTGAAAGAATGTGTGCTGACTTCTTCTGCAGGAGTTCCAAATTTTGTCTAAATGTCTCTTTGCCATTCCCAATTATGCTTCCTCCTGTACTGCAATCAGTATTATCAACACTGGCATCACTTTCTTCGCCAGAAAATAAAACTAAAGCACCCATATTTTCCTCCCTGGTGGCTTTATCAATATCTTTCAGGCATGATCATAATTTCCCTCCCTAATTCTTCATGCATATTCAGACATAAAAACTACAGGAAGAGAGAACACACCTTGAGGAAGGAAGGAAGGGAAGGGAAGGGAAGGGAAGGGAAGGGAAGGGAAGGGAAGGGAGGAGGGAGGGAGGGAGGGAGGGGAGAGGAAGAAAAAAGGAAAAGAAAAAAAGAAAAAGAAAGAAAGAGAGAAAGAGAGAAAAAGAAAGAAAGAGAAAGAGAGAAAAAGAAAGAAGAAAGAAAGAAAGAAAAAGAAAGAAAGAGGAAGGAGGGAAGGAAGGAAGGAAACAAGAAAGGAGGGAGAAAGGGAAGAAAAGGGGGAAAGAGGTAGGGAAGGGAGAGAGAAAGAAATAGAGAGAGGAGTGATGATGACAATAATAAAGGTATCTTCAAAAAACCAAAAGAGATAGTACAGATTTTCATGGGACTATAAAGATTTTTTATTTTAGAAAACTTCATTGTAATTGTAGAGCAAAATATGCCAACAGGATATTTTATGTAACTCATATCATGTTTAGAATCATCCATTGAAAAAAACATTTATGGAATGCCTACCATATGTCACTATGCTGCAGATCAAAGTTGTTTCAGCCATAGTCACTACCCTTAGGGGGTTTCAGGTGAGTAGGGGACAAAACGGTAAACAAATAGCTGTAGTAGTCTGTTGTTAATGCCAAGATATAAGTATTCTCCCAGTAGTGTGGGATTGTGAGGGAGAGAGTGTCGATTTAGAATGCAATTCTTCTTGATTCTGATCATAACACTATATTAAATTATAACTATATATTTTTATTAATATTGTCTCTGCTGTTATGTTTCAAAAATAAGACTCAGTAAGAAATAATGTTTATATATGTTCTTCTAAGTTAAGATTTTAAATTATAGAAAGTTGATGATAGCATATTATTTAACTAGCATGTTGCACAGGAAGCTCTGATTATTCTAGCTTTTAGTATCCCCATTTATAAACACTCAAATATACCCTTGAGGAAGAAAACCAAGGACTCAGGTGAGTAGACACCTCATATCTATTCATTCTTTCTTTTATTCATTTTTTATAAAAATACACTGTGAGCTCCTAGTTTATACCAAGTACTGCTCTAGGTGCTGCAGATAAAGTGGAGATCAAAGCTCTTGTGCAACATACATTCTGGATGGGGGTGAGATGTAATGAGTGAAATGAACTAGCAATAGAACTTCTTGCAGTGGTAATTCACATGAAGAAAACTAAAACATGGTGTTGTGAAGAGTGGAGATACACTGCTAGGAACAACTTCCTTGAGGTGGTGACATCTGGACTGGGACTGGAAGGAAAAGAAGGAGCCAGCAGACGAGAGAAGATGAAACAGAGGAGTGGCCAGTGCAAAGGCTGTGAGGTGGGACGCAGAAGAGAGAAAATACTCAGTTCCAGGTGGGACACAGAGGAGGGAAAATACTTGGTTCCAAAGAACCATGAAAGGGTCAATGTGGGTAGAACTATGCAAGGGAAAGAAATGGAACATGCAAATACACACATAACAATTCAACTGGGAAAGATAACAGAAAAGAGTTAGGAAAATCTATTGTAGCTCTGAAAAGACCTCTGGGTCATCTGACTTCTTATGCTATATGAACCAAGCCTGGTTCCATAAAAGTGAACTAAGGCACAGGCACAGAAGGTAACTGAGGAAATGAACTGAGGAAGGAAGGTGCCGATTAGAAATAGAGACTAAGTCAGTTAGGAAGGCCTTTGTCTGAAAGTAACAAAATGCCTATTGTATTAGTCAGGGTTCTCCAGCGGGACAGAACTAATTGGATAGATGTATATATAAAGAGGAGTTTATTAAGGAGTATTGACTCACACGATCACAAAGTGAAGTGCCACAATAGGCCATCTGCAAGTTGAGGAGCAAGGAAGCCAGGCTGAGTCCCAAAACCTCTGAAGTAGGGAAGCCGACAGTGCAGCCTCCAGTCTGTGGTGAAAGGTCTGAGTCCAAAAGCTGAAGAGCTTGGAGTCTGATGTTTGAGGGCAGGAAGCATCCAGCACAGGAGAAAGATGTAGGCCAGAAGACTAAGCCAGTCTGGTCTTTCCACGTTCTTCTGCCTGCTTTATATTCTGGCTGTGCTGGCAGCTGATTAGCTGGTACCCACGCAGATTGAGGGTGGGTTGTGCCTCTCCTAGTCCAACTGACTCAAATGTTAATCTTCTTTGGCAACACCCTCACAGACAAACCCAGGAACAATACTTTGTATCCTTTAGTCCTGTCAAGTTGGCACTCAATATTAACCATCACACTCATCTAGCTGCTCAAGCAGTAAGACATTTAATATCTCAGGAGAGCAGTCTGGAGGTAGGTGGCTCCGGGCTTGGTGCAGGGACTCAGTGAAGTTATCAAGGACCCAGTCTCTCTTCCTACTTTCTTTGCATCTCCTCCCCAGTGCTCCCTTCTGACAGCAAGTGAAACTTCTCAGAGTGCTCCTGCATGTCTGATTGGCCAGAATTGGGTCATGTGGACACTCCAAGCTGCAAGGGAGGCTGGGAAAAAGAGCATCTGGAAAGGAGGCATGGGATCACTAACACTGATTTGGACTAATCAAGAGTCAAGGTGTCATCCTCTGCAGATGCAATCAACATGGAGAGCCGTGGAACAGGGGATGGAGGGAAGGGTGGGCCACAGAAACACAGGGCCCATGTTGGGGACAAGAGGGAAGAAAAGCGAATGCACTGTAATTGATTCAGAAGACACGGGTTACTATCCCAGCCCTCATCAAATCACTCAAACAATCTTCACCATGGTTCTTCATCCATACGACGGAAGTGACAACACCTATCTTATCTCTCAAGCAGGCTGTGAAGAGCACAAATTGCCAGAGTGAATTATGAGTGCCTAATGTCTGCCCACGACTCCACAAGGATGCAGTACAAAAGTATTGTAGCTTCTATTTCTATTTATTTTTCTCATTCTTTTAAAATATATACAGTTGTGCATATAATATACATAATGCATTACAACAATAGACTATATATATCTTATAAATACATACATGTGTATATGTTGGAAATGCTCAAAAAATTTACTGGTAAGGGTCCAGATTTTATTTGTATGCTTGGAAACACTTTCTTAAAAACATAACACATATAAAGGACTTAGCACAGGACTAGGAGCGTTTGGGTCCTCAGCAAAGGCTGTCTCCATCTCCCTTTCAGATGCATTAGTGTTGCCATTTTTAATGGCAAGGGTCGGCATCTGCCACAGTCCTTCCCAACTCCATTCTCAGAATGCTGCGTATTATGTGCTCTTTTGGCACCTCAAATCCCTCTCCCAGAAAACAGGATTACAGGCGCTGCATCCTACAAGCAGTTCCCGGGAGCTATTATCACATCGCTACCACAACCCCCAGCATCTTCTCCTCTTTCCACCTGCTGTTCATCTTCCGTATGTGTCTTGGCTGGTGGGAACTTCTGTGAAGGGGTGAACAAGAGCAAGGAGAGGAGGAGAAGCAAAGCCAGCCAGAGAGGTGACCCGCCAGCTCATGAGGTGAAAGTCCCCTCAGGAAAGGGAGAGTTAAAACTCAAGGTCTGGGCATTCTCTGTGCAATTCATTTCTCCCTGGGAACCCTGCCTCCCATTAGCATGGACAAATGAGAATTGCCCATATCTACATTCCATCTGCCCTCATCTTCCTTTGCAGCTACTCAAAGCACTTTAGAAAGAGCCTCTCTTTCTTCCTCCCAGCATCACCTCTGCGGTGGACAAGAGACAAAGATGGGAGTGCGGTGCAGGGAGAGAAACAGAGTCATGAGGTCACTTAGCGGCTCAGCTAGAATGCACCCAGGAGTCCTGACACCCGATCAAAATCACTCTTCTCATTAAAAGGACAAAGATAAAACCTCCTTCATAAATCTGAGGCCCGTCTGCATTATCCTCAGCCATCAGTTATGCTTGCTGTGGGCCATTGTTCATTTATTTAATTTAACCTTTTTTTTTTTTTCTGAAAAGCTTTTGGGTTTGCCTTTAAAAACCCACATTAAATTCTCGTTTAACGATTTGACGGGGTCCCCTTTAGCTCCCTTTAAACGAGCTGCCGATAAAGGAATAAACTTGCTGAAGAAATAAGAAATAAGCCTCCAGAATGCTGTAGCCCTTTCATGCTGTGGCTGTCCAGGCTGAAGCCCCTCTCAAATGAATAGAGATAATGCTAATGGAATTACACATTGTGACTAGATCAGGGGCTGCCACAGAAAGATAAATACCAAAGCAAGGCTAAGGCAGTTAATCAAAAATAAACCCCTACGTGCCTTTTTTTTTCCAGAAGCAAAAAAAATTTAAAAAAAAAAACCCGAAGACCTTGTTTTGCCACATGCATTTCTTCATTCACCTTGATGTTATTTTTCCAAATAATTTGGTTTAGAGGAGGTCCCCCACACACATATACATTTCAAAGCAAATTAAATTAGTTAAGAGTGATCTACCCAACCTATGTTTACAGTGACACAAATGACAGGGTGGCAAGCCTCTCACAAGATAAACCAGAGGTGGACTAATTCGTGAGGATGATATAGCGCTTATCTGTTTTGTTTAGGCTCAGTTTTAACAAGATAAAATCGCTGGGCCTGGTGTTCTGCCAGTGGGGAAGCTGTTTACCCACACAATTGACGCGCAGCGTGGGCTGTTGTGGAATCTAAATTAGCTCCTCTCCCTGCCTACCCCAGCTCCAAGCTGGTTGGGTTAGTCACACCCTCAGAGAACAGGTCTCAGGTCTCACTTAGGAAAAAAAAAAATCCACATAATGGTCATTTGTCATCTTTAGGGTCTCATGATTTGTCCTGGCTCATCCTAAAATCAAGATGAATTTTGTGACACCACCCCAGGTAAGCAGTGACACCCTGGGTGTGTCCATCATGGAAATGGATGCCATCTGCCTCTCCTAGGCAAAGATGGAACTTACTAAAAGGACATCAGGGACTCGCAAAAGTGAGAAGGCAGGGAGTCCAGGAGGATGGCTCAGGAGAAGGCCCCATGAGGCCACCCTACAGGACAGGTGGGTGCAGGCGTGGCTGCAGCACTGGGGCCCAAATGTGGCCTCCACGTCGTGCCATCACTCATTCCAGGGACCAAGTCACAGGCAGCAGGTCTCACTGGCTCAGCCTAAGGCGTATATCCACATGGGCTCCCTGAAGACAGGAGAAAGAGGGTCTGCCCTTTCAGTCCCCAGAGAGGGAAACAAGTGCTGCCTGCCATGGAAGGGCCATACAATAGGGGATTTCCCAAATGGGAGACCAGGCACTCACAAAAAGAGGTTGAATGAAGGCACCCCAAAACTGGCAAGCGGTTCCTATGCTAGGGCTGAGAAAAGTGTGCCTGGGCATCCTTGTTCAGCCCGAGCATCAGGTGGGAAGCAGTTTGCAGTGATGAAGGGAGCTCCGGGTGGTGAACCAAGAGACCCAGACCCAGGCATGGGGCCATGACCAGGCAAGGCTACCTGAGCTAAGGCAAGTCTATGCCTCTCTACTCACTGTTGTGGGTTGAATTGTGTCCCCCGCAAAAATCATATGTGAAAGTGGTCACCACCAATATCTCAGAATGTAACCTTTTGGGAATTAGGGACATTGTAGATGTAATTCGTTAAGATGAGGTCATACTGGAGGAGCATGGGAGCCTAATCCAACATGACCGGTGTCTTTATAAAAAGGGGAAATTTGGACACAGACACCCGTACATGGAGAATACCATGTTCTCCATATGGAGTTATTCTGTCTCAAGCCAAGGAACTACCAGAAGCTAAGAGAAAGGCTTGAAACAACCTCCCCTGGTGCCTTCAGTGGGAGCACGACCCTGCAGACACCCTGATCTCAGACTTCCAGCCTCCAGAACTGTGAAACAGTAGATTTCTGCTAAGCCACTCGGTTTGTGATACTTCATTATGGCAATCCTAGGAAACTAATGGGCTCGTTTTCTATAAGGTGAGCAAGTTGGACTTGATTTGCAGCTTTCAAACTGTTTGAGTCTTGACTTCCACTTGAACTTCCATTTGAAGTCCCGCAACTTCGTGGCAGCACACTTTGAAAACCATGGTGTGATCTCCAAGGTCCCTCCAGCTCTCACTCTCTAAATTAAAGCCCTTTTCAGTTTTGACAAAGAACGGTTCCAAATTTAGGGAAGGCTGTATGGGGGGACATTTTCTTCTCCAGCTGCGTGGATAGGCTGATCCCTTGATGGGACCCTGCTGGACTCCATCCCACGTAATTCCAGTCTGCTTCTTCAGGCACTGAGCCCTGGGAGAAGGTGGCTACTTCATGTGGGAGCTAGAAAGTATGGAGATTTCTGGGTCTAGTCCAGTGGTGTTTCCATTCAGACATAGATAGATAGGTAGATAGATAGATAGATAGATAGATAGATAGATAGATAGATAGATAGATAGATAATTGATAGATAATAGATAGATAGATAGATAGATAGATAGATAGATAGATAGATAGACAGACAGACAGACAGACAGACAGATAGATAGAGAGCTTTGCTAGGCTTAGATCCTGTTAGATCCTAGAGACTCGGTCCCACTCTAGACTCTAGTCACCATCTCAAGTTCCACAGTGAACCCAACCACTTGAAAGATTCTGTGACCTACCACTTCCCCATCTTCCCACAGAGACCTCCAGCACCCAGCAGTGATGTCCAATGCCTCACAGAACAATAAACACCACTTTGAGATGTATATGATGCCCTTGTTGTCTATCTTTAAACAGAGAAAGAAGGAGCATGGTATCCCCAATATTGGAGGGGCACCAGGCATCATGGCAGACTCGATTACACAGGTATCAGAAGCCTCTGCATGGGATGATGCCTCATGGAGACTGGCTGCCTGACTATTCATCCGTCTCCCATGCTAAATTGGGAGATCCAGGAGAATAAGGAATTCTGTGCGCATAAGTTTTAAATCCCCAGATACGGGTGGATCACCAATGAGTGCTCCAGAGGGAAGACCTGAATAATTACCTTGTTCTTAAAACCCATATTATTTTAAAATCTGGAAAAGGGGTACTTTCACAACACCCAGGCACTAAGTCACAACAGAGGAAAACTTGTCCAGATACACTGGCCCAACCTGATTCTCGTTCAGTCAGTACATTGGTGACCCACATGTAGAGGAAGATCAGATAGAAGTTACAAAGAAGCTGCCATTCTTTCTTCCCCCAAGTATTGTGACAAAGTTGCTTCAAATGTATATAAACTGTTTAAGATTAATAAAATGAACACTAGGTGCCCTCCACCTATACCCAATAATTGTTATCATCTTGTCACATTTGTAGACATCATGAAATTTCACTTCTGGACCCTTCAGCAAACCTCTTTTGAGAACGAAACATTATCCTACATACCTTCAATACCATTATTGTGCATAATAAAATTAATAATATTCCATTATATTATCTAACATCAAGTCCCTACTCAATTTTTCCATCATCTTAAGAAATATATTTTATAGGGTTTTTTTACAATTACCAAGATCCAATCAAAATTCACACATTGTATTTGGTTGTAGTGTCTGTTGACTCTCTTTTAATCCAGTACAGTCCTCCAACTTTTTTCTTTCATGACACTGACTTTTTGATGAACCCAAGCTGATAGTTTTGTAAGTGTTGTATATTCTTGATTTGTATGATTGCTTGTTTCTGGTGTTGACTGACTTGTCCCTCTATCCCCTAGAAATGGCTGCCATCTTGACCTACTAAACACTCTGAGTGTGGGCTGAGATTAAGAGAGAAGCAGGGCTGGATGTTCCTGTTCCAAGATCTTCCAGGCCTCTCTCTCCATTGAGTGAGGTCCACACCAGCACCTCCACTATGACAGAGCCACTGAATGCCTGGTCCTGCCAAGCCACAGCCCCAGGACGCTGGAGAACAGTGCTGGCCCTTTCTGGACTCTGCTGCCTTTGAAACTATAGTGAGCACAGCTGGAAACACACATACAATGCCACAAAAGATTATGAAGATTTAAAGGTTTCTCAGTGATTTATGTCTTTTTAATTAATGGCTTTTATGCTTTAATTAAAAAGTTACGGAAGTTGTCTTTACTTCTGAAAAATGCATTTATGGTTGACTGCTTGCATGAATTAAATAGCATCAGACCCCTAGGTTGGCTCCATGCTAGAGTCCTAGAGCTCATTTTAGGGGTAGGAAGAAGGAGGTCAGGGAGAAATACCATTAAGAAGGAAGGCTGTGACAACTTTCATTACTTTTTGATGATCATGCAATAATTTCCCATGATAAATCATCTCATTACATCTACAAACTTGGAAACAGAATCTAAATGCCATGGTCCTGAAAAAAAAAAAAACAGCATGGAACCTGGTTTTAAAATGATTCACCTCCTCACTGAAGAAGCAGAATAAAAGTTTATATTTTATTACTAATTGATTGGTTCTTAGGTCACACTAACTACATTGGGAGTACGATTGTGCAGAGCTTTGATTTGGGCTTCCATGCATAGTCTGCTAAAGTCAGCAGCCACTTCTGGACCTAGATGTGACCCCAGACTGGCTGATTGCCTGAGTCACCAGCCCGGTGCTATGGGCTTTGCTCAGGATCAAGGTGCCTTCCTCAATTCCCTCTGCAGAATTATCATGCCTTTCCTTGCATTCCCATTGAATTCATTTTGATAATTCACTTTGAATTTTTCCCTATCATTCTCTGAATTACATTATTTCTGTTCATGCCGGTCTCCCCCAATAGTTTGTTGTCTTCTCTATAAGGCCACTTCTCATTTCCCCAGTCCCCACTCAGATAGAAGTCACTACATCATCATTTGTGTCACTATTCTATCACAAGCAGAATTGTTCCAAAATATCTCAATAATTCCAACCTATTTTTTAAATGAAATATGTCTATGTCCTTTTACTAAATTGTAAGACCTAGTGGCCATATTTAATCATCTCTTTTTTTCTTTTCTATTTGACTAGGCTTTAGGCCAGAGAATTGAGTCAACCATATTCCTAGTTCATGACACATTCAATCATGCATCGTCTCTCTCCTTTTATTCATTCATTCATTCATTCATTCATTCATTCATGTATTTATTTATTCCCTTTATTTCCCTTTCCCAATCCTGTTACCTTGACCACTGACTACAAATCTGTTAAGGTTAATGAGGGTCTTTTGTTTGTATGCATTCTTGTAAAATATGTGTATATTTCATGCATATAGAATTTTAATTTACATACATATATAATGTCATATGCTTCATTCTGTTCCTTACTCTTTTCACTCAATATTAAGTTCTAAGAATCCATCCATGTTGCGCTCTCTCTCTCTCTCTCTCTATATATATATATACATCCAATCTGTAATTTTTAACTTCTCAATAGCACTCCATCGTATGCTTCTACCACATTTTACATTTGTTACTGCCTGTTGATAGGCACCCAGATTGCACCTGGGTGCAATCCCGTTAGGGACCTATGGAATATATACTCAGGAGTGGAATTTCTGTGTCATATGGTTAACAAATATGTGTGACTAACTTGTGCTATGTTGCCCTTCAGAATGTCTACGACAAAATATATATTCTTTTTTTTTGTATTTTTTTGAGATGGAGTCTTGCTCTGTCGCCCAGGCTGGAGTACAGTGGTGTGATCTCAACTCACTGCAACCTCGGCTTCCCGGATTCAAGAGATTGTTCTGCCTTGGCCTCCCCAGTAGCTGGGACTACAGGTGCTCACCACCATGCCTGGCTAATTTTTGTATTTTCAGTAGAGACAGGGGGTTTCATTATGTTGGCCAGGCTGGTCTCAAACTCCTGAACTCATGATTCGCCAGCCTCGGCCTCTCAAAGTGCTGGGATTACAGGCGTGAGCCACTGCGCCTGGCCAAAATATATATTCTTATTGGCATGAGATTTTCCATATTCCTGCAGCCTCAACAAACATTATTCAACCTCCACATTTTTGTCAGTCTACTACATTAAAGTAACATTTTAATTTGCATTTTAAAGAGATTTGGATTATTTCTGCATATACTTGTTAGTTGTTAAGGTTTCCTCTTTTATAAGTTACCTATTCATAACCTTTCCCTGTATTTCATTTGGAGTTCTCATCGTTTGCTTGTTGATTTGCAAGAATTTCCTGTGAATTCTAAATAACAGTGCTCTGTCAGTTTTAGACACAGTAAACTATCTTCTCCCAATTGTCATCAGCTCATTCACTGTCCATGGTATCCTTCATCTAATAGAAATCCTGAATTTTGATATGATTATGGTAAATAAAATACTTTTCTCCTTATATTTTGTGCTTTTAAAATTCCGTTTAAGAAGTTATCCTTTATTCTAGGTCTCAAAGGAAATCTTCTTTTAACCTTATAGTTTAGTCCTTCCTACTTAGGCCTTTAATCCGTCTCTAGGTCACCTTTATATGTGGCATTAGGTAGGGAACTAGTGTAATGGTTATCTGTATGGTAAGTAAATTTAGCCAAATCTGTTAATTAAATAGTTCATCTTTCCCTCATTAATTCATAATTCATCTTAACTGTATATTTGCTCCCTATACTGACTCTGTTCCATTGATTTTTTTGGCTGTTCTTGCCTGACCACCCCAGTTTTTGCTACCACGTGTTTCTAATATGTCTTAAAGTCTGGAAGGGTAGGTCCCCCTACTCACTCCTCCTATGATCTTTGCTTTGTTGGTGGGTTTTTATCCTTCTATGTAAATTTCAGAGTAGATGCATTGAGCTCTGTAAATCAACTGGAATTTTGATTCAAAGGTGCAACACACATATTGGTTAATTGGAGACTAATTGATATCTTTAAAATATTAAAAATCTATATTTGAGCATAGCATGTGTCTCCATTTACTCAGATCAACTTCTATGTACTTTATTACATATTAACTTTTTCTCTGGAAGGACCTCAGGTGTTCTTAAATTAATTCCTGGTTAGTTCTTATTACTAATGAGAATAACACTCTATTTTTAAATATTTTATATTTTGTTATTGTTGTAGAAAAATGCCATTTTGTTTTAGGTAGATCTGATACCCAGAAATCTTTCATTTATTCTAGTAGTTTGTCTTGTGTTTTCTAGGTAAGTGATCATATCATTTGCAAACAATAACACTTTGATCTCTTCCTTTCCAGCATTTAGACTTCTCCCCCTTTTTTTTTTCTTTTTTTATAGTCAAACACAGCTATATTGTCTTTCAATAGCACTGATAACGGCCGTCTTATTCTATTCTCAGTCTTAAGGTAAATACGTCCAAATTTTTTTCAATAAAGATAATGTTTACTTTTTCTTTTTTGGTGTATTTTTACCAGTTTAAGGAATTTCCATAGTTCCTAATTTGCTAAGAGTTTTGTCATAAACAGCTGTTGAACTTTATCATGTATTTCTTCATCAATTGAGATAATTGTATGAATATTGCCTTTTGGCCTATTAATACGATAAGTTATGTTAATAGATTTTTCTTTTGTTAAACCATCCTTGCTCACTTGGAATAAATCCTACTTGATAATGATGTGTTTGAATACATTGTTTAATTTGGTTAGCTAATATTTTAATTAGGATTTTTGTACTTATCATAAGTGAAATATGCCTATAGTTTTCTTTTCTTACATTGCTCTTACCTCATTTTGAAATAAAAACTATACTAACTTCAACTTTTATTCCTTCTCTTTTCTTGAAAATAATATGTAAAAGGTAGGATTTCATTGTTCTTTGTAAGTTTGATAGAATGAACCTTAAAACTATCTGGGCTTAGAGTTTGGGGAGATAAGATGTCTTTGGTTATCACTTCAATTTCTTTAATATTTTTGGTCTAATTATGATCTTTATTTTATTTTATCATTTTATTTTGGGACAGGGTCTTACTCTGTCACCCCAGCTGGAGTGCAGTGGTGTGAGCACGGCTCACTGCTGCCTCAATCTCTTGGGCTCAAGCAATCCCCCACCTCAGCCTCCCAAGTAGCTAGGAACACACGTGTGTGCCACTATGCCCAGCCAATTATTTTTTATTTTTTGTAGAGACAAGATCTTACCATGTTGCCCAAGCTGGCTTTAAACTTCTGGGCTCAAGGGATCCCTGGATCCCCTGGCCTCAGCCTCCCAAAGTGCTGGGATTACAGGCATGAACCATGGCACCCTGCCTCTCATTTTTTCCTTGTACCAATTTTGACTTTTTGTATTTTCTAAAAATGTATCCATTACATCTAGCCTATAATTATTCATAACACTCTTATTATTTTACTTCCTGATTTGTCTATAGTTCTTTAAATTTCATATTTTATTATTTGTATCTTCTCTCTTTTATCTTGATTAGTGTCTTCAGAAGTCTATTTTACCAATAATATGAAAAAATTCACTTTTGGTTATATTAATCTTTACTATTATTTTTCTTTTGTTGTTAGTTGTATTGATTTCTGCCCTTATATTTATTATTTCATGTATTCTTGTTTCTTTGGTTTAATCCCATACTTCTGTTTTGACTTTCTATCTCCAGAGCTTAGCATATACTTAGTACACAGAAACTTTTTTCTATCAAATATTTATTGAATAAATGAATTGTAAACACCTTGAGATCAGATAATATGTTTTGTCAATCTTCATAGTCCTCAAAATACCTACTATACCACTTAGCACATGGGAGGGTTCAGTAAATATTGAGGGAATTTTTCCTGAAGGAATATTTAATGTAAAAAAATACATATCTATTTAAAGAAACCTCCAGAGGTCATATAATTGAGCCTTCTGAGTCAAAAGAAAAAAAAAAACAGTAAACATTTCTGATAGTGTGGTAGAGCCCGTGAGAGATTCCCCCCATTGTTTTCTTCTTCCTTAGTGACAGAACCCCTAATTCTAGCTAGGCACACAACCATCTGAAATAAAGACAAAGTGATTACCTTCTGGTCAATGGGATACAAGTGAAAATGGTGGGTACAACTTAAGAAAGTATAAAGGGAAAAGATGTGTCTTTTTTCCTCCCCTTTCTTAGTCTTGCTTTCTTGAATCTGCATCTCATGGTTAGGGTTCCAGTAGTTAAAATGGATAAGGAGGTGACCTTGGGAATGGAAGTCTTACATGACAGAAGAACAAGATAAAGTGCCTGGGTTCCTTGTACCCGGAAGCTTTCATGGTAGCCCAAGATGATAGCTTTTGAACTTCTTTATGAAAGAACTCCTCTGTTGTTTAAGGCACAGTTTGGGGTCTTTTTCTGTGGTGGCAAGAGGGAGGTTTCTGTCACATGTAGCTGAACATATTAAATGATTAGAATAGAGGGAATAGATTAGTAATTGATTCAGTTGGTACTTGTTGATCCTTTTCTGAAAGATGTCCTTGCACACACAACAAAGATCTAAGAAAGAAGTTGATGTTAAATCCCCATTTCACACATGAGAAAAGCAATGTGGGAGCTGAGACTATGATTTATCTCTCATTCTTACTCAGATCTCAATTTGCTGGACAAGTTTGCCTTTTCTAAATCAATGAGGCCCAGTCCCAAAGGTTTTTACCATAGAAGAATCTAGGTTTACTCATGTAAACACTGAATAATTTTCAGTTCTAGTGACTGCCTGGGCAAAATCCAAGTAAGCCTCAAATTTTTCAGACTCTGGTATGATTTTTCTCAGGTTTGACTCTCTAGGTAGCGAGGTAATTAGACTCCCTGTTCTTTTCAAGGTCAAAGACCACTGGACAAAAATATGAGAACTTTGTCCACCCTTTGTGGCTAATGAGCTTGACTCTCAAAGGGCTATTTCACCTCCTTCATGAGTTGTCATTTGGAGTCCACTCTCTCAGTCATGGCTTTGCAGGGAGGTTTGGAGCTCAGTCCAGAGCAAGCTCCCCAGATGACAGCTACATGCTCTATAACCTATACGACCAAGAGACCATGTTGCCTCTGTCTACCAGCTCCTTTATGGCCCCGTGGTCTCCTTGTTGTTATGGGGAGTTTCTCAGAGTGTTCTGCTCAAAATCAACTTCAAAATCACCTGATTTACATTAAAAAATATTTGCTTTTGTGACCAGGAGAAAAGTTTGCACTCAAGACCCAAACAAGCTTCCCAGTCTTTCTTTCCAAGCCCCAACCCTGATCCTCACACACAAGGAAGGTTTGAGCTTGCAGAAAAGACATTTACCCAGCCACCAAAATAGTTACCAGGGATGACAAGGACCTGCCTCCCATCTTAGCGAGGGAAGAGAGTACAAGAGGGATCAGAGACATGAGAATCAGCCATTGATACAGATCTGCACTGTGAAGAGACACAGACATGGTGAGAAGGTCGTCAGACTCTCATTGTCTCACCTTTCAATGGATTCTTCTCTACCCGTGGAAGAGTCACTGAGAAGTGGAAAGATCTCTCTAATGCCATCGGGAAGTGTTAGTACAATTCTATGAACCAGAAGAAACATGGAAAAAGAAAGAGAACTTCTCCCCCACCATAACCAAAACTTTCCATTAAGTATGCCCTATCAACCACTTACAACCCATCAATCAATTAAAAAATGAAAGAAATACCAAAAGTACCCAGAAAAGAGCTGTTAGCCTGCAAATAAAAGCATTTAAAAGTTTCCCTATTTTCCTTCCTTTCCATAGTATGTTTCTATTCTTCTCATAGCCAGTTTGCTGGTTTCAATTTTCCTTGAAGAAGCTCCCACACTAATGAGATTGGTTGTTTAAATGTCTCCAAGAAGCAACATAGACTGCTGGGATCTGTATTCTCTTTATTGAAAAAAAAATATCAAATGGACTGCAGAGATTAAGGTGGAATTAATTCCACCCCGGGAAGAGAGGAGCCGAGCTGCTTCAGTCTCTTGGTTTATAAGGTCACCAGAATCCCTTGTCAGGAACTATTCCTCCGTAAATCACTTCTGCCCAGCTACTCGGCAGCCCTGAGTTGCAGATAATCCAGACAGTGATTGTGTCTGGTCTCTAAGCAAAAGATTCATTGACCTCCCCTAAGAGGATTCTGGTACCAGCTTTGCCTGCAGGAAGAAGTGGACGAGCCCAGCCTCTAATATGCACCAGCTTTTTTGACCACCTGCTGGCCAGGATTCAGTCTCACAGGTAAACATCTTGAGTAGAGAAGCCACTGCTGAAAGTACAGATTCTGCTATGGGAGGGGGCCTGCATTCCCCAGGAGCCAGCTCATACAGCATGCAAAAGGGCAGGGCCAACCTTAGGACTTGGGAGTCAGATATTGGACTTCAACCAAGTATATTAGACTCCCAGCTGTGAGGACCGGTGTATATTTATATTTCTTCCTTGAGTATGGTTTTGAATTTTAAAAACTGTATCACACTGATGAGTGCATATTTAGCTACCAATTAATTCTGGCCTTGAGCAAATCACTTAATTTGGGGCGGGGTCCTTTGTTTCAAATAGATCTAAATTAAAACCTTGCATCCACTATGTATTGATGGTGCCTTATTGGGAAAGTTAATGCATGTTTTGCAAGGTTGTGGTGAGGATTTAAACGATAACATGCCTAAAGTGCCTAGCAGACTATCCAATTGGGTTATTTGCCCAGCTGTGCCCACCACTGTCCACACCCCTCTTCTGTGAAGTTCCTTGTGTTGCAAGGGTGGGTGCTAAGGTACCTGACTCCACTACCCCTCTGTGTTCTGGCGGGGGGCACCTAACACAAGCCAGGCCAATATGCATGCCTTTCCCCAAGATTCTGCACTGGATGAGTGCTGAGAGAAATCAGTCTCTCTCTGGATAGTGGCCCATGAACTCCCACTAGCTCAGGAGCTGATGGGGACCCTGTGCTCTGCCAACCAGCCTGGAACAATGGGAGGAGCTAGTCTTCAGATGAAGAGAGAGAAGAGGAACATAGATATACGGACAGGAAACAGGAGACAGGGTAGATATCATTCAAGGCTCTGCTTCTAATTCATCTCTGCCCCTGGGTTCCATGAAACTCATACCCTTGCATCCTCAAAATAAGGTTCTCTGTCTCGTGAAAAGTAGCTTGTGCTGGTTTCGTTACATGAAATAGAAAAGAGTCTTAATAATCTGGTAAACAGTTGTTTTTCAATAAACAGTAAACATCAACTTATGTAATATAAGAGAATTGGCCAAGAGATGCCACAGGTTCTCCTGCCCCACCCCACCCCTGCCCAGCCAACTATCTGACTTGATATAATTACTTACTGGGACATCTTCCCTATCTATATATCCTACAACTACTTTGAACTAAACTTATCATTATTCAATAACTCATTCATTTGATAAGCCATTTCTCTGTACAGATGCAGGGACCGTGACATACCTCTATTCCCATGTGCAGATGGTGACATCTCTCAGTCCTGTCCCCTAGATATGACTCCGCTTGCACCGGACTCTGACCCTAGCCACAGCCTCTCCCTGGGACTCAACCCTCCTGGTCCTGCACTTCCCTCTTGTCCCAGCCCTTGATGGCTCTTCCTTTGTTGACTCCAGTCCTAGCAGTGCACACCAGCCCAGGCTCAGCATCAACCTAAAAAGCAGTGCTTTTAAAAGGCAAGTGTCCTCAGCACTCACAATAAAATTAACAAATGTGCAGGCCCCATGCTGAGCACTCTGCAGGAATCATCTCATTTAATTCTCACAACTTACGAGATTGGCACTGTTCTTATCCACATTTTATTGATGAAGAGAATGGAGCATGGGGAAGATAAGTCATTTTATTCAAGGTCACACAGTTAGGAAACGGCAGAGCTAAGATCCAAATCCATGCGGCGGTGTGCCAAGGCCATGCACTTTGCCTCGTAGCCCCGGTAGATGAGACCCTTTGGACTAGGCATTGCTTTTGTTATTTACTGTACTGATGAGGCTATGTCTGAGAAACAGCTGTAAGAATTTAGAGAGGGGATCCAGTGATAGAGTCAACAGATCTTTGTCCCCAGGATTTGGGGACAAGGCAGAACTAGACTTTGGTCCTGGAGAACAGGTGGGTGACATGATAAGTGGTGGAAAGGTCAAGGGCTTGGAAGCATGATGGTGCTTGGGGGGCCTGTTAGGAAGTGGGTAGGTGGCATTGGTAGATTTGGGCCAATTCTGGGGACACAGAAAGCCAGGCAGAGTTGGAACTTGGTTTGGTTATTATTAATAGGTTAAATTGTGTCACCACCACCCCCACCCCTCACATGCACAAAAAAATGTTAAGTCCTCAGCCCTAGTACTTGTGAATGTAATCTTATTTGGAAATGAGGCTTTGCAGATGTAATCAAATTGAGCAGAGATCAGACTGGATCAGGGTGAACCCTAATCCAATATGGTTAGTGTTCTTATACAAAGAGGGAAATTTGGACACAGAGAGACCCACAGGAAGAACATCATGTGAAAATAGAGGCAGAGACTGGAGCCATGCAGATGCAGGTCAAGAAACACCAAAGGCCGGCTGTGGTTCCAGCACTTTGGGAGGCTGAGGCAGGTGGATCACTTGAGGCCAGGAGTTCGAGACAAGCCTGGCCAACATGGTGAAACCCCGCCTCTACTAAAAATACAAAAATCAGCTGAGCACAATGGCACACGCCTGTAACCTCAGCTACAAGGGAGGCTGAGGCACGAGAATCGCTTGAACCTGGGAGGCGGAGGTTGCAGTGAGCCGAGATCATGCCATTGCACTCCAGCCTAGGCGACACAGCAAGACTCTGTCTCAAATAAAAGAAAAGAAGCACGGAGAATTGACAGCCACCACCAGAGGCCAGGAAGAGGTAAGGAAGGATTCTCCTGAGAGTTCCATAGGGAGCATGGCCCTGCAGTCACCTTGATTTTAGAATTCCAGCCTTCAGAGCTGTGAGAGAATAAATTTCTGTTGTTTTAAGCCACCTAGGTTGTGGTACTTTGTTATGTCAGCCCCAGGAAAATAGTAGTCATCATCAGAAAAACCTAGTTCCTTGAGCAGGTTAGGGTAACAAAAGGGAAACCAACCAAGGTCACTGGGTCACCTTTGAAGTGTGTAAGCACACGTTCTATACATTCTCATGCCACTCAGTTCAGCTGTATGCAGTTTTCTGCATTCACCTAGTGTTTCTCGTAGGCTAAATCGCACATAAGTAAATGTGAAATCTGTGTTATGCTCAAATCATTCCCTAATCCATCAATTGCATTGGAACAGATTTGCATTTCCAAAACAAGCATTATAGCAGAACTAACTGAACCACCAAACTCACACAGAGAGTTAGCAATGGGGCTGGGCACAGTTTTACACGTAACTCTCTAGATTCACAGGGCCACCCCTGACTTTAAGCCTGAGAAAAATTAGGGAGGAGGGAGCACCTGATATATGGCAAAAAATTTCATTCATCAGAAAGCAGCTCGAGCTCTCATATATTTAGAATTCTCTGCCTTCAACTTCAGTAGAAGCAAATCACGGGAAACAAGCTGATATCTGGAATTTAGCCAAACAAAATCAGGAATGCATCCCAAAGTGAGATTCACACAGTCCCCTGAGCCTTCCACACCTATGGTCAAGCATAATAAAAACTGGCATTTTTGGAATGGGGTTTCTGAATCATGATCCTGGATGCTTTCTAAATCACCAAATCAAAAGTAGATAATGTTCAACATTCAAACATCTGAGGAAGGAAAATGAACAGAAGCCTTTGAAAAAGTTTAACGAGACTAACCAAAACAAAGATTTTCAATAATCCACAGTTAACCAAAAAACCCGCACCCAGAGCATTCCAGTTCCCAGAGGCTGACCTACACATACACCCAAGAGACATGCCTTCTGAGCGTGGTTTCAAATTCTAGAGAAATTGCCAATATGGCTCAAGTTGTCTAAGGAAAAGCAGCCTCTCTCCTTCCTTCCACCTTCTCCCCCTCCTGCCTCACTGCTCACCAACCCTGGATCTCCTTTTGCGTCCCTGAGAGCAGACAGGGCCTCTGGCACCTAGCTAGGAGCAGCCCAGAGCACAACAAAAGAGCAGCTGCAAATCCATACTGAGCAGATGAGAAATCAAGGAAAAACTTTATAGATTGAGAGATGGATAGTTCTGAAACGTAATAACAAGGCTAAAGGGATTGGAGTTTTATCTACCTTTGACAGAAGCACCTTAATGGGGCCCCTTATGAGGGGCTATGAGAGCAATGATCACTGTGTAAAGAAGATGTTCTCTGAGCCTGTGCCTTTTTGCAGCCTAGAAGTGCCAATCAAATCACTTTCCTCACGTTAATTAATTAGGCCTCTTGCATTCCCCAAGGAAATTCAGAACAGAAGCATTATGTTCTGGAAAGAGGAAAGTGAGCAGCATCACATCATCATTATCACCATCACCACCATCATCATCATCATCACTATCACCATCACTGCCATCATCATCATCCATATCACCATCACCACCATCACTCCCATCATCCTCATCACTATCACCATCAACACCATCACCACCATCATCCTTATCACTATCACCATCACCACCATCACCGCCATCATCCTCATCACTATCACCATCACCACCATCACTGCCATCATCCTCATCTCTATCACCATCACTGCCATCATCCTCATCACTATCACCATCAACACCATCACTGCCATCATCCTCATCACTATCACCATCACCACCATCACCACCATCATCCTCATCACTATCACCATCACCACCATCACTGCCATCATCATCATCACTATCACCATCACCACCATCACCGCCATCATTCTCATCACTATCACCATCACCACCATGGCCACCATGATCATCATCACTATCACCATCACCATCATCCTCATTATTCCATGGGGATAATGAGACCCCATGCTGAGAGCTGTAAGAAGCCAGCTGGGCACACACTCTCCAGGCAGAAGTGTGCAGTAAAAGGCAGAATGAATAGTTCATTCATTTATTCACCAACATATTAATTCTATGCTTGTTGGGACCGTACTCTGTATTAGCATGAGGGCTACAGGTAGAATGAATAACACAGAGTCACTGCACTCGAGGAACACTCAGTCCAATGGCAAAGGAGAAGTACACTGCAAGCATTACAGTGAA
Organism: Homo sapiens; assembly: GCF_000001405.40. Lineage (NCBI taxonomy): Eukaryota > Metazoa > Chordata > Mammalia > Primates > Hominidae > Homo > Homo sapiens. The sequence continues at coordinate 132,608,503 of NC_000007.14, forward strand.
AGTGCTCTCAGAGAAAGCTGGCCCAAGATTCTAACTGCCCAAGAAAGTCATAAGGCATTCACCCTTTGCCCTCTGACACTTACCCTGTGGCCAATTCATCACCAAGTTTGCCCAGTCTCTCCTCTCATGGAGACTTCAATCCGTTCCTTCTGCCACTGCTTCCATTCAACCCCTCCCAGCATCCCCCACCCCCGCACTCCTGCGACAGCCTAAAAACTTGTCTCCCTGCCTCCACTCTTGCCTCTCGTGGTCCATTCTCCCTGGTGCAGCCAGATGGATCTTCCCAAAACTGCAACCCTCAGGGATTACTCACTCCACTGACTAAAAACTCTCCTTGTCTCAAGGACCACATTCAAACTCAGAAAAGGCCCTTCAGGGTCAGATGCAGTCCTGCTCTGCCGTGCCCAGGTGGGACTGACACTGGTCACCCTGTGGTGCTCACTCTGTCTGGGACAGCCAGGAACTGCCACCCCTGAGGCCTTGCTCACATGTTGTTTCTCTACCTGGGGGGCCCTTCCTACCCTGTCACTACCTGCTGAAATGCCCCTCATCCCTAAAGGCCCAGCTCAGTGTCCACATGAGTGACATGCCACAGCCCCCTCCGTCCCATTCCCAGTGGGATTCATCACACCTTGATTATAGCATTTTACACGTTTTGTCATAATTACATTTCTGTATCTCCCTTCCCTCCCAGATTTGCAATTCTTTGAGTGCAGAGCCAGTCTCCTCAATGTCAGAGCAGTGCCTGACATTGAGTAGGGCCACTCAGTAATAGATGGTGGAAAGAGTGGTCAGCGACAAACTGTTTCCAAAATGTGTCCATGGCTGCTTGGAAGTATGTGAGTTGCTCCATCATGTGGTTGTAAGTCCTGCAGAGTAAAAGCCTCATCCTTCTTTCACATATGGCTAACCACAAGAGCATGTGGTTTGTGGGCAATGTCCTGGAGTGATGGGGAATTTGCCCTGGACCAGCCTTCCCCTTAGTCCCTTCCACCACCCTTCTTGTGGCTATCGTCATATGTAGGTGATGACTGAATGGGGGTTGGTGGCCATTACCAATGAGCTATCACTGCAGATGGCCAACTACAACCTGCTCATTTACTTTTATTTACTGAATTAGACTAATAGATATTATTATCCTCACTTTATAGGTGAATAAACAGCCTCTCTGGTGTTAAGTTGCCCAAGACCACACAGCTAGTAAGTACCAGAGCTAAGATTTGAACCTCTGGCTGTCTGACTCCCAGGCCTAAGTTCTTCCCGCTACACTGGGCTGCCCCCCATTGGCAGTGGGAGGGGGAAGCCTGTGGGCTGTAGAGCAGTAGCTGGGACAACATTGACTCTGCGTCCTGTAGGGCCAACACTCCATGAGCACTGGCTTTTATTTACCTTATATGGTGAAAAGAGAGATGCCCATTTTTTCCCATTTCTCCAGACTCTAACAGATGGGTGCTAATTTGGTAAGTGCAAATTATCTGGCTTCAGTTCTATCCACCATCTGCCTGCTTGAACTAGTGAAACCAGGGTGAGTTGTAATTATGCCCAGCTCTCTTCACAAGGTCCTTCCCTTCCTTTAGATGAGTTTATCCTCTTCCTATTTTAAGAAAGAGCTTCACATAGCAGGGCATTTATGGAACACTTCCAAGAACCCGAGCAGAGAGTGAAATAATGAAGGCAAAGCAATCATGCAGACAAAACCCTTACACAAGATGGCAGGAGCCCCAGCCTGGCCCTGCTCCTCCTGGGGAATTTCTGGGAAGATGGGAAACTAGTCACTACAATCCCTGGGCCTCAATTTCTCCACCAGAGCACTGGCAGTAGGAGCCTCTGAGACTGGGAAGTGGAGCTATGCTGTGTGCAAAGGGACTGCTCTGCTATTGCTGCTGCTGCACTGGCAGGCATTTGGAGGGCATCCCTAAGCTTCTCATCCTCGTCCTCTGAAGGAAGCTCTTCAGTCCCCTCTCAAAGGTTCTTCCTAGTCCCCCCATCCCTGCTAAAAATAAAAGGCTGAATTTCATCTTATTCAGACCATAGCTAGAATACAGGTGCTTAAAGCTCCCTCTCTCTCTGCTGTCTGCAGCAACCTGCCCTAACATTCAGCCTCTACAATGTCTTCAAGACTAAAACGTGCATGCATGGGAAGAGGGTCATCAGGCTAAGGGAAGCCATTTACCCAACCCAAAGTGCATCATTTAAACCCCAGATGTCATTCATTCTTATCTGAAGGAATCCTTTCCATTCATTTGCCTAAGGCTCCTCTTCTCCTCCCAGTTTCTGCCTCCTGGAGAGAGCATCTTAGGAGATAACCACCCATATAGCACAGCGAAGGATTCCACCTTGAGTGCCATGATACTGCCTCTTGGAGGAGCAGAGGTTTGCCACTTGTAATGTGGATGAGCAGGAGGGTGTCTGGCCCGTGGAGCAGTTCCTTGTCTGTCCCCACAAGGAAGGGAAGCTTCTCTGTGTGCCCAGGCACCCCCATATCTCTTCTCCTCCAGTCACTGGTCTCCCCAACCCCAATCACACAGTCACCCCCTTTCCCCATCTCTGAGACTGGCAAGTGAGCCAGTCCCCCCGGCCAGCAGCCAAGTGAATTTTTAAAAGTCTCTCTTTGACAAACTAAGAGGGAGAGTTGGCTGTTTCATTTGGTGGTTTTCTTTAGCAACACTGAAATGTCTAACATCTAAATGTGTGGTGTTTGCGAACTTAAATATGTCGCCTCTGGACCTGCCATTCCTTAAGAAACATCTGCTCCCCAGAAGATCAGAAGTGAGAAACTGCAAAGTTGCATTACTTATCTTTCCCTAAAGAAATGAAAGGTGTTTTTCTCCCCCTCAAAGTAACAGCTCTTTCTCCACTCCACATCAAAACTCCAGCCTTTGGCAAACATATCTTAACGCTTCCAAATCCACGCTCCGACACAGAACTTCAGACTTCAAAAGTGACAGCAGTGGGGCCAAGCCCGGTGCACACTTCTCAGTACCCAACTCCTTCACAACTTCTGAACGTCTCCAAGAAAGATCAGAGGGCAGCAAGGCTACTGTGCTGTGCCCACGTCATAACGTGCACCCAAAGGTGGGGGAATTTATTAAACAACCTGGGGCATGATCCTGGAAGATGGGCTACACACAAATCTCCCCATAGGTAGAGTCTGGCCTAGAATTTGAAAACTGTATCTAAGGCTGACAATTTAGCAAGGGAGACCAGTACCAAAAGAGGAGTCCAGATACCTGTAGTGAGAGAGAACCAGTAGAAAGGGCCCTGGACCTTCAGCCTTCTCTGTGACCTTGATGCTCTCAGCTAAAAAGAGATGCAGCTGCATATTATGAGCAACTAAAGTAACAGAAGTTTTAACAGGCAGGGCACATTCTTTCCCCTAAAAAAGGCTGGAAGGAGGGAAAGAGTCCAGGGGCTCCATGAAATCACTGGAGACCAAGGCTGCTGACTTTGTGTTCTGCCATCTTCAAGGTCACCTTAAGGCTGCTTCACAGCTTCCATTCTCAAGGTCATCAGTAGGTCAAGATTGCTGTTTTGAGCTCCTGCTATTACACCATCTTCTAGGGATCAGGAAATCAGAAAAACAAGGCAAAATGTCCCCTTGACAGCAATGCATGCCAAGTCAACTCCATTTTAGCAAACTTCCCAAAGGATAGCACATGTCCGCTTACATCTCAGTGGCCAGGACTTAGTCACATGGCCACACCTAACTGCAGAGGACACTGGGAAATAGCACCTGTTAGCTACATGCATTGTGTGACCTCGAAAAAAATTGGGCTTCTTTTACTAAGAATGGAAGGAACAACAGATGTGATGTAGCACCTGGCAGTCTCTGTCACAGATTCAACTTTCTACCTGTCAAAAGAATGTGTTCATCCTGGCCAGGCGCGGTGGCTCATGACTGTAATCCCAGCACTTTGGGAGACTGAGGTGGGCAGATCACTTGAGGTCAGGAGTTCAAGACCAGCCTGGCCAACATGGTGAAACCTCCATCTCTACTGAAAAAATACAAAAAGCAGCTAGGCGTGGTGGTGCACAACTGTAATCCCACCTACTTGGGAAGCTGAGGCAGGAGAATCACTTGAACTCAGGAGGCAGAGGTTGCAGTGAGAGGAGATTGCACCACTGTACTCCAGCCTGGGCAACAGAAAGAGTCTCCATCTCAAAAAAAAAAAAAAAAAAAAAGTCCTCATCCTGACTCTTTCTCCCTCTCAGCACTACTGACATTTTGTGCAAATAATTCTTTATTGGGTGCAGGGAGGGCCTGTCCTGTGTATTGTTAGATATTTTGCAGCACCCCTGAGCAGTTGTGACAACCCAAACTGTCTCTAGGCATCGCCCAATGTCTCATGGAAGACAAAATCAACCATGGGTGAGAACCACTGATTTCTATCAAAAGGGCATCAAAATGAGATTATACACATGATCTTCGTAAGAATATATATACATTTACTACATTACACAGTCACCTAGATGTAACACTATGAGAAAAAAAAAACGGACTTAATCTTTATGCTTTGTTGAAAAGATGTTAAGAGACCAGTGTAGTCCTTGACGCTTCTGAAGTTCCAAAGAGTAAACTCGGAAGACAGAGAGGAAACTGACCTACTAGCGATTCCTCTCACGCACACAAAGGTTGGACTGCAGAGAAAATGCCCTTTGGTCTCATGCAGCTTTCCTCCTCCCTCCCTGGGCTTAGCACACCTTGCACTTTTCCAACTCGGGATCTTCTCGCATCACATTCTCAGCCTGGGCCTCCTCTCCTCTGCTCTGTACATAGCTGCCTCCTCACGCCACCAGCTTCTACTAAAAGGTCACTGCCACCAATTGACCATGAATCTGAATAAAGCCACCCTCCCCCCCGACATCTCCTCTGAATCCTCCATATCACAGTTCATAATTCCATGTGAATCTATTTACTTTTTAATTATCACTGTCCCCATTAGATTTTGGCTTCTGTGAAGGCAGGGGCCATGTCTCTTTATTCACTGCTGTTCACCCATATTCCACCAGCACCTGGCACAGGAAAGTGCCATTAAGTATCTGGTGGCTGAGTGGATATGGCAATGGGGGTGAGACAGTGTGCTCCTGTGGTGTGTCAGTGAGTGGGCGACGGGGTGATGGAGAAAACTGGAACACAGACCAGGACAAACGCAAAGTAGCATGTGTGATATTCTTGCACAGACTTAATATTTCCAAGTCAGTTATACGCATTTGTTGGCTATCTATACCTGAAATAAAAAAATAAACAAAACACGGCCACAAGGACCTACAGTATAACACAGAAGATAAAATATATTTTAATAATTACATGTAAAGTCTGCTAGGAGTGTATTTTTAAATCCAGGAAAAAAAAGTAAAAGAAAAAAATGTTCCACAGTTCTGAAGGTGGGCAGGTTACTTCTGCCTGTGGGCGTGGGGCTTCAAAGGGCAACATTGGAAGGAGGTTTTGCAGGATGCATAGGAGTTGCATAGGTGGAAGATGGGGAGACCTTCTGGAGGGAGGAACAGCTTGAGTAAAGGCAGTAAGTGAGAAAGCCCAGGACTTTGCTGAGAATGTGCTTTCACCCAGTGCTATCCTGTAGAAATGTAATGTGAGTCACATTTTTCTAGTAGCCACATTAGAGAAGTAAAAACGGGTAAAATTAACTTTTTAAAATTACATTTTATTTATTTAACCCAATATTAATATTCAATATTTTGGATATCCAAAATGTTATTCCAACAGATCAACAATATAAACGATTATTGAGGTATTTTACACTCTTTTTTTCAGAACGCTAAAAATCCAATGTGTGATTGACACACTGCACATCTCAATTCAGACTAGCCACATTTCAAGTGCTCGGTAGCCACATGCGGCCAGAGGCCCTCATACTGGACAGGTCTAGTGCCATAGCGGGAGTGGGTTTAAGCAGGCCCACCCTGAAAGATAGCAGGATGCAGCAGACAGCGGGTGAACTTGGAACAAGCGTATTTAATATTGTTTTCAGCACGTAAGTTGATGGAAATAAAGCTCAAAGGTGGGGAGGCACTGAAGGCTCAGGGAGCAGTGTTGGAGCAGAGGTTTATAAATGTCAGACCCACAGGGAGGGTGCCCAGGCAAGGCTGGCAGGCACCAGACGCAGGCCCCAGCAACCACAGCTGTGTGCAGCGCTCTGATGCCTGGCCACAGCTGACGGGACAGAGGCACCTGGCCCAATTTGACTAATGAGAAATTTCCAAGAAATTTGGTACTAGTTCAGTTTATTCAGGTCTCTTGAATGGAGGAGATGTAAATACTTGGGAAATGCCGGAGACACCTCCCACCGCGGAACTGAGCCGCGGAGAAAAGCAAGCTGCAGAGAAAGAGGAAGCAGATGTGCAGAGAGGCGGAGATGGAGGAGTGGCTGGGAAGGTCGCCTGTGTCCCGCCGGCTTCCAAGTTCCAGAGCCTTCCGGAGCCTCTTCTGAAATCCTGCCCCCTGGCTTCCCAAGATGTCCCTTGCCCTTAAACTGTAATAAATCTCTCTCCCCCGAGCCCTCGCCCTCTTTCAGAACACTGGTTTCTATTCCGTAGAACAAAAGATTTAGAAGGTCTTAAGAAATACCATCAGCACAAGGCTTTAGGACACGCCATGGTTTTGCCTCCCTACCTAGGGACCCGGCACAGGGGCGGGAAGGGAGGAATCTGGGAGAGCTGAGATTCTAGGGCTTTGGTTACCGGTGGAGCGGGAGGGGGGTTCGGGAGATGGCTGAGGTTTTGAGCCTGTGGCTGGGAAAGTGATGATGTCCTTCACAGAGAGGGGAGTGGTGGCAGAGGGAGCAGGGCCCTAAGGGAAACTGACGCCTGTGCAGCACGAACCCCACTCGCGTCCTGTCTGCCTGGACTGCCGCCGTGGGGACTTCTGCAGCCCCCGCCCCTGGCGGAGGGGACGGGGGCTGGGGCTGCTCCCACCACCGCAGGCGGCCCGCAGTGCCCGGCCTCAGCGTCCCTGGGGCTCTGGGTTGCAGGCTTTGGCTGATGGCTGAGGGCTCTGGACGCAACGAAGAGTCACTTCTGGTGTCCACTTCGGGATCTGTCTGACACTTTTTCTCCTTCCTGCACCCTGTAGCACCTGCTCCTTATACCTTATTCCCTGCTTCTGCTCACCTCCCTGCTCTTCTTCCCTTCTGCGGCCCATTGGAGTGAGCAGGGAAGTGACGCTTTTCATGTCCCAAAGCTGGGAGACCCCATTTGAGCCAGAGGAAGAAAAACTAACAGACTCTGTCCACATCAGCTTTCAGCAACGTGCACGTGGGTGCACACACACACTCATGCACATGCACACACACACACATGCATTCATTCGCTCCTTCTCCCCACCGCTATCCCTCCCTCTCCCCTCTCCTCTCTCCCCTCTCCCTTCTCCCCTCTGGAGACTTAACACACTTTTTGACAGATAAAGGATCTCTCTCTCTCTCTCTCTCTCTCTCTCTCTCTCTCTATTCCCCACCGCCTGCTTTCGCCCTATCCCCAAATCAGCCAGACTTAGCTAGCAACACGCTTCCCTTGGAGTGGATCCCTCAAAAATTTCCAGCCACACCAGGAAAAGCAATGGCAGATAACGCCCAAACTCCCTGGTCATGCTTTCTCTTGGCTCTCCAGTCCAAGGCTGCATTCTCTACCTGACACACACATGGTCACCATGCACCCCACACACCCACTCCATGTTCCATGCACAGTTTAAAAAGCACGTTGCCTCTTCGCAGTGCTTCTGCATTTGCTGGCTGCAGGCAAGAGAGGAGAAAATGTATTCAGCTTCCTCTGTCTACCTTGCCTGCCTAGCCTGTCTCAGCCTGTTCTCTAAGGGCCTTTGGGGTATTGATCCTAAAAGCTTCTGCAAAGGGAATCATAATGGGAATTTCATAGCCAAGGAAACTGAGTCACTTGAGGTCAAGGGCTGCAGGAGCCTTGTTTTCCAAGAGCCCTCAGCACTTACAACCTAAGAGGCTCTGTGTCCTGTTCTCCAGCCCAGTGGCCTCCAAACATTTTTAATTGCTTGACTCATCCATAAAACTTTTTGAGCATCCACCCCCAGTATATACATATTTATTTATAAATTATAATCACATAAACTACATGTCTAACATTATTTATACTACAAATAGACATTATAGTAGATGTAACAGACATACTCAAAATATAGAAACTGTAAAAGGAGAAAACAAAGAATAAATATAACTCAACATTCTATTATGTTCTTCCTGCGCCCAGTGGATCCTCTTGTGCACCTCCTGGAATATGCACCTGTTTGAAAACACTGCGTTTACCCACCGGCCCTTTCACGGGTCATCTCTGTGGTAGACTGTGCGGTTCTCTGACCCTTCCAGTTGCCCTTCCTTTCCAGACAGACAGAAGGACCCTACTCTCCAACCCATGAAGTAAGGAGTGGCTGCATCACTTGCTCTGTCCAGCAAATGGGTCCCTTCTGATTCGGAGCATCAAGAACTTCCCATGCCCTCTCTCATCTTCACCACAAAGAACCCTGAAGCCTCATGTTGGATGGTAGAGTCATAAGATGGTCATCCAGGTTGACTTGAGTGGCTAAAGTGAGCAGCCATGTTGGATTTAAGATATGGGGGGTTTCGTTACATCAGCACAACCTAGCTTCTCTTGACTGATCCTATTTGTAAAGAACCCGATTGCCACCTTGGGCATGGGTTTGTTCTCTGAGGCTTGCTCCCTCCCAGCTGTCATGCTGAGAGGGTGCTTCTCAGTAGTGACAGGGAGCCACAGTGCCACAGAGGAAAAGCACGGGGTGGTTTGAGGGATGGGGTCAGAATGTAAGAAACGGCTCAGAGTCTGAAGACTGATCAGGAAGGCACTATGTGGGTAGACTTGCTCCAGGAACTGATGGGTGCTTTCCACTCTTATCCCAGGGCCATCCCTGAACCCTGGGCTACAGAGCTTCAAGCCAGAGAGTGAAAAATGCCTCTGTATTCCCTGTTTCTGCATGTCCTATGTCTTCCTAATGGTAAGGAGTTTGATTTCAGACCAAATACATAAATTATTTTCCTTTAGGCCATTCTTTCAGCAAATAAGGCAGTAATTACTGTCTCTTAGAAATTTTCACAGTAATTAAATTGGAAGAGTATCTACATCACTGAGGCTTCCTCCCATGAAATCTAAAACACTGACAACCCATTTCCCAAATGCCTCCCAGTCTGGTTGATCCAAGGACTGCTACTGAATTACACTGTGGGATCCCAAGTGGATAAGAAGAGGAGATTAGAAATTCAGAACTCTCTCTTAAACCTGATATATGACCTAAAATGTTTCTCCAGCTACCAGAATAGAAACTAAATAAGAGTTGTTTATACCAGATAGAATCTTTTTCTCTGCAGGTCTTGGGCTGGTAGGGCAACTCTGCTGAACAGTATTGTTTCTGCTTCATTCTTTCTCCTCTGCCACCTTTACCATTGAGCTTCCTTCTCACTATGTAAGGTGGCTGCTCCAGTTACCACCTCCAGGCCCACTTTCCAGGCAGGAATCAGAGCAGGAAGGCAGACCCTTCATCTTATGGGTGCAAACCAGAAATTGCCCACATCATTCCTGCTCAGGTCTCATGGGCCAGAATTGAGTCGTATGGCCAAACTCAGCTGCAAGGGAGCCTGGGAAATGCAGTCCCTAGCTGGGCAGCCATTGGTCAGATAAATTTAGGTGCTATTACTAAAGGAATATTAGTGGACACCTAGCAGCCTCTGGCTTCCTGGCAAGCCATGTGGCCTTCCTCAGGAAGCTTTTCCTCCTACCTCACCATGGCCCATGAACTCCTATACTGTTATTCTTCAGCATTCATCACGGTGCTGGGTGAATACCTGCTTACTCCTCTCTATGTCCCATTAGGGGAAGCTTCATGAAGGCAGAGGCCATGTTCATTCTGTCTGTTTACTATTGCATCTCCAGGCCCTGGCACTTGGTAGGTTCTTAATAAATATGTGTTGACCAAGTGAACTATTTCACAAATGATTATGTGAAAAGATAATTGTAATTAACCTCTGACTGTTCTCTGCCTTTCACTCCCTGCTTCCCTCCAGTTCTGCCTAACTTGGTCTGCCTCTCCGGTTTTTCCTCCTTGTCCTCTAGGCCAGGCTCATTCAGGCCAGACAACTGCTTTGGGCTTTTGTAATGCAAGATTGTGAGGCAAGGAGCAGCCAGAAAAGTAGCAGAAGGTTTATGTTGGGAGGACAGAATCATGACATTCTCTGTTTAGCCCCCATGAAATATTTTAAATTCCATTTACAAATTAACAATTTTAATTAGAGACAAGAAGATTATATCATATACATGAAATATATCACAATCATGCATTCCTGTCCAAAAAGATTACTGTGAAATTAAACATAAAAAGTGATTTCTGGTAGCCTGGGCTCCATGAGAGAAGTGGACAGGAAAGAAAAGTAGGTTTCAGAAGTATCACTATGGACATCATGAAATTAAAAAATGCAAGAAGAGGACAGAAATTATTTGGAAATTTTTTAAATTCATTAGACTGTATTTCTATGACCCAGACACTGCCTGGTAACTAGACAAGTTGTGGCTCAGAAGGAAATGACTCAGAACAGTGGGAAAATGTCAGCGAAGTGTAAATCCCAAAAAACCTTCTTAACCAAGATTTCCGCCTGTTTTGAATCCTTAGGAAAAAGAACCCTTAAAAAGAGTGAAGTATATGTGTATGTTTCTCAAACTTTTCCAGATAGTATCAAGCCTGGAAATCATGACATTCTCTGGCTAGCCCCCAAGAGATATTTTAAATTCCACTTACAAATCAACAATTTTATATGGGGACAAGAAGATTATACCATATACATGAAATACAATCTCACGACCATGCATACCTGTCCAAAAAGATTAACTGCCAGATTAAACATAAAAAGTGATTTCAGAATTTTTCTGTTAATACTTATTTGCTACTGTTTCATCAGCTTTATTGCTGTTGTCATTTGTGCTTGCTGGTATGTAAGCAACTCAAAAATCAAAGGAAACATCTATGGAAGAAAAACTGTAAACAGAGAAAGTTCTGTGAATTGACTAAATGTTTTGTATTAATCAGGAAAATATCTCTAGATTACAAGGCCCATGAACAAAGTGGCAATGACTGTCTTATTCATGGCTCCATTTCAGTTCCTGGTTAGTGTATCTGGCATATTCTAGAAGCTAAGCAAAGATGTGTGATCAACTACTTGATTTTAGCTATTGAACCTGCCTCACTCCAACTATCAGACTACTGGAACATAATTGGAGAACTACTAGGTAACAGCAGGACTCCTTGTTGTCCATTTTTCTTTTTTGGTTTTTGAGACGGAGTCTCGCTCTATTGCCCAGGCTGGAGTGCAGTGGTGCGATCTCAGCTCACTGCAAACTCCGCCTCCCGGGTTCATGCCATTCTCCTGCCTCAGCCTCCTGAGTAGCTGGGACTACAGGCGCCCACCACCATGCCCAGCTAATGCTTTTTGTATTTTTAGTAGAGATGGGGTTTCACTGTGTTAGCCAGGATGGTCTCGAGCTCCTGACCTCATGATCAGGCTGCCTCAGCCTCCCAAAGTGCTGGGATTATAGGCGTGAGCCACCGCGCCTGGCCCATTTTTCTTAATAAGCTCTTTTTTGATGGTACCATGTTTAAGACTACAGGGTCACATGATCACCTACCAGTCTTGAAAGACATAATGACACATTCAGTATGCACGTTCTCATAATCCCACCTACTCTTGTGATTTCTGAGGTGACCCTGGATAAGCGGCCTGCCTCTGATTAGGATTTCTGAGAAGGTTCTTGTTGTTCTGTTTAGTTTTTGTTTCTTTGTTCAAGGTCTTAAAATGTTAAGATAATAACAAAACATGATAAATGCCATTGGTATTTATATTTGCAAAGTCCAAAATATTTGAGTTTTTAAATTTATTTTATATAACATCTTTACTCTTATTAATTTGTTTTTAATTATATAACTAGTGCATTGAGGATGCTTTAGGGTTATTAAAATCCAAACAATAAAATCAAAAGTCTCCTTAATTACCATGTCAAGCCCAGTCCTCTCTCCCAAGCTAACAACATTGCCCTGGTTTATAACCTTCCAGACTCTTCCCTGTGCTTTGACATACATAAATGTATATGTACTTAGAGAGATTTGTAGTTTTTGTCTTGTTCTCATTATTATTTCTATAAATGATGTAATAGGATACCTTTTGCTCTGCTACTTGCTGTTTTCATTTGGAATATGTCTTAAAGCCCTTTCCACATCCGCTCATATAACTCTACCCTATATTTTTAACCATTTGTCTTAGTCGTTCGGGCTGCTATCACAGAATACCATCAACCGGGTGGCTTAAACAATAGACATTTATTTCTCACAGGTCTGGTGGCTGAAAGTCCAAGATCCAAGTTCTGACCAATTTAGTATCCAGTAAAGGCCTGCTTCTTGGTTTGCAGATGGCCTCCTTCTTGCTGTATCCTCGCAGGGCAGAGAGATCATCTCTCTCATGTCTTTTCTTATAAGGGCACTAATTTCATTCATGAGGGCTCCACTCTCATGAGTAAATCACATCCCAAAGGCCCTACCAACAAATACCATCACACTAGGGCTTCAACATATGAATTTTAGGGAGACAAAAGCATTCAGTCCATAGCACCATTCCATGCTATTCTATAATTCAAGTGAACCATAGTTTACTTACCTAGTCCCTAACTGCTGGTCATTTAGGTGATTTTTAATCTCTTGGTTTTTTTTTGTTTTTTTTTTTTGGTTTTTTTGTTTTTTTTTTTAGATGGAGTCTCACTGTCTCGCCCAGGCTGGAGTGCAATGGCACAATCTTGGCTCACTGCAACCTCCGCCTCCTTGGTTCAAGCGATTCTCCTGCCTCAGCCTCCCAAGTAGCTAGGACTACAGGCGCATGCCACCATGCCCAGCTAATTTTTGTATTTTTAACAGAGACGGGGTTTCACCATGTTGGCCAGGATGGTCTCCATCTTTTGACTTCATGATCTGCCCGCCTCAGCCTCCCAAGGTGCTGGGATTACAGGCATGAGCCATCGCACCTGGCCAATCTCTTAGTTTTTATACATTGCTGCAAAGGTATCTTATTTGAGGCCCACCATATACATGGGCAAGTGTTACTCTAGGAAAAAATAGTGAGAAATGAAATTGCTGGGTCAAAGGACATGAACACTTAAAATTGCCATAAATACTGATAAATAGCATTCTGAAGTGGCTGCACCAATTTACTCTCCCACAAGCAAGTTATGAAAGAACCAGTTTCCCTAAACCTCTGCCATCATCATCAAACTTTAAAACCATTTCAAATCGAATTAGTGAAAATGGTTTCCCACTGTTGTTTTATTTTGCCCAGGAGTATTCTGAATGTGGAAAGTCAACTACATTGCTGCTATTTAACATAATTTTTCTAACTCTATTTCTTGCCCTCTTCTCCCCATAAATAGGAGACTTTACCTAAGTAGATAGTAGTAGCAGAGACAGCTAGCTATCCTCCTAATCTCTTTTCCTTGGGCACACACCTAGACTGTGTTTCCCAGACTTCTTGGTGGTTGTGTAGAGACTTACTACTGGGTTCTAGCCATTGAAATGTAAATGGAGTGATGTGTACCGCTTCCAGGACTGGCCTATAAAAACCTTCCGCACACAATCTTCCATGCTGTCCTCTCTTCCACTGGCTGGATATAAACAAGCATGATGAGCGTAGAAGCCACATGTTGAGGATGGCAGAAATACAGAGGAAAGAGGAAAGATGCCTGGGTCCTTGAGTCACCACTTGAAAAAGAGCTATTCGCCAATCCTGAACAACTGTTTTGGATTTAATGTGAGCAAGAATTATTCAAGCATTTGTGGGGTTATTTATTATTATTACAGCAACCACCAGTATTGTGGTGAGGATTAGCTCATTAAAATGATTGCAAATGCTATAAAAAACATTGGGAAAATAATCAGGGAGTCATCCTGGGCATATAGGTATACCTCCCAGCACAGAATACTCCATCTTACAAACTGTCTAAAGAATTAGGAGCTATCTGAAGGAAAAAAAAAAAAATCCCTGGCCTATGTCACAGGTTAGCTAAGAAAAGAGATTTCTTCCATTTTCTGGTCCCCACTGTGACCTAAGAACTACTTCCCAGATGACTCCAGTTGTTGGTCAGCGCATCAGGCTTGAGGGACCCTGTTCCCTTGGAAATGTCCTGTCAGACATCAGAGTCAATTACTGCAGAGAGTCTAGATGCTGCAGAATTGTTTCATCTGAGGTCAACGACTATTTAAAATGCCATTTGCTATTAGGAAGCTGCCCTCGAGCTCAGGGCCAGGGGTGAAGCTACCACATGGTTACCAGGTTATCTGTTGAAGTTGACTTTCTGTGGCATGGAGAAATTGCCCGAGGTAGAGTCATGCCCAGCATTTCTCATGAAGCACGGCTGCCCAGCCAGGTGACTGTCAAAGCTATTTGTGCAGGCTATTGTTCCATAGCTGCGAAAGGAAACCAACCCACCCCTCCAGGTGACCCTTCCAGCCCCTTCTCCATTGGGTATAAGAACTAAAATTGGCTGGGCATGGTGGCTCACAGCTGTAATCCCAGCACTTTGGGTGGCTGAGGCGGGTGGATCACCTGAGGTCTGGAGTTCAGCCGTGCCCAACATGGTGAAACCCTGTCTCTAATTTTTGTAAAAATACAAAAATTAGCCGGGCGTGGCAGCACGTGCCTGTAATCCCAGGTACTCGGGAGACTGAGGCAGGAGAGTCACTTGAACCCAGGAGGCAGAGGTTGAAGTGAGCTGAGATCACACCATTGCACTCCAGCCTGGGTGACAAGAGCAAAATTCCATCTCAAAAAATAAAATAAAATAAAGAAAGAAAAAGAAAAGAAAAAAGAAAAACTAAAATTAAAGTCTTCATACCCTGATTACATTCCAATAATGACAACAAACAGTCTATGCCTCTGGCTGCCCTGGGAAGAATGAGAAGGAATGGGACTTTAAAAAGGACTCACCCATAAGTCACATGCAAGTTAGAAAAGATCAAGGAGCCAGACTATCCAGCTCCTTCCACCATAGCAGCAGTTTTCAAACAATCAAATAAAACAGTCAAAGGAGAGCAAGCCTGGCTGAAGACAAGGAGAGGAGGACCTAGAGTCCCTCCTGTTTGCTCTACCCCATACCCATGTGAGTTTCTCCCTGGGACCCTGGGGCTCTACAGAGAACAGTTTAAAAACAACCACTCCAAAGGCCTTTACAGGTGACCCATCCAAAAGTCTAGCAGGAAGCAACCCCCAGGTTGTACAGCACCTCACCCAAAGGTGGCAGACCACCAAATGTGAACCTGGAAATCTTAACGTTGGACCATAAAGCCAAGCTGCTTAGTTGCTTTTTGCCTGTTGTACTCTGAGTACCTGGCTTGGTATCCATCACATATCAGGCACTTAATATTTGGGGAATGAAAGAATAAAGGAAGCTTAGTCTTTGAATTGCCATCACTAATAGTCACAGCATATTGGCCACATAGCATTTCACAGTTTATATAGTACTTTCCCTTATATTGTCTCATTCAATATTCAGAACCTACTATGATGTAGTCAAGATAGATTGTCATTTAATAGAAACAGAATGTCAGAGAGATTTGGTGACATGCTCAGTGCCACAAAGCTAGTCCCAAGGCAGTTGCAAGACTGGAACCACATCTTCAGGCTCCAAGTACCCGGGCTCTTTATCCTACCCTCACTGCTGAGACTCTGATGCTGCCATCATAATGGTAGTACCCGTGGTGATGGTAGCATACTATTCATTAAGATCATAGCAATATGCAAAGCACATACAGACTCCAGTCCCTGGCCATAAGCACATGCCTGGTTGGTTAGCTCCCATGGCTACAGGTTCTGTCTCTTCACACTGAGAAAGGTGATCCTTTCTCATGAGCATAGATCACAGAGCCCATGCCAAATAGTGGAAATGTTTATGCCAGAGGTCACATGGGGGTGTGTGTGTGGGAAGAATAGAGAGAATGAGCAGATCAGCACAAACTCATCCTCATGACCTAGAAACCAATTCAAAGCCCAAGTCCTACTTCATATGAAAAGTCACATCTGGGGGCTACTCAATCTTGGAAAGGGAAGCATGAGCTTGAAAACTACAGTTCCTGGGTCCTGGTATAAGTCATGAACTTGGTCCATATAACTCACAGATTGCTGATTTAGTGTTCAGTAAGCTTAGGGTTAAACACCAGCCCCACCAGCAAATTTTGCAAAGGCTGCCCTATTTAGGCTCCCCACCACCTGCCACGACCTTTAGAATCAATTTCACCATAAATCTCAAAAGCTCACCTACCTCTAAGTCAGTCCTCAAGCCTGAACAGGAAGCAAGTGTACAAAGGGTCCTGAGTAAAAGAGAACAAACCACCCAAGTCCTCAGACTTTCTTCTGCTTCTAGATTGCCCAATTTATTCTCCTTGTATAAAGTAGATAAAATAACTCTTCCCCACAAATGGCCAATGCTGTGAATGCATTTTCACCCACAGGACTCTGAGCCCCCCAAAATAAAGCTATTTATTTGGCCTTCACGATTTTTTCTTCTTTGTTCTTCAAACTTGTCCTCTACTTACTTTTTCTATCTCAAAAGTGAGGGCTAGGCAATTTGAAAGAACCTAAACCCTCCGACGGGGTACAGACCGATGACTTCAGCCCAAGAGAGGTGGAGAGTGCCAAATCAAGCCTCTCTGGGTTGAGAGTCATGCAACCACATGATGAAAGCCCCTCCAGCCCAGCACAGTGCTGGATCCTGAAGGAGCAGAATTATGAAGGTCAAGGGATCCCTAACTCTGCTCTTCTGACATTTGTGTCCTTAAAATGCAACAACTACCTCCCTACCCTGCTAATACACATTATGTGAGTTCATCTCCAATAAAACTGGTTAATTCTGCAATATTTCAAGGGGATATTCCCCTCTCTCTAGGTACTATCTTTTCACACCATTCACATAGATCCTGTAGAGCATTGATCCTCTGTCACATCAAGCACCAGAGAGACCATCACAGAAAGCAGGTCTGAGAGGCAGGGTGGAGTGTGTGGAGTCCTAGGCAGTTACAGGCCTGAGATCCCCTGGCTTTCATCAATCCGTTCATCCTCATGCATTTGGCACATGTGTACCAGCACTGTGCTGAGTGCTATAGGATGTAAAGGAGTAAAATAATTTTCATACTATCACTGCAAAAGACTTGCACTGTCATTGAAGAAGTCAGACACAAAGAAGTATGTTGGAATGGTAGATCAACAACAAATATCCACATATTGCTGCATACTTCATACCAGTGTCTCCCCTAGGGACTGGGATACAGCAAAGACCACGACAGACAAAAATCCTGCTCTCACGGAGTTTACATTCTTGTAGGAAATATATTTCAGGGTTTGATTGTGGAATTCAGAAAACAGTCATCAGTAATTAAGAGAAAAGATCTGAGTAGTCTGAAATAGAAGCTTTAAGCAGGTCTTCTCCCCTCACAGGCCTCTCTATTCAGTTTATCCCAAACTGAATTCATCACCCTTACCCTTATACAGAACCCAGCCTTACAAGCAAGAAAACTGGTGGTATACCAGATGATCCCAATTCACTCTCCTTCCCTTCACTCACCACCACCAATCAAGTAGGCCTTGTAGACTTTACCTTCTAAGTACCTCTGAAATCTATTCCCTCCTCCACATTCCCACTGCCACAAACTAGGTCAAGCCCTCATCACATCATCTTTTCTTACCTACTGTAGTGGACACTGTCATGCACAGCCCAGATTCCCTCTCAATCTAGCCTGAAGGACTTTTGCCTCAGCTTTGAGAGTGCTGTCGGTGCTCAGCCTTCAGCTATTGCTATAGTTTGGATATATGTCGCTGCCCAAATATCATGTTGAATTGTAATCCCCAGTATTGGAGGTTGGGCCTGGTGGGAGGTGATTGGATCATGAAGATGGATTTTTCATGAGTGGTTTAGCACCATCCCTTTGGTGCTGTCCTTGTGATCATGAGTGAGCCCTCGTGAGAGCTGGTCATTTAAAAGTGTGCAGCATCTCCCCACATCTCTCTTGCTCCTGCTCCGGCCATGTAATGTGCCTGCTTCCACTTTGCTTTCCACCATGTGTAAAAGCTCCCTGAGCCCTCCCTAGAAGACTGCAGAACCATGAGCCAATTAAACCTCTTTTTTTTAATAAATTACCCAGTTCCAGGTATTTCCTTATATCAATGCAAGAATGACCTAACACATCTGTCAATCCCTAATGGGATTGCTTCAGCTGCAGAGAACTGTCTCACTCAAGGTGCATGCATCTCAGCCCAACCCAGGATATAGCTCTGGAGCACCCTATGGGGTCATCTGAGAATGTGAGTGAGCCTGCATCACAGAACAACATGGTACTCTGTCCGTTTCCTTTCACAGATGTTGATCCCAAGGACCCTCCTTAATAAAGGGCCTGCATGCTGGAATCCAATCTATGATGACAAGAAAATTTCAATGGCTCCTGACTACCTGCTCTACCTTGGCTCAACCCTTCATCAATCCCACCTCTGAATATCTACAAAAGTTATATTTAAAATCTCTGTAGTTTAACTTTTAGTTTTATTGAAGTACTACAGTTTATGAAACCATATATAACTCATGGCTCATAAAGAAGAATGGTATTCCTTCCCAACACCCATCCCATCACCTTCTGCCATTTATTTTTACATGTCTAAATAACATGCTTATGCTTCTATTTGTTGATGTTTTTCAGTTTTAGATACCTGTCAACTTCCTATTATGAAAGATGAAGGTTTAGATCTTTTACACACACACACTTTTCCTGTCTTCATTCTCCTGAGATTCTTATATCACAATTTTCATGGCTTTTGTTGTTTTGATTCTATATAACATTATTCACAGCTGATCCATGGTGTATACTATGATTACATTTCTTTTCCTGTACAGTTTTGTTTGTTTTCCAAGGTTGTCTTATTTGCTTAGTTTTTATGTAGCCTTCATTTCTATCATTTGAATGTATATGTCCCACACACACAAATTCTTATGCTGGAATTAAGACTCAATGTGACAGTATTAAGAGAAAGTGATTAGGTCACGAGGGCTCCACACTTATATATGGGATTAGTGCTTTTATAAAAGTGTTCAAGTGAACTCACTAGGCCCTTTTGCCCTTCATCCCTTCCACCATGTGAAGGCACAGTATTTGCTTCTTCCACCATATGAGGACTCAGCAAAAAGGCACCATCTTTGAAGCAGAGAACAGCCATCATCAAACAATGAATCCACTAGCACCTTGATCCTGGACTTCCCAGCCTCCAGACTGTGGTTGCATAAATGTCTGTTCTTTATAAATAACCCAGTCTAAAGTATTTTGTTATAGCAACAAGAATGGACTCAGATACTCTCACTAATATCTCTCCAAACCCTCCACCAGAATATTTCTTCTCAATATGTTTAAACATTCCCGGTCTTCAATGCATTTAATATTTTCCTTCTTGGAGGCATTCCTCCTGAGGCTCTCTCTCCTCTTTTTCCAATATAGACAGAAGCCTTCTAATCCTGCTCAATAGTCCTCATCCTTGTGGAACACATTTTCTAACAGCTTACTGTAAAGAGTATACAGGTGGTAATACTTTGAGATCTGCCTTCCTAAAAATTTATTCTATCCTCATATTTGAGGTACTTTGGTTGGATATAAAATTCTAGGTTCAAAAGCATTTTCTGTCAGAATTCTGAAGACATGGCTCCATGGTCTTCCAACTTTTAATGTTGTTGATGAGAAGACCCATGCTCTGTTGACTCCTGCTCCTTTGTATTTCTCTCTTGCTCTGTCTCTCTCTCGCTCTCTCTCTCTCTCTGTTTCTCTCTCTCTCTCTTTTTCTCTCAGCTTTTAGGCTCTTTATATGGCATTTTGAAAATTCATATTTTCTGTTAGAGTGTTTTTTTCTCCTTGATTATGCTGAACATTCAACAGATCATTTTAGTCTGGAAACTTATATTCTTTGAACATGTCTTTTTGTTTGTGGGTTTGTTTCTAAAAATGTCCTCTCTCTCTCTCCCTCATTTCCTCTCTTCTCTTTTTCTAAACATCTTTTATTTTTTGGATCTCCTGGATTTTCTTTATTTTTCTCTTCCATTTCAGTCTCTAGGTTAATTTGATCTAATTTCTAGACTTTCCTCAACTCTGTCTTGTAACTTTCTGGTTAAGAGTTATTTCTGTTCTCTTATTTTTAATTTCTGTGATCTTGTTCTCTGAAACTCCTTGTTTTACAACCTTCTGTTATTGTTTTATGAATGTAGTATTCTGTCTTACATCTCAAAGCATTTTCATCATGAGGATATTTTTTGTTTTCCTTCTACACTACGCCTTGCATTCATTTCTTCTGAGTTCCTTCTGATTTGCTTAGTTCAAATTCTGTCTCATGTTAAAAATATTTCTTCAGATGTCTTATGTCCTTGGCTGTCTATTTATATTCAAGAGTGAGGCACTCAAATGCTGATTGAAAGCTCTGTCACTGTCTTTTCTGCTAGTTGATCTCACTATTGATTGATCAGGTATGCCCAGGCCCTTTTGTAAGGAGACCCCAAGTGGTAATACCTTTAGATCTTTTCTCTTGGGTGGATTGTTTTACTCAGAGAGGAATACTTAGAACTCCTGCCTTGGACAGATAAACCTAACTACCAGCATTCCAGGAAGCTGAATGGAAGAAGGGGAATAAGAGGCCTCAGTAAATTGGCTTTAACTCAACCTCACCATCAATTTTATCTGATGACTCTGAGTCTAGAGACTCTCTTGTACGACTTCTCCAGAGAGGAAAGCTTCATTCCTGCACTAAAGTCATAGATAGATACCTGAGTATGTAGACTTGTAAAGGGCATCTGGTAGGTCCTATTCTATTATTCTAATGCTGAGTGCACATTAATCTCCTCGGAAACATTTTTTAAAACTGATGCCTAGACCCTCTCCTGAACCATTACCTCTGAGTTTCTGGAGTGAGGTCCTGACCTGCATATTTTTTAACTCTTCTAGATGAAACTGATGCATACTGAGGATTGGGAACCATGAATCCAACTGCATCTTATAACAACTTTTAACTGTTTCTCCTATTGCCAGCCAGTGTCTTAGCTTGGGCTGCCATAACAAAATATCATGGACTGGGTTTAAACAACAGAAATTTATTTTCTCACAGTTCTGGAGGCTAGAAAACTAAGATCAGCATTCTGGCCAACTTGATTTTCAGTAAGGGCTCTTTTCCTGGCTTGCAGATGGCCGCCTTCTCACTATGTCCTCACATGGCCTTTCTTCTGTGCATGCATGGAGAGACAGTGTTCTCTAGTGTCTCTTCTCTTTTTTTTTTGAGACAGAGTCTCGTTCTGTCACCCAGGCTGGAGTGCAGTGGCGCAATCTCCGCTCACTGCAAGCTCCACCTCCCGAGTTCATGCCATTCTCCTGCCTCAGCCTCCCGAGTAGCTGGGACTACAGGTGCCCACCACCACGCCTGGCTAATTTTTTTGTATTTTTAGTAGAGACAGGGTTCCACTGTGTTAGCCAGGATGGTCTCAATCTCCTGACCTTGTGATCCACCTGCCTCGGCCTCCCAAAGTGCTGGGATTACAGGCATGAGCCACCTCACCCGGCCTGGTGTCTCTTCTTATAAGGCCAGTAATCCTATCAGATTAGGACCATGCCCTTATGACCTCATTTAACCTTACTTGTCTCCTAAAGGCCCTATCTACAAATACAGTCACACTGGGTATTGGGCTTCAACATATGAGTTTGGGGAAAACACAATTCAATTTCCATAGCACACAATCTATAACAGAAAACTTCAGACTCTATTGCCTCTGACTTCTGATTCTTTCTGAAAATCACTTTGCTTCTTGGTTTTTCTCCAGCAGAGTTTTCACTTTCTCTGCACTGCTAAGTCATTTATCATGTGCCCCGTTGCTTTTCCAGCTTCCTCAATTTTGTAAACATTGTTTGTCCACTTTGGGTTTTTTTGTTTTTTTGTTTTGTTTTGAGAATGAGTCTCACTCTGTCACCCAGGCTGGAGTGCAATGGCACAATCTTGGCTCACTGCAAGTTCCACCGCCCAGGTTCACGCCATTCTCCTGCCTCAGCCTCCCAAGTAGCTGGGACTACAGGCGTCTGCCACCACACCCGGCTAATTTTTTGTATTTTTAGTAGAGATGGGGTTTCACTGTGTTAGCCAGGATGGTCTCAATCTCCTGACCTTGTGATCCGCCCACCTCGGCCTCCCAAATAGCTGGGATTACAGGCGTGAGCCACTGCGCCTGGCCTTTATTTGACTCTTTATGGTCATGTCAGTGGAGTTTTCGGAGGAAGTAGAAATAAATTAAGTGTTTGATCTGTAAGTTTACCTGGTATTCCTCAAGAATGACATTGTTAAACTGCAACCTTTATTATGACTCTCCCTAACTAAAACCCTTCAACTTCTTCCCATGACACACAGAAAGAACTTTCAAACTTTTAAACCAGAACACCCATAGTGGCAGAGAATTAACATGTGTATTCGTAAGTGTCTGGGATGGAGTCCAAAAGACTCAACCACTTGCATAAAATTTCTTTGAAATCTCACATTTTATTTTTTAAATATATGCAGATTTTGCCCCTGTTCCATAATGGATCTGTTTGTTTTAATATAAGAATATTATTTTAAATTACTTGGCATTTAAATTGCTTCCCTTTACTTTCTTTCTTCAATCTTCAAGTCAAATTGATGCTTTGAAAAACTGATCAATTTATCTCATTACTTTGTGTATCCATGAGACACATACAGTTTAAGAGGCACAGCCCTTATTCTTAAGGTGCCTTAGTCCTATTGAGTCCTCAAAACTGGGCCCAGTAGCTGGCTTCTAGAAGATAATATACTTAACAAGTGTTTGATGAATCAACTGAACTGAATAATCTTGTAGGAAGGGTATTATTTGGATGGGGAGTAGGGAGATAGGCATTTCCAGTAGATCATTTAGCTAAACCAAGCTCTAGAGGGAGGAATGAACACATTGACTAGTGAGTGTCTGCTCTAGATGGTACCCCAGGCTGGAAGTTTTTCCAAATGCTCTTATCTGATCTTTTGCCCTGAGATTCCAGGGTAGCTGTGTCCCTGAATGAGCCTTTCACTGAAATAGCTTCACCCTAACACTCAACTCCATAGACCATCCCCCAACCCCATGGTCTCATCTGCTCCTCACCCACCTCTCCTCATTATTCCTGGGATGATTAAATCTATGCTACATGTCCAAGCCAATGCTAGAAGCTACATGCTTGGAAGTAGGGCTGATCTTACACTAAGGGACATAGTCAGATGTTCCAACTTCAAGCACTCTCCTTTCAATTCCTTTCTTTTCTACTCATTCCTCTCAACAAAACTCTAACTGCCGAAGAAATATGAGTGGGATTGGATTAATTAGTGGAGGAAGATCGGGCATAGTGGCTCATGCCTGTAATCCCAGCATTTTGGGAGGCCAAGGCGGGTGGATCACCTGAGGTCAGGAGTTCAAGGCCAGCCTGGCCAACATGGTGAAACCCCCGTCTCTACTAAAAATACAAAAATTAGTCAGGCGTGGTGGCACACACCTGGAATCCCAGCTACTCAGGAGGCTGAGGCAGGAGAATTACTTGAACCCGGGAGGCGGAGGTTGCAGTGAGCTGAGATTGTACCACTGCACTCCAGCCTAAGCAACAGAGCTAGACTCCATCTCAAAAAAAAAAAAAAAAAAAAAAATGGAGGAAGAGCATTCTAAATTTCTTAGGTAGAATTTCTGAAATTAGAGCTCATGGTAGGCAAGAAAATGATATATGTAATGGAAATCTTTAGAAGTAATAATAATAGAGGATACACATTAACTCATTTGATCCTCACAACCCTATAAAGTAGCTACTATATTATTCCCACTTTACGGATCAGGAACCTGAAGCCCAGAAGTCACACAGTGAGCAAATGCTGGAGCTGAGTGTGAGCTTAGATGCACCTGGTTCCAGAGTTAGGCTCTTACTCATTATCTACCTCCCGGGATAGAAATGTAGCATCCATCTCTACAGCTCCCAGGCTCTGAGATTTCACCTGCCAAGAAAATTTCAAAATAATTTGGGGGAGGGTAGATAATCACAAAATTGCCAAGTTTATATTTTGCCAAATAAGCACATTAAAAATAAATCCCATTATCACTATCATTTCATTTTTTAAATGACTTGTTAACACCGCAAGATGGGAAGAAGATAATCTCAGGATAAAAGCAGAAACTTAAAGGGAATAAATTTAGACTTATGAAAAATAGGACAGCCTCAACATTTTCCCCATTTTGCTGAAGACCAGTGGAAATTATCTGGGACCTACTGTGATCCTTTTACAGCATTTGGAGCCAGAGATTAGCTCTTCTAATCTCTGTGTTCTCAGGACACAGAGCTGAGTCTCTAGGCTGACATGGAGTGGAAGGTGGGGAGACAGACCCCCAGCTTCAACCCTGGGAACATCACAAGGAGCGAAAACCTGTGTCTGCTCCTATCCAAGGCATTCTCCATTCTAACCAGGCTTTCCACACTCCCTTCAACTCAAAATATTCCTGGGTCAAGGGCAGTCAGTATGTAGGGGGAGGTGGGCGAAGAGATGGGGAGAGAAAAATTAAATCAATGAAGCCAGTGTTCTGAGTGGGCTGCAGACAGCAAAGGTCTAAAATTGCCTGAGACAGAGGAGGACAAACACAATTTGCTCCAGGTGATTGAGAAAACAGTGGGGCTTGAGGTTCTCATTTTTTTTTTTTTTTTTTTAAGACGGAGTCTCACTCTATCACCAGACTGGAGTGCAGTGGTTCGATCTTGGCTCAATGCAATCTCCACCTCCCAAGTTCAAGCGATTCCCCTGCCTCAGCCTTCTGAGTAGCTGGGATTACAGGTGCCCACCACCACACCAGGCTAATTTTTGTATTTTTAGTAGAGACAGGGTTTCACCATATTGGCAAGGATGGTCTTGATTTTCTGACCTTGTGATCCACCTGCCTCGGCCTTCCAAAGTGCTGGGATTACAGGCGTAAGCCACCACCCCCCACCAAGGTTCTCATTCTTGTGCAGATTGTTCCTTTCTCAGTCTACTGTGTCATCAAGGATATATTCAGGCACTGAATAGTTAAAGGCAAGGATCTGGTCCTGACCATTTTATCTCCAAAGTATTTTTCACGTTTTTCCCCCAGCTGCGTCCCTGACTCTGACCCTCATCATCTCTTTGTTGGACCACTGAAGTAGCTTTGCTCCATGTCCCCATAGCCTGTCCGTCTTTCTCCAGACTAAATTTTCAGAAATGCAAACCTGTGATTCGCCTCCTCCCATCAGTATCTTCTCCCTTGTCACCCAAGGAATGAAGTTGAGCTCTCCCACTCAGCACACACAGCAACTCCAGCACATCACACACACACACACGCACATGCACCACACTGCACCACACACACACAAACACACAGTGTATGGCAGATGCACCTGACAGCAATAACTTAAACATACCCTGAGACTGGCCCTGTGGTCTAAGAAGAGTGCTGGTTTTGGAGTTCCAAGCTAAGAAATCCAGGAGTGGCCAGCCTGGAGCCTCATTCCTTATCTATGAGGGTCATCTAAACCCTTGGCCCATTCCTTGGAATGCAGGGCACACAGGGCATCAAGGCCCTTTATTTAGGGTTAAATGGAGGTTGCTAGGTTGAGGTTCCCGGGTAGAGGATACTAAGTGAAAATGCTATGTAAACTGCATGCTTTTTACAAACAGTAGCAGTTCTCCTGTCCAGCCCACTGCCACTAGTCTGCCCATATGTAAGGCTTCAATAAACCCTATGTCTCATTCACTGGCTCCAGGTCTCTTCTTTGGCCTCTCTGACATGGTTCCATCCCTACTGGAGTGAGTAGGGGTCTGACACAACACACATACACACAGGAACACTGCCCCAGCACACACACACACACACACACTACACACACACATACAGAAAGCCATACTTATCCACAACATCCTATCCCACTCTTTGCCTTAAATTCAATACTCCAGAAACATAGAACTTCCTCTAGATCACTGAACAAGCGCCCCTGGGCCTTTGCACATGCTGTTCTCTCTGAATATTGCCCTCTCCCTTTTCCACCTAATTCTATTCACCCTTGCAGGCCTCACTCAGGTCTCAGCTTCTCAAGGAGCCCATCTGAGATCCCCTTCTGGCCACCACCTCTCACGTAGTCTGGGACACGTGGATGTGCCTGCATGCCTTGTCATGATGGCCTCTGTGATGGTTAATACCAAGTCTCAACTTTGAAGGATGCAAAATATTGATTCTGGGTGTCTCTGTGAGGGTGTTGCCAAAGGAGATTAACATTTGAGTCAGTGGGCCAGGAAAGGCAGGCCCACCCTTAATCTGGGTGTGCACCATCTAATCAGCTGCCAGTGTGGTTAGAATATAAAGAAGGCAGAAAAACGAGAAAAGACGAGACTGGCCTAGCCTCCCAGCCTACATCTTTCTCCTGTGCTGGATGCTTCCTGGCTTCAAACACTGGACTCCAAGCTCTTCAGTTTTGGGACTTGGACTGGCTCTCCTTGCTCCTCAGCTTGCAGACAGCCTATTGTGGGACCTTGTGATGGTGTGAGTTAATACTTAATAAACTCCCCTTTATATATATATATATATATATATATATATATACGTATCCTATTAGTTCTATCGCTCTAGAGAACCCTAATACAGTCACTGTGCTCTGCTGAAGTCATGTGTCCACTGCTTCCTCCTTGGGGTCAAAGGTCATAGCGTACTTAGTTTTGCACTCTCAATGCCAGCACAGCACCTGGCACAGAGTAAGAACTTGAATAGATTTTTTGAACTGTATACTTGGATTTAGGGATATGGCCCCTGTCCCCAGGAGCTTGTAAATTGGCTGGAAGGATGATACACCCACAGGCATGAAACATTCTAAGACAAAATACAGTGCTAGATTCAAAATAACCAAGAGATAGAACACACGATGTTCCCAGCAATTAGAAGGAAAAAACAATGTGAGCTGACATTGCTAAGAGGTTTCCTGGAGGACTGAAGAGGAAGAAATGCCGTGACAATTCCTCAGCTCCCCAGGACGGGCTCTTTCTGACCCCACTGCCCTGCACCTTGCCCCATGCCTCTGTCAGGCTGGCCTCAAACCCCCAACGAACCACGGAAGATGCAAAATCACACAACAGCAACAGCATCAGGAAGTTCCACGTTTAATACTTAACAACACAGGAATTTTCCAACTAACTCCGGAAGATGTAAAATCACACAACAGCAACAGCATCAGGAAGTTCCACGTTTAATACTTAACAACACAGGAGTTTTCCAAGGGCCGGGTTATTGAACTTGAAATAGGTAAATGAATGGCATGTATTTATCTGCAGGCAGCAAAGATAGGATGCAACTCTTCCAGGAGGCTGGGGGATGGAGGAGGCGGTTCCAGGGATCTGTTAGGAGAAGCCCTCTCAACAGAACTCAGAGGGTAGAGAGCTTCAGGAGTGGGCATCCCCTCCAAAAGGCTCCAATGTGCATAGGGAGGTGTGAGGAAAAGCATCCACTATCTTGCAATAACAATGGAAAATGAGTGCAAGAAACATTCAGCTCAAAGACTCCCATCCAATACCCAGGTTGGCTCAGCTCTGCGCAAGAACTCCAAGCAAACCGAAGATTTCATAGCCAAAAGCCAGAAGAGCTCCTCAGCCAAGAGGCTTCTGGGAGTGCAGGGGCCTAGGAATTGGGGACCACAAGAAACCAGGCAGAGGGCAGAGGAGAGAAGGGGCTACCCCAAGTCAAGGAGGGAAGCTGAGGCACCAGCAGCCTGGACTTCTAGCCACATGGGTTGGGAGATCCCCTGTAGTCTGATGTTTCATGGGTGGGGCTTCTGGGGTATGGTTTTCTAAGAATCTGTGAGCTTCAGAGACCACATCAAGGAAGAGCCCCCCCAGGAGTGATTGGTTATTATCCCACACTCTCGGCTCCATCCCATGGTTGCTATGAAAATGCCCAAATGCCCTGAGGCAAGTGGGTTTCAAAGCACAGCCATACAAGGCCCAGGGAGTAGCAGCCAGTCACCTGCCAAAACCCTGCTCTGCTGTTGCCCTTCCAGATTCACGTAAAGCCTTGGAAGGTCAGATTTCATATGATGCCACCCCACATGCTTCCCCCACTGCAGCCCAATAAGGTGGCCTTGTTTGAGCAGAGAAAGGACTTCCCAGCCTAGCAGTTCTCTGAGCTTCATTCTCTTCCTGAAATGCTACTGGCCTCAGGCACTGAATCATTCTGGTCTCCCTTGTGCAAACCCAAGCCAACCCTCGCCTTCGCTATTTGAATGAGGTTGCAGAGACCACAGCTAGCTGCATGCAAAGGATGCAGGAGGTGGGGAGGTGGGAAGAATTCTGCTCCATCCAGCTCCCCCAATATGCACGTCCTCCCTCCCAGGAAGCTATTGCCTCAAGTCTTCTTGATATTGTTTGACGCTGAAACAGTGCTTTGTAGAAATGCTTGGAATGACAAGGATGAGAGAGAGGGAATGCAGAGATAGATGGCTCTAAAAGTCCATTCCCAAAGAGCCTTTTGATCATTCTCTTGGCTCTCAGCTCCTTCACCCTTCTCTTTTTCTGTCTATCCCCTCCCCTATTCCTCATCCCCCATTCCGCTCTCAGACCAGGACCACAATTTGTATGCACAATCCTTCCCCCTTTCCGTGGCTGTGAAAAGGATGAATTACCTTCTTGATCTCAACGTGATGGCCCTGTCCAAGCACCCCTTCACCTGCTGTGTCCGTAATTGAAGTGTGGTCTCTGAATCTGCAGCTGTCACAGAGGACTTGACAAAGAGACCAGAGCAGGGTCCTGCACATACCAGGCTCTCCTTGGTTGCCTTGAGCACAGAAGAATGCAATTTTCCACACCCTGCACAGGTGGAAGGCCACACGACGTTCTCAGTCACTGGAAGTGCTCTTTAACTGGGAGCAAAATATTAGCAAAGATGCCCCCAGACTTGCTTTCAGCTGCCCCTCATCCCAGCTCCTGCCTAAGAAAATTCTGGAAGACTGAAAGAAGCCATGCTTGTCTTCCAAGTCTGAGAAACCCTTGGCAGCCTTAGCATTGGCCTGTCCTATGCCTCAGTTTCCCCACTTGTGATGTAGTTACTCCAGCAGAAAATCCATCAACAAGCAAATAACTGAAAATGAGGACAGGACATCCCAAAACCTCAGGTGGGAGGCTTTGCCTCATCTCCCATGCCTTTGCCTCCCCATCTCCTATGGGCTGACTACAGAGACTTCCCTCCTCCACTCCCTGCCCAGGTCCTGAACTAATCCTGAGACAGGAAGCTTGTACGTTGGCTCAGTTTCTTTCTCCCCACTATAAAGTTTTCTTCCTTGGTTCCAACTCCTAAATCCAAAAATGGATACTAAGCAGGAGTTTCCTGGCCTCTGTCAGTCCTAGAGTTTGCCCACAGCCCCACAGTCAGCTAGGCTCCACTGTCTTCCACAGCAGTGCTTCCTGACAGCTTTTGACCAGGGCCCAGGCTGAAGCCTGGGCTCTCATCCACCCCTAGGGTCTGTGCTGCCACAACGGAGCCTCCACTCCTAGCGCACAGCCTCCTCCCTACACAGCTGTGTGTGCAAGAGAGACTGTGGTTTGGTTTCCCCATATCTGTCCCTCTATCACGGGCAGCTCTCATGCCAGGCACAGCCCTGTGCCCATCCCTGCTTACCCCATGAGGTCATGAGCAGATCAACACACATCATAGCGGGTTTAGGCCTAGGATGGTTGGAAGACTAAGTGAGACAATCTCAGTAAAACTCCTATACAAGAAAATGCCAGGGCCGGGCATGGTGGCTCACGCCTGTAATCCCAGCACTTTGGGAGGCTGAGGCAGGCAGATCACTTGAGGTCAGGAGTTCGAGACCAGCCTGGCCAACATGGTGAAACCCCGTGTCTACTAAAAATACAAAAATTAACTGGGCGTGATGGTGTGTGCCTGTAATCCCAGCTACTCTGGAGGCTAAGGCAGGAGAATCACTTGAACCCGGGTGGCAGAGATTGCAGTGAGCTGAGATTGCACCACTGCACTCCAGCCTGGGTGACAGAGCAAGACTCTGTCTCAAAAAACAGAAAAAAGAAAAAAAAATGCCGACCATTTGTACCCATGGTTTCTGGTCTATCACATCTTCACTCTCTTTTACCCTTTTTACCCTGATCACATGAAATAAAAATATATATATATATTAATGGTAAGGAAGCATCTTGAGCTTAGAGGGAGCAAGACATGCTCTGGTGTGTGTCTAGCCAGAATGTCTTAGCCCGTGGGGACAAATGCTCACTGACATTCAACGTACAAAGAGCAATGACTCTGAGCCCCAGCCTGCTTAATCACAGGACATCTTATCTTTTCAAGTCTCCAGATATTCCTAAGGTCCTCAGGAATTACACCCACGTGTCCAGCACTTCCCAGTTCCAGTGGGCACCCCTCGCATGGTGCTCTAGGGGTTGGCATCCCAGAGCAGCAACTCTGCAGCATCTGGGTTATATCAAAGTTCACCATCCAAGGATGGACTGAGAACACCCATCACGGTGCTGAGCTTATAACCCAGGCCAGTGGGCCCAGAATAGCTTCTCTGTCTGAGATTCAGTGCTGATCCATCCTCCATATCCTGGGTGCCCAGATCCAGGGCTTCTCATTTAAAAGGGACAGTGATAACTCTTCCAGTCCTTAGGCCTTTGTGCTAATTTTTCTATAGCAGGGTAGTCTGTGCCTCAGTTTCCACTTCCAGCCCAAAGGGAAGATCAAACCTCATGCTCTTGCGTCCTCTGTTTCTATTTTCCTGAAAGCAGCTCCCAACCTCCCCAAACTCTCACCATCATGACCATGTATACACTGACATCATTGTGTGTATAAGAAAAAGCAAGAATTCAGGCAAAGTAAAATATAATATTTGCCACTCAGCTTGTCCCTCATTCACTGAAGCCCTGCCAAGAACCATGCGCCCCCACAATCACCAGTAGTAAAATGTTCCTAAAAAGAACATTTATCTTTCCAGGCTTTACCTCTGCGTTGAGTCAACACTGCCGCCTCCCACCCCTACCTGGTTCCCCAGCGTGGGTGGAACTGAAGGGGCCATTCAGGGGGTCTTGCAGAACAAAGGATTAATCTTCTCCAAAATAATGTTAAAGTTTTCATCTATAGCTAGGAAACAAATGCAAGCAATTTTCCAATGATAAATTTCCTGGCTTCTACACTCAAATTGTAAAAGTCTTAAAGCCATGGCACCCACTTCCATGTGACACTTGTAAATTTCCAGACCATGATGAGAGTCATGGGTAGAAAGGGCACCACAGAGGAGACTCAAGCTCCAGCCCCAGCCCTTTCTCTAACTGGCTTCGGGTAAGAACACTGTCCAGGTTCCTCATCTGTGAGTCGAGGGGATTCAGCTAGATTTCTAAGGATTGCAGAGCTCCAATATTCTAGCGTTGCGCTATCATTCATGATAAGTAATTATAACTAAGACAGGATTTGGCCTTGACACCAGCATCTGAAGCATACATGAGATATCTCTGTTATTCTTTCCCAAAGCAGAAATGGTGCTCTGTTCTTGCAGAGGATCAGGAAGAGATGGCAGTGAGCCAACAGATGTTCCTGGAGTATCTACTGCATGCCAGACCACGTGCTGGGTGCTGGGGTACACAGTGACCAGAGAAGACATGATCAGCATAGAACTGACAACCAAAGAAGTTATGGCTTTCAGGGATCTTTCAATTGGTAGGAGAAACTTACACTAAATAAATGCATATAGCCATAGGTTACGGAATGCATCGCATCCCCCTCAAATTAATTTGTTGAGGCCCTAAGCCCAATGTGACTGTATTTGGAGATAGGGCCTTTGGGGAGGTAATTAAGGTTAAATGAGGTCATATGACTGGTGTCCTTATAAGAATAGGAAGAAAGACCAGAGCTTGCTATCTCTGCATGTACAAAGAAAAGGGGTTATGAGAGCACACAGAGAAAAGGCAGCCATCTGCAAGCAAGAAAGAGAGCTGTCACCAGAAACCACATATGCTGGCACCTTGATCGTGAACTTATGGTTTCCAAAAGTATGAGAAAAATCAATGTTTTTCAGTTACCCAATCTGCAGTATTTTGTTATGGCAGCCCAAGCTGACCAATACACCATGTTTCATCAAATCCAGGACACTATTGACCTTGTGACACACCATTGTCTTATGTCTACTGAAAAAAAAAAAAGGGGGGGGCCCTGCCAATTAAACACAATTACTTCTTATCACTTAGAACTCTTACACTTATTGAAAAACTCTTTTAGAATCATTTAGTTTTGTGTTGCTCTTATACAGGCAAAAAGGGGAATAAAAGCAAAATAAATTAATTACACTGTCCCTAAAACTTCTTATTCAGTGTCAAAGGCTTCTGAATCACTTTCCAACTCAGACTTGAAAATGGCACCACGGATGGATGATGGATGAGGCTGTATTTTCTAAAAGTTTGCTCCACTATTGCTTCCAAGACTTTCTTCCAAGTTCTTGACATTCATCATACAAACGGATGTTGATGCTTCCATGCTTGCCTGTGATACACAATTCTTGCACACTAATGTAACTGTAACATAGCTTGATCTCCTTGTGGACTCTTTCTTTCTTTGTCCTTATATTAATCTGCTCAGGCTGCCATAACAAAATGCCACAGCCTGGGTGGCTTAAACAACAGAGCTTTATTTTGTCACAATTCTGGGGAATGAAGTTCAAGATCAAGGTACAGGCAGCTTTGGTTTCTCCTGAGGCCTCTCTCCTTGGCTTGCAAATGACCACCTTCCTGCTGCATCCTTACATGGCCTTTCCTCTGTGCTCACACATCCCTTGTGTCTCTTGTTGCAAGGACACCAGTCATGTTGGATGAGGGCTCTATCCATATGACCTTATTTAACCTTAATTACCTCCCTCAAAGGCCCTCTTTTCAAATACAGTCACATTGGGGGTTAGAGCTCCAACATGTGACTTTAAGGGGGACACAATTCAGGCTACAACAGTCTTGTAAAGCATTTTGTTGTCACTTTGCAAGAGAATAGTGATCTTATCTTTCGAATAATAAAAAATTTGCTTTGCTTGCTAGCATCAAATTGATACCCTGCTATTCCGTTTTCTTTCTATATAAACTTTTTGTTTCGGTACCAAATTAGAGTGATATTGTTTTTTAAGAGGTATTCTAAATATAAACTAAACCCCAGATATGCAATGTCAATCATGCACCTAACTCCACTGGAGGGACGACAACATAAGTACCCATGACCAAGTCTGTGCATGCTCAGACAATGATCACAGCAGTCAATGTGGCTGTCCAGCCCACAGCATCATAAGATAGCATTTAAAAGTGAGACACATCCCCCTTTCAGAAATGTTAAATGTGGGGAAATGTGTGTGTGTTTTAGATGAAATATGGTAAAATAAATAAATAAATAAATTAGGATATCCATGTAATTCTTGTGCAGTTTGAGTTTTTAATAAATTTGCTTCTATATAATATATAAGCAAATTGCAAAGTGTGACAGAAAATGAATTTACTGAAGATTTCAATGACATTTTTAATGATTTATTTGTTCTAATTTCTTTCTTTAATTTTCTAGGTAATAAACCCTTCTGTATACAGAATGGTTCTATCCAAATATATCTAAAATGATGCTGGATATGTCGAAAGCCAACATTTCTGTAATTAAATATAGTAAATTATGATTAAATTTCCTCTATTTTCCATCTAGCAGTTTGTATTACAGAAATAAATGTATTAAAATTCCTAACAGCATACAAACCTTAGGGTAACCCTGTATAGTATTAAGTGATTGATTACAAGTCTACAGAATGCTGGGATGAACAGGGTTGCCCTTAAGAAAGAATTTCTCAAGCTGAGACCCAGAAGGTGAGTTAGGAGTCAGCCAGGGAGAAGGGATATTCCAAGGAGAAGGAACAGCATGCACAGGGGCCTGGAGAGAGAAACTAGGGAGGAGGCAGACAGACTTGAAGTTGAGGGCGAGGGAGGGGGGAACGACAGGGCACAGAGCAGAGATACAGGCAGAGGCCTTCCTGGGCCCACCTCACCACTTCTAGGCACATCCCAGAGTGCAAGAAGGTTGCTCACTGCTTCAGTTTTTATAACAGCAAAAGATTACAAACAATCTCAACGTTTCATCCATAAGGGGCTGGTTAAAGAAACTACGGTTCACCCAAACAGAAATTTTTAGAAAGTTCCAAAAAAAACCAACATGGAACTCTTTATTGCTATGCAGTGATCTCCAAGACAAATTAAGTGCTAGATGCAAAAGGTGCTAGATAGAAAGTGCTGGATGCAAAACAGTGAGTATGATACGATATAATTTGTGTTAAAAAATTAATTTACACATGCTTATATGTGCTAGACTATTTCTTGAAGGATACACAAGAAATTAAAAGGGCTGGTTACCTCCAGAGAAGGGTATTAGGTGGCTGGGGATGGGGTGGGAGGGAGAATTTCAATGGTCTGCCATTGAATCTTTTCAGACCTGCAGGAGGAGGAGGGGGAAGAAGAAAGATGTTTTAAGTGGAAGGGCAGCTCATGTAAGACTGTGGCTCTGTTTGTGGGAAGGCTTGCATGTGGACAGGTAATGATGAAGCTCCTCCATGTTCCTTCAGCTTCCTGCAGGATCCTGTCTGTCTGGTATTGTTTTTCTGCTGTTTCACACAGAGATGCTCTTTGAGAAAGATCATAAACTCCTCAAGGGCAGGAATCTTCAAGTGCAAGTTCAGAGCCCCCACAGTGCCTAACACACACGTGAAACACAGCAAAGTTGTCTTAATTCCAGCCGCCAGGTGTGCTGACTCACTTGACCCCCCAGCCCCCACCCCACACGAAGCAGCCTCTAGAGTCTGCCCCAAACCCAAATGCTGCATAATCAAGCTGGAGGAATTCCCTCCTCCTAGAAATTCCAGCCCAGTCTCAGAGGCCGCATTAGAACTGCTCTTTGTGGTTAAAATGACTTTCACAGGCACCAAGGGGAAGGGTTTCCAAACTGAGGGTTCACAATCCACCAGTAAGTTGTGAAATCAATTTGGTGATCCAACAAGCCTTTTTTAAAAAGAATGAGGGCCTGGCGAGGTGGATCACACCTGTAATTCCAGGACTTTGAGAGGCCAAGGTGAAGATTGTTTGAGGACAGGAGTTCAAGACCAGTCTCAGCAACACAGCAAGACCCCATCTCTATAAAAAAATTTTAAAAAATTACCCAGGTGTAATGGCCCATGCTTATAGTTCCTGATACTGGGGAGGCTGAGGCAGAAGGATCGCTTGAGCCCAGGAGTTTGAGGCTGCAGTGATCTAAGATCGCACCACTACACTCCAGCCTGGGTGAAAGGAGACCCTGTCTCTTAAAAAAAAAGAATGGAAATTTTCAAAAGTCAGAATATATCACACACTAGTAAAAATAAGTATTATTTTGTGAAAATGTTTAATTTCAAATATGTGTGTGGATAGTGGGTCATCGGTAAAATATATTTATTACCGTGGGTTGCAGCCAAAAGTGTTTGAAAGGCAGTGGCCTAGAGGAGTGAGTGAGCAAATGGCTCCAGAGTTGAGCAAAGCTTAGTTCAAACCCCACATCTATGATTTTGTCTCCCTGGCAGGTGACTTAACCTCCTCTCATGGTACAATGGAGACAGTAGCAACGCCCACCTCATGGGACGGTTGCAAGGTGCTTAGGCTTAGCTTGAAATCTTGGCTTAACACTTGATAAATGGTTAGCACTCAAGAAACATTCATTATCACTATCACAACCAAGAAATATGCCCTTCGTCTTGCTCAAGAATCTCTGGCACCAAAGCAAACAATAGACTTGGTCGTGGCCTGTGTTCCTGGCTGCCCCATGGCTCTTCTGCCTGGCAGCTTCTGCCCAGTGTCCTCCTTCTCACTCCACAGGGAGCAATTGGCTCCACAGCTTCCTGCCTCTTCACCATCAAAGGGGCTGGGTGACCAGAAAGGCGCATTTCAATTCAGGGGAGAACATTACTTTACTCTAATAGGACATTTGCTATCCCAGCCCCCTTTCAGCATTGGTTCCAGGGAAATAGATGGTCCCAGCCACTGTAATTCCTTCGTGATATATTTAAAGAGGAAGATGATGAAGGAAATAATGGCAGTCGATCTGTGGTTGGAAAGAATATATGATGTGCATGCCCCGTCCAAAATTAATGATGAATCAATATCTGAGAGGCAGAGAAAGTGCTTTATTAGGACCTTTGACAAAAAGGACAATTAGGACCTTGAGACAAAAATCTCAAGGCCCACCTCCCTCTCTCTCTCATACTTCCCAAACCAACTGCCAACCCTGTGTGCCCAGCTCAGGTACAGGTCAAGAGAGATGGGCACAGCTGAAAGCCTGAGGGTATTGGAGAGACCAACAGATGTTTCCCCTCGGGTTAGGACCACACCCAGTGGCTCTGGGTCAGGAAGCACTGGGATGCCTTCTCAGGTGTGTCAGCTTAGTTTGCAGAGCTGAGTGTGGGCCACAGGGGCGAGCCACCTGTTACTAACGATGCCCATTAAGAACCTACAATGTAACCAGATGTCAAGTTTCATGCAGCCGCTTCCTTTGCCCTCATTTCATGGTCCCAGTCTGATATGGTTTGGCTCTGTGTCCCCACCCAAATATCATCTTGAATTGTAATCCTCATAATCCTCACATATCGAGGGAGGAGCCTGGTGGGAGGTGATTGGATCGTGGGAGCAGTTTTCCGCATGCTGTTCTCATGACAGTGAGTTCTTATGAGACTTGATGGTTTTACAAGTGTTTGACAGCTCCTCCTTCACGTGCGCTGTCTCTCCTGCTGCCTTGTGAAGAAGGTGCCAGCTTCCCTTTCTGCCATGATTGTAAGTTTCCTGAGGCCTCCCCAGCCATATGGAACTGTGAGTCAATTAAACCTCTTTTCATTATAAATTACCCAGTCTTGGTTGTTTCTTTATAGCAGTGTGAAAATGGACTAATATACAGTTTCTGTAAGAATACTGGGAGAGGATCTTAGGCAGCTGTGGCTGCTATGGCCCACTGGTAGGGGCTCATCTTATGAGTAAAGAAATTCAGATGTAGAGTTGTTGAATGCATAAAACTAGACTGGAACTAGGACCCAATTCCCAAGCTGCTGCCGGTTCCACAGTCTCACAGACACAAGTTGGGAAGAGCACAAAGTGATGGGCACACGTAAGGTGGCATTACCATCAAGGGAAGCGAAAGCAGTAAGAGCTAGAATGATTGGTCAGAGCAGTGAGGAAGAGAACAGGACTGTAAAGAGAGAGGAGCCAGAGACAGGCTTGATTAGAAACTCAGGACTGAATTTGGTGCTTGAGCCAGTACCTTAAATTCCAAGGTCAGAAGGCTTTGTGTGGATCTGAGGGGTCATGGACATTTGCATTCCTGCTGCTTGCCGCCCCAGCAGCTGGCCTGATTTCCATTTCTAACAGTGGCACTTGCTGTGGAGGTACAGTATATTATGGACTAATTAAGGCTGTTAATGATAGTGGCAATCCATTAAGTGATCTACGGTATTATTCTGATCTTTCTCTGTCACCTCCTTTCATCAGGCCATTAAGGTGACAAGCTTCATAGAACACACTAATCTCCCCTCTGTCAGTCCCTTGGTGTTTTTTTCCCTGGAAGAGCTACGGACTCTCTCGGGATGAGTCATCCGAGGATACAGCTGAAGGGCTGGACTCACCAAGCTCCTCCTCCACCCTCAGTCTCTTCCACTCAGAACACCTGGGCTCATGGGAAGTCTCTTTTGTATTCCCTCCCTGTTATGGACTGAATGTTTCTGGCTCCCTAAATTTCCTATGTTGAATCCCTAATCTCCGATGTGGTGGTATTTGGAGATGGGGCCTTTGGTAGCTGTTTAGGTTTAGATACGGTCATGACAGCAGGGTCCCAGTGATGGAATTAGTGTCCTTATGAGAAGAGGAAGAGAGACCAGAGTGCTCTCTCTGCCCTGTGAGGACACAGTGAGGATGGTGGCCATGTGCAAGCCAGCAAGAGGGCCCTCACCAGGAACCAATCCTACTGATACCTTGCTCTTGGCCTTCCTAGCCCCCAGAACTTTGGGAAATCAATGCCTGTTGTTTAGGCCACTCAGTCTGAGCCCTACTGGTGGGCTCATCTTATGAAAGAGGATATTTGAGATGTAGAGTTGTTGAATGCATGAAACTAGGCTGGAACTAGGACCCAATTCCCAAGCCACTGCCAGTTCCACAGTCTCACAGACACACGGCCACACATACGAACACACACTGTCATACACTCACAAACACATGCTATCATATACACACACATGCATTCACACGTACACCAACATACACACACATGCAGTCACACACATATACAAACACACGCTGTCATACACTCACAAATACCCACATGCTATCATATACACACATACACTCACACATACACCAACATACACACATACACGCAGTCACACACATATACATTCACAAACACATGCTGTCATACATTCACAAACACCCACATGCTATCATATACACGCATATACACTCACACATACACTGACTTACACACATGCAGTCACACATATATATACATTCACAAACCCACAGTCATACATTCACAAACACCCACATGCTATCATATACACACATATACACTCACACATACACTGACATACACACAGACATGCAGTCACACATATATATACATTCACAAACCCACACTGTCATACATTCACAAACACCCACATGCTATCATATACACACATATACACTCACACATACACTGACATACACACACACATGCAGTCATGCACATATACACTCTCAAGCACACACTGTCATACAATCACACTATCATACACATATGCACTCACACACTTACATACACAGTCACACATATACTCACATGTATATTCATGAACACACACTTCCATACACTCAAAAACACATGCTATCATATACACACGTACACTCACATACTCACACATATGCAGTCACACACATGCATATACATTCACAAACACATGCTGTTATCCACTCACAAACACCCACATGCTATCATACACACATACACACTCATACACTCACATACACACAGTCACACATATACTCACATACACACTCACAAACACACACAGTCACAATATACTCACATACATTCACACAAGCAATTACACACATACATATACACTCACAAACACTATCATATACACACATATACACACACAGTCACACACATACACATACACTCAAAATATACACTCATAAACACACACTATCATATACACACATACACTCACACACATCCACATTCTTCCATATATACTCACGAACACACACTGTCATACACTCACACTCATACACTTACATACACATTCACACACAGTCACATATATACTCACATAAACACTCATGAACACACAGTCATATACCCACAAACACACATATACTCACACACACACAGTCATATATATACTCACATATACACTCATGCACACACACAAACTCACAAACTCAGTGTCATATACACATATACACACATATGCACTCACACATACACTCACGTACACACACACTTATGCATACATTCAGTCACACATATACTCATGTACACTGTGTCACACACACATATGCATACACTTACACACTCACACATCGTGTATGTCCTTCTAAGCACAGAAACGCTTTCCATTTCCAACAGTATCAATAATTCCTGATTACTGAGACTAGTGACTTACAGAACCTTCCCTTTTTCCAACTCTTACCAATTTTTCAGTGACATAAAATATAGAATTTGGCCATTTCCCATGGGGCTTCAGCCAAGGGACATCACTAAGAGCTGTATCTCAGCTTTCCTCTGCCTTCACACTCTCAACAGTAATGCTGCTCAGTATCCCCAGTGATCCCTAATGAGGGGGCTCCTCCGCCCAATGCTTTTTACCTTTTCGGGGTAATTAAAGCAGAAGCATTCAAGGTTTCAGTCCCCATGTTCCCTCCTCAATCCAGCTCCAGAGGGGAAATACTGGTCTGATTGGGCTGTGTCCCAAAACGCTGGGCCACGCTACTAGTGGGCAAGATCTCCATGCATTAAGGTCTCCATGTGGTCTGCATCTCATGATTAGACTGGGGTTCTGGAATGCATTGAAACTCATCTCACAATTAGACTGGGGTTCTGGAATGCATAACCCCAGTCTAATCATGAGAATCCACCAGACAGACCCAAATTGAGGGGGATTCTACAAAATACACGACCCGCACTCTTCTAAGGTGTCAAGGTCATGAAAAACAAGACTGGAAAACCAACACAGACTGGAGGAGACTAAGAAGACCTGACAACTAAATGCCATGTGGGACCCTGGAGGGGACCCGGGAACAGTAGTAGAAGAGCTGGTGACATCTGAATGAAGTCTGTAATTTGGGTAACAGTACTGTACCAATGTTAATTTCCCTGCTCTGCCAATGCGATGAGGGGTATGTAAAAGGTTAACATTAGGGGAGGCTGGTGAAGAATACATAGGAACTGTCTACTGTCTTGACAACTTTTCTGTATATCTAAAGTTCCTTCCAACTAAAACATTTAACTACAAAAAAAAAAAAAAAAAAAAAAAAAAAAAAAAAAAGCCAGGCCTAGCCTATATTACAATGTTCACTGAGAACATGCTGCTAGCACAGACCTGGTGGTGAGTTGCTCAGGGAACGTATGCACTGTAGTCATGCACTTGCTGGTACTGTTTATTAGGTGCAGACATCCCAGATAAGAGCTGAGTTACAAGCATCCAAATCAATGACATTTTAATAAATAGTTTACATATATATATATGCACACATGCACACACACAGATGGCAATAAGAGATTTAGTCTAAGATCTGTGCAAAAACGAGTTTGCCTAGCAAAACAAATTAACATGTTGGGTTTTAAACTGTTGATATTTGGCATATAAACCATTGGAGTTTTGTTTTTTCTATTACAACCATAAAAATAGTTTTTGGATAAAATTCGAATCACTTCTGCAGAGAGAAAAGACCTGGGTCCCACAGAACAGTTAGAGAATCACTAATGCAGTCCTTTTATTTTATAGATGGGAGTCCAGACAGGCTTAACCAAGGTCACATAGCAAGTTAGGATGAGAACCTAGGTCTCCTGGTTTCTGGTTCTGAGCTCTCTGAACCTGATGAGTGAAGGACAGCTCCAGCAATGGAGCCTGAATCCCCAGACAGCCTGGTACATCACTGCAAAACAGGCAAGGCCAGGTTGGCTGGGGCAGCCGAGAGCACACGGTCCCATAGCTCATGCAGATAGGGCTGGTCAGGAAGAACACAATGGCAACTCTGAAGAGCGAGTGTCAGGCAGCAGCTCTCTAAGGAGGCCACCACAGTCCGCAGGAGGGATTGGATGGGGGATAGGGTGTGAGGCAGCTGGTGAGTGAAAGACCACCTCCAAGAGCATGGAAGAAAACTCCAGGTCTCTGCAAGAGAAGGGAACAGAAGTGCCAACACCTGGGTCCAGCTGCTCTATTGAGCTGCCTTTGTTGAAGGACTGAGTTGAACAGCAGATCTTGCCGAGGCTGCCGCTTCCTGCCATTCACACTGTCCCAGAGAAACCTTCCCTGAGCATCATGCAGTTTTCCTTTCTAGATAACTGTTATTCATAGGTAAGATTATCTGGCTCATTTGTTTAGCTGTTTAGTGTCTGCTTTCCCCCATTCAAACGTCAGCAACTTGTCTGTTTTGTTCAAGGCTGAATCCCAGCCCATAGAATAGTGCTTGGCACATAGTAGGCACTCAATAAATAGCTATTGTATAGATGAGTAAATGGACTCTTCCCATACCCGATGTGTCTCTGACCTTGTATTTTTCTACATCAGAGCTATTCCTAGATGCATCTCAGAGTCTGTTTGTCAAGAAGCAGAGGCTTTGATGGAAAAGCACTTTGCTGAGAACATCTCAGGCAGCGTTTTTCTTCTGCTTCATTTTCTCTTCCTAATGTGTGACAGGACGGCACCACTGGCTGCAAGCCATCCTGAGACCATGCTGCTTCCCTCCCAGGACTGTCACATCCACCGCATCTGGTTTACAAGCCAAACACTGATATCCTGTCCTTGGGTAAACCCCAACATTCCTGTCAGATGGTTTCACTGTCTTAGGAATTCAGTACTTAGAAGGATATTGAAAGTATAGCCCAAGGCTAAATGAGACTTGGAATTTCCTTAATTGAATTGGGGACTTCAGCACCACAGACAGATGTTTTTGGCATAGTCTACTTGATGCAGCCCTCATAAACAAGCATCACACACAAACTGTCAGAGTTCTAAGTCCCTGCTACTTATGACCTTGGACACGAGTACTGCCATCTTTCCTCCAGATTAAGAATGAAAGAAAGACACTCAAGAATAACGAACTAAGGGACTTGCCTTACCAGATTTCAAGATTTATTAGGTAGACCCATATTCTTGATACAGAAGTGGCTTTTGGGTCACTGGGGATAGGATTAATTTAAATAAATGGTGCCAAGACAATTGTCTATCCACACAAAGATATTCCACTGGATATCCCAATGGGATATCCAGGGAAATGTGTGAATCACTATTCTTATCTCACATAAAAATAAATTCCAGGTGCACTGAAGACTTAAATACAAAAAGCAAAAAACTTTAAAACATTTAGAAGATAAGAAAGGAGAGTATTTTTACAAACTCAAAATCAAAAAGGGACACAAAAAGAAAAGATTGATACATGTCGACTACTCTAAAATCAAGAACTTCCATTCAAAAAGAAAGAAGAATTTTGAGGTATCAAAAGATACCATTAAATAAGTGAATAGCAACTGGAGAAAACATTGAAAGGATATTTAATCACCCAAGGATTATTATCTAGAACACAGAAATAATTCTTAAAAGTCAAAGAAAAGACAAAACCCAAAAGAAAAAGAGCAAAAGGCATGAGAAAGGATGCCACTAAAGAGAGGAAATATGAAAAACAAAATTAAAGAGAGGAAATATGAAGAGAAGTTCAATTTCATTAATAGTCAAGAGAATATAAATTAGAAGCACAATATCATACTCACCATATTGGCAAAAATTAAGAAACTCGAGAATAACAAGTGGTGGTGAGGATGTGGAGACATGGGAATTCTTATGTCAGAAGTATAATTATTTTGTCAGGAGTATATTCAGGCATTTTCGAAAATAATATGGAAACACCTTGAAAGTTAAAATTGCACCTACCGTAGGGTGAGTGATTCCACTCCAGGTACACATCCTACAGAAATTCTTACACATGTGTACCCAGAGACATATGCAAGATATCCACAACCATAATGTTCCCATTAAAAGCCTGAAACAACCTACATGCCCATCAGTGAAAGAGTGCCTACTAAGTCTGGTATCTTCACATAATGGAAAATTAGGTAGCAGTGAAAAGTAAATGTAAATATAGACACAAGGATAATCTTAGAAACATAATGTTGAATAGAAAGCAAGTTTCAAAGGACTACCATCAATATGTCTTTTTTAAACTCAAAATCAAGCAGAATGAAACAACATATTGCTTAATAATTCACACAGATGAGGAGGTGAAACTATACTTTAAAAGTTCAGGGAATGATAAGCATAAAATTCAAAATAGTGGTTATTTTTATGGAAGAGCAGGGCCGTGGAGTCTGTTGGAGGAGGAGAATGCAGAGAGCATCTATCTTATTGGTAAAACTCTGATTTTTAATTTGGGTGGTGGCTTCAGCAGTGTGTGTTTCATTAGTATGCTTTATTTGTTACCTTGTTATATAGACTCTACATATATTTATTAATACACTTATTAAATATATATACTAAAATTTAAAATACTAAGAAAGAATGTGAGGGAAAGCCATCTCTGGTCCCAAATCTTATTATCTTCCCTGAAATACACTTGCCCTTTGGGGGCATGTTGAGATTGATTAAGGCCAGATAAATTCAAATTGTAAAATCATTGTTATTCATTCATTTAACAAAAATTATGGAGCATCTACCATGTGCCTGCCCTGAGGACTGGTCACTGAGCAGGACAAACTTGGCTCTTGCTCTCACTTCGACAGAGCTAAGACTCTAGGAGCTAACCTGAGTCCTGGAGAATGTCTCCTTTCTTCACTTCCTCTTGGGCAAGCAATCTCCATTTCCTTCCCCACAGTGCTGCTGTCTTCTGAAAAGAAGCAGTGGACAAGGGATAAGAACCTGTCTTGGGAGGAGCCAATCTCTTCTGGGGTCTAGAATCTGCCTCTCAAACAAATCTCACTTTGTAATTAGACTTTCTTTGGCCACTAGACTGTCCCCCAATATGGTTTGGCTGTGTCCCAACCCAAATCTCATTCTGAATTGTAGCTCCCACAATTCCCACATGTCATGGGAGGGACCCAGTGGGAGGTAACTCAATCTTGGGGGCGGATCTTTCCCATGATGTTTTTGGGATAGTGAATAAGTTTCACAAGATCTGAT
Organism: Homo sapiens; assembly: GCF_000001405.40. Taxonomy (NCBI): domain Eukaryota; kingdom Metazoa; phylum Chordata; class Mammalia; order Primates; family Hominidae; genus Homo; species Homo sapiens. The sequence continues at coordinate 132,653,039 of NC_000007.14, forward strand.
GGTTTTATACAGTGGAGTTCCCCTGCACATGCTCTCTCTTGCTTGCCACCATGTAAGATATGACTTTGTTCCTCCTTCATTTTCCACCATGATTGTGAGGCCTCCCCTCACAATGGTGAGGTGGAATGGTGAGTTTATTAAACCTCTTCCCTTTATAAATTACCCATTCTTAGCTATGTCTTTATTAGCAGCATGAGAACAGACTAATACGCCCCCCAAGTAATTAAAGCCTGTAGGCCTTTCTATACACCTGGCTGATGCCATCTGCTTAGACCACAACAGTCTGAATTTGGATCCTCGCACCATGGTTGAAATGTGAATGTAAATGGCTTGGAGCTATGTTTTTCACAAGTGCTGGTGTGTCACTTGTGTCCCGCCCTATGCTTCTCAACATCCTGGTGTGTTTAAGTGACTTGCTCACTCCTGAACACCTGGTCTCCCTCGACGTGCCAGGGCCCTCAGTCCCTGCTTGCTTGCTACGTGCTATCAGAGTCTGATGACACCTGGCCAGTCCTATATAAAGGGGAAGTGGTGACTGATGGCCTTGCTCTGCCCAAGCTGCTGCTGTGAAACCTGCCTGGAAGACACTGACAGCAGCTCTAGCCCTCCCTTGTGCTAAGGAGAAAGGCTCCAGCTCTCTAAGAGCAGTGACTATAGGAACAACAGCTCACCCCTTCTGTCAGCTGAGCTATCCCCAGCCTGGAGAGGTGAGATGCCACCTCTGCTAACTTCCTTTTTTGGCTAGGAATATCCATTTTCTTCCTCATTGAGTCTGAGGAGGTAGCACTAGAAAAGCTTACTTATGCTTTTATCATTCAGATCTCTGGGTAAATTCTTACTCACCCAGAGACAAAAAGAACCTGCTCTAAGCTCCATCTTAGGTGCAAAAATTAGGTACAAGCAGAAAAAGAGAAGTCTGAAACATGGGTCTGCCTGAGAAGATGGTGGAAGGGGATTGCAAGTAGAGACTGACAGCCCCAAAAACTTGGAGAGACCCCCCCAGACAAGTCAATCAGAAGTGCCCAGAGTAACCTTCCCATAGAATTTTCTGCCACAATGGAAATGCTCTGTGACTTTATGTCCAATATGGTAGCCATGAGCCATGTGTGTGTCTCTGGAGCACCTGAAATGTAGTTAGTGTGACCAAGAAACTGAGTTTCTAATTTTGTTTGATTTGAGTTAGTTTGAATCTGAAGAGCCACATATGTATTACTGTATTAGACAGAAAGCTCTAGAAAAACGCTAAACTGAAAAAAAAAATTGAGGGTTGTCAGTGAGGGACAACCACCACTAGAGGCTTTCAGCAGGTTCTGAGCCAAGTTTAGAAATTTGCATGGGCCAAGCTTCAGCAGGCCAGGGGAAGTGGAGTTTCTACCTGAAGCTGAGGGGAAATCCAGCTCCATCTCCACGAAAATAGTATTTTCTAGGTACCGAGAGAAGAGGTTAAAGATAGATGTAAAGAAGCCATCACTGTGTTGTTTATTATAACCCAAACACTGGAAGTAATAGGATCAATACAATAAAAACTGCTGAGCACATATGATGGAACATTACACGAACATTAAAAATCATGTTTTTAAAAATTATTTGGTCACATAAGTGAAAAAATAGAATATGAAAAATATATATACATCATGATCAAAATTTCATGGAGGTAAATACATTATGTATACATGTATAGAAAACAGCTTAGAATGAAATATACTAAATTATCAACAGGAGTCATTTCTAGGTGGTAAAATTTTGAATACTTTTACTTATGTTTTATATTTTTTGCATATTTCCAAATTCTCTGTAATGGTCATTTGTTATTTTATACCAAAAAAAGTCCTATTTAAAGGATGTTCTAAAGAGCTTTTAATAGTGTAGCAAATGCAACTTATTGATAAGCAAACAAAGCAAGATATGATATTGTACATGTAAGTTCTATCATAAGTACATAAACCATATGTGGAGAAAACATTGGAATGTTTGCAATGCTCTCGTGAAATTACATACCTTTCTACTACAGTACTCTTTTCTATAGCCATCTTTTCTGCAATTAGATGTGTATTATTTTCTAACACAGAGGTGGAGAACTCCAACTCATCTGGATGAATCTCCAACCCCAAATATTTAAACAAGCATGTTCAGGCCCTTCCCCCAACCCTGGGTAGACTTGAGCCTTGCTCCTCCCACAGCGTCTTGGGGACACAGTGGCAGTTTCTTGCCCAGCACCCTCGGTGGGCTCCTGACACTCCTAGTGCCGAAATGGATGGCTACTCACCCTTTGGGGCTGACCCTTTCTCCTCCATCCCCTCCCACTCCATTACCACAGCGATTCATTGAAAGAGATCAATAATTATGAAAAACAATTGATTTTCTACTCCCCTCCACCCCCTTCTTTCTCTGAGTAAGTCTGTCTGACATGCATAACGGGAATCAAACCAGAGAGGAAGTGCTGCGGCTTCCCTGGTGGGACATTGTGCTCTCTCTCCCTCTCGGAGGGCCCCTCCCTCTGCACTTTCAGCGATTTCAAGATCCGCACATTACTCTTTATCAACTTGGCAGATGCTATTGCCTCTTCCGGCTCACAAGCTTCCGTGCTGGGCTCCTCTTGTCTGCTTCCTCTCCTGCTAAGATCCCAACACCAGCAACTCACCCAGGGCCGGCCGAGGCTCAGGCTGCAAACTGCACTACCCAGTTCTGAGAGGATAGAAAACTATAGCAGCTGGTTCATCAGGCTTGATGGTGCACCCCAGAACCTTCCCTTAAGGAAGGAGAATTCTCCAATAGATTCCCCTCTCAGTAAAAAACCTCATTCCCTTCATCTCAAAACAGAGGAGCTCGGAGTTGTAAGTGAACCCGAGTTGAGTGGGAACACCACCAAACCACTTCCCTCTGGAGCCCAGCTTTATACAGTAGACAGAATACTGGCATTTACAGGCTTATCATTTGCTATTTTGACCCAGGAGGTCCATTACCCAAAGTAACTTGCAATTTTACTAAGGCATGAATTTAAATTGTTTTTGCTGAATGGTTGATAAGGCAAAAGAAAACTGAAGGCGTGTCAATAACGAAATGGTCATTTGGAAGGGAAACTGAGGCATCAAGAGACGACAAGTATTGGTATAATGGGTCCTTAAAAGCTCTAATTTCAGACCCACAGCAGAGCATTAGCATTCAGAATGGTTGAAACAGAAGTTGATCTGGATTTATTAAAATGTCAGTTTCTTGATATAGTGGTCTCTTCAACAAAGTCTTAATTGCTAGCCTCCCACCAATTTGGAAAACACACATACACATACACACACACACACACACACAGTTTATTCATACCTTTAAACTACTCTGCTTGCCCTTAAAGTTCTCCATTCATTCAACCTCCTAACTGTGAAATTCAAATGACTCCCATCGGGCCCTAATGGCCCTGGTCCCAGATCACCAAAACAGTAAATGTGATGGTTAGTATTCAGTGTCGACTTGATTAGATTGAATAATGCAAAGTATTGTTCCTGGGTGTGTCTGTGAGGGTGTTGCCAAAGGAGATTAACATTTGAGTCAGTGGACTGGAGAGGCACAACCCACCCTCAATCTTGGTGGCCACCGTCTCATCAGCTGCCAGCCTGGCTAGAAGAAAGCAGGCAGAAGAAGGTGGAATTAGCAGACTTGCTAAGTCTGCTGGCCTTCATCTTTCTCCTGTGCTGGATGCTTCCTGCTCTTGAACATCCGACTCCAAGTTCTCCAGCCTTTGGACACTTGGAGTTACGCCAGGGATTTGTCAGGGGCTCTCAGGTTTTTGGCCACAGACTGAAGGCTGCACTGTTGGCTTCCCTACTTTTGAGGTTTGGGAACTCAGATACGCTTCCTGGCTCCTCAGCTTGCAGACGGTTTATTGTGGGGGACTTCACCTTGTGGTCGTGTGAGTCAATTCTCCTCTTCATATATCCATATATCCTATTAGTTATGTCCCTTTACAGAACCCTAATACAGGAACCCTCTAGGAAACACTGCTCCTGGTGGACATCTGTGAGTATGGCATCGAACTACTGTGGCCAAATGGACTCCTCCTCATCCATTAATCTTTCTTCTTATTTTCATCTGCCTCAAACCATCTCCAGATTTCCCTCCTTACCCCTGTTTACCTAAACTTTCTTGGCATGGCATGGGCCAGCCTGTGACACTGGGGAGCACAAATTACATCTCAAGGAGTGGGGACATGCCACCCTGGGCCCAAAGCACAAGCCACATATTCTGCAGGAAGAGCACACACCCCCTTTTGGATGCAGTGCATAATTTCTTCCTGTGTGTGCACTTGGGACTAGAACTCCTTAATGCTTGGCTTACCAGTCAAGTGGTAGGAAACCGAGCAGATGGAAGACGAGTAGGGCCCAGGTGCATGGAGGAGGGCTGAGTCAGGAAGTAGGAAGAGGAAGAGCATTTGGGGAAGAAGCAGGACTTGAGCAGTAAGAGTCATTCAGTGGGATTCATTTCGGGGCACCAAGTGAAACTTTGTCAGTCCCCCAGCTGATGACACAAACTGCGTCATTACAAATTCATTTCTGTAGCTCAAGGTTTAAATCTGCTAAAATGCAAATGTCTTGGTAACACTTTAAAAAGAGGTCAGTGTTTTATTCAGCTGTGAATGTGCCTCCACTTCCTGGAGGCTGGCTTTGATCAAAAACAGGAGAGGAGTAGGCACCTTGAGCGAGGAGGGGGCCAATAACCAGGGGGAGCTGAGAGAGCCTAGCATCTGGGAAGGACAGGGAGCTCACCATGCACCGCACAGCCGCTCCCCAAAAGTCAACCTCAACCTCTTCATCTTTTGCTTTCTTTTGATTCTCTTTCCTCTATTCTGCATCTTTTCCCTTTTTCCACATATGAATCCCCATTCCAGCCAGGATGGCTAGAGGTTTCCTAACTTCTCTGCCTCATAGCTTAACCAGGACATGTGTCCTCAGGACTTCCTGGGGCAATTTTTAAATAAGCTCTCCTTTAACACTCTCCAGTTCAGTAGCTGTATTAGTCTGTTCTCACATTGCTATAAAGAACTACCTGAGACTGGGTAATTTATGAAGAAAGGAGGTTTAATTGGCTCAGGGTTCTGCAGGCTGTCCAGGAAGCAGGGCTGGGGAGCCTTCAGGAAACTTTCAATCATGGCAGAAGGCAAAGGGGAAGCAGGCACGTCTTACATGGCCAGAGAAGGAGGAAGAGAGAGCAGGGAGAGGTGCTACACACTTTTAAACAACCATATCTTGTGAGAACTCACTCAGTATCACGAGAACAGCAAGGGGGAAATCCACCCCCATGATCCAAACACCTCCCACCAGGCTCCTCCTCCAACACTGGGGATCACAATTCAACATGAGATTTGGGCAGGGACACAAATCCAAACCATATCAGTAGCTTTGTCTTTCTTCCCTCCCTATTTCCTACTTTTCTTTCATCCTCCTTTTTAGTTCCTCTCCCTGCCTCTATTCATCTTTCCATCAATATTGATTAGGTGCCTGTTTACATGGTAGGCATGGGAAGTATAAAGATGTGTAATAGACAAACGAAGCCATCATTCTCCTTTCATTCAAAATTCACTTCAGAAGCTAAGCCCAAGCTTAGACAGCAGTAAGCACGTGGGCTTTAATTCTAGTTCTTCCTTTGACCCCTCCACTGCCTCCTCTCAGTGGACCTCAAGCAATTAAATCAGCCTCAATGCCTTGGTTTCTCTATTCATAAACAGGGACAGGAGTAAAATAGAAGATCCTTATTTTTTCCTTCACAACCTTGAAGAGAAGCATATTCATTTGTCTATAGGAGCATACTCATTTGCATCCCTCTAGGAACTCACAGAAAACCAGGTGGCATTATTAAACATACCAGTGAAAGATACTTCAAAATTCAGAGAATGTCTTTCTATTTTGTATATTAATGCTTTGGTAAATCTACCCTAGAGATTGTATAATAATATCTCATTTTAAAGTAAACTGAATGCATTATTCTAGTTTAATGCAATCAAATATTTAGGTATATATGTGACTTGTTTTTCCCATCTCATACTTTGAAAAAGAGCTTTCAATAAAGATTCCAAAACAGGTTGCGTTTTTCCCCCTAGAATTTTCATTGTCTAATAATTATTATATCGCTCAAAGCATGAGTTATATCAAGACTTTATGGATTTTTCTGAGTGGCAGTGTGCTGTGCCAGATAGAGCATTAGACTGAAAATCATGAGACCTGGATTCTAGGTATAATATTGCTATTTACTAATTCTTTATCTTTTTAGTTAAAATTCTCTTGGTAACCAGTAATGGAAACCAGCTCTAAATGATCTTTGTTTTTTATGAAAAATTTATTGGAAGGCCCCTGCTGTATGAAATTGAAGAAAGAGTTGGACAACCAAGACACGTGAAGAGAGAGCATGAGACTGGCTCCAGCACTCAGCATTAGGAGAGCATGGACTTCCTTCCAATTGTGCCACCTTTCACAGACCTACCCTCAAGAAACCTTCAGCCTGAGTCCCTGTGTCAAATGTCAAACTCTTGAGAAAGAGACTGATAAGCTCAGCTCGAGGCCAGGAGAGAGAACCTGCTATCTCTGGGGTCCAGGTCAGGAGGAATGACAGCCCAGATGTGACCCTGAGGCCTCCCCCTATACTGCAGTCATTCTCAGGAATGAGGGACATCACTAGAGCTGGGAAGGCCTGATATGGTTTGGTTGTGTACCCACCCAAATCCCATCTTGAATTGTAGCTCCCACATGTCATGGGAGGGGCCCAGTGAAAGGTAATTGAATCATGGGGGTTAGTCTTTCCTGTGCTGTGCTCATGATAGTGAATAAGTCTCACGAGAGCTGATGGTTTTATAAAGGGGAGTTCCCCTGCACAAGCTCTCTCTTGCCTACCACCATGTAAGGTGTCCCTTGCTCTTCTGCCGTGATTGTGAGGCCTCCCCAGCCATATGAACTGTGAGTCAAATAAATCTCTTTCCTTTATAAATTACCCAGTCTTGGGTATATCTTTACTAGCAGCATGAGAATGAACTAATACAAAGCCACTCCAAGAGGCCTCTGCCAGTATCTTTGGGCCATTATCCAGTCCCTGGGCCTCTGTTCCTTCTGTAAATGCCAGGAGTTTGACTAGATTATTTGAGATCCCTCCTAGCTTCTTCACCCTATGGTTCATGGTGGCAGTCCCTAGCGCTTCTTGAAAGTGATAATGGGACTCTTTGGACATCTTTCAGTATTTCCAAAAATGAAACAGAAATTTTTATGGGAGACAGGTTTGCCCGGGCACACTAAAAAAAAAAAAAAAAAATGATGTTTCAATTTATGGCCTAGAATTAGGTCAACCCAGTAGGATAGCAATGACAGTTTACTGATCAGAAGCTCTGATTGGCAGCTAAATTTTGATTAACATAAGATGGAATAATAATCATTGTTTAATCAATGTATCTTGATTGAAAAAAATGTCTTGTGAGATCACTTAGAAGTTAAAAGCATTGGAATCCTTCACGTATGTTGCAAGAGGAAGCTTAATTTATTTTTGTGAAGTTAGAGTACATTTCCTCACCCATACCCACAGACACCTACAAGAGAACTTGGAAAATAAGGAGCTGGCGTCTGCCTCTACTCAGCCACCTGAATAAAAAGCCCACATGTAACCAGTCATGGTGTCAACACCCGAAGTTGTTGTAAAAGCCCATATGCATTTAGCCATGGTGTTAGCACTCAGAGTAAGAAGGTGAGCTTCAGCAGTAGGCCTTTGTAAGGAGAAGGCTACATTTCATCTCAGAAAAGCTACCACCAATGCGCTTACCCTCTCTAAAGAAACTCAGAAGAACTTGAAGCCTAATAAATATGTGCCACTTTTTCTCACTGTCTGGACATTAACCATCAAAACACCTTTAAAATGACAGGGAGCCGTAATATATTATTTTGTCTTAAAGAAAGAATGAATTTAGGACTAGTCATATTCTTCCTGTAGCTAGTGTTGTGTCCATGGATCCATCACCTCTGCCTCTGAGCTTCAGTTTCCTCCTCTGAAGACTGAGAAGCTGAATATGAGGCTAAGATTCTTTCTAGCTCAAATTTTCTGTGTTCCAAAAACATGATGCATTACTTGAGCTCTTCCTATGTGCCTGGCACTATTCTAGGTGATTATAAATGTACAGTATGTCCTTTAATCTCCAACAACAATGCATCCTTTTCATCCCTGTTTTATGAAAAAGGAAACAGATCCACAAAGAGGCCAAGCTAGGGAGGAACCGAGTCAGATGTCTGTATCCTGAAAGTAACTCTGAGCCTGATCCGCTCAGGCACTGGAAGCTTCCCTACATCCCCTTTCTCCAATTTCTTCAACACAACCTGAGCAGACGCTTGCATGTGCAGTTCTTTTCATCTTTCCCCTGACATCACCCCAATCACCTAAGTTACTTGTCTCTGAATTGCCTTCAATTTGTCTTCATCTTTCTAGAACAGAAGAGATGATGGCAATGCACCTTGCAGGTGCAGTTTCCTTGGGGACCCCTGAACAAGGAGGTAAACTTCATCTGTTGAAGTCTCCTATAGAAGAGTAGAGAGTCTGTCTGGATGGTGCTGCCTAAGAGGCAAGAAACCACAGGACCCAAAAATAGCCATGGAGCACCACTTGGGATAAGTGCCCAATAAATGAAGGGGTAGGGAAATAGAGCCCAGGGAAAAAGGTTAAAGAAATTGGAATTTGCTCACATAAACATAGTAAAACTGATCAATATTGGGAGACACTTCTCCATGGGACTCAGCTTTTTGCATGTCTTGAAAGCAAGGTGTTATTTTATGTTCTAGATTACCTTTTCAAGAGTATTTGTATAGCAAACATCCCTGGAAGATAAGATGGGGTCTCACTCCAGAGTGAAGAACAGGAATGTTTACTGCCCATTAGAAAAGATTTGGATTCTCTAAGCTCGGGGTTTCTCTCTTACAATAAAACTTGCTCTGTGTACAGGTTGTTATCTGGCCATCTTCATTCCCACCTTGTGGGAACTGGGTCCAGGGAACCAACACAAATAAGCTGACAACTTGGCTACTGCTTTTGCTGTGAGTAATAAAGTCTTTTTTTTTTTTGCGGGGGGGCAGGACTTAATAAATTTACTTATTTTTTTTTATTATTATTATACTTTAAGTTTTAGGGTACATGTGCACAATGTGCAGGTTAGTTACATATGTATACATGTGCCATGCTGGTGTGCTGCACCCATTAACTCGTCATTTAGCATTAGGTATATCTCCTCATGCTATCCCTCCCCCCTCCCCCGACCCCACCACAGTCCCCAGAGTGTGATGTTCCCCTTCCTGTGTCCATGTGTTCTCATTGTTCAATTCCCATCTATGAGTGAGAACATGCAGTGTTTGGTTTTTTGTCCTTGCGATAGTTTGCTGAGAATGATGATTTCCAATTTCATCCATGTCCCTACAAAGGACATGAACTCATCATTTTTTATGGCTGCATAGTGTTCCATGGTGTATAGTGCCACATTTTCTTAATCCAGTCTATCATTGTTGGTCATTTGGGTTGGTTCCAAGTCTTTGCTATTGTGAATAGTGCCGCATTAAACATACGTGTGCATGTGTCTTTATAGCAGCATGATTTATAATCCTTTGGGTATATACTCAGTAATGGGATGGCTGGGTCAAATGGTATTTCTAGTACTAGATCCCTGAGGAATCGCCACACTGACTTCCACAATGGTTGAACTAGTTTACAGCCCCACCAACAGTGTAAAAATGTTCCGATTTCTCCACATCCTCTCCAGCACCCGTTGTTTCCTGACGTTTTAATGATTGCCATTCTAACTGGTGTGAGATGGTATCTCATTGTGGTTTTTATTTGCATTTCTCTGATGGCCAGTGATGATGAGCATTTTTTCATGTGTTTTTTGGCTGCATAAATGTCTTCTTTTGAGAAGTGTCTGTTCATATCCTTTGCCCACTTTTTGATGGGGTTGTTTGGTTTTTTCTTGTAAATTTGTTTGAGTTCATTGTAGATTCTGGATATTAGCCCTTTGTCAGATGAGTAGGTGGTGAAAATTTTCTCCCATTCTGTAGGTTGCCTGTTCACTCTGATGGTAGTTTCTTTTGCTGTGCAGAAGCTCTTTAGTTTAATTAGATCCCATTTGTCAATTTTGGCTTTTGTTGCCATTGCTTTTGGTGTTTTAGACATGAAGTTCTTGCCCATGCCTATGTCCTGAATGGTAATGCCTAGGTTTTCTTCTAGGGTTTTTATGGTTTTAGGTCTAACGTTTAAGTCTTTAATCCATCTTGAATTAATTTTTGTATAAGGTGTAAGGAAGGGATCCAGTTTCAGCTTTCTACATATGGCTAGCCAGTTTTCCCAGCACTATTTATTAAATAGGGAATCCTTTCCCCATAGCTTGTTTTTCTCAGGTTTGTCAAAGATCAGATAGTTGTAGATATGCGGCGTTATTTCTGAGGGCTCTGTTCTGTTCCATTGATCTATATCTCTGTTTTGGTACCAGTACCATGCTGTTTTGGTTACTGTAGCCTTGTAGTATAGTTTGAAGTCAGGTAGCGTGATGCCTCCAGCTTTGTTCTTTTGGCTTAGGATTGACTTGGCGATGCGGGCTCTTTTTTGGTTCCATATAAACTTTAAAGTAGATTTTACCAATTCTGTGAAGAAAGTCATTGGTAGCTTGATGGGGATGGCATTGAATCTATAAATTACCTTGGGCAGTATGGCCATTTTCACAATATTGATTCTTCCTACCCATGAGCATGGAATGTTCTTCCATTTCTTTGTATCCTCTTTTATTTCATTGAGCAGTGGTTTGTAGTTCCCCTTGAAGAGGTCCTTCACATCCCTTGTAAGTTGGATTCCTAGGTATTTTATTCTCTTTGAAGCAATTGTGAATGGGAGTTCACTCATGATTTGGCTCTCTGTTTGTCTGTTATTGGTGTATAAGAATGCTTGTGATTTTTGTACATTGATTTTGTATCCTGAGACTTTGCTGAAGTTGCTTATCCACTTAAGGAGATTTTGGGCTGAGACAGTGGGGTTTTCTAGATATACAATCATGTCATCTGCAAACAGGGACAATTTGACTTCCTCTTTTCCTAATTGAATACCCTTTATTTCCTTCTCCTGCCTAATTGCCCTGGCCAGAACTTCCAACACTATGTTGAATAGGAGTGGTGAGAGAGGGCATCCCTGCCAGTTTTCAAAGGGAACGCTTCCCGTTTTTGCCCATTCAGTATGATACTGGCTGTGGGTCTGTCATAGATAGCTCTTATTATTTTGAGATACGTCCCATCAATATCTAATTTATTGAGAGTTTTTAGCATGAAGTGTTGTTGAATTTTGTCAAAAGTCTTTTCTGCATCTATTGAGATAATCATGTGGTTTTTGTCTTTGGTTCTGTTTATATGCTGGATTACATTTATTGATTTGCATATATTGAACCAGACTTGCATCCCAGGGATGAAACCAACGAGAACAAAGACACAACATACCAGAATCTCTGGGACACCTTCAAAGCAGTGTGTAGAGGGAAATTTATAGCACTAAATGCCCACACGAGAAAGCAGGAAAGATCCAAAATTGACACCTTAACATCACAATTAAAAGAACTAGAAAAGCAAGAGCAAACACATTCAAAAGCTAGCAGAAGGCAAGAAATAACTAAAATCAGAGCAGAACTGAAGGAAATAGAGACAAAAAAAAACCCTTCAAAAAATTAATGAATCCAGGAGCTGGTTTTTTGAAAACATCAACAAAATTGATAGACCGCTAGCAAGACTAATAAAGAAAAAAAGAGAGAAGAATCAAATAGACACAACAAAAAATGATAAGGGGGATATCACCACCGATCCCACAGAAATACAAACTACCATCAGAGAATACTACAAACACCTCTATGCAAATAAACTAGAAAATCTAGAAGAAATGGATAAATTCCTCGACACATACACTCTCCCAAGACTAAACCAGGAAGAAGTTGAATCTCTGAATAGACCAATAACAGGACCTGAAATTGTGGCAATAATCAATAGCTTACCAACCAAAAAGAGTCCAGGACCAGATGGATTCACAGCCGAATTCTACCAGAGGTACAAGGAGGAACTGGTACCATTCCTTCTGAAACTATTCCAATCAATAGAAAAAGAGGGAATCCTCCCTAACTCATTTTATGAGGCCAGCATCATCCTGATACCAAAGCCTGGCAGAGACACAACCAAAAAAGAGAATTCTAGACCAATATCCTTGATGAACATTGATGCAAAAATCCTCAATAAAATACTGGCAAACCGAATCCAGCAGCACATCAAAAAGTTTATCCACCATGATCGAGTAATAAAGTCTTTCATCTCTGATCCAGGAATCTCATGTCTTCCACCAACTTGAACAATAACAGGCTAACTATTACATTTTATGTAAAGTAAAATCTCAGACCCTTCACAACTCTTGACATTAATAGACTTGAGAACAAATTTCAATAAAAATAATAGTATATCTTCAAAGAGAGGTCAATAAACTTTTTTTCTTGCTTCCTGGAAACTCAAGAATATCCTCTTCTACAGTCTAAAATGAGATGTGGATCCAGGCCTCTGGATTGCTAAATTTGCTAATACTTATGTAGCTTGCCAAGGGCTATTTTGGAATCTCCTATCCCAGAATATTTTAAAATATAATCTAGATACCTATCCATGTGATATAGATCAGGCCTAGACACACTTGAATGATAAGGCAAAGGCAAGCACTAGCAATGCTATAATGTCTTAAAAAGCAATTCTGTTCATGCACAGGCCCTTAGCTTGGTTCTTTTTTCACATGAAATATCCACAACCCATGAGGCTTTCTCCAATGAATTAGCTCAAAGTTGGTCAACCCTAGTCAAAGTCTTGATGGTTCCCATGACCCAGTTAGTCCCCTTTTTAAGAAGTGAATAAGCCTTTTTAGGAAGTGAATCCTACCTTTAGCTTAAGGCCTGCCTGGAGAAGCTGCTGATGGATTCGGAAGATCACCAGGATAGGGACTAGATGGTGCCAATCTCCAGGACCTAGAAGCTTGGGCTCCTGCCCCCCTCACTTCATGGTCCTTCCCTATTCTCTTCTCTTCTGTCTTCCCCAAAATGTCCTCATAGGCATGGCTTGAGGAATGACAAGTAAGGGATTGGGCAGCCCCAATGATTCATCATTTCTCAGATGGTTAAGTGAATGATGGCATGGAGCTCTGAGCACTATGGTCTGACATGCTCATCTCCTTGCTCAACACAGCACTTCCAATGGCCGCTCCCCTATACACATCCTTTCTGATGATGACGTCAAAGGATTTCACATGAAACTTGCTACACATGTCTATATCATTAGCACTACTTTACCCTTGTACAGATCTTCACCTCTGGCAAAGCACTGTTAACTCATTTGATTCCAAAACCCTATAGTCATGGCAAATATTAAACCCATCTCACAGATAAAGAAATTGAAGCTTATAGAAGTTAAAAGTGTTGCTTGATGTCACAAGCTTGCTGTTATGTGGCATTGTTAAAACGGAAACTGAAACTGAAACCAAGATGCCTCATTCCAGGTCCATGACCCTTTCTGTACAGTGCAGAGGGGGGATGCAGGCAGCAGCCAGGTATGTGATGGCCTCACTTTACAAAAAACAAGAATGATTTGTTCAAGGTCACATATCATGTGAGCTACATTGATCCAGACACCAGGAAATTATAGAAGGATTCATCTGTGCTCAGTCTTTTGCAATTTTAGTAGTTGGCAGAATGTTCTCGGGGAAAAGGAGAGAGAAGGCAAATGATCTGGGGACACTGACAAAGCAGCTTGCCCTAACAGTCCTGAGCCACAATGCCCAGAGCATGGCGCTGAGACCAGGGACCAGAAATGCCACCCTCAGCCCTCTGGCCAGGCCTTGTTCCTGACTGTCCAGCCAAAGCTGGCTCAGCTGCCTGGAAATCTTATGGCTCTGAGAAATGGCCATGAGTCAACCTGGTCTCTCCCCTGCCTTTGCCTCTGGAGCTTGTTTCAGATGGTGGCACTGCCCAGCACTATCTGGCAAGCTGCAGGGCTCCATGCCTGCTCCAGCCTCCATCACTACAAGAAAGCTACATTTTCTCTGTTAGCTGGGGCAATTGGCTGAGCCTGGGGAGAAGGAGACAGGGAAATGAGCCTGCTACAGTGGACACTCCACTTGCCAGGGCCCAAGGCATTAAAACATCCAACCATGTCAAATAATTCAAGGAGAAAATGTTTACAGACACAGAAAAACAGATTTTTTTATCCTTCTTCGAACCACTCCATCTCCTGTATCTAATGCACCATTTCCATAGCATTAACAGAGAAAAGGCAGTGGGAAATATTGGTTATTGGATTCTTTTGTTAGAAAAGGCTCGCTTGAAGCTGGCAGGTTTTATTATCTATCTGTGAGATGATCCTAGCCTTTAGATGGGTTTCTTTGCCTGCCGACTGACCAGATGGAGAGAAACTCTGGAAAACACAGTAGTTCTTGGATGATATGAAAAATCTGAAGCAACCTACTTCAAAGATGAGCTATGGGTACAGGAGAAAGACGGAAGTCAATTTCATGAAGAGCACCATGGATGGGTGCAGCAGCTTCTACAAGAACAAAAAGGAGATTGACACTCCCCAGCACATGTGGGCCTGACCACCCATGCCACACACCTTGCACCAGCCCTCCGAGTCAATACCACCACCCTGTTTCCTGTCCATCACATTCTCTTGCTTATTTCATTGAAGCCTCATTTGGCCCAGGTGTCTTCAGCAGCACTGTCCTGGATCGCCAGTGTCCCTCACCCTCTAGTCATTCCTCTAGAAGGCTCTTCACTCAGAAATGTCAGAACTAGAGAGGACTTTAGAATTCCTTTGCTCCAGTTTCCTCACTTTATAGACAGGGAAGCTGAGAACCAGAGAAGTAAATCAACTTGTTCAAGGTTACCCAGCTAGAGTTGGGAGAATTATACCTAGAATTCATGCATCCTGGACACAAACCAATTATTCTTCCTACCACACCCCACCTCCTCTGGGCAGGCCTCCTTCCTGAAGCTGAAAGATGGGAACCAGATGCTGAAAACCCACAGTCCCACTAAACCTCATCCCCTTTGCCCTGTCCTTAAGGAAAGAGAAAAATGAGTCAGGTTAATGTTTTTCCATTCCAGTACTCCAGAAAAAAAGCTGGGAAGACCAAGAACCCCTCTTTAAAGTTTTCATTTCAGCCCCCAGAACCACATGGGCTGTTAGAAATAGAAGTGGACCACCCACATTTTAAAAAAATCTTGCAGATAAATAGGGCAGTATCTGAAGGAAGTCACTTATGTGTAGAAGGGGTAATAAAGTCAAGTGGGAGAGTTGGTTAACAGGCATCCTTCTGATCCTTAAGTTACATGATGCTGGGACTCTTGGAATTGGGAAGATTTGGCCTGGAGAACATGAGGCTGAGGGAAATGAGACAAGACTTTCATAACTGACTTCCAGTTTCAAAACAGTTATAGGCATAGACACCCCAAGGGAAGACAAACAAAAAAGACATAGGCTTTCGTTATATAAGGAAGATTCAGATCAGACTGCCTGAGAACTTCCAAACTGTAAATGCAGCAGGCAGGAAATCAAGAAAGAACACAAGGCAGGGAAACCAAATGTCTTGACCTCAGAATCCTTCTTTCAGCCCCAGGGTGCTGGGAGGAGGTGGTCCCATGGGGACAGTGTTGATAATAAGAGGGGAAAATCATCAATGTGTGTATCAGGCCATTCTTGCCTTGCTATAAAGAGCTACCTGAGACTGGGTAATTTATAAAGAAAAGAGGTTTAATTGACTCACGGTTCTGCAGGCTGTACAGGGAGCATTACATAGGCATCTGCTTCTGGGGAGGCCTCAGGAAGCTTACAATCATGGCAGAAGGTGAAGGGGGAAGAGGTGTCTCCCATGGAAGGAGCAGGAGCAAGAGAGAGATGGAGGAGGCACTACACACTTTTAAAAATCATATCTTGCAAGATCACTCACTATCCCAAAAACAGTACCAAGAGGATGGCACTAAACAATTCATGAGAAACCACTCCCACGATCCAGTCACCTCCCACCAGCCCCACCTCCAACATTGGAGATTACAGTTGAACATGAGATTTGGTTGGGACACAGATCCAAACTATATCAATGTGTTAAGATCATTGTAAAGCTGATCCTGCATCCCTGCTCAACTGGTCACACTGGGACCCTGTCTCCCCCTGACCAAGCTTCTCCAGCTCCCTGGGAAAGATAAAAGATGGTCAGATAGTGCCATCTTCTCCAGCAAGTACAGCTTTGCCAGAGGGGAAGACAGGTTTAGCTCTCCCTCCTATCATGGACTCATTAAGTTATACATTTAATGGGGGTGAGTCTGTGTCAATAAGATCCGGGTTCTCAGCAGAAGGCTCAGGCACAGGCACGCTGGAGTGGCCTGTTTCCTGCACAGAGGGGCAATGTGAGCCCAGAAGAGCTGAGGGGTAAGGTAGGGGTGGGGAGTAGAGAAAATCCCAGCTGCAGTGTCCTCTCCTTTCCTCTTTTCTCTTGCTCTCTGCCTGCTCAGTGTCCACGCTAATGAAAATAGGCCTGCACAGCTTCTTCTGCAGCCCAAGAATTTGTTCAGAGCAATTTGGAGCCAATTGAATGAACAGGAATAAACAAGCAGATATTGCAGTTTATGGCTGGCTGCTTCAAGGCCCCAGGTAGTGATAAGAGGCCGAGGTCCTTTTTATGCCCACAGCAAGAAGAGGGGTGGAATTTGGTCTTTTTAAGGGCAGTAAATAGGAGGCACAGTCACAAGGAATAGGGGGGGTAATTATGCTCTGTGCTAATACAGGGCTGTGGCCATGCCACCCAGACCTGAGAAATCATTAGGTGATTGAGTAAAAGGTTGAAACAGTGGGAGACAGTGATTGCTTTGTTAGGCCCATGGATAGACAGGGATGAAGTGTCCTCATGGGAGGGAAATCCAATTGCTACTTCTGGTCAACGTTGGCTGTTGCCTCTCTGTCCCAACACTTATTCAGTCTCCCTAGGCAGCAGAGAAAACAAGTATCTCTCTCTCTCTCTCTCTCTCTCTCTCACACACACACACACACACAGAGAGAGACATGTTTCCCTGAAATGGTACTTGCCCTCTGACCCCCGCTTCCTCTACCGCCACTGCTGGGAAGCAAACAGTGATGCTGAAGGTTTCCTTGGAGTTTTTTCTCCTCCCCTGTACAAGGAGGAAGAATGGGTTTGCCTTGGTGTCTGCATGACCTGTCACCAGCTCTTCCTTGTGAGCCAATGACAGTAATTTCCAAGATGACTGCCGAGGATCACAGGAATATCTGTGGCTTTGGAATAGAAGGTTCCTCTAAGCCAAGTAAATAGCTCTTTTTAGGGCTGGAGTCACAGTCTTGGACTCAGAACTAGAGACAGTGTTGAACAGATATTGTTGACCTTGACCAAGCATCTATACCTTAGTGAAGTATCTTAGGTAGAGACGCCCAGAATCAGCACAAAGAAGAAGAAACAACATCTTTACTAGGACATCCTACATCCTTAGGCATTTTCTCCCCCTCCACTACTCTGAGAATAAAATCTAAGATGTTGTTTTCCTTCAAACCCTACCACACACATACTTTGTTCTGCTTTGTAGCTGTAGCACTGAAGCTATAAAAATGAATAAGATTTTGTTCCTGCTCTCAAGAAACAAAAGTCTTACTGTGGAGATAAATAGGTAAACAGATTATTTCTACCTATAACACAGAAGATTCCATGTTGGAAATGGGTACAAGGTATTAGACGAGCCAGAGTGGCTAATCCAGCCACATGGCATCACGTGAGCTGAGTTCTGAAAGATTAGGACCAGGAATTAGCCAAGAATAGGCAAACAGGACTGCACTCATTGTTTGAGGCAGAGAAAACAGCACAAGCCAAAGCGTGAAGGTAGAAAATTGTATGGCTTATTTGGAGAATTACTGTTGGCCCAGTATTAGGAAAACATAAGGTGTGGTGCAGATAGATGGGCCAGATGAGATCAGCCGTTCCCAGACACCATGCTAGAAAATACAGGCTATTCAATAAATCATGAGTGCCAATGAAGGGCTTCAAACTAGTGTGGGAGGGGCGGGGAAGAGGGTGGATGTGGCCAGATTTGCATTTTTGGAGAAGGGGTTTGAGGGAGCCTGGGAACAAGGAGACCACTTAGGAAGTTGTGATTAAAAAAAAAAAAAAGCCCAGTCCAGATGAGATGAGACATAATGAAGGTCTGACCTAGGGCAGTTGACTTTAGAGTGTAGAAAAGCGAAAGGTTTTAGGGAATTCTTAGGAGAATGAGTTGGTGCTTGATTGGATGTGGATTATGACAAAGTCCCAAAAGTGAGGCTGATGGCCAGATTTCAGGCCTAGATGAGCCTGGGTGGGACTGACCAGGAGGATGACAAAGGCTTGGGAGAGGAAGAGATGCTTCCACTTATCAGGTGAAGCCCAAGAACTTGGGGGGGTATCCTGGTGGAGAAATTTCCAGGAAACGTTGAGTCCATGTCACAGCCCCCTGCCACTGTGCAGCTTGGTGGCTTAGAGGAAGGCATTTCGTCTCTCTGGGCTTCAGTGCCTGATCTGTAAACTGCAATACTCACTCTCCCCAACTCACCTTCTGTAAATAGATTGCAAAGACCAAATATGAAAATGTATTTCAAGCACTTCGGAAATAAAGCTGCTGTATAAACACAATGGATTTAAACAGTTTCTGTATTGGGCATTCTCAGGTTTCCTATTGCAATGAAATGATTTAAAAGGATGAACTCACTTTGTGATAGGTCTGCTCTTTTGACTTTTAAGAGGTGTTTGAAAGATATATGAGTCGACAAGTGTGATTTGCTTGACTTTAACTCTTTTCCTCTTCGGTGCGGCGGAGAGGCAGGGATGCATTTCACAGAGCACATGAGCAACTCGGAGGGACCTGGGAAGCCATGTGGCTGATGCCTTGCTTTACAGAAGAGGACACCAGGCCCAGAGAGAGGAAGAGACTCCCTGGGACAGCATGCGCAGCCAGTGGCAAAGCCAGGACCCACATGCCGATCCCCCCTTCCCCGCAGCCCTCCCTGTGTGGCAGGGTTGGTACCGATGCGATACCACAGCCACAGCCCTCCCAACATCAACCCACTGGGCCGCCTGTGGGCCTCTGCTCTTCAAAGGAAGAAAGAGCTATTTGGGATAATGGTCGCAGAGCCCTCTGAAGTTCCAAAGAGTTGGAAAAAATACATCTATAAGACCCATATTAATGAGTCTCTCCCTGTTCATTTCAAGCCCAGAACATTTTTTGGATTTAAATAATGCACGACTGAATATGGATGGGATCAGTGACTCAGAGCAGCGGGGCGGAGATGTGGGATTGTTAATAAATTATAGCCCTTGGGCCAGAGTGGGGTGTAAAAGGAAACAGAAGAAGGACAGAAGACAAGATAAATGAGCCTTCAGATGGGAAGGGATAGGGCTGGGAGCAGGAAGAGGCTGCCCTGGACATGGGCAGAGCCTACAGCTCCTATCCCGGTGTGAGCCGGGACAGGATGACCAGATGGCACCAAGAAGGGTAAGGGGAGGAACTGGGCATGCCCAAGATGTTCAGACCTCCAGGACCTGATCCAATGTGAGGATGTATGGACCCTTCAGTCATCTATAGGGAGCCCACACGCAGGAAGTTCCCTGAGGCTGATCCATGAAGCTCAGCTCCTGGGAGATGGTTTTCCCTAAAGGGACTGTGGGGTGATATGCATGTGCAAAGCAGCACACACCACGTGGGCCTCTTGGCACACTCATATTTAAAGGATCAGAGAATTCCTGCTGTATCAACCTGGCTTGCGCCACTTCCCAAAGCTACCTGACCACAGAACCACTTCCTCACAGACCTGGCCTTGGAAGATACAGCTGGGGACCATACCCTGGCCCTCCTTCCTGTCCTCAGGTGGCAGCTGCTCCTGAAATGACATCATGTTTTCCTCTTCTATGGTAGCTCTAGGTACTGGGGTTCCAGGAGCCTTACTAAGTACTTAAGCAGTTCAACTTGTTTGGTATAAACTTGGGCCACCCCAAGCACCCAAAGTGAAAAGTCTAGATTTCTGGTGAGGATGCAGATGTGAATTCCATTTAACCCAATGCAGCAAGTATGTCCTGAATACTAAGTACTCAGCCCTGTTGTGAATACAAGACAAATACAGTCTCTGCTGCGACCACAATCTAGAAGAAGGGGCAAGACTTCTCCTTTGGGGGATTCAAGAGGCAGGTTCTATAGATGTTTTAAAAAAGGGTGAGAGAAGTCAGGAAGACTTTTTTTTATTGTGCCAAAATAAGCATACCATAAAATGTATGATCTTAACCAATTTTTTTTAATTATTATTATACTTTAAGTTTTAGGGTACATGTGCACAACGTGCAGGTTTGTTACATATGTATACATGTGCCATGTTGGTGTGCTGCACCCATTAACTAGCCATTTAGCATTAGGTATATCTCCTAATGCTACCCCTACCCCCTACCCCCACCCCACAACAGGCCCCAGTGTGTGATGTTCCCCTTCCTGTGTCCATGTGTTCTCATTGTTCAATTCCCACCTATGAGTGAGAACACGTGGTGTTTGGTTTTTTGTCCTTGCGATAGTTTGCTGAGAATGATGGTTTCCAGTTTCATCCATGTCCCTACAAAGGACATGAACTCATCATTTTTTATGGCTGCATAGTATTCCATGGTGTATATGTGCCATATTTTCTTAATCCAGTCTATCACTGTTGGACATTTGGGTTGGTTCCATGTCTTTGCTATTGTGAATAGTGCCGCATTAAACATACGTGTGCATGTGTCTTTATAGCAGCATGATTTATATTCCTTTGGGTATATACCCAGTAATGGGATGGCTGGGTCAAATGGTATTTCTAGTACTAGATCCCTGAGGAATAGCCACACTGACTTCCACAATGGTTGAACTAGTTTACAGTCCCACCAACAGTGTAAAAGTGTTCCTATTTCTCCACATCCTCTCCAGCACCTGTTGTTTCCTGACTTTTTAATGATCACCATTCTAACTGGTGTGAGATGGTATCTCATTGTGGTTTTTATTTGCATTTCTCTGATGGCCAGTGATGATGAGCATTTTTTCATGTGTTTTTTGGCTGCATAAATGTCTTCTTTTGAGAAGTGTCTGTTCATATCCTTTGCCCACTTTTTGATGGGGTTGTTTGGTTTTTTCTTGTAAATTTGTTTGAGTTCATTGTAGATTCTGGATATTAGCCCTTTGTCAGATGAGTAGGTGGTGAAAATTTTCTCCCATTCTGTAGGTTGCCTGTTCACTCTGATGGTAGTTTCTTTTGATGTGCAGAAGCTCTTTAGTTTAATTAGATCCCATTTGTCAATTTTGGCTTTTGTTGCCATTGCTTTTGGTGTTTTAGACATGAAGTTCTTGCCCATGCCTATGTCCTGAATGGTACTGCCTAGGTTTTCTTCTAGGGTTTTTATGGTTTTAGGTCTAACGTTTAAGTCTTTAATCCATCTTGAATTAATTTTTGTATAAGGTGTAAGGAAGGGATCCAGTTTCAGCTTTCTACATATGGCTAGCCAGTTTTCCCAGCACCATTTATTAAATAGGGAATCCTTTCCCCATTGCTTGTTTTTCTCAGGTTTGTCAAAGATCAGATAGTTGTAGATATGCGGCGTTATTTCTGAGGGCTCTGTTCTGTTCCATTGGTCTATATCTCTGTTTTGGTACCAATACCATGCTGTTTTGGTTAGCCTTGTAGTATAGTTTGAAGTCAGGTAGCGTGATGCCTCCAGCTTTGTTCTTTTGGCTTAGGATTGACTTGGCGATGCGGGCTCTTTTTTGGTTCCATATGAACTTTAAAGTAGTTTTTTCCAATTCTGTGAAGAAAGTCATTGGTAGCTTGATGGGGATGGCATTGAATCTATAAATTACCTTGGGCAGTATGGCCATTTTCACGATATTGATTCTTCCTACCCATGAGCATGGAATGTTCTTCCATTTCTTTGTATCCTCTTTTATTTCATTGAGCAGTTGTTTGTACTTCTCCTTGAAGAGGTCCTTCACATCCCTTGTAAGTTGGATTCCTAGGTATTTTATTCTCTTTGAAGCAATTGTGAATGGGAGTTCACTCATGATTTGGCTCTCTGTTTGTCTGTTATTGGTGTATAAGAATGCTTGTGATTTTTGTACATTGATTTTGTATCCTGAGACTTTGCTGAAGTTGCTTATCAGCTTAAGGAGATTTTGGGCTGAGACAGTGGGGTTTTCTAGATATACAATCATGTCATCTGCAAACAGGGATAATCTGACTTCCTCTTTTCCTAATTGAATACCCTTTATTTCCTTCTCCTGCCTGATTGCCCTGGCCAGAACTTCCAACGCTATGTTGAATAGGAGTGGTGAGAGAGGGCATCCCTGTCTTGTGCCAGTTTTCAAAGGGAATGCTTCCAGTTTTTGCCCATTCAGTATGATATTGGCTGTGGGTCTGTCATAGATAGCTCTTATTGTTTTGAGATATGTCCCATCAATACCTAATTTATTGAGAGTTTTTAGCATGAAGGGTTGTTGAATTTTGTCAAAGGCCTTTTCTGCATCTACTGAGATAATCATGTGGTTTTTGTCTTTGGTTCTGTTTACATGCTGGATTACATTTATTGATTTGCATATGTTGAACCAGCCTTGCATCCCAGGGATGAAGCCCACTTGATCGGTGGATAAGCTTTTTGATGTGCTGCTGGATTCAGTTTGCCAGTATTTTATTGAGGATTTTTGCATCAGTGTTCATCAAGGATATTGGTCTAAAATTCTCTTTTTTGGCTGTGTCTCTGCCAGGCTTTTGTATCAGGATGATGCTGGCCTCATAAAATGAGTTAGGGAGGATTCCCTCTTTTTCTATTGATTGGAATAGTTTCAGAAGGAAAGGTACCAGCTCCTCTTTGTATGTCTGGTAGAATTCAGCTGTGAATCTGTCTGGTCCTGGGCTTTTTTTGGTTGGTAAGCTATTGATTATTGCCTCAATTTCAGAGCCTGTTATTGGTCTATTCAGAGATTCAACTTCTTCCTAGTTTAGTCTTGGGAGGATGTATGTGTCAAGGAATTTATCCATTTCTTCTCGATTTTCTAGTTTATTTGCATAGAGGTGTTTATAGTATTCTCTGATGGTAGTTTGTATTTCTGTGGGATCAGTGGTGATATCCCCATTATCATTTTTTATTGCATCTATTTGATTCTTCTCTCTTTTCTTCTTTATTAGTCTTGGTAGCGGTCTATCAATTTTGTTGATGTTTTCAAAAAACCAGCTCCTGGATTCATTGATTTTTTGAAGGGTTTTTTTTGTCTCTATTTCCTTCAGTTCTGCTCTGATTTTAGTTATTTCTTGCCTTCTGCTAGCTTTTGAATGTGTTTGCTCTTGCTTTTCTAGTTCTTTTAATTGTGATGTTAGGGTGTCAATTTTGGATCTTTCCTGCTTTCTCGTGTGGGCATTTAGTGCTATAAATTTCCCTCTACACACTGCTTTGAAGGTGTCCCAGAGATTCTGGTATGTTGTGTCTTTGTTCTCGTTGGTTTTAAAAAACATCTTTATTTCTGCCTTCATTTCATTATGTACCCAGTACTCATTCAGGAGCAGGAACCATTTTTAAGTATACAGTTCAGTGGCATTAAATACATTCATGATGTTAGGCAGCCATTGCCAGAACTCTATTCATCTTCCCAGACTGAAACTCTGTGCCCATTACTCCACTAACTCTCCACTCTCCGCCCCCAGCCCCTGGCAGCCCCCATTCTACTTTCTGTCTCTGTGGATCTGACTACTCAAGGGACCTCATGTGAGTCACATCTTTCAGTATTTGCTTTTTTGAGACTGGCTTATTTTACTTCGCAGAATGTCCCCAAGTTTCATTCATGTTGTAGCATGTATCAAAATTTCCTTCCTTTTTTTTCCTGAGATAGGGTCTCACTCTCCTGCCCAGGCTGGAGTGTGATCATGCAGTGGCACAATCACAAATCACTGCCACCTTGACCTCCTGAGCTCAAGTGATCCTCCCATCTCAGCCTCCCGAGTAGCGGGAACTACAGATGCATGCCATCACACCCAGCTAGGATTTCCTTCCTTTTAGAGGTTGAGTAATATTCCATTGCACAGACAGACCACATGTTATTGATCTGGGTATCTTTCCTGCAGAAGGCAGGAGGCAAGTTTTCCAAGAGGAGGAGAGAGAAGATGATAATTCAGGTGTGGATAATCAAGGGTGGGGACCCAAGCTCGACAGCTTTGTACAGGATCCTCTCAGGCACATGGAAATGAACTGGCTGAGGGGATGCCCATGCATAGCTGTGTGACAGTGTCCACTGAATCCTCGGCCTGCAGGGGACTGAGGAGGTGGCAGAGCCTCCGGCCTGGCGAGGACATGGAGTAATCCCTCTGCATTGCTCAAAAAAAAAAAAAAAAAAAAACTAGTTATAGGTAGATGGACAGCCCTCCCTCCTGCTCCTGGGAGTCTCTGATTCTGAGGTAGGTTCTGGAAGAATTGCTCAATTGAGAGTAATCAGGACACGTTTATACAGAAGATGGAATGACCCCATATTCAGGGTGATTCCCAGCAATCATAATGCCTTCTCAAAATCTGCCCCCTGATGGAAGTCATCCCACTTGTTAACCAAATAACACAGCCATCAGGGCCCAGGCTCTTTCCCTCAGATCATTCTCCCAGTGAGGTCCTGGAAATCTGTGTGTCACAGAGAGGACTAGCTGCTCTTTCCTGAAGGCATTTAAAATGCAACTTTACCACAACCTTCATGACCCTGCTCATGGCCCAGGCCAGGTGACCCAGGGACTTTCTCCATCTTCCCTTTGGGGAGCAGGGCTCTGGCCCCATAGGCCTGTCTCCTGCTTCCCTCTTCACTGAACAATGGCCCTCTCATTAGTGGGCCGCCTTCCCTGTCCATGGGCCTTTATTACAGTAACTATGGAGTCAGCCACTGCACTTCTGACAAGACGGAAAAGAGCAATTAGGGGCTTTAGTCTCTGCCTTGCGGCCTGGCTGACATCATCCTCCCTTCCTCCACCTCCCCACTCATCATTAACCCCCTTCTCTCCCTGCTGCCTCCTGGTCAGGAAGTCAAGCTAGGGATGCACAGAGGAAGGAATAATGAGTAGCAGCCCCCACATTCAAAGAGGCCAGGGCCCTGGGGATACTGGAAGAGGGAGGAAATGCCAGGCAGCCCAGCATCCACAGAGGCCCGGGTAATCGCTGAGGTCACTGGGGCAGCTCACTACCCCTCCTCTGCCAGACCTGGCTCCATAGCCATCACTCACCTGGATTCCAGCACATTAGAAGCCTGCAGGGTTGGGGCCAGTGGCCACTGCTGCTCTCTGACCCATCCCCACCACACATCCCACTGTGACCCATCCAGCCTTGTCCCAGGCATGGCCAAGCACTGAGAAGGCAGGAGGCAAGGTGAAAACCCAATGGATGATGGCCATTCCCAGGGCACCAAAATAATCACCGGATCTTAGAGGATGTCAGGAATTCTTCAAGCCTTTCTTGAGTGCCTACTGTGTGCTAGGAACTGAGGACAGGATAGAATAAAGGCAGACCCTTAGGGAATTTCCCTGTCCTCAGGGAAATTCAGACAGACATTGAGCCAGGCAGCAGGAGGAGCATGCTGCATGCTCCACGGACAGCATAGGCAGTATGCCAGGACAGCCTTTAAGAGGGGCATCTAACCTAGTGTTGAGCATCAGGAAAAGCTTCCTGAAGAAAGTAAAGTTTTGGTTAAAGCCAGAAAGATAAGCAGAAGTTAACTATGGGAAGTGGGTGGTGGGGTTGGTGTGTGAAAAGGCCTTACCACGGGAAAGAAGATGGCCTGTTTGAAGAGATCCCAGGGCCCAGTGTGGCTGGAATGTAGCCAGTGAGGCCAGAGATGAAGGCATAGAGGCTATGCCACCCAAGCCTGACCTCCCCCACCCCATCCATCTCCCAGGCACTGATGGAGAAGCCCCTTGTGGGAAATCCCAGGAGACTGTTATCCAGTCTCTGCCAAAACACTTCTAGTGGAGGAAGCACAAGGTGGTCCATTTATGTTTAGCTGCAGTTGTTAGAAATGTCTTCCTCAAGCTAAGGTGAAATCTGCATCGGGGTGGTGAACGGGAAAGAACCTGGGGCTTTTAATTTAGACAGACAGGATTTGGAGCCTTTCTCAGCCACTTGCCAGCTCTATGAGCATGTCCACATGACATGAGCTTCTCTGAGCCTTTGTTTTCTCATCTGCAAAATAAGGAAGTCATATTTACCTTCTAGAGCTGTTGTGAGGACTCACGGAAAGAGCAAGAATACAGTGCCTAGCCTAAATGTCGGCAGTGCCTAGACCAAAGCTCAGCCCTCTTTTCTCAGCCATCAGTCCTCTCTGTCCCTCTGAAGTATATAGCATTTGTTAGAAGAGATGACCCTTTATATTTCCAAAGCTTCCGTAAATCTCATTATTACTAGTTCCTTGGACCACTCCTCATATCACATGGTTTTCAAGCCCTTTACCATCTAGGTGTAGGTCCCAGGATAATTCTGTCCCTAACTGTCAGCTGCATGAGACATGAGGGCAGTGTTGGTCTGTCTCACTCATTGCTCCATCCCTAGCACTCAGCACAATGCCCAGCACACAGGAAGCAATCAGAATATATTTGTTGAGTGGATGACTATGGTCTGGGCATGATGCTTGTATTAATGCAGCCTATGTGTCCTTCATCTTTAAAGAGTCTGTGTCAGTATCTTGACTCATAACAGGCTAATAGACAATGAAAGCCCTAGGACTTTCATCCATGAGCTGCTATGGCATTAAGCTTCCCTCATCCTGTCCTTATTCATCCTCATTTGGTTAGTTTTTGAACTAAAGGCAAGACTTTGATTTATCCCTCCTACATTTTATCTTGTTAGTTTCAGTCCATTGTTCTGGCCTGCCCAGACCTTTTTTGAATCTTCACTCTGTCATCCAACAAATTAGCTCTCCCATCTGGCTTTGCTTCATCTATCAATTTGTTAAGCATGCCTCTTATGTCTCCACATATCTGAGGATAAAATGTCAAAGAAGACAGACACATTGTATGGTTCTTTGGTGAAATGGACAAACCTCCTGTGACCTGACCCAGCACTAAGGACTTCCTGGTTGACACTGGCTTGTTAACCAACACATCTTGGGGACAGTTGTTCAACTAGTGAAGAAGCCATCATTCAGCCTACTCTACTCCATTTTGTCCACAACAATAGTGCAAGAGGCACCACAAATCCACGCCTCAAATAAAACCCTTGCTGCCTTAATAATTATCATGTACGAGGGGCCTACCAAGTGCCACACCTACCACACACCACCTCATTTAACCCTCCCAACAACACCACAGGCAGCTGCAGTGCAGGGAAGGGAGCAGGTAGGCAAGCCAGGCCGCTTGAGTTTTAGTACTGATGCTACACCTTCCTGCCTGGACAACGGTGGACAATGAATTGCCAGAGTGGGCCATTTGCTACAACAAATGATTTCAAAACCTAAGTGGCCAAATACCATAAAGGCTTACTTCTTGTTCATGTCACAGTCCAATCCCACAGGTGACCTCCTATAGATGGTTTGGGGACTGAGGCTTCTCATCTAGTGGCTCCTTCTCAGAGGCCTCCACTGGGTCTTCTCCATTTAGCCTAAGTGCAAAGAGGTGGGGGAATTCCAAGGCAGGGGCAGTGACTTATGCCACTCTGCCCACATTCCATTGGCCAGGCTAGTCACATGACCCATCTCAGCACATGGGAGGCTGAGAAATGTGGAGAGTGTGGGTTGGGGAACACTCCTCACCTATGTCATTGACATAATAACATTCCTTGCCTCATAATGTCTGTATCAGTTAGGGATTTCCACACAAGCAGAGCCAATAGGTGAGAAAGAGAGAGATTTACTTAAAGAATTGGCTCATATGATTGTGGTGCTGGCACGTCTGAAATTTGCAGGGCAGACTAGCAGGCTGGAAGTTCTGGCAGGAGCTGATGTTGCACATGTGTGTGCGAGGGCAGTCTGGAGGCAGAAAACCTTCCTCTAGAGGGACCTCAGTCTTTTCTCTTACATTAAAGAAGCCCCTAGTGCTGCGTCACAAGAGGCTTGTCCATTTCTCCAAAGAACCATACAATGTGTCTGTCTTCTTTGACATTTTATCCTCAGATACGTGAAGACATAAGAGGCATGCTTAACAAATTGATAGACGAACCAAAGCTAGATGGGAGAGCCAGTATGCTGGAGGACAGAGTGAAGATTCAAAAAAAGGTCTGGGCCAGAACAATGGACTGAAACTAACAAGATAAGATGTTGGAGGGATAAATCAATTGAATGGATGAGGCCCACCCACATTATGGAGGATAATCTGCTTTACTCAAAGTCTTCTGATTTAAAGGTTAATCACATCTTTAAAAAAAATACCTTCACACTAACATCCAGACTGGTGTTTGACAAAATACCTGGGCACCATGGCCTAGCCAAGTTGACATGTAATGTTAATTCTCATAACGTTATTGTGAGAATTAAATGAGCTATGCCTGAAAACTATGTGTAATTCTAATTAGCCCAGTTCCCAATACATAAAACCAAATAAATACCTGCAATTATTATTGCCCCACTTTTACAGATGAAGAAATTAGGGCTTGAACAAGTAAAATAACTTGCCCAAGACCACCGCTGCCAGACTCTGGAGCCAATTTCTCTCAACTCCTCTCCACACTCCTTGGGACCAGTTAGTTAAGAGTAGCTGCAGCCTCTGGGTAGAGGTGAAGATGGGGTACAAGCTAGTTAGTGGGCAGGCTACATGCTGGCAAAGGGTCCAACATGGGACAGTGTGGTTTGTACTCATAAAAGCTTGCCAACCAAAATATAAAAGCATCAGTGAAAAAAATAATGCAGATGTGATACTAGAGATAGAACTGGTTCCTCTCTAGATGAGATATCTAGGACAATGCTTTTACTTCCTGTGATCTCATAGGCCTCTACATTCACCAGCATCAGTCTAGGTCAGTGTGATTGGGCCCAGAAGGTTCTAAGTGGCAAGGCCGAGTCTGCTGACTCATGAAAGTCCATTCTGCCACATGCAACAAGCTCACCTTTGAACACTGGGCAAGAGTCGGCTGACTAGAAGGTGGCAAAGGTGAACCTGAGGCCCCAGATTCTGTTCTCAGGCTGGTCACAACTGATGCTTGCAGAAACTAGGCTAGCGAGTGCCCTGCAAACATATATGGGTGATTGCAGAATGCAGGACCCAGCAAGACTGTGTGACTGGTGGTACACAAACATTCCCTATGAGGGAGCAACTGAAACCCTGTCTTGCAGCAGTAAGCCAGAAGTGCAGAAAGCAGAGAACTACAAGGGAGTCTGAGGTCGATGCTGTTCTCTGCTGTCTGATGTTCCTTGCAGCCCTCAAGCTGATCTGCTGAGCCCTTATCTCAGCCAATCTATTGACACCATCTCTAGATGCTTTTACCTGCTGAACAGAGCCTTGGACTAGAAATTAAAGTCTAGACCCTCATCATAAAGCCATCAATGACACTGGGGGATAGCACTGATCCAGTTTGAGTCCCAGTTTTCCTCTCACATGGATCTACTTTCCTCCAGTCCAACCAGCTACATGCTAACCCGTTTCAACATGGCTTTGAAAACCATAAAGCATTATCCAATGTCCAGCACTATCACTGGCACTACTGTTTTCAGGAAAGAGATTCAAGGCAGCTCCCATCCAGCAAGCTTCTCTCTCCTTCCATCCCAGCTGGTACAGACCTCAGCAGTGACACCCACAGATGCCAGTCCCTCAGCATCGTCTACCCATGGTCAGCATCCCAGGCGGCAAATATTGATCACAACTGGCTCCATCCTGGTCACCAGACATTTCAGCCAAACGAAGGGGCTCTGAGGAACAAGGCTTCAATTTCTGCACACTGTGGTAGGCAATGATGGCCCTCCCGAGAGATGTCCATGTGCTAATCCCCAGAATCTGTGACTATGTCACTTTACATGGCAAAAGGGACTCTGCAGATGTGATTACGGTTAAGGCCATTAAGAAAAGTATCCTCGATTATCCAGGTAGACCCCATCTAATGACCCAAGTCCTTAAAAGTGGAGAACTTTTCCCAGCTGTAGTCAGAGGGAGATGCAGCTATAGAAGAAGGGTCCAAGAGATGCAGCAATGCTGGCTTTGAAGATGAAGGAAGAGAGTCAAGAGTCAAGCAATGAGGGAGGCCTTTGGAATATGGAAGAGGCAAAGAAACCACCTTCCCCTAAAGCCTCCAGGAAGGACCTCAGCCCCGCCACACCCTCATCTTAGCCTGGTGACAGCCAAGTCAGACTTCTGACTTAAAAACCCCAAGAGAATAAATTTGTCATTTTAAGCCTACATGTGTGGGAATTTGTTACAGCAGAAATCAGAAACTAATACACATGCCAGGTGGAGAAAGCACCCTCTTGCAACCTGGAGCACAGGGAAGGAGTCAGCAGAAAAGGAGAGACCCCGGACAAATTCCTGGACTCACTCTTCTGCCTCTCCTCCCTCCATTAAGTAATAACCATCCAGGCTTGAGGAGTTCATGAACTGGGGGGTTGGGGGGTGTTAGTGCAGAGAAAGTGATTTCTGGATGAGAAGTTAGAATCTATATCCACATCTGGGCTGGACCCACCTTCATGACTTCAATGTGTTTCTGGGTTTTGAGTGTGTGTAAGAAAGAATGGAGAACATGACTATCTCTCCTATATCCATCCCCCTTCCAAAAATGGAGAACATCCCTTATCTGACTCCTCCTTCCTCCCCTCTCCAGCCAGCATCCACAAGGGATAGTCCATCACCACAGCCTCTCCCCGGTGCCTCCTTCCCATCCCAGCAAGAGCCAGCAGCCATCCATTCTTAGCTCTTAGTCATCTCTTTATAGCGATGAACGCCATCGTTAGGAGCCTTTCATTATCAGCGACTTGCACGCAGCTGATGTTGATTTGATAGAATCCAATTTAGCATCCCACTCTGGGCTCTGCTCCATAAGCGTTTGGGTTTAGCATGCACAGGCAGTTTGATGCTGTCTTGATGGCCTTTTAAGCGGCTGAGAAAATTGCTGGCATGGCAATTTAGTGGCAGGCGGGCTCCTGGTGGGTGGGGCTGGAGGAATAAGGGAAGGAGCAAGAGACCAAGGGGACATTTCAGCCCATCGCTGTAAAAGGCAGCTAAGCAGTTGGGAATCACACATTGAAAGTGAAGCAGCAACAGACAAAACCTCCAGGGTGTCTGAGGGGGCCTGGCCTGATGAGACCATGGTGGCTTCTTCTGGCAGGCCCAGTTCTGCCTCCAAAATCAAAGTGCCTGTGAAGGGCACTTCACCATCCACACACTGCTTTCTTCCATGATCTTCCATTTCCCTGCAGAATGGATAAAGTTCCTAGAGGGCAGTGCTGTGCTGGTAAACATTTAACCTCTGGATCTCCAAATTTAAAAGTCCTGATTTGTAGCATTTGTCCATTAACCTGGTGCAAATACTCCCACTATGCCAATTTCAAGCTACCAACGAGATGCCACTGAATGCAGACTTGGGAAGAGATGTCCTCGATGAGTTCTGTGGGTTTGAGGGTCATGATGTTATTCTGAATTTGAGCCCATTTTACAACTGAACAAGCTCAGGCCCTGAATGGTTCCGATTTGGTCATGAGCTAATGGATAAAGCCTTTGCCCCAACAAGAGGCCACAGATGCAAGGCTACTCCACCGCTTTGCTATGGACAGATGTGCAGATCTGAAAAAGCGCTGCCTGGGCCAGAACCAGGAACGTGGTAGACAGGCAGCCACACCCTCTTCCCCACTCATCCACCACACACTGTATTTGAGTGTGTGCCTTCTCCTGGGGAAGGGAGAGGTGTGGGATGTTGGGGTGAGGGCAGGGCCACCTCTTCCTGGGAGGCCGAGGACAAGAGAGCTCCTCTTTCCCCTGCAATCTGATTTTAGTTCAAGAGGCTGAATGGCCTGAGAAGTCTCTTTTTCCTTCCCACCTGGCTCCTTGCCTTCTCTTTCTAACCAGAGACCTCAGAAAATCTATGGCTTGAAATCTTCCCTCTCCTGAGAGGTAGAGTGTAGTGTGTGTGTGTGTGTGTGTGTGTGTGTGTGTGTGTGTGTGTGTCCAGCCTCTGGCCTCTGGCTCTCTTCTTCTGTCCTCTAATTGGATGCTAGGCTTTTCACCCCAGAGGCCAGAGGCATCTTTAGGGTGATACAGTAGAAACCCAGTGCCCCGCATCCCTCCTTGGCCCACCTCTGATTTCAGCCACAGCTGCAGTGCAGAGTTCCAGGCTGGCTCAGATTCACCCCTCTGACAGTGTCCTACTTTAGCAACATGCAGCCAGGCTCACCTCCTTCTGACCCCAGGGCTTTCTCTGTCACCATGTGTT
The DNA here is from genome assembly GCF_000001405.40 of Homo sapiens. Taxonomy (NCBI): domain Eukaryota; kingdom Metazoa; phylum Chordata; class Mammalia; order Primates; family Hominidae; genus Homo; species Homo sapiens. The sequence continues at coordinate 132,685,475 of NC_000007.14, forward strand.
AGACCTGCAAGCAGCAGCAGCAGCCTGAAGTACAGGGAGTTTATGCCCCCAGGGCAACACCCAACCAAACAGGACAGGAGCCAGTGGGAAAAAGCCTCAGCCTCTCAGTCTTCAGGCAGGCAATTCAGGGCATCCTTACTAAGTTGCTCAGAAGCCCCGGCAACACCAAGACTCCATGGTCTTGCTTTTCTCTGCTGCCCCCTCCTGCTTCTTGAGTCCCCTCCCAAATAAACTACTGATAGCAGCAGAAGGCAGCCAAATGCGTAGGCAGGTAGGGGCAGGTCCCCAGTGAAACCCCACCACCAAGCTGAAGATAGCTTAAAGCCTGAAAGCCAAGCTACAAGTCAAATCCACAGGTCAGATTGAGAACCTGTCTTCCCATTTGGTGCACTTTCCTCTGATTGATCCCCACTCTTCACCTATTTTATATATACCTACTCTTTCCTAATTGGTTTTCTACACTGTCATGCCCACCTTTGAGTGGTGTCTTCACTTTAACCTTTTTTGCATACTCACAAACCAATGAGCATATACTTCCCATCCTGAGTCCATAAAAAACCCCGGACCCAGCCACACTGAGAGAAAAATCACCCAACTGCGGGGGTGAAGGATCGCCTCTCCCCCAGCTCCGCATCCCCTCTCCACTGAGAGCTGTTCCATAGCTCAATAAAATTATTCTCTGCCCATTGTCACCCTTCAACTGTCAATGTATCCTCATTCTTCTTGGACACAGGACAAGAGCTTGGGAACCACTGAATGTGGATACAAGCTATAATACTGACAGCGGGGTGGAGAGGTGATTGCCGGCTAGAGGTCCCAGCTTACAACATGATCAAGAAAATTCCTGGGTCACTACCTGCACCAACTCCTTGTCTCGGGCTCTGCTTTCAGATATAAATGCAAACCTTCTGAGGTGATACCAATATTCTCCCCATTTTACAGATGAGGAAACCAAGACAATCACAAGGGTGATTGTCTACCCACCCAGTGTGCCCATAGGACAGGGGTTCTTGGAGCTGCAACCACAGCCCACATTCACTGAGATGGCTGGGACAGGGCTGCCCATGCCGGGAGTCACCTTGGCCATAAAGAACACCCCATAATCAGTGAGTGGCTGTCTCTGTTTGTGCTTGAATTGTTCTCTCTGAAAAGAAACCTTCTCAAAGTTTGAACTCATTTTTGTTTTGCTTTTGTTAATATATACATATATGCATATACACAACATACATATATATGTATAAATCTATATGTAAATATATATGTGCATAAATACATATTAACAAATGTGTCTGTGTGTGTGTATGTGTGTGTATAGTTGAAAGATTGGAAAGAAATTTTCCAAAATGACAACAGTAGTTATTCCTGGATGGTAGCAGATGATATTCCTATTTTGTGTGTGTTTTTCTGTCTTTTCTAATTTTTTCCACAATGAGATATTACCCTGGTAAGAGGCCAAAGCATTATTGTTTTTAAAAACATATCAAACCTCTTTGATGGAATTCATCATTAAAGTAAAACACTGACTGCTAGACAGCAGGGGCCCTTAGCAGGTGTGTAAAACTCCATCCCAGCAGCAAGCCCATCATTTCCTAGGAAACCCAAACAGTAGAGAGGACAGAGGGCAGAGAGAAGACAGAAAAGGTGAATGTGGAGGAAGGGAAGATTTAAAAGTCAGATAAAGTCCCCTTCTCCAGACATGCAGGTGCACTGGGGTGGGAAAGGGGGCTGGGAGAAGAAGGATGGGGACCCAGTTACCGTACAGGGCATGGGCAGTGTGCACCAGTTGTGGGACAGTGGTGATGATTTGACAGGAAGGACTCAAGTTTGAATAAGATGCTTTTAGAGAGCTCTAGAAGGAATGGGCAAGATCTTGGCCTTCACAAAGCTACAGTAAATACATTAGGCAACATTTGCCATCCCATTTTTGGAGATTTCCATTCACCTCGGAGTGCTGAGAAAAGGAGTATTTTCCCAGGTCGGCCAATTCCCCTTTGTCCATTCATCCCACAAATTTGGATGGAGCACCCCTGCTCCAGCCACTGCACTGTCAGCTCCAGGAGTTCAGGATCACAATGGCCTTCCTTACTGTGGTTTCCCCAACAGCTGTTGGCACAGTGACTGGTGGACATCTAATAACTGGGACTGAATAACAGAAAATCCAACCAGTACCCCACCTCATGGAAAAGAGGCTGTCAGTCTGGGTGGAAAGAAAAATTAGTCCAAAGACCAGAGTTTTTATCTCTGTCCTTCTAGCAAACCACCTCACAATCTTTGGGAGGTCAGCTATTTCCTTTATGATCCTTCTTGGACACAGGACAAGAGCTCCAATAGGAAGAGCTTACCTTAAAAGAAAATCCAGAGAAGGAATACATACCATCTGTTATATACTTGTTGTTCCTTAGGATCAAGAACTGGCATAAACTGAGGGCATAAATCAGTCCTGTCCTCAAATGCTAGAGCCACAGGAGAGTCTGAAGAAGCACCCCAGGCAGTCCATGGGGCTCGACGAATACTGAGACTAAGGCGGTGGTATTGGGGGCTGGGACAGCGCTGGGGCTGAGTGTGGATCTTTCTGTTTCTCTTCAATGGCCTCTCCCCTGGGATCTCGTGGTCTTAATGGAGGCTGCATTAGCTAATCTAGTGATTCAATTAGTTCTAAATGCTCCTGGCCTGAGAAGGAGGGACAGGCAAGGTGGGGATTTGCTGACTCCTATTTGCCGGAAAGGGTTTCCCAAGACAATGGAGATGCAATTTGAATTCCCAAGCCCCCCACTTCCTTCTCCATTCAGGAGCCCCAGGGTCATCAACCCAAATGAGATCATGCCTGTGAAAGCACTCTGTAAACTCTTTTTATTACTCATTCCCTCCTGGGGGGAGAGCCCCCCACTGCCTTCTGCAGCCACTTGATGGCCCAGAGGGTAAGGGAGGTAAGGGAGGCTCCTCAGGCAGAAGGACCAGCAAGTTTTTGAGCGGAGACCCCAGAACTACCCTAAGAAATACCAGACTACTGATTTTTCTGACTTTGTAGAATGTAAATGATTTGTTGATCTTCTGCAGCAAACATCAACTTTTTCTCTTGTGACAGCTCTGTTCAGTTCTGGGCCCCTCTATTCAGATGGAAAATCCTGCACCGCTCACATGGGGACACAGGCACAAACTGTCTCTACCATTATTTCCTCTGGTAACCTTCTCCCCACAGAGAGACCTAACTTTGAGAGCAAGGAACTCATCTTTTTTTTTTTTTTGAGAAGGAGCACATCTTAGGTGGCAGTTCCTAGAGAGCTCTGCTCGGGACCTGGCAGGAAGAGACAGAAAAAAGAAAATGTAGAAGAAGAGAGGTCAGCAAAAGGAAAAAAAAAAAAGGACAAAATGGCACAGAGGTGAGTCTCTGCCGTCTGGAGGTCCTTGGAGGAAGATCTGCTTATTGTTGCTAGCTCCCTGGGAGCTGCTGGAATTGGGAGGAGTCACTTTACCACTTTGATCTCAATTCCTCCCATGTAAAATGCGAAGATTTGGTTGGAATAGTGATTCCAACTTGGATTGTGCGTTGGAATCACCTGGGAAGAGTTTAAAACCACGCATGCCTTGGCCCTACACACAAAGATTCTAAACTAATTGGCTTGGGTGTGAAGTCTGGACATGAGATGATTTTTCTTTCTCCAGGTAGTGACGTGCTGGTAAACCTAAACACACTCTCAAAATAAAAAGAGATCTGATTTGTAACATTTGACCATTTCCATAGTGTAAATATTCCCACTCTGGCCTATTTCAAGCAGCCAACAAGTGTAACAACTGGCATACCGCTGTCTCTCGGGAATTCTAAAGAGAACTGCTACATCAGCTACTTCAGGAAAACGCATTTACCTGGGACCATGGAGCGTCAAGTCCTCGGAGTAGAGGTGAGAAGAAAGGGTCTGGTCATAACTCCCATGAGAATGCCCCCCAACAACCCCCTTTCCTCTCATCCCATTCTCCCCACCAAAGGCACTCACAGTGGTTTGCGGAGATAAAGGGCAAAGAAGGAATGAAAGTCCCAGTGGCCTCCAAATGCTGTCAAGGCCACTTCCAGGAAACAACCTCTTAGCTGTTCATCTCCCTTTCTTTCCCATCTGGAAAATCTCTTTAACACTGAAAGCAGTTAGCCAGTCATCTGAAAGGTCAATTTTTCACACATTATCCACTTTCATCAGCAGTAAGATCAAGAACTGTTTTCCCAGAAGACATTCAGAACTTCTGTTAGAGCCAGGGTGGGAAGAGAAGGGGCAGAGGGAGGGACCAATGGGAAGAAGGAAGACATCCGCTCCTCCTAAGCAATGGCGAGGTTTCCGACGTTTCACCTGGGGCCAGGTCTCGGCCTCTCTTCGTCCTCTCCTCCGAGGCTGATCCTCTTGTATTCAACTAAATTTAGTAGTATTTGTTAAGTACATTCACAAATTCAGCTCTGTGCTATTTTGAGAATTTGGTTTTTTGTTTTTATTTTTATTTATTTATTTATTTTTGAGACGGAGTCTTACTCTGTTGCCCAGGCTGGAGTGCACTGGCGCGATCTCGGTTCACTGCAACCTCTGCCTCCCAGGTTCAAGCGATTCTCCTGCCTTAGCCCTCTGAGTAGCTGGGACTACAGGTGCTTGCCACCATGCCTGGCTAATTTTTTGTATTTTTAGTAGAGACAGGGTATCACCGTGTTAGCCAGGATGGTCTCGATCTCCCGACCTCGTGATCCGCCCGCCTCATCTGGGATTACAGGCGGTGAGCCACTGCGCCCAGCCTAGAGAATCTGGTTTTTTAATTGGAAACAACTGTCCTTTGGGACATTAACAACTAGTAGGAGAGTCTTTAAGTCAAGACTCAAGGGAGAAACCAACAAGCTGAGGAACTCTAAGTCGTGTGTAAATCAGTATTGGATTGGTGCAAAAGTAATTGCGGTTTTTGCCATGAAGGTAGTGGCAAAAACCTCAACTGCTTTTGCACCAGCCTAATATGACAGTTGGGTACGGGCTGCATATATGAGTGTTGGTGAAATCCAGGATATGTTTATAAATGTATTTTTTTATATCCCACCAATTTCCAAAAAGGAGTGTAAGTGATGAGACCCAGAAAAGGACCAAAGCCAGTACAGATTCACACTGCAAGTCCTCATGGATGGGAGACTTGTCCTGATACATCAGGCCATTGAGTGATCCCCCGGGTAAGGCAAGTCCAGGTCTACTGGGCCTCTAGGAAGTAACTTTCTCAGGCAGATGGCCCTCAGTTTGGGCAGACGGCTCTGGCAGGGCCATAAACTTGTCAAGTTTTTAACAATGGGTGGGTATGCCTCCACTTAGAGGGGACACCTTTGGCTAATGTGCTCAAACACATTCAACTGGCAAGCAAGAGACCCAGAATGAGTCCATCCTGCCAACGTCACAGAGCCAAGCTGGGCCTCCCCAGCATTCATTCAGACCTGAGGCCCAGGTTCTAGTCCCCACTCTGCAATAAACAAGATTTACTGCTAAGATTCATGGATGCCCTAAAGGAGAACGGGAGCATGAACTTGGATAATAAACAAAATAATCAATAAACACTTAGCATTTGGGTCTTTGGCCATTGCTGTCTTGGATTTACGTTAGGTTTGGGCTAATATGTTACCTCTCCCGAGCCCACATTGATCTGGTGGTGGTTGGATGCCTGGGCGAGTCATCATGAAATATAAAATTAGATGCAGAGATTTTTTTGCATAGGTAGAGTGAATATTTGCCATCAACAAAGCACCCTGAACCACAGAATTGACTAATATTGAAGATAAAGGGGGCTTTGAGATGATCAGCTCAGATCATCCAATTTTACAGATGAAAAAAAAAAACACTAAAGAAGTAAAGTGTGTGGGTCAAAGTCACAGAGCTTCTTAGAGGTGGACCTTTGTCTCGGTGTGTCTGAGACAGAAGGCGTGGCTCCAGCACTCACCACCATTCACAAGCCCACACGCTGTGCCTGAAAGGATATGACAGGGGAAGAAAAGGCTGAATTGCAAAAGAAATATAGAAATAGACAGTAATATGGATGCAATTCAGTGGCAGATCAGGGGGCAGAGGAAGGAAAAAATAGATTCTAGAATTAGGCAAGGACCAGATCAGTCAAGGGTGAAAAAGGAGAATTGTGAATGAAAGATGAATGGGGTACAGACCGTGGAGAAAGATGAAATAAGCGAAGTATGAAATCAACCCTCCTTTGGCCGTACCTTCCAGGGCAGCCTTGAAATATGTCACTTACTGCCTGTCACTTGCAGGTATAGAGGAGGTGAAGTTGGTGGTGAGTGAGGTGGCAGTGGGGATGGCTTTCTGTGTGTGGCCAGGTCACAGCAGAGGGTCTTCAGGGGAGACTTTCAGGAAGGAGCAGTACTCCTGGAAACTTAGGGGTTAACTCATCTGGGTAGATAGCGGAATCTCTTCCTCACCAGCCAGGATGGAACAGTGTCTGCCTTTCTTCATTCCCTGCTGAACCTCTTGCAGCTGCACTTGTTTTCTTCTCTGACCTGGTTCTTGTCTCCATGAGTCCTGGGTGGAGTGCCAGATCAAGCCCCTGCTGTAGGCTAGGTGCGGTGGCTCACACCTGTAATTCCAACACTTTGGGAGGCCAAGGCAGGAGGATTTCTTGAGCCCAGGCGTTCAAAACTAGCCTGGTAGGCCAGGTGCGGTGGCTCACACCTATAATTCCAGCACTTTGGGAGACTAAGGCAGGTGGATCACCTGGGGTCAGGAGTTCAAGACCAGCCTGGCCAACATGGCAAAACCCTGTCTCTACTAAAAATAAAAAAATTAGCCAGGCATGGTGGCGGGGGCCTGTAATCCCAGCTACTAGAGAGGCTGAGGTAGGAGAATTGCTTGAACCCAGGAGGCAGCAGCCTCAGTGAGCCGAGATTGTGCCATTGCACCCCAGCCCAGGCGACAGAGTAAGACTCCATCTCAAAAAGAAAAAAAAAACAAACAAAAAAAAACTAGCCTGGGAAACATAGCAAGACTGTGTCTCTACAAAAAAGAAAAAAAAAATTAATTAGTTGGGTGTGGTGGCATGTGCCTGTATTCCCAGCTACTGGGGAGGCCAAGGCAAGAGGATTACTTGAGCCTGGGAGGTCAAAGCTGCAGTGAGCTATGATGGCACCACCGCACTCCAGCCTAGGCGACAGAGCAAGACCCTGTCTAAAAAGAAAAAAAGAACCTGATGCAAACTCTGCCTCTTCCTCGACTATTCTAATCCCACACACAGAGGTGTGCACAATAAGCCCAGGCCTGAGAGTCCAAATTGCTTAGAATGAGGTCCTGGTGATCATTTAGTAACACAAACCTCTGCCCCTCGCCCTCCCCATCCTCCCTGATCCTCTGCCTGCCTGAGTCTGAGAACAAGAGTTTGTACTGAATTCGACTCCAAGCAGGTAGGATACACCAAACTGGAAGTCACAGTGTGCACTTTAGACAGACACTGTTCAGGAAGTGAAAAATGGCACCTACACCTGCATTCTGGGTGGGGGCCCTTCTGACCCGTGAAAGGACCCGTCAAGCCACACAACTACACAAGGCTTCACCTTTAGGAGAAAGATGAATACTTGGTGAAAACTAGTGTTGACAGACCAGGAAGCCCAACACACAAAACCAAGGGGCACTGTGTCCTCCAGCCAAGCATCACTGGACAGATCCAGGCACCTCTCCTGACTGTGAGTGAGGCCCTGAAACACAAAGATTCAAGGGGCTCGGCCATGTCACACAGCAAGCCTGAGACACCGCAGGGCCCAAATCAGTGTTTCCCAAGTCAGCACCCCATCTCCCGGAAACAGGCTGAGCACACTTTTGAAAGGAGAGAGCTAAGGGGCTGGCATGGGTTTGCTTGATCAAGCTAAACACGGGTTTGATTTGTCAAGCTGAAAGTAAATACATGGGGTTAAGGGACTGTTGTCTTCACAAAGGGAGAGCCAAGCCTAGCCAAAAGTTTTCACAGTCTGCTGGCCACCTACAAAAACTAGACAAAGGAACACAAATACCCACTTGCTCCCTTTAACCCTTCTTTCCCAAATCTCAGAGAAGAGAAACTGGGGGATCTGTAAGTGAGTTGAAAGGTGAACTGCAAATGCCTGGACAGGAGAATCATCCTGGGAGCAAATTAAAATGCAGACTCCAGGGCTCCCGACTCCCCCAGGCTCTGGTCTGGAGTAGGGCCTGGCGATCTGTATTTGTCACAGCACCCTCTGTTGTGTCTGATGCGGTTGGTCCCTGGACCACTCTTTGGAAACCCCTGGTGAGATGGTTATTTAAGGAAATATCGGCAGACACACTTGTCAGGAAGGAAGGGGCAGCTGTGAAATAAAATATAATCATTGGTCTTAGCCCTGGCATTATTTCATCATAATAAAATGATGCTTCAGGTTCCAAGTCACTTTCCTACTCATCTGAGTTGATCTTCCAAGCTACCCAAGGACGCAGTCCACGCAAATGTTATTCATGTCAGATTCACAAAGGAAACTGAGGCTCTGAAAGAAGTCAGGGGCTGATCTGGGGGCACACATTTAGCTATGCAGCAGTGGGAATTTAAAACCAGGACTAATCCATCACTCCAACTTCACCTGGAGTCAAGTCAGCACTCAGACACGGATGGAGATGAATTTGTAAAAGGGAGTAACTTGATTGTCCTCAGAGGCCACAGCCAGCATCAATGTGACAACCCACAGGCATCACCCCAGGGTGCTAGTGGGGTGCTGATGCCCCTTCAGGGACCCTAAGTTGCCTCTGCCCTGTAGCTTCCGCTGTGACACCATGCTATCCCCACCCCTCCTCACCCGCTAAGGGCCAAGTCCATGTCAGAGTCACCAAGGAGAGTGGAGGTGAGGGGAACAGTGGCAAAAGAAAACAGCATCTGAGTTTAAATCCTCCCTTCTGCAACTTAATCCCTGTGTGATCTTGAGTAGGGATTTAACCCTTTCCAGCCTCCCTTTCTCCACCCATATGATGAGGATTTTAATACAGATCTCTTAGGTTCATTACAAAAAGTAAATGGAAGAGTGAACGAAAACTCCAGGACACAGCAATTTGTGTTCTGTCCTTTCTCTCCTCCTAACTCTTCCAAAGGGACACCATATGTAGAGGTCTTGGTGTTTCCCTGAAATAGGAGCTGGTACTGCCTGAAAGTAGAGAGCCAGGGGATAGAGAAACTGGACGTGGCTGATTATCAGAGAGCCTCCAGCCTAGGCGAGCTCTCTCCCAATTTTGCCCGTGACTCCTGCCCCCACCAAATAGGATAATTGGGAATCTATGCAGCAAGATGCTGGCTCAGCAGAGACCCCATATATAAAAATTATTCTTGATGGCTTCAATAGATTTTGCACTGTCCAGGCCAAAATGAAATATGAAGATGGGGTAGTGGAGGATGACTTGGATGACACCCGGAAGTGGTGATTGAATACAACCCATGAGTTACATTCAATACTTATTGAAGAATAAAGGTGAGGTTATTTCTCTTTGGATCTTCCTGATATTGTCTCCGGCATCACATTATACGATTCCCTTCTTCTCTGCGCACTCCAAGAATCTCTGTATCGCTCTCGGTCCTGGTCTGGTGGATCCCCCTGAGGGAGGGCATGTTGCAGGGAAGGAAGGGAAGCTAGGAACTCAGGTGGGGAAGCAAGAGACCTGAGTCACCCTGTCTGTCCCCTGCCTGGCTCTGGGACCCCAGACAAGCCACTCACCATGCCTGGGCCTCAGTTTCCTCACTTACAAAATAATACCACTACTTGCTCCATTTCAGTCCCAGAGATGAGCAGGTAAAGGTTCAGCAGATGGAGCAAAATCGTTAAGACACCTGGACAAAACTAATTGCTCCCACAATGGTTAATTTGGTGGCTCCATAAAGAGGCAGCCACACAATCATTAAAAAGTCAGGAAACAACAGGTGCTGGAGAGGATGTGGAGAAATAGGAACACTTTTACACTGTTGGTGGGACTGTAAACTAGTGCAACCATTGTGAAAGACAGTGTGGCGATTCTTCAGGGATCTAGAACTAGAAATACCATTTGACCCAGCCATCCCATTACTGAATATATACCCAAAGGATTATAAATCATGCTGCTATAAAGACACATGCACACGTATGTTTATTGCGGCACTACTCACAACAGCAAAGACTTGGAACCAACCCAAATGTCCAACAATGATAGACTGGATTAAGAAAATGTGGCACATATACACCATGAAATACTATGCAGCCATAAAAAATGATGAGTTCATGTCCTTTGTAGGGACATGGATGAAACTGGAAACCATCATTCTCAGCAAACTATTGCAAGGACAAAAAACCAAACACCGAGTGTTCTCACTCATAGGTGGGAATGGAACAATAAGAACACTTGGACACAGGAAGGGGAACATCACACACAGGGGCCTATTGTGGGGTGTGGGGAGGGAGGAGGGATAGCATTAGGAGATATACCTAATGTAAATGACGAGTTAATGGGTGCAGCACGCCAACATGCCACATGTATACATATGTAACAAACCTGCACGTTGTGCACATGTACCCTAGAACTTAAAGTATAATAATATATATATATTTTTTTTTTAAAAAAGGCAGCCACAGAGGCAGGGACAGGGCCTGGAAAAATTTTCCAAGAGGGAGCCTCTTTTTGACCCAGGGCATTGTAGAAAAGTTAAAGATAAATGGGACTCTTTGCTCTCTCTGCCCAGTGACAAATCACAGGTGAATATCATTAATTTTGGAGGCTTTGTTTGTTCAAAAGTGAGAAGGCTTTTTGCCTAATGAAGAACTTTAATAGGTGTTGTTTTTCCTAAATTATCATATTAACCACAGATAATTAACAAGCGTATCCTTAATGCCGCAGGATACTGACAAACCCACTGAACGCATCTCGTTGCCTATAAATCATCCAGCCATCCTTCAAGGCAGCTGTTTAATTACTCCTGCATTTGGGAGGCGCAATAGTGAGGCTCTCTCTAAATTTGGTTGCCAATGAAAATAAAGTCAGCAACAATTCAGGTCTTCATCATTATTGTTCCATCTTAAGATGTCGCTGCCAGTTCTATTTATAATGGTGAAAACTGGAGACAACCCAAATGTCCAGCAGTAGGGGAATAGCTTGGATAAACAAATTAAAGGGTCTGAATGTAATGGGTTCTCATACAGCTACCTAATGGCAAGACTCAGTCTATGTCAATACGTGGAAAATGCACATTCTAAATCATGTTAAGTGGAAAAGCAACATAAAATACTATGTACATGGTGATTAGAACTACATAAAGAGTACATTTGTCGACAAATAATGGATGAAAATTTAGGTTATTAAGTGTTGTATTGAATGCTTATTTTCTACTCAAAAGTGGATTCAGTTTATTTTTTAAGACAAAAGGAAATACTGCCAGCAGTGGCTGGTTCAGGCTGTTCTTACTCGAGGCAGAGTGCTGAGGTTCCTGTAATCTGGGAAAAAAAAAAAAAGTGGCTCAGTCCTTTCGGCGCCCCCTCTCCCACCTTGGGCCCCCCTCTCGGAAATGTGCTACATGTTTACAGTTACCCAAGATGAGAATGGTGCTCTTAGGATGGAAATCAGCTGAATGTGTTTTTTCATGCCTCATTGTTCATGGAATCATAGAACTCCAAGCTAGGAGGGATCTTATTCTCAGCAGTAGCATCTATTCTGCTCTCTTTTGCCAGAATTCTCTCCCATGAGCTAGCTCAGCTGCAGTTAGAACCGCCCTGCCAGGCTCTCAAGCCCAGCAGAGGACTTAGCCTGAGGTCTGGCTATGGGGCGGGAGGGATAAGTGGGGGAAGGAGTGAGGGGAAAGGAGCGGCATCCCTGTGCTACCCACCCACAAATCCCCAGCAAGGCACGGGCCAGGAGCTCCACCAGGGAGTGGAGGGGCAGGGGGCCTTTTCTGAATCTGGGAGAGCACTTCCTATTCGAAGTTTACAGGAAATGTATTCATCTTAATCTATCCTTTACAGCCATTCCACTGGGACTTTTTTTTTTTTAAGAGAAGCTTTTCTCTTTTTCCCCAGAGGCAGGTAGGAAAGCAGCGGGGTGGAAGAAGGCAGTTAGGGGCATGAGGAACAGCCTGGGATGGCAGGAAGCCACAGCTGGGTGAAAATTCGGGTGCTGGGTGGCAGGCAACAAGCCAGTCAGCTAGCTTAGATGCTCTGCCTGTTCTGTCTCCATGTCTCTGTCCTGTTCCGTCTCTTTGGCTTTCTCAGGCCACCAAAATGTGCAAGGAGAAGGGAAAGGGATGCAGAGGGGCCAGGCGTGGTGGCTCACGCCTGTAATCCCGGCACTTTGGGAGGCCAAGGCGGGTGGATTACCTGAGGTCAGGAGTTTGAGACCAGCCTGACCAACATGGTGAAACCCCGTCTCTACTAAAATATAAAAATTAGCCAGGGGTGGTGGAATGCACCTGTAGTTGCACCTACTTGGGAGGCTGAGACAGGAGAATCACTTGAACCCAGGAGGCGGAGGTTGCATTGAGCCAAAACTGAGCCACTGCACTACAGCCTGGGTGACAAGAGCAAGACTTGAAAGAAGGAAGGAAGGAAGGGAAAAAGAAAAGAGAGAGAGAAAAAGAGATGAGAGAAAGAAAGGGAGAAAGAAAGAAAAAAAGAAAGAAAGAGAAAGAAAGAAAGAAAGAGGAGAGAAAGAGGAAGAAAGATGCAGAGAGACTAGAAAGAAAGAGAAAGAAGAGAAAGAAAGAGAGATGCAGACTCTGTTGAAAGAAAGAATGAAGGAAGGGAGAGAGAGAGAGAAAGAAAGAAAGAGAAAAGAAAACAAAAGAAAAAGAGAGGGAGAAAGAAAGGAGGAAAGAGAGAGAGAGAAAGAGAGGAGGGAAAGGAGAGAAAGAAAGATGCAGAGAGACTCTGTAGAAAGAAAGAGAAAGAGAAAGAAAGAGCTGCAGACTCTGTTGAAAGAAACAAAAGAGGAAGGAAGGAAGGGAGAGAGAGAGAGAAAGAGAGAAAGAAAGAAAGAAAGAAAGAAAAAGTAGGAAGGAAAAAGAAAGAAAGAGAAGGAAAGAAAGAAAAGAAAAGAAAAAGAGAGAGAGAAAGGAGAGAAAGAAAGGGAGAAAGAAAGGAAAGAAAGAGAAAGAAAGAGACAGAGGAGAGAAAGGAAGATGCAGAGAGACTGTAGAAAGAGAAAGAGAAAGCAAAGAAAGAAAGAGATGCAGACTCGAAAGAAAGAAGGAAGGAAGGGAGAGAGAAAGGAAGGAAGAAAGAAAAAGAGAAAGAAAGAAAAAAGAAAGAAAGAAGGAAGGAAAGAAGGAAAGAAAAGAAAGAAGGAAAGAAAGGAAAAAGAAAGGAGAAAGAAAAGAAAGAAAGAAAGAAAGAAAGAAAGAAAGAAAGAAAGAAAGAAAGAAAGAAAGAAAGAAAGAAAGAAAGAAAGAAAGAAAGAAAGAAGAGAAAGAAAGAGAGAAAGATAGATGCAGAGCCGAAGGTCTCGGCCGGTCCAGTGATCCCAGGGCCCAACCTGTGGCTCTCTGGTCTCTTCCCCGCAGCATTTTACTTCCAAAGCAGGAGGATCACTCACTGACCCAGCAGCGCTGGGAGCTCACTTTGCCATCAGCCCGGACTGATGCGTGGCATGCCGCGGGGACACATGCCTCTGTAGAGGCAGACGGAGGACAGCACCTTCTCCCTCCCACCACCCCTGCTGTTTGGGAGAGGTCTCCATCTCCTCTCCCACTCACATCTGCTTGTGGTGCACTACCTCATCGGCTCTCATTCTCGCTCCCTGCTTCCTACTTCTAGTTAAGATTTTATTTCTGGTCCTCATTAACATATTCAAGCAAAGCTGAGGCTGAAGTCCTGAGGTGACCTGAACCAAGACGTTGTATTCGCTTCTGTCCGTCACGGTGTGTGTAGGAAGCATTTAAGCCAAAGCTATTTTTGAGGAGCTCTCTAAGCCAGAAGTACCAATAATAAGCACAGTTAGAAAGAGGAAGGCCGGCCGGGCGCTGTGGCTCACGCCTGTAATCCCAGCACTTTGGGAGGCTGAGGTGGGCGGATCACGAGGTCAGGAGATCTAAACCATCCTGGCCAACATGGTGAAACCCTGTCTCCACTAAAAATACAAAAAATTATCCAGGCGTGGTGGCAGGCGCCTGTAGTCCCAGCTGCTGGGGAGGCTGAGGCAGGAGAATGGCGTGAACCCAGGAGGCGGAGCTTGCAGTGAGCCGAGATCGCGCCACTGTACTCCAGCCTGGGCGACAGAGCGAGACTCCGTCTCAAAAAAAAAAAAGAGGAAGGACAAGCCATCATCATCTGCAAATTGCCCGAGGCTGATGGGAGAGGGTGGTGGGAAACCAGGCAGATGGACATTTCCTTTCAGTATGCACTTAAGTAAGGTCATGGAAATACAGGCATGGCCAAAGCACAGGTGTGATGCGGGCACTGTCAATATCCTCATTTTACATGAGAAGAACTGACGGTCAGAAGAGTCCAATAACTTCTCCACACTCACACAGCAGGTAGGTAATGACACCACGATGGAAAGCCAGGTGGACACCAGACCCCAGCTCCTACAGAGTGTTCTATTCTGCCACATTGATGACCCTTACAGGAAGGAGTAAAGGGTGAACGAAAGACAAATAAGAAAACAACAACAACAACAACAAAAACACCATTAAAAGAAATTCAATGACCAGCCAGAAGGAATATTGAAGTGTCAAAATCGTAACCTCCCATCACAGCACAGAATCTAGGAAATTATTTTCTAATATGTTTTGCTCTGGCTCTGCATCCCTAAAATGAGCTTCTAAGCTACCCCATGGTTTTCTGAAGGGCCTGTTTACTGGGGAGGCTGTGCCTGGACCAAATAACCTGGCAGGTTCTCAGGCCAGGATCATTTATCCACTTCATTTCCTGGTTGGCAATGCAGCCTCCTGGGGCTCTAGGGTGAGTGGAGTGCTGTGGCTCACTTCTGTCCACCTCAGGCAGGCCAGATAACCAGTGGGGCATCTGCCCAACACAGCAGGGGCCAGGGACTGTGCCCAGGTGCAGGAGGGCATCCAGCCAGCCAGCGGATCCCCTAGAGAGCTCTAGACGGTCAGAAGGAGGAGGAAGCTATGCAGCTCTTCCCATGATCACCTACTGGTGCCATTTTCTTACCTGCCCTCTTGTCTCCAACTTAGCCTACATCTTTACTAGAAAATCCATCAGGAACTTTTACTATATCATCCCGTGCTTCAACTCCAGCCAGATGACCCCTTCCTACCATTCCAGTGGTTCCCCCAATTCCCTCCCCAAGGGAGCCATGCAAAGAATGTGGCATGGATCATATAAACAGTGATTCCTAGCTATTGTCACCAATACAAAAAAAATTCTACAAATAAAAAATAGGGTGCAAGAGAGCGAGAGGAGAAAATATAAAGAAAGTGTATTCAGCATGATAGGATTTCATTTGTGTAAAACTTCTAATTACACATGCTTATTTGCCCAGAGGGTGATCTATAGTTGCCTGGGGTATGGGATGGGGGATTTCAGAGTGGTTTTTCTTTCTTTTTTATACTTCTCTGTATTAAACAAAATCCTATACTAAACTTGCATTATCTCTCCAAAGAGAAAATATATTAAAAGCTCTGATTTGTTTTTTTGTTTGTTTTTTAATGGAGAGTATCTCTCTCTCGCACCCAGGCTGGAGTGCAGTGGCACGATCATAGCTCACTGCAGGCTCGAACTCCTGGGCTCAAGCCATCCTCCTGCCTCAACTTCCCGAGTAGCTGGGACTACAGGCATGAGCCACTGCATTTACATGCACCTGCTAAATATATATATATATATTTACATATATATAAATATATATATATGTATTTACATGCAGCATGCCATTTTATGCTCTTTGAAATCTAAGTGGGCTAAGGCCAGCTCAAAGGAGAATCACCTCTCCCTGGACCAAGTGGATGCTCCTTCTCCAAGTGCTGCTGGGGCTGCCTTATTTAGGGCTGCTTAGATCCAATGTGTAGACTTGACTGCTAAGTTACTCTAAGGAGGCACATAACGACTACGTTTTCTAGACATTCGTACATTTTAATTAAGAGAATATATTTTCATTACCTCCCTATCCCTCTAAGGCAGCCTTGGGAATGCTGATAGGCCCTGTTCTTCACTAACAGCTCCCCTGGGGAAAGGCAATAAACCTCTTCTTCACCTGTCCCCGCTGTGCCATGACAATGACATTTCTCTTCGCCAAAGCCGAGCTTGATCAGAACTCTGAGCTCCTATCTCTTATCTCTGTGCCTGTGTCTGTGACTCAGCTTCTCAAAAGGTACATCTTTACATCCCTGTATCTATCAGTCACTTCTGATTCCCTCAAGCAGAAGCCCTCCCTCGTGACCCATGGCTCCTCTGAATCCCACTCAACTTCCAACATGATGTATCCATCAGAAACGTGTTCCATTAGAAAGCCTGACTTAACAATAGCTTAAACAAATTGAGTTTTATTTTTCTAAATAGCAAAAGGTCTGAAAGTAGGTGGCTGATAACATTGACTCAGATTTCAGAGTCAGTGGTCTCCATAATTCTATTGACCGTTGCTTTCATGGGCCCAAAATGGCTGCCCCAGCTCCAAACATCACACCTATAGCCCAGGCAGGAAGAAGAATTGGTGGAGCTCAGCCATGACATGGCTTTTTCATCAAGAAAGCAAAAGCTTTCCCAGAATACTCAGAGCAGACTTCCATGTGTATCTCATTGGCCAGATTGTTATCATATGATTATCCCTGGATGCAAGAGAGACTGAGTGAGCAAATATTTAGCTTTTCCAGGCCTCTAAAGTAGCCTGTTGTGAAAAGCCATAGGATTAGCAAACCTGCAGTCTCTGCCATACGGGTCAAATTCTTTCCTTAAGAAGCCTGACAAACAGAATCACAGAAGCAAACTTTTACCAAGTGCTTGCTCTGCCCCAGGTCTCTGCTTAGTGCTTTCTTTTCATCTGCTGTCTCAGGTAATCCTTCCACCAACCACATGGCAAAAGCATGACTATTCCTCCATTTTATAGATGAGAAACCTGAAACTCACAAAGGTTAGAGAACTGACCCAAAGTCACCCAGCCTGTAAGTGTCAGAGCTTGGATTTAAATCCCTCTTAGCCAGGGATCAACAAACTCTTTTGGGAAGGGCCAGATAGTACATCTTTCAGGTTTTCTGGGTCATATAGGCTCTGTCACCCCAACTCTGCTATTGAAGAGCAAAAGCAGCCACAGCCCATGTAGATAAACGAGCTGTGTGTCAATAAAACTTTATTATGGACACTAAAATTTGAATTTCATATCACTTTCACCTGTGACAAAATATTGTTCTTTTTTTTTTTTTTCCCAACTACTGTATTTAAAAATGTAGAAACCATGCTTCATCAAGGGCGGCACAAATACAGGCCTTCATTCAGATTTGGCTCACAGAGCCAGAGTTTGCCAGCCACTGCTGTTGGCTGGTGCTGTCCACATTTGTGATTCTAAGCTTATGCAGGGTTGTTTTTTTGTTGTTTTTTTTTCTTTCTTTCTTTTGTTTGTTTGTTTGAGACAGCGTCTTGCTCTGTTGCCCAACCTGGAGTATAGTGGTGCAATCATAGCTCACTGCAGCCTTGACCTCCCAGGCCCAAACAATCCTTCCACCTCAGCCTATATATATATTTTTTATTTATTTATTTGTTATTTTTTTATTTTATGTTTTTGAAATGGAGTCTCACTCCGTCACCAGGCTGGAGCGCAGTGGCACGATCTCGGTTCACTGCAAGCCCTGCCTCCTGGGTTCAAGCAATTCTTCTGTCTCAGCTTCCCAAGTAGCTGGGATTACAGGCACCCACCACCACGCTGAGCTAATTTTTGTATTTTTAGTAGAGACATGGTTTCACCATGTTGGCCAGGATGGTCTCGGTCTCTTGACGTCGTGATCCACCCACCTCAGCCTACCAAAGTGCTGGGATTACAGGCGTAAGCCACCATGCCCAGCCCACCTCAGCCCCTTGAGTAGCTGGGACCACAAGAATGTGCCACCTCAGCCAGCCAATTTTTTAAAATTTTTTTGTAGAGATAAGGTCTCCTTATGTTGCCCAGGCTGGTCTCAAACTCCTGGCCTCAAGTGATTCTCCCACCTCAGCTTTCTGATTAGCTAGGGCTATAGGTATGCACCACCATGCCCAGATAATTTTTTAAATTTTATTTTGTACAGAAGGGGTCTCATTATGTTACCCAGGCTGGTCTCAAACTCCTGGGCTCAAGCAATCCTCCTGTCTCAGCTTCCCAAAGTGCTGGGATCCCAGGCATGAGCCATGGCCCCTGGCTTTATGCCGGGTTTAATGTCCACATTCACCCCTGCCCTCTGCTTGCCCAAGCTCCTGCTTTGGCCTGGACCTGTCCATTCTGCTGTCTGTGGCTCCCGCACCCATGCGCCTGGATCCTGAGGACAAGACAGGCCCCCACCCCACCTCATCTCAGGGAGCCTCCGTGAATTCCTTCAGCCATTGCTGGTGCCCCTGCTGGTGATTTTTGTCACAAGAGAGTTGGCACTCCCAAAAAGCCCGGCCTGTCAACATTGGAGCTCACCTGCCAAGGACCAGAGCAGTCACGGGGTGGTAATTTTTGTCATGTTTTAGAGCATGGGGTGACATTTTTCTGCCCTTAACAGCAGGCACTCCACAAGCTGTCGGGAAAGAAGAAAAATAGGAATGGAAGCCTGGGTTGCTTTTCTTTTTCTAAGTAATATTAGATCTCTTTTTTTAGGTGGATGCTTAAGGATGTGTAGAGGGAGTGGGGAGAAGACTTGGGCACTTATTTCTGCTATTTTCTCTTCCTCTCAGGTAGAGATGCCCTCTCTGCACTGCACAGGCCTCCATCACCCTCACAAAAAGCACCCAGGAATTTCCTCCAGGCTCTATAATCACCCCTCTGTAAATGGCACACTTGTTCACAAAAGCCGCTGCTGCCTTGAACTATTTTGCTTGCCTCTTTGCAGCTCCTCTGCCAGGGGCAGAGAAGTGCTCATCGCTGAAGATTTCCAGAAGGTCCCATTGGTCAAGATTATAAATGCCAGGAATGGTGTCCCTGGATTTTAGGCGCTTCCTCCTCTCCTAGTGCTTAATTGTCTCAGAGTAATTCCCAAAATAGTGGCTGCATTTTTTCACTTTGACTCTGACGTTGCATAGTCCATGAATATTTGAAAGCTCCCCTAGGTGACCTTGGTTAGCCTCTCTGGCCACTGTTGACTCCTCTGTAAGAATGATGGCCACTCGATCTACTTGGAAGGCTTATTGTAAGAAACAAATGAGATTATTCTGTGTCACCCTTCCCGCGACCCTAGCACATAGCAGGTGCTCCAACAGTGGTACGTTCTTTCTTGCTTTAAGTTGGATCACTGAAGTTACCCTCCGAGACTCCATGTTTGATAACCCATGAGCACTTTAGATTGGTTCCTGTCCACAACTCCCGGGCCTCCAGCCATAAGGAGGATGGGGTTAAGTGTAGATGAATCAAAGCCACCAGCCTCTTCACAAGATAAATACTCCCTGAGAGTAGACAGCCCATGGACAGCAACGTTGGCTTTGTACAGGAAATATAGCAGCTTTAGCTGATGGCTTTGGGCAGTGTTGGTTGACTGACCCTGAGTTCATGCTTGGCTCCTTCTTGGCTCATACCCTTACTAGAGGGGGCACTTTTCTTCTAAAAGAATGAGAAAATCCTTCCGTTGGCCCTGATTCCCTTTGAAGAAGGTGCTGGTCTCAGGCTCAGAGTCTGCTCTGGTTTATACTTTATTGGTCCAATGTTATGAATGGAGAAGAGTGAGAACAGAAACAAAGACGTTGAAGAAGGCAAACGTGAAATCTATCTTGGCAGGCAGAGTCTTGAGGTTGAGGAAGAGTGCCAACCACAAAGTGCACTTCCTAGATTTCAGCTCTCCATTCTCTCTCACCCACACTCTCAGCTGCAGACAACACCCGTGATCCTTGGAGTAGGACCTGGCCAGGCTCTGTGGCTCTGAAAAGCAGCTCTAGAAGGGAACCCCTGAAAAGGGGCTTATGTCCTCTAGGTGTCAGAAACAAAAGAGAACAGGGGCGGACTTATCTTGAAACCTAGACAGCTTTGACTTCATTGCTCACTCATTCCAGCCAGGGAATGGACAGGGCTGTCAGCACAGCCAAGGTACCCTGGTTCCCATTTCCCTGTGGTCCATGGAGACTTGGCCAGACCTGGGGTGATCACATTCCTTCTCTCCAAGGACACAGCCTTATATGCAGAAGGAAACAGGGCAAAACACTTGTCTCCAGTCTCCCCAAAGGCCTTAGGCTATGAATGCTATCCTTTCAGGACGGTTCCAGCCGACCACATTTAACTCCTCAGCACCCAGGTTTGGGCTCCCACATATTCTCCAGCAGTTTTCACTAGTACCAGTACTGGAGGCCCCCTGAGCCCAAGGCCCTCTGGACACACTGGGCAAGGCTCTTCTTCTGAGGTTAGTTCCCTGGCAGGTCCCAGGTCTCACCCTGGGAGGCACTGGGGGACACACAATTCCCATTTGGAAACGAGAAAACTGACGCTGGAAGAGGAAAATGACCTGCGTGAAATCCCAGGGCCAGGCACAAGCAGATGGATGGTTGTTTGTTTGTTTGTTTGTTTGTTTTTGAGATGGAGTCTCCCTCTGTCACCCAGGCTGGAGTGCAGTGGCACGATCTCAGCTCACTGCAAACTCCACCTCCTGGGTTCAAGCAATTCCCATGCCTCAGCCTCTTGAGTAGCTGGGATTATAGGTGGGCACCACCACACCTGGTTAATTTTTGTATTTTTTTTAGTAGAGATGGGGTTTCACCATGTTGGCCAGGCTGATCTCAAACTCCTGGCCTCAAGTGATCTACCCGCCTCAACCTCCCAAAGTGCTAGGATTACAGGCGTGAGCCACCGCGCCCAGCTGCAGAGGAATCTTAAAAAGGACCTCCGAAGCTTCTTTTTAGAAAACTGTGGTAAAACACACATAATATAAATGTACCACTTCGATCATGTTTCAGTGTGCAGCTCTGCGGCACTCACATTGCTGTGTCACCATTGCCGCCATCCATCTCCAAAGCTCTTTTCATTTTTCAAAACTGAAACTCCATACCCCATTAAAAAACAGGTCCCCATCCCCACTCCCTCTCCCCCCAGCCACCCCTGGTACCTACCACTCTCCTTTCTGTCTCTGTGAATTTGCCTATTCTATGTACTTCATTTAAGTGGAATCACATGATATCTGTCCTTTTGTGACTGGCTTATTTTACCTAGGATAGTGCCCTAAGGTCCATCCATGTTGGATCATGTGTCAGAATTCTCTTCCTTTTGAAAGCTGAAGAATATCCCATTGTAGGTAAATACAGGTTGAGCATCCCTAATCCAAAAACCTCAAATCTGAACTTTTTGAGCATCCACAAAACACCACAAGGTACCTGACACCTTTGCCTTCGGATGGGTCAATGCATACAAACCTTGTTTCATGCACAATTTTTTTTTTCCTTTGAGAGAGGGTCTCACTCTGTCACCCAGGCTGAAGTACAGTGGTACGATCTCAGCTCACTGCAACCTCTACTTTCTGGGTTCAAGCAATTCTCCTGGCTCAGCCTCCCGAGTTAGCTGGGACTACAGGCGCGTACCACCACGCCTGGCTAATTTTTGTATTTTTAGTAAAGACAGGGTTTCATCATGTTGGTCAAGCTGGTCTTGTACTCCTGACCTCAAGGGATCTGCCCACCTCAGCCTCCCAAAGTACTGGGATTACAGGCGTGAGCTACTGTGCCGGGCCTCATGCACAAAATTATTAAATTGTATAAAATTACCTTCAAGCTGTGTGTATAAGGTATATATGAAACATAAATGAATTTTAAGTTTAGACTTGGGTCCCATCTCCAAGATATCCCATTATATATATGCAAATATTCCAAAATCCAAAAAAAATGTTCAAAAACCCCTCAGATCCCATGCATTTCCAACACTCAACCTGCATCACATTTTGTTCATCCATTCATCTGTTGCTGGACACCCAGGTTACCTCCACTTTTTGCCTGTTGTGAATAATACCACTATGATCACGGGTGGACAAGCACCTGTTTGAGACCCTGCTTTCAGTTCTTTTGGGTCTGTACCCAGAAGTGGTATTGCAGCATCACATGGTAATTCTATTTTTAATATTTTTAGGAAGCATCATACTGTTTTCGATAGTGGCTACACAATTTTGCTTTCCCATCAACAGTGCAATTTCTCCACATCTTTGCCAATATTTACTTTCTGTTGTTATTGTTTTTGTTGTTGTTTGATAATAGCCATCCTAATGGGTGTGAGGTGCCAGAGCTTCTTTAAAAGCATCCAGGTGTGTGAGTGTGTATGGTACAGTGAGATGGGTAAAGAATGAGGTAGACTAGGTGTTTATCACTCTTTTGAAGCCTGTAAGTGGCCCCTCACCACTTAGCCGAAGCCTCGAGGAAGTGTATGCAATTGTTACAGGTTGAATAGCGTCCTCTCAAAATTCATATGCTAAAGTCCTCATGCTCGGTACCTCAGAATGCGACCTTATTTGGAAATAGGGTCATTGCAGATGTAATTCATTAAGACAATGTCATACTGGAGTAGGTGGGCTCTTAATCCAACATGACTGGTGTCCTTATGAAAAAGTATGCCAGGTGAGGAGACAGAGACACACACCGAGGGAAGATGGTGTGAAGAGATAGGGAGAAAGCAGCCATCTTCAAGCCAAGGAAGGCCTGAGGCTTCCAGAAACTAGAGGAGAAATCTGGAACAGCTCCTTCCCTGGTGCTGTTAGGGGAGCCTGGTCCTGCCGACACTGATTTTGGACTTCCAGCCTCCAGAACTGTGAAACAACAAATTCCTGTCATCCTACCCAGTTTGTGGCACTTTATGATGGCAGCCGTAAGAAATGAAGACAGAGGCCACCAGATACATGTGACTGGGGACACCACAAAGTGGGAGATGTTCCCCTGGTGAAGAAAGGGCCTGCGATGATGTCTCTCAGCCTCTGGCTCAAGTGTTAAAGTCATTTCCATGATATCAGCCCAGAAGGCCATTGGCATTCAAGGGCTTCGCATTCATGGTTTTAACTATTCATGAATGACCCCATCATTTACTACGGGTGATGTGCAGTCATTTGTCACATTGCCAAGGCATGGTCATATACTCAGAGCCGGGTGTAAGGACAGGGCACTGGGCTGGTGGCTTTGTTCTTCTCCATTTGTCATGGAGCACATGAGAGGTGATAAAGCCTGTGCTTCTTTGTGGGAAACTGGGTGTGAAAAGAAAGACAGCTGCTGGCATGGCAGGGAAGAGAAGAGGTCTAACTAATCACGTGATGGTCTAGGCCAGAAAGCGGCTTTATGAATTACCCAAGTGCTGTATTTATAGAACCATTATGGATTTTAAAGAGGTACTAGGTTTTTCAATTATACTTTATTACCTTGCGGGGTAGAAATTACACGACTTGATGTCATTCTCAAATTTGGTAATTCACTAAGGTCCAAGGCCATAGCCTTTAAGAATGTCAAGGGTCTACTCTGTGACAATAAGATTCCACTGCATTTTCTAAACTTTTTCCTTTAGGTAGTAGGCTTTCCACAGACTATAATTATTGCTATATCCTTAAACCATGGGTATGTCACTTGTGTGGTATAATTTGGAGCAATTCTGAGAAGAACTTTGCACTAAATCACCTATTCTTCAATACATTTTCCCTGCCACAATGTATACCTGAGGCCTGAAAATCTGACATTATAGACTCATGCCTTTGAATGAAGACATGGCCTCAACTTACAAAGCACCCATATTGCAAGGATTTAATTATCGATAATCACTTACTCCTCAGTATGAATGAGTTTGCAGAGTCTAAAACTAGCCTGACCATAGTTGCTAAGAGAGAAAGTGAGGAGTGCACAGATGACCCTGGCATCTGGCAGGAAGAACACAAGAATCTTGTAGACTTCACCAGGATTCGCCCTGACAGGACCATCCTGTGTAAGGATGGGAGGGAGGCTCAGTGCCCACTGGAAGTGTGTGAGCCTCTATCAGTGAAGCTGATGTGGCACAAAGAGATCAGAAGAGGGAATTCCTCCAGTGACATTCAGTTATTGGAGCTATGAGTTGTCGTTGTTTCAAATAAACTCTTATAACCACACAAATTAGCGAAAGTGTAACTAATCATCTGTTGTGGAGAAAGAAAACTCATCCTGGGGTATCTCTTAAGTCTTGACTTCCAAGATAATGTTAATGGATAACAGATTTCTTGAGCTCTTACTCTGCCCTTCAACTCCCTCTTGGTTTTCTTCTTTCAGAGTTCCATCCTTCCCTACCATCTCTAGAATACTTTTAAGGTGATTCTAAAAAACAAAGCAATGTCAGTAAACGCCATGGAACCGCTAGGTTGTCAGATAACCGCATTGTTCTTTTCCAAGATGGCCACAAAGACCATTTTTGAAACTGTCTTGGGTTTGTGAAAATAAGGATTAAGTTCGACAGAAAATAGATAGCCAGGGCGTGAAGTGTTCACACCATTATGGAGCCTGTCAGTTAAGCACAACCGCTGAGGCGGCACACCCTCAACATTCAGGTGCTTTTGCCTGTCTCTATATTCAAAGAGGTTTTTTTTCTCATTTTGCATTTGTGTTCGCAGAGAACCTATACTCCTTCCAGAATCACCACCACCAGGGGGCTCCTCAACCAACTGACATTTATTATTATTATTACTTGTGTGTATTACAGCAGCAGACGTTGATCAAACACTTAAATGCAAGCCAGGTGCTAGCTAGGCTACGGAGGTAGGGACCATTATTATCTCCACTTTACAAAAGAGGAAACTGAGGCTGAAAGAGGATAAGGAACTGGTGGCAAGGGGTGGAGCTGGGGTAGAACGTGATTCTATCTGACTTTGGAGCTGAATTGAACATGAAAACCACTGTGGAGACTGTCCTCAAGGGGATGGAGCTGGAGTTTGAGGAGAGAAAGACAAGCATTATTGTGCAGTTAAGATGTGTTGAGATGGTGTTAACACCATGAAAGCTAAGTGTCTTGTGGACCAAAATAGGATGTTAACATAGATTTTCTGAAACAGAGTAATATGACAATTCCGCTGTTGTTGAAAGATATATTTGGTAGTGGTCTAGAGAAGCTCTCTCCCTACCTTCTAGGACTCTTTTTCTTTTTTTTCAACTGACAATCACATCTAGTTTGGAAAACTGATATTCCCTGGGACAGATCTACCATCCTCACATCTTGTATAGACTCCTTTTATCAGGGCCTGGTGGTCCCAGTTCTTCCTAGAGAAACCCATAGCAACATTCTTGATGGTCAGTGGTCCGTGGACTGGGGGGGTCCCCATGGCCATCTGTCCTTCCTCTTGGCTCCCTTCTGAGGGGCAGGCAGGGTCCTAAAAGGACAGAGCCCTGTGGACCTGGCAGCAGCTTAAGTATTACAAGGTTGAATTCACCTAACCTAGGCTGGGAGACTACAGCACTGCTGGTTTCTTTATCTAAACTTGTATAGGTATAGTTTTTCCCACTAAATTGCATTTCAAAAGTATAAACTTGAATATAAGAATAGTTCATGAGAATTCAGGAGATGAGGAGCCCCAAAGGTCGCTGTGAGGTTTATGTCTCACCAGGCTGCACCCAAACCCACTGAGCCCAAGCTTCTCCAAGAGGACAATGCACTTCTCAGAGCTCCCTCCACTTAGGGAACTCTGGGCACAAGGCATCCAAATTACCCAGGGCCCAAAACACTGAGCCCCCTTATGTGAAATTCCAAATAAAAATAGCACTAAACTATAAGGGTAGGAAAGTCCAGCCTGGTTCCGATTTTTTCCTAGAATGACTACTTCATACTGTCAAGTATCTAAACATCTTGTGAGAGAGAGAGAGAGAGAGAGAGAGAGAGAGAGAGAATGGGAATGCAACTACTTAGTCTGCGTTTTGGGATACCCAACACTGAAAGCTATTCAAGGCTTGGTTGTGTGGTTGTGTTCTATCCCAGAGCTCCTAGGTATGCCAAGGCTTCATGGCAGATTGCGACGATGCTTTGGGAAGCAGTCCATCTCGTCAAGTGGAAAAACTCCCCAGGTGCAGCTGTTCCCTCCGACTCACTGAAGTCAGAGAAATCCTCTATTAATATCTTCAGCTTTCTAAGACGCAGGGAGTAACTGAGGACTCAGACACAGCTACCTGCAGGGGTGAGGTGGTTAGAACTATCCAGCTTTGGGGTCTCACTCACCACTCCACCTTGCTACCACATCTCAGCCCTTTGTCAATATAAAGGGGCATAGTTCCACATACTCGATTTGACTCAAGGTCATTAGCCCATCAATAACTTATCTCCGGAGAAGACAGTCTCCTGTGATCTTTACATGATTGTAGGAGGCTCTCCTCCTAGATTGCTATACAAGATGGTTTGAGGCTTTGGGGGTCTGAGAACCCTGCACTAAACTACTCTATTTCTAGCCCTTCCCCACTGCCATGGCATATACCTAATATC
The DNA here is from genome assembly GCF_000001405.40 of Homo sapiens. Taxonomy (NCBI): domain Eukaryota; kingdom Metazoa; phylum Chordata; class Mammalia; order Primates; family Hominidae; genus Homo; species Homo sapiens. Next base: position 132,711,970 of record NC_000007.14, read on the forward strand.
AGATATCTTAAAGTCAACATTATAGATTCTGGCCAGGCATGGCGGTCCTCCCTATAATCCTAGCACTCTGGGAGGCTGAGGTGAGAGGATCACTTGATCCCAGGAGTTCAAAACAGCCTGGGCAACATGGAAAAACCCTGTCTCTAGCTAAAAAAAAATAAAAAAATAAAAAAAAAATTAGCCAGGCATGGTGGCACGTGCCTGTAATCCCAGCTACTTGGGAGGCTGAGGTGGGAGGATCACCTGAGCCTGGGGAGGTTGAGGCTGCAGTGAGCCATGATTGCACCACTATACTTCAGCCTGGGTGACAGAGTGAGACCTTGTCTCAAAAAAATAAAATTGTATATTCTTCCTTGTTCTCCTCCTACTTCAAGGAAGACATATTGAGTCTAACAAGAGCCCTTCAGTCTCACTCCTTAAGCCCTGGGGCCTTGGTCTACTATATCCTTTCCAAGTTGTTCCCTAATAGCATCTTATTTCAATAGTGACCCACTGGGGAAGGTCCCAGGAAAGATGCTTGGTTTTGCATGTGAGTGCTGGAGCTCAGTCAACTAATATTAATGCAACTTCCCATCTTTCTCTATCAGAAATCTTTTTTTTTTTTTTTTTTGAGACACAGTCTCGCTCTGTTGCCCAGGCTGGAGTGCAGTGGCCCGATCTTGGCTCACTGCAAGCTCCGCCTCCCAGGTTCATGCCATTCTCCTGCCTCAGCCTCCCGAGTAGCTGGGACCACAGGTGCCCGCCACCACGCCTGGCTAATTTTTTTGTATTTTTGGTAGAGATGGGGTTTCACCGTGTTAGTCAGGATGGTCTCGATCTCCTGTCTGTCAGAAATCTTTACACAAACATGCACACTCGCACACACCCACATACATCTCTATACCCCATTCCAGAGGGAGCATTCACTTTCCCTGTAATGCTCTCCCACTGTGAGTCGTGATGGCCAGTAGAGATGATGTAATAATAATTTTATTGGATCAATATATCATTTAGAAAATAAAATCTCTCCCCTTCACTGGGTGATGACCATGAGGGGAAATGCCTGTGTCTGGTCAGTAATTTATGTCTGTCAAGCACAATGAATGGGATCTCTAGCTCAATGCACTTGTCTTTGTGTTTTACTGTATACTCTATGTTTCCAGCAGTGTCTGTAAAACATCCCTCTGAAGGGCTCTCCTTTGAGCAGGAGGCAGCTCCGTCCCCCCAAGAGGTTTAGATCCCAGTCAAGCAGGGAGCTGGCCTGGCCATGGCTTTTCATTTCTTTGTGCAGCAGATGACAAGGTCAGTTTCGTTAGGCCAGTGCTTGCGAAGACACTTCTTTGCCTTCCTTAGCAAGCATTAGGAGACCCATTTTACAGATAGGGAAAACAGGGGACTAAAAGGGTAGAGCTTTCCTGCAGCCCATAAGGTTAAAAAAAAAAAAAAAAAAGGTCTTCATTTTCAACAGTAATAAAACACTCTGTCCATGCCTCTCTACAACTTTGTGGCTGGGATCAGAGCAGGAGAAGGTGGGTAGGAAACCATATCACTTTGTCATGACAGCTTCATCCAAGTCCGGAGCACAGAGCAGCTCGGCTCTCTATCTCTTTCCAAGTCCTTTCTAATCCTATCATCACATTCTGACCCATGGCCTCCCCGCCTCCATCCCCTCTTCTCTCCTGAGCTGGCAAATCCTTTGGAGCTGGCACTTCTGTGCCATATTGCTTGGTACTGTGTTCGTGTGCCGCTTTGTTTTGGTTCAAGCCAGCTCCCTGCACAATGAAATTAGAATGCCTGGGTGCTGGAGAGGGGGTTGGGGGAGAAGAGCACAGGATTAATGGCAATATGCAGGGAGACATTTAATCAATCAGGGGCTTTCTGAAAAAAACAAAAAGACAAAAATGAGAAAATGAAGGAAACCATTATTTAGCGTGTGCTGGGCACTACATTCGACTACCAAAATACAGAAACAAAAACCGCAAAGGAAATTAATTTCGTTGAAGTGGTATTGACAATAAAATAGATGCTGTCTTGTTTTGATAAATTTATATATGGTATTGCTATTCCTCTGTCTGCTGACAGTGCTTGAGTCATTTCTCCTATAGTGGAGAGTGGGCTGAGCTAAACTTCTGCACTCTCATGGCAAACTCACTTCTGAACAGGGCATCCATTCATCTACCCATTCACCCACTCAGCTTTTGAGGGGAGGAAAGGGGATGGGCCACATGATTTATGTATTCAGGACCAAATCTTATAACTAAGAGACACATTTACTAGTGAATTATTTATTGACATCTGTGATTTTAGTATTAGGTTGATACAAAAGTAAGATATACTACAGATTACTTTGTATTAAACAATAGTTTGTTTGAGCCATATGTGCCTGGAACTATTCTGAACACAAGTGGTTCGAGGATAAATAAGATAGGAAGTCCTCGTCCTCCAGATATACGACTAACATTCGCAACACAGATCTCAGGGGTTGAGTTGATCACTTTGGCCCTGTTGACCCCGGCTGAGTCAACTACTCTAGAATGAAAATAAATGGTGGGGTTTTTAAAATTTGTTTTATTTTCGTTTTTATAAAGGGCATTCAAGCTTAGAAAAACAGGAAGGCACTCAATTTTTAAAAAGCAGGCCAGGTATGGTGGCTCACACCTGTAACCCCAACACTTCGGAAGCCCAAGGCAAGAGGATTGCTTAAGGTCAGGAATTCAAGATCAGCCTGGACAACTTCGCAAGACCCCACATCTACCAAAAAATTTTTTTCGTAATTAGCTGGTTGTGGTAGATAGGAACTCCTATCTATTCCTACCTTATCTGCATTCCTAGCTACTTGGGAAGCTGAGGCAGGAGGATTGCTTGAGCACAGGAGTTTGAGGCTGCAATGAGCTATGATCGCGCCACTGCACTCCAGCCTGGGCAACAGAGAGAGACCCTGTCTCAAAAAAATAAAAAAGCAAACCTAAATCCTGTTTTTTCCATCAACTTGCCTATCCCTCCTTCAATGTGAAAGCTAAACTCAAGGGCATATCAATCATCAGCTTTACCATCCAGTCATTTTCAGGATATTCTCAAGGCTACGACCCCACCCCCAGCCCTTTCTCCTGCCACGGCATATACCAGATACCTGAAATTTCACGGCTGGTCAAAGATGTACACAAATGGAAAGTTTGGTTATCTCAGAAGCCCCTTGCCCTGGGACCCTTACTAGAGAGCTCCTTCCCCAGGAGGGCAGAGGGTACTGGGTGAGGAGAACAGGCAGATGTTTGAGTTGAACTCACAGACATCCCTCTGTGAGTGTTAGTGAAGCTCTATGAAACACAGCCCTTAGATCTCCTGTCATTCAAGAAGGATTTTTGCTTCTATTATTGTTTACCCTCCAATCACCAGTACCTAGTACTATGCTTGCCACACAGTAGAAATTCAATAAATGGGCTCTTACAGTTTTAATTTTTTCTCAAAAGGATATGCATACAGAAACAAAGCAAATCATACACAAGTGCTGTGTTGTGCAAAGGGAGTGTGGAGGCATAAGCAGCTATTGCCAGGTTGTGTAAATATACAATAGGGGTTACTAATGGAACATTTACAAGCCAGAGAAGCAGCAGAGTGTATCTGCTCCCCTGAGCACTCATCATTCTCAAAGAGGTGGGCTTAGGCTGGGCCTGGCTGGACCAGGTGCTCCAAAGGCAGGAAATGACCCCAGGGCTATCCAGATTAGTCGCTCCTCCAGCTTCCATGCACAGCAGCGGTCTCTGCACTCTTGCCCACTTCACTTCCCACAGACAATTCCTAAATCCAATCCATTTTTAATTCTTTTTGTGATTATTACTTTTTTTTTTTTTTTTTTTTTTTTTTTAAGAAACAGGGTCTCTCACCCAGGCTGGAGTGCAGAGGAGCAATCACAACTCAGTGCAACCTCCACCTCCTTGGCTCAAGGGATCCTCCCGCCTCAACCTCCAAAGTAGCTGGGACTATCAGTGCACGTGACCACGCCTGGCTTCTTCTCTTAATGCTATCAAATTTTAATGAAAGCAACTATGCCATCCATGGAATGGCAAGCATTAAACTATAAGAGAGACATCAAAACTTTTACTGCAAGAACACAGGCAAATGTCTTGCTGTGGTCGGCTTCTGGGAAGGCTGAATCATACTGAGCTGTACCCTAGATCCCTGCACTCTCACAGCTTTATCCTCCTGTTTCCTGGGCGACCTGAAGGCCCTGGTCCTCCCCTGATACTTCCAGGCCTCTGTGGGCTGCGTGTGGAGCAAAAGGGCCACCAGAGAGAGTCTGGGACTCAGACACAGCATTAGCCAATATTTGCTGTTATCATTTTATTTTCTGAGCTTGTTGAGACTTCTTTCTGTTGACAGACCTACCCATCCAACTTTCTGGAGTACTTTTCTCACAGAAGACTTTGAAAGAAAGCTTTGAAAGAAGGAACTGGGCCAGGCACGGTGGCTCACACCTGTAATCCCACTACTTTGGGAGGCCGAAGCAGGTGGATCACAAGGTCCGGAGTTCGAGACCAGCCTGGCCAACATGGTGAAAACCCGTCTCCACTAAAAATACAAAAATTAGCCGGGCATGATGGTGCGCACCTGTAGTCCCAGCTACTCGGGAGGCTGAGGCAGCAGAATCGCTTGAACCTGAAAGGCGGAGCTTGCAGTGAGCCAAGATCGTACCACTGCACTCCAGCCTGGGTGACAGAGCGAGACTGTCTCAAAAAAAAAAAAAAAAAAAAGGTAGGAAAGAAGGAACTGGTTCTGTCTAACCCATTGTCCATATCTTCAGCCATCATCTGTAGAGGTTGTACTTCCAATATGTATGGCTCATGTTTCTGCATACATTGTAGAACGTTTCTTCTGTTTCTAGGTAGTGTATTTCCTCCTCCATTGATTTTCTCTGAAGTTTCATTACATGTTCTTGATGTATTTCAAGTTCCAGAGGAAGCTTCTGAATCTCACTTTGAAGCTGTGAATTTTCAGTCGGCAAAGATGCTTGCTCAGTTTGGAGACTTTGTTTGTCCTGGAAGCTCTTCATTCATTGGATTTTCTTCACATAATTTCTTGGATTTTTTTTTTTTTTTTTTTTTGCTTTTTCCCTTCAAATCTTCTAAAGAAAACATTTAAGTTAACAGCATCCAGGAGTCTCTTCAAATCAACTTGTAACTGATAGACCTGGTGATCTCCAGTTCTTTCTGCTTTCTTCTTTTTCTCTAATTTCAAGCTGCCATCAGCCATGTGGTCTCTAAAGAGACAGATACACCTACGATCTTCAGCAAGGTTTTCATCAGAGATGTTCACTGGCCCACTTTATCACCCATGACTTATTTCATTCCCCCCTTTGCGTTTTCAAGCAGGTTTTCTGTCCCTTCAGTTCCTTCATTCTTTGCTCCCATCTCACGGTTTTTTTGGCAAGCAGTTCTAGTCTTTCCTGAAGATGAGTGTTTTCATTCAAACTGTCCATCATTCTCTTCTGTTCTCCACTGTTCTAAAATGCTTGTAAGATGTTTTATGAATCAGTCACTTAGGATTGGAAGGATTTTGATGCATCTTTGAGTGACAGTGTCTGTCCGTGAAGTGAAAGTTCAGGGAGCTGGCTTTTCTGTCCTTTTCCAGAAAAGTCTACCATGTCCTCAGGTGAAGGCCTATTCTGATATTTACTCAGTGCTGCCAAATACAGAATTTGTAACTGCAAAAGACTGGCCTCCACCACAGGTGGCTTGAGGGCTTCATAGGCTTGTGTCATCAGCACCATCTTCTCACTGACTTTTCCACACACTTTAACCAAGTGGAACACCTCGCTCTTTTTCCCTCCTTAAAGTGTGTAGGCTGTTTACCATAAAAACAACCCTAGCAGCAGCACACACAAGGATCTTCTGGGGAAACCCAAAGAGACTGGGACTTGCTCAGAGGCTCAGACATCACCAGCAGAGGACCACACAGCTGCTCCAGGCCCGGCTGGAGAGACATTTTGGTGGTAGATACTCAGGCCTTCCGTGGGTCCGAAGGGCTCCCCACTTCTATTCAGATTGCTGGTATCCTGTAGGCCACTGTGGACCACACAGAACCCTTGGGGGACACGGGTGTCTGTCTGTAATGCAAACAAGTGCCAGGCAACAAGCACAGACCATACATCAGCTGAGAAAAAGGAGGTGAAGGCCAGTCAGGTTCTATAACATAATGCTCCCTAACCTTGCTCTGCTCAATGCACAAATAGAAAGTGGTACTACTTAGTGCATTTGGGGAAGCAGAAGGTGCTGACTGCAGCCAGAGACCAGGCTGGAGCTCACGCCATTCCTGGCCCCACATGACCCTCCAGCAAACCTAGAGGATCAAGCAGCGCCATGTTGGTGGTGATTACCTTAACCTAAATGATATTTATAACTCTACTTCTTGGTTTTTCAACTTACAATGTCCTCATTTAAAACTTAGCTCAATGTGTGTGGTTTCATATTTTTTATTGATATATTTACTTTTATAACATTAAATCACAGTACCTCCATTTACTGTTCCATCAATTTTAGTCAGTATTTTGATTCTCCTTCAGATAAGATGGGAGTATTTATGCCCCTACCCATCCTTCTCCCTTCTGTCTCCAACCTGCTGTCGAATAAATTTCACATTAAAAAGCTGATATTAAGATTTGCATTCTGTAACTACAATGTTATCCTCTGAGCTTCCATAGATGCACTCTAAATGTTGTTGTTGTTAGCAACAATTATGATCACAATACACAAATTGCTCTGCCTGAACAAGTGGGGCCAGTGTGTCAATTTCCTTTCTACAAATCTGAAATTGCAATCCTTAGGCCACTCAAAGAATAATGGTCATCCCAGCATAAAGCTCAATGAATTCCCTTTCTTATATTCCAGCAATTGCTTAAAGTCATGATACATTTTGCTTATTGGGATACTGACTTTGTGGTACAGCTTCTTGTTTATCTAGGTGCTTCCAAGCACATTTTTTCCTTTGACTAATGGTCATTTTTCATGTTTTAAGATGTTCCATCCTTGAGAGGATATTCCTACCACAGGAGTGCTCTTTCTTCTCATTCCCCCTTGCAGAACTCTTTGCTCTTCTTTTCCAGTCTGGATTGCTCGTCCTCCAGGATCAGCCTGGCTGTTACTCTGGGGTCTCCTTAGCTGTTCTCCTGAATTGGACCTGATCTCCTGTCTCCTGGATCCCATGTCTTTCTCTTCCTCTGTTTACTTCCCCATGCTGCTGGGATATGACCTCAGATGCTGCCTAAGAAAAGGTATAAGGAAATTAAATTGGCCTTATTCTGCCCTAATATTTGATTGACAATTGGGCTGAGTAAATAATTTTTTTTAAGTTAGGTCCTATTCTCTCAGAACTTTGAAGGCATTCTTGTATTGTCTTCTAACACTGAGGGATACAGATGAAAAGTCAATTGCCAGTTTGAGTTTAGTTTCTTTGAGATAACTTGCATTGTCTCTCTGGGAAATTGTAGGATCTACCAGTTGTCTTTGGTGCTCTAGAATTTTGCAGAAAAATGTCTAAGTGTTGGGTCATTTGTTTTGCTTTGCTTTGTTTTGTTTTTCCATTTACTATGCTGGATATTTGGGGCCTTTTAAACTTAAGGTCCTTCTTCAGCCCTGATAAATTTTATTCTACTCTTTCTTTGCTAATTTCCATTTTTTCTATTCTTTCTTTCTGGGATTGATCTTCATTTTATGTTTGACTTCAAGGATGAGCTCTCATGTCTCTTACCTTTTCTCCACTATTATTTTTTCTCTTTATATTTCTTTTCTACATTCTGAGAGATTCCCTTGACTTTACATTCCAAGCTTGTTTTGAACATTTTTAATTTTGATAATCAAGATTTTTTAAATCTGTAAGAACTATCTCTTTTTCTCTTTCTGTCCCTTTTTCATTGCATTTTATGCTTGTTTTATGGATGTAATATATCACTGAATTTGAGTATATGAATTACAAGACTTTTTTGGAGATGGACTTGGTGTCCAGTGGGGTCAGTTTGCCTATCTTGGTCTATCTCTTTCATGCTTCTGGTTCTTCTCTAATTCTTGTGGTTCTTGGTTGTCCTTCCATAGTTAAACTGGACAAGGCAGCCGATGTGGGATTTTTTTTTCTGCATTATGTCGGAACCCAAGAGGTCTCTTTTTTTTTTTCCCAGCAGCTCTCTTCCTTAGAATCCTGATTAGGAGCTCTCCGTGGGGTGTGAATTATTGCCTGGTGGCATGCTGGTGGCTTTGGCTTTAGGACGAATGTATGAGGCTCTCACTTAAAAACCAAGCCAAGAACTCCCCAAATGCCAGAACATGGAGGGCTCTATTCTGGACCACCAAAACCTGCACTAGATGCCTTAGCTTTCCACAGAGGGCTGATTTAAATTTACAGATATACCCTTTACATTTTATCTTGAAGCAGATACCAGATTATCTGTACCAAAGTATGATAGGTGGGCTGTACCAACCATAGCAACTTTTAACCATTCCTCCTCTTGTGAGTCTCATTTCTCACTCCTGTGTTCCACTGTACCTGCCAACTCTGAGCCCAGAATCCTTTTTGCTTTCTAACAAGCATATGGATTCCCACATCCATTGCAGCCCCACTTTTATTCCAGGTTATGCCTTTTCCCGACAGTTGCTTGCATCAAAATCCCATTCATTCCATCTTCCAGAAATGTGTTGGGATTTCTTGCATTCAACAATCTTCCTCCCCAATCTCTTTGCCATGATAGACATCTCAGAAGTGACAAAGGTGAAAGCATGTACTCAGCCCACCATTTTGAACCAGAAGTTCTCATTAAAAGTTTGTTTGAAGTCTACTACAAATTCCAACTAGAAACACCATTCTTCTATATGCCAAGCATTGTATCTGACTTTCATAGGCCGCCAGTACAAAAACTATTAGGCTAAAGATTACATTGGGTCTGTTTTTATTAAAAAGTTACTAAAGAAAATTCAAAGTAGACTTGAGAGAATAGTTTCAAAGAGTTCAAGGGCACAAAGGCCAGGGTTGGCAGCTTCTGGCATTCCCCCTGACTGCAGCTGCTGGAGCACACAAGGTGTGGAGGCCACCTCAGCTCCTGCCGGGAGGAGGCAGTGGCTGTCAGTCAAGAGCAAGAGGCGTGCGCCAGGGCTGTGACCCCCGACTCCTCACCAACAACTTTTTCTCCATGTCAGCTTAGCTGCCAACTTTGCACACACCTGCTTCCTTCTGAATCACCAGCTCAGAAGAAAGGAAGGAGGTAAGGCCAGCCCTGGACTAGGCTTTGATGTGCTGAGCCACCGCTGATCTTTGAGTAACAGATGCACAGAGCTTCTCCAGCGTATTACTGGGGACTCTAATTGCCAAAACAGAAATGAATTTGAGCTAGCTTAAGGAAAAAAAGGTGATTTTATCATAAAGGTCTGGGAGTAACTAATGAAACCCAACAGACTTTAGAAAGGGTGTAGAGGCCAGGCATGGTAATTCATGCCTATAATCCCAACACTTTGGGAGGCTGAGGCAGGGGGATCACTTGAGCCCAGGAGTTAGAGACCAGTCTGGGCAACACGGCAAAGCCCAATCTCTACAAAAATACAAAAAAATTACCTGGGCATAGTGGCATGTGCCTGTGGTACTTGGGAGGCTGAGGTGGGAGGATCACCTGAGCCCAAGGAGGTCAAGGCTGCAGTGAGTTGTGATCGCACCACTGCACTCCAGCCTGGGTGACAGAGTGAGACCTAGTCTCAAAACAAAAAGAAAGGCTATTGGACTGAGGACTTGGGAGCTATTAGGATTTGCCTCCATGTCTCATCTCCCAACTCCAGCCCTCTCTGTGTCCTGTTTCTCTCTTCCTGTAGACTGGCTTTCTCTTCTCTTCTGTCTACGTGGCAGAATGTGGCTACCCCTCTGACTGGGGGTTCACATACACTGGTTTGGCCATGCACAGAGACTGACATTTCCTTAGACCAAGGGCTGGCAAATTTCCATAAAGGCCAGATAGAAAATATTTTCGGCTTTATGGACTTTACAGTCTCTGGTATGACTATTCAACCTGACCATTGTTTCATGAAAACAGCCATGGCCAAGTTGCAAATAAATGGTCATGTGGCTGTGTCCTAACAAAACTTTATTTACAAAAACAAGAAGGCGATGGGCAGAATTTGGCTGGATCACCAACCACTGCCTTAGACACAACCCAGATTTTCAGAAAAATATGAAGTATTCAGTGTGGGTCACTGAATAACTTAGTCAGTCCCTAAGTTGGTAAACAAGAGAGACAGGAAAACACAGCAGACACATGGCCACTGGAGGCCTGGGGTGAGGTGTGCAGTTCCCAAAAAGGAGAGTCTAAGACCACACCTTAATGAGGGGTCACTATATCTACACCTCCTTTAGAGAAGCCATAGCTAAGGATATTAGCTCTTGCATCTTCTGACTTCAGGGTAATCTCACAGAACAGGGTAGCAAAAAGCCGTTATAGCATCTTGACATCCCCAGAAACAAAGTCCTGTTTAGAATGAGACATTTGAAAATTCCTCCCAATAAGAAAAGGAAGTGTGCCGGGAGCAGAGGCTCATGCCTGTAATCCCAGCACTTTGGGAGGCCAAGGCGGGTGGATCACCTGACTGTGATCAGGAGTTCAAGACCAGCCTGGCCAACATGGTGAAACCCTTTCTCTACTAAAAAAAAAAAAAAAAAAAAAAAAAAAAAAATTAGCTAGGCATGGTGACAGACACCTGTAATCCCAGCTAGTCAAGAAGCTGAGGTGGGAGAATCACTTGAACCCAGGAGGTGGAGGTTACAGTGAGCTGAGATCGTGCCACTGCACTCCAGCCTGGGCGACAGAGTGAGACTGTGTCTCAAACAAACAAACAAAACAAATAAAAAAAAAAAAGGAAGTGAAGAAAGACCGTGAAGTGAAGCAATTGGCCCTATAAAGAGTATATAGCCCTGGATCTGAGAAAGCTTATTCAAAACTTTTATTGTTCCTTAAATGGACATTTAGGGGGAGTTTTTACATTTAAACCCAAGGCTCTGAAATTGAACAAAAGCAATTTTGAGCTACAGTTGGCTGGGAGATTCCACGGCTCTCTGCTCCCCTGGGGCTCAGGACTGTACAGTGGTATGGTTGAGGCTTGAATTATGTGCCCAATGTGGCTGTAACTCAGTCTGCATCCTAGCCTCCCATGGTGGCCCTGTAGCCTACAGGCATATCATAAAAACGCTGCAGTGGCTGTTAGTGGGAATGGAAAATGGTGCAGCTACTATGAGGCAGTATGGTGTTCCTCAAAAAATTAAAAATAGAACTACCATATGATCCTGCAATTCTACTTCTGGGTATATAGCCAAAAGAAAAAGAAAGGTCCCGAGGAGATGTTTGCAAATCCATGTTCATAGCAGCATTCGTTATAATAGCCAAAAGGCAGAGGCAGCCCAAATATGCGTTGATGGGTGAATGGATAAACAAAACATGGTCCATACACACAATGGAATATTATTCAGACTTAAAAAGGAAGGAGATTCTGACACAGGCTACCACATGGATAAATCCTGGGGACATTCTGCTAAGTGAAAGGTACCTATTCTAGGTGCCTCATATAAGTGGAATCATACACTTACGTGGGGCACCTAGAATAGGTACATAAAGACAGAAGCTAGAGGGTTGTTGCCAGGGGCTGGGGGGCTAGGAGCTATGGGGGGCTGTTTTTCAATGGAGTAGAGCTTCAGTTTTGCAAGATGAAATGAGTTTCAGAGATGGATGGTGGTGACGGTTGTGCAATAACTTGAATGTACTTAACATTATTGAACTGAACACTAAAAATGGTACATTTAGATGGTACATTTTATGTGATGTATATTTTACTGTAATTTTGTTTAAGTCTGTAGTGGGAAAGGCTTCAACCTCCATGAGCCCTACTCTATTACGGCAGTGCACAGCTGTGGCCTCTGGGGCCAAGTGAAACATGACTCCTCACACCAGAACCACGACCCCCAAAAGCTTTCCTGGAATGACCTTGAGTCTCTGCCTTCTATTTTCCTGCAAAAATAAAAGGTTTTGTTTGTTTGTTTTTCTAGCCACAGAAACAAGGAATAGGTGTTTAGAAACACCCCACTGTCTGCTCCTCTGTGGACCATTCTGGGGTTTTTCCCCTGAAGTGAGCCTAGAATCTTCCACCCTAAGGACCTGGCCTTCCCAGAAGCCCTGAGGCCCAGAAGCTTGAATAAGTCCCCAGACAGCACCACAAGGGGAGACACTCTCACAACAGCAGTCCTACTATTGGCCACACCTCATGTGATCTGCTGCAAGAGCAGCGTGCCCCCTCCCCTGATGGGGGTCAGCTAGCAAAGCCCCCTCCACCACCCACACCATCCCCTCCTCTGAGATCAGAGCCTCCAGGGGAGAGGAGGAGCCCGTGTAATCCCCAGAGCCTCTCTCCAGCAACAGAGAAGAGCCATGAGCTTCTGCTTCAGGTACAGGCAGACCTTGCTCCAGCCTCCTAAGACCCTTTTTGCTTCAGCCTTGTCCCCTCCAGCCCCTTCTCCATGTGGCCACCTGCTGACCTCTGCTCACACATCCAAGTAGGCCACTGCCATGCACCAACCTTCATTGGCTCCCTACTGCCCTCAGGAACAAATGCCCAAGACTGTGTGAGGCCTCCAGCCTCATTCCCAGAAGCTCCCTGTCTTCATGCTCCTAAGCCCCACACATCCCTGCCTTTTCCTAAGTGTATCCCCTTTGAACCCCAGTCAATCAGTCAAGTCCCTTTTCTATAGGATGCACATTGTTGGATTGTTCTCAATGTAGCATGGTGATTGATCCTCTCCATGTCCTGCTCACCCCTCCAGGTGCCTCCAGTTTGCTCATATCCTCAATACAGCAGGACATCCAGGACTGACCACGTATATCAGGGGTGACTCCAACAGCACAGAGAACAGCCAACGGGTTCAGGGAACGGCTTCACAGGTTTGAGACACCATAACTAGGACAAAGACCAACTAAAGACCATGGACCCAAATTGTGGATGGAGGGATTTAAGATGAACTTCCAACCATTTGGATGAGCTCCAGGAGGTCATCTCTATCTCCCTGGAAATGCCCATGGGTAAGTCAGCCACAGACCTGGCTGGGTCACTGTGGATACAGCCTGGAGGGAGATAGGAGGATGGGTAAGGTCTAGGAGTTCTTCTGCCCCTGTGAGTTACAGAATCCCTTTACTGGGATCTCCAGTCATTTCTTTATTCTGATGGCTGCAGATAAGATTATTCTTTCATTTTTTTAGTCACAGAGGGGAAATCCTTAAAAAATAACCGTCTTTTACTCTGGGCAAATTGTCAGCCCACTGAAGAACAGGAGCTGATGCTCATGCCAGCCACCATGTGCCACATGGGTAGTGCCACCAAGAGATCAGAAACTAACAATGGAAGGGAAGGATGGAGTTTCTAACGCTTCTTTGGAGTCCTTGGAAGACTGTGTATTAGGCTGTTCTTGCATTGCTATAAAGAAATACCTGAAACTAGGTAATTTTTTTTTTTTGAGACAGAGTCTTGCTCTGTTGCCCCAGCTGGAGTGCAGTGGCGCGATCTTGGCTCACAGCAACCTCCGCCTCCTGGATTCAAGTGATTCTCCTGCCTCAGCCTCCTGAGTAGCTGGGATTACAGGCGCACACCACCACACCTGGCTAATTTTTGTATTTTTAGTAAAGACGGGGGTTTCACCATGTTGGCCAGGCTGGTCTCGAACTCCTGACCTCAAGTGATCCGTCCTCCTTGGCCTCCCAAAATGCTGGGATTACAAGTGTGAGCCACTGCGCCCAGCCAGAGACTGGGTAATTTATAAGAAAAGAGGTTTAATTGGCTCATGGTTCTGCAGGCTGTACAGGAAGTACAGTGACATCTGCTTCTGAGGAGGCCTCAGGGAGCTTTTATTCACAGCAGAAGGTGAAGCAGGAGCAGGTATTCCACATGGCAAAAGCAGGAGCAAGAGAGAGAGAGAGTGGGATAGGGCAGTGAAGTGCCGCATACTTTTAAATGACCAGATCTCCTGACAACTCACTATCACAAAGACAGTGCCAAGGCATGAGGGATCTCCCCCATGATCCAAACACCTCCCGCCAGACCCCACCCTGGCACTGGGGATTACACTTCAACATGAGATTTGGGCAGGGACACACACATCTGAAATATATCAGATGGGAGGCACGGAGTCCATGCCAGAGGCCAGCTTCTGTGAACAGGGCTTGGAACTGCAACACTTTTCCTAAATTCCTACCAGGTTTTCCCTTCTGGCAGCCTGGTCATGGCATTTAACCTCTCTGAGCCTCAATCTCCACTCCTGTTAAATGGAGATGATGCTACCAACCATGTACATGAAACGATTTTGCAAACTGCAAGGCATGATATACATATAAGTTTTAAGAAGTTTCTAGAGTAAATAAGATTGGTATAAAGCTAACAACTTGATTTCAGTGGAAGAATGCCTAACTCAAGGCAGACAGCGTCATTATTTAGAGAATGAGGCTGGGCACTTTGGGAGGCCAAGGTGGGAGGATCACTTGAGGCCAGGAGGTCAAGAGCAGCCTGGGCAACATAGCGAGATCCTGTCTACAAAAAAAAATTTTAATACAATAAACAAATTAGCTAGGCATGGTGGTGTGCCCCTATAGTCCCACCTACTCGGGAGGCCAAGGCTGGAGGATTGCTTGAGGCCAGGAGTTTGAGACCAGTCTGGGCAACATAGCAAGGCTCCATCTCTATAAAAAATAAAGTTTTTAAAAAATTAGCCAGGCATGGTGACATGTGCCTGTATCCCAGCTACTCAGGAGGCTAAGGTGGGAGGATCACTTGAGGCAAGGAGATCAAGGCTGCAGTGAGCCTGTGATTGTACCACTACACTCCAGCCTGGAGCCTGGGTGACAGAGTGAAACCCTAACTCAAAAAAAAAAAAAAAAGTTGGGGAGAGAATGAAACGTGAAGTTCCCAGATGGGCAGAGAGGCAGGAGGAATAGGCCGGAGGGATGCTGAGGAGTGACCAACTTGCAAACAACTCTGGAGAACCCAAGAATGTTAGCCGATCCCCAGGCTGCCCGGCTCTTAGTCACCTTGAGTTACGACCGGCACTTGTGCATCATCGCTAGTTCAAGGCCTGGAGCTACTACCCCTCTCCCGCAGGACCTGAGCCAATGGCTACGCTCAAAGTTTCAGCCCATCCATGAGTGGCCAATGGTGAGCAGAGAGACAAAGGCACGGCAGCCCCTCTCATCTAGCCCTGCAGCATGGTGAGGCCGGGAATTCCCTCCCACTTCTAATTTCAAGTCACCCTGGGGTCCATGCTCAATAGGGACATGCTCAATCAGGCAGTCAGTTTCTGGTGACCAAGCATCCCTTCCCCTGGGCCTTGGGGACTCAGGCAATGGCCGAGCGCCACAGCCCCCACTTCCCCTTAAGTGTGATAGATGGACTGAGTTTTCCTGGCAGTTGAAACACTTTGCATTGATTTGTGTATTAGTTTGTATATTGTTTTGAGAGACCAATTTCAAGAGAAGCTGGGCCTGTTGTCCATCAAAGCCCCACGGTGCTTTATCTTCATTCTGAGCTGGCTGCTCGTCAGACGCAGGGCAGGCTGCTGCCAAGAGAGCCCGCTGCCGAGGACCTCCGTCTATCACTGCCTGGGGGACACGCTGCCTTGGGATTGTTCAAACTCCAGGGAAAGGACAGTTATCCACACCCACCCACTGTGCTCCTTGGAGAAGATCTGAGCTCTTCTGGTTGGAATTCTTGGGTCTTTGGGATTCTCAACATTTCCAGAGATGAGGAGGCTATAGGAATACTTACAACCATTTTACAGCTTAGGGAAACAGAGTCAAGTGCCGTAAAATGGACACACACAAAACACTCTCGGGAGCTGGGTCCCTAAGTTACACAGAGAACCTGGCTTCCCTGGTCTTAGCAGATCTCACAGCCCCTTCACCCCGGCCTGTGACACACACAGCCCTCCAGACCTTCCTCCACCTGCACCACTAGGTTTATGCTAGAAGGTTCCCAGTGTGCCCACTTCTAAGCAGTCTTTGCTGAGGGGGATGAAGAAAAGGGGACCTGCCAAGAGGCCACTGAGGTGGAGGAGTCCTCGGAGACTAAAGCAGCAGAAGTTTGGAGAACCTCTTCAAAAGAGACAGGAGAAGCAAGGCTGCGTGCGAGTCAGGAAGAACAGGCATGGTTTAAATCTTTTTTCTTGGAGAGTAAACATTGTCACATTTCTGCCTCTGCTGCTTCAGAGGATGCGCCTCTCTGGACAGCCCTTCAGGCATCAGCCTGTTGGCAGCCGCGCGTCCTGGAATACGGGGTCGCTGGACATAAATCCATCTGTACTGGCCGGGGCTGACAGCGACTGTCAGTCCCCAGGACAGGGTCACCACCTTTCTCTCCCTTCTTCTCTCTCCTCTTCCCACTGTTTCAAGGACAGCAGAGTCTTATGGATTTTTCTTCTCCTGTCTTGAATGTGCAAAGGTCCAGGGGACCACAGCAATGCCACCTTCTGGTGTCAAGAGGGAGGTGGAGGCAGGCACTGAATAAGGTCCCAGGCGCTCCTTGCCCTGGAATTTTGATTCTTCAAAGGGCATCAGAATGCGGTGACCAGCAGCACACAGCAACCAGTCTCTCAGCGGGGCTTTAGGCATGGTCACTTGGGCTTGCCCAGGGAACCTCATCCCGGAGGATCTTCCAGGAAGCCTGAGGTCTCCTACTAATGGAACTGTGACTGGCTCACCCAGAGGGGGTCAGGTTGGGACCTTGGAGTGGGCACTAGATGAAGCAAATGGGATTGACTCTAATAAAAACATGGAAGAAAAAAATCAGAGACCTTCAGTTCATATCTGACCCTTGCGTACTCCCATTTGTGGGACCCCACAGCCCTTCCTCTCACCTTCTGTAAGGAGTATAATGTTCTGGATCCTTCCATTCTCCTCCCCTCAACCTACCTGTTCAAAATGTAGACAGCTCACCAATATATGAAAAGATGCTCAACCTCATTCAGAACAAAAGAAATACAAATTAAAACTACTCTGAGATTCTATTATCACTATCAAGTTGGGAAAAGGGCCGGGCACGGTGGCTCACACCTATAATCCCAGCACTTTGGAGGGGCCAAGGCGGGAGGATGGCTTGAGGCCAGGAGTTCGAGACCAGCCTGCACAACATAGTGAGACCTCATTTCTGCAAAAATAAATAAATAAATAAATAAATAAATTATATTTTTTAAGTTGGCAAAAGGCTGCAAGTGTGATAACAAACAGTGCTGACAACACTGTGGGGAAACAGACCCTCAAATTCACTAATGGTAGGCTTGGGAGTGATTATTAGGATGTTTTAACTGCATCTTTCTGTGTTATAATAAAAAGTGCATGGCTGTGCATGGTGGCTCACGCCTGTAATCCCAGCACTTTGGGAGGCCAAGGCAGGCAGATCACCTGAGGTCGGGAGTTTGAGACCAGCCTGACCAACATGGAGAAACCCCATATCTACTAAAAATACAAAATTAGCCAGGCGTGGTGGCGCATGCCTGTAATCTCAGCTACTCAGGAGGCTGAGACAGGAGAATCGCTTGAACCCGGGAGGCAGAGGTTACAGTGAGCCGAGATCGTGCCATTGCACTCCAGCCTGGGCAACAAGAGTGAAACTCTGTCTCAAAAAAAAAAAAAAGAAAGAAAGAAAAGTGCATTTGGTCTTTGTCTCCAGTTCCTGGCACACAGCTTCTAAAACCCTTGGGGTTTTCAGAGTGTTAGGAGTATCTTTCGTTGTTTGTAGGAGTCCCATGTCAACCACATCAGAGTTGATGCAAGGTGGAGCCCCTAGATAGCTTCAGGATGGTTCTGGTCACCAAAAAGAACAAACACGTGATCAGAGGGGGTAACTTTCAGCCCCTGACCTCCAGGATGGGAGGCGGTCTGGAGACTAGGTTCTAAAAACTTTTGAATGCTGAGATCCTGGGAGCTTCCATGTTGGTGAACACGCTGATATGTTGAGGAAATGGCACTTGGAGGACTCAGGGGCTCTGCCCACCACTCCCACCATGGAAATCACTTCCATTTGGTTGTTCCTGACTTCTATCCTTTATAATAAACCAGTAAGTAAAGCACTTTCCCGAGTTCTGTGAGCCATTCAGGGGCAAGGGAAGGGGGTGTTGCAGGAACCCCAGAATTTACAGTTGGCCAGGCAGAAGTGTGGGTAGCCCAGCCATTCCCTTTGTAGGTATCATCTGAAGTGGGGGCATTTTGTGGGACCGAGGCCTTAAACCTGTGGAGTCCAGCGCAATCTTTCAGTAGTTACTGTCAAAATTGAATTGAATGGTTGTACACACAGTTGGTGCCGGAAAATCAGAGACTTGGTATTGGAAACCCCACATACATTTGATGTCAGAGGTGATGTCAGAAAAAAAGATGAAAAAAAAAATCACACTTTCAAAATTACCAGAATGTGTATCTTTGACCTAGAAACTCCGCTTCTAGGAATTATCTTACTGACACACTTAGCAGCAAGCAAAATGATATAAATACAACCTTATACATTTTGGCATTGCTTATAGCAGTAAAAGAATGGAAACAGCCAAATTGTCATCTGTATGGGAACTAGTTAAAGTATTGAACATATGTACAATGGAATTCTATATAGCTATAAAAAAATTGAAGAAGCTCTATATTGACATGGAAAGATTCAAGATACATTGTTAATTGGGGGAGAAAAAGCAAGATGTAGAACACTGTTTATAGTATGCCATATCTTATGTTAGATGAAAGAAGGGGCTGGGCATGGTGGCTTATGCCTGTAATCCCAGCAGTCTGGGAGGCCAGGGCAGGAGGATCACTGGAGCTCAGGAGTTCAAGACCAGCCTGGGCAACATAGGGAGACTCCATCTCTACAAAATAAATAAATAAATTAGGCAAGGATGATGGTGCATGCCTGTTGTCCCAGCTACCTGGGAGGCTAGGGTGGGAGGATCACTTGAGCCCAAGAGGTCAAGGCTGCAGGAAGCCAGGTTTGCACCACTGCACTCCAACCTGGGTGACAGAGTGAGGCCCCATATCAAAATATAAAAAGAAAGAGGGATAAAGAATTTAGACTTGCATTAGCTTTTACTTACATTTCTTAAATCTCTGAAGGTAAGAAACTAACACCAGTGGTGGCTGCTTGAGTAGGGAGAGGAGCAGGTGAGGCACAGGGAGGGAAGGACATTTTGTACTGATGTGTGAACCACACAGATGTTAATACCTATCCAAGAAAAATAAACACCTGTACACTCACAGCAGGCAAACTTAGAAGGGACTTTAGAGATCCTATTCCACCCTCTTCCCACTATAAAGATGTGGAAATGGTGGCCCCAAAGACTCCCTGGCTCAGCCAGCTCTCAGATCTGGTACAGGATTGGCATCAGAATTCAAGGTGCACAGCTCCCAGGTTCAGTGCTCTTTCAAACATACCCCTAGACTATGCCCCTACCTAGGGCAGAGCACAGCAAGATGTGGGCAATATCTTTGGATCACTAGTCCCTGACACAGCACGTGCCCCCTCTTTATGAAAAGTTTTCAGAATGAATAAACATCGTATTGCACTTTCTGTGAGCCTCAAACCTCTGGCTAAGCTAATTAATTAATTAATCAAAGTGACGGCAATTTACATTCCCCAACCATGATCGTCACATTTTCCTGGAAGCCATGAATGGTAGGATCACAGGCCCTTCAGCTAAGGAAACATGTCTAGGGAGGAGCCCTTTACCACCCCTTAAGTGAAATGCCATTGGACAATTTCCTGCATTTCACCTTCTTGCAGAATCAACCTATGTACAGAACAAGAAAGGGAAGAAACTGATTAGGTGGACACAGCCAATGTTTAACATACTTAACACAGCAACTCAGGAGAAGAGAACTTATTTATGTGCACAAACATTGGCCAACAAAACCAGTGCCCATAGGGCATGGCCTTTGAATGGTGTAGGCTGCAGTGGCGATTTGGTGGGTGGCATCTTGCATCATGCCCACCCTTTTCCTTGGTCAAACGTAGCAATTTAACTCCAAACATTCTTGCAAGATGGTTGGCAGATGTGCCTTTCAAAACCTGGGATGTGAAGCAAATGAGCATCATCCTCTAATGGCGGCCTGCTACCCATGCCCAGACAGACACGGCACTCACCCTGGCCAGGGGCAAAACCTCAGAACCCTCCAGAACATAACTGTTCATCATCCATAACGTGTGACAAACCAGGATGCGTCTAAACAGGCCAGGAGAGTTCCAAGGGGCACAAGCTAAGTAAGACAATAAACACGTTGTAAGGCAGATTGAGTGAGGCCATCAATGATGGATGAATGTTTGGTAAATCAAAGAGATCTAAGGCTTACAAGGACAGCCTCATTGGAGAGCTTTTGGTCACAAATTAGAGGCATGCTTGGGTCCTTAGACACGCTGAGTTGACTGCTGCAAAGAGAGCAAGAGCGATCAAAGCAGCCAGAGGGAGAACGGGTAAGTGAGATGAATGGAGATCAAATCCCATTATAACCAATTCTATTACAAAGAAAATTTCACCTTAACAAAAACATATCCAAGCCCCAGGCATTGGCCCATAATAATCATATATTGTTCAAATAACCTGGTGTGAAGCATGCTGTTCTTCAGTTCTTCTATAACAGTCCCTAGCTATCACAACACTCCAGCTCACACATCCCCATTTACCGCGTGATGAATTACTGGCAGCGTGTGACAATACCCGCATTCTTTTCCAACTCCCTTACTGTGGGAGGTGACATTTGAAATGCCCTCTTGGAGGGTGATGTTCTGAAAAACTTTAAGGAATTGGTCTTCACAAGAATCTTTACCTCATCTCATAGTTTCCATCAAATGAGCTGCCTAGCTCCAGGATCATTACGAAGATAATTTAAAATGTTAGATAAACACCTCCATAGACGCAGAAAAACATTGGGGGTCGGGGGGTTATAAAGATATAAACCTTGGTTATTTGCTTACATTTGAACCCAATCTTTTATTTACTTTTAAATTTCTATTAACTTTTTCACATGCAGAATTTTTTATTTTTAGGGGTTTAAATATAAGATTATTTCTTCTTTCTTTTTTCTGTTTTAATTTTATTATACATATTTAAAGTACATAACATGATGTTTTAATATACATATAGAGAATGAAATATTAATAGTTACTATATTGCATTAAAATATCAATTTTCCCACAAATTTGCCCAGTTTTTTTATATATAGTAAGAGCACCTAAAATCTACTCTTCTGGGAAAAATCTTGAATGCATGACAATGTGTATCATAGCTTTGCTTCTAACAGAAAAAGACTTGGAAACAACACACATGTTTATCAACAGAATACATAAATAATGATGTAATGGAAAAGTGCATAGTTGTCAAAATTAAGAAACCTAGGGCTTAACATGTATCAATTTGGATCCATTGTACAAAAAAAATTTTCAGGCAGATATATGCAGTATGATGCCTTTATATAAAGTAAAAAGTACACAAAGCAAGATATTAAGGACATATGTGGCCAGATGCTGTGGCTCCATGGGATTACAGTAGCCTGTAAACCCAGCAGTTTGGGAGGCCAAGGCCAGAGGATTACTTGAGGCCAGGAGTTCAAGAGTAGCCTGGGCAACATAGCAAGACCCTGTCTCTACAAAAAAATTTAAAAATTAGCCAGGTGTGGTGGTGCATGCCTGTAGTCCCAGCTACTCTGGAGACTGAGGATGGAGGATCGGTTGATCCCAGGAGTTTGAGGTTGCAGGGAGCTATGATCCTACCACTGTACTCCTGCCTGGGCAACCAAGCAAGACCCTCCCTGTCTCTTAAAAAAAAAAAAAAAAGTGTAGATATTAAACGTATAAATACGTGATGCATGGAAATGAAAACATCAAAGTTAGAACACTTGTTTCATCTTGGGACAAAATAACTATGGTGGGTTTCAACTATACTTACATATTTTGTTTCTTAAACTGAGAGGAAGATGCATAGTATTCATACAGGAGTGCTGGGAAGGGAAGGGCGTGGTCCCTTTAAGTGAAAGGAAGAAGGGAGGGGAAGGGCTGGGTAGAGGAGGGCGTGGTCCCTGGTTAGGGCTCTACCCTAGGGACCCAGGTGAGGACAGGCACTTCTGACTTCTCCCAAAACATTGCATTTCCCAAGACCACCCTGGCTTGCCACGCCCCCACCTGAGCCTATAAAAACCGGATACCCTAGCAAGGCAGAGACAGAAGCTGTTGGACGGTGAGAGGAACACGTTGGCGGAAGAAGACAAGCAGCTGGATATCGAGGGGACATCGAGGGGAGCATGCTGGCAGAAGAACACACCAACAGAGGGACACCCGCACTCTGGCTGGTCTCACAACCCGCAGGACAAGGCAGAGTTTGGCTGGGGCAATCGGAGGAACTCCAGGGAAAAACCATCTCCCTTCTGGCTCCCCCATCGGCGGAGAGCTACTTCCACTCGATAAAACTTTGCACTCATTCTCCAAGCCCACATGTGATTCGATCCTTCCGGTACACCAAGGTAAGAACCCAGGATACAGAAAGCCCTCTGTCCTTGCAACAGGTAGAGGGTCTAATTGAGCTGGTTAACACAAGCCTCCTATAGACGGCAAACGAAAAGAGCACACAGCAACACACGCCCACTGGGGCTTCAGGAGCTGTAAACATTCACCCGTGGACACTACCGTGGGGTCAGAGACCCAGAGCCTGCTCGTCTGTATGCTCATCTAGAGGTTGGAGCAGCCGGGCACTGAAGAAGCGAGCTACTCCCTCTGTGGCAAACCCTTCGAGGGGGACAAGGGAACCTTTCCCATTTCAGTATTCATTAAATAGTCTCTGGAGTTTTTTAAAATATCTAAAATATTTCCCAATTTAAAACAAAAAGGAGTCACTGACCAAGAAAATTTGGAATACAAAATTTCGCATTTGCATTCCTGGCCCCTCTAAACTAATGTGTCCAGCCCACATTACCCACCTCTGCCCCTCATCTCAGTAGCTGGTCTTATCCTGAGCTATACGTGTCTTGTCTCCCATTAACCAATAATGTAGCTGATAATCCTGTGACTCTGGCCTTGAGAGTAGGCCAGTGCTCTATTGAAAACAAATTCATGGAAGTCCTTTATTTAACTTGCATGAGATTGCTAGTTTATCAGCTAGGTACTAGCAATTTTTTATTATGATTATTATCAACGTATGTTCAGAAAATAAGTTTCTTAAATGTATTTTCATGATGACTAAAGTAATACGTAGTCATTATATAGAATTTGGAAAGTAAGTATCAAGAACAAAATGAAAATCACTTGTATTACCACCATCCAGAGGCACTGTAAACCAATATGTATATTTATAACATCAGAATCCCACTGAAACATAATTATATATCTTTATTGTTTTCACTTGGCATTTCCTTTGAGAACATAATTTTATTAGCAGAATAATATTTCATCTCAGGGATGAATCAGAATTCATCAACCATCTCCACACTGTTAAACATAAAAAGTTTATTTTTTTCCTCTAAAAAAATATATTCAAAGCAGTACTTGTAGTTAAAAAAAAAAAAAAACACTACTTTTCCACTCAGATTTCAAAGATTCACATAATTGTGATAAAATTACAAGATCACCAAGTACAACAGGTTTGGGAATAAACAGAGTAGATTCTTAGAAGGCAAGAAACTCTATGAAGCCTTTAGTGCATTCCTGGCATCTATCAGAGCGTGTTACCGCAGGAACTGGGAGCTGGGTAATTGAAAGTCAGTTAAGAGAGTAGAATCGCTGAATCCAAAAGGTGTGTTATATATGTTTATTTGACAGATATTACCCAATTTCCCTTCAGAAGTTCATAACTTACATATGAAACACCAACCATGAAAAGGATAGTTTCTCTGCATCCTGACCACACAGAACACTGCATTTTTATCAAACTTATAAAAGGTTTGCTAATCTATAAGACCAAAACAATGGTATCTCATTTTTGTTTTGATTTGCATTTAATTATTAGGAAAACTGAGCCTACTTCCATGCTTCTTTGGCCGTTCATGTTTCTTTTTATGTTACTTCCCCATGCATTCATTGACCTAATTATGTTTCAGAAATTCTTCGCTCTTCTGGCCGGGCATGGTGGCTCACACCTGTGATCCCAGCATTTTGGGAGGCCAAGATGGGTGAATCACCTGAGGTCAGGAGTTTGAGACCAGCCTGGCCAACATGAGGAAACCCCATCTCTACTAAAATTACAAAAATTAGCTGAGCATGATGGTGCACACCTGTAATCCCAGCTACCCTGAGGCTAAGGCACGAGAATCACTTGAACCTGGGAGGTGGAGGTTGCAGTGAGTCGAGATCATGCCACTGCACTCCAGCCTGGGTGACAGAGCAAGACTCCGTCTCAAAATATGTATATATATTCTTCACTCTTCTGATCTCTCTCAGTGGTACCCCTCCAAAGTCTTAAACCTTTATGACTTTTTCCTATTTCTTTTGTCATCTTCATGGATATGGGGAAGGAGGAGAGATAACCCTGTGTATCTAGTCTGCCATCAATTTTTCCCAGACTTTTAGAATCCATAGACTTATACAACTTAAAAATGGGAATTGTCAGTTCTTTGGTTTGCTAAGTGAGGACAATTAAGGAGGAAAACGTCCTACCATCCACTTTGACCATTATTTTATTCAAAAAGGAGAGGGGAGGTGCAGACGGGTGAGTGGTGTGAGGGGAGAGGATATTTGAATATATCTACAGGAAAAGCAAGAGCACAATTTCCAAGCTAAGGATGGCCCATCAGAGGGACAGCTGCTAACCTTACACCAGTGTTTTCACTGAGAAGGATGAAAGCTTTGCCACCTGTCTCATGGCATCTCTCTATGGACTGGCATTTGGGAACCTCTGCCCCAGGAACCCACACTGTCCACTTCTCTTCCTGGAATTGCCCCTCCCACCACGACAAGCACCCCCAGCCTTGGCTGCTAGGCATCCTTGAGCACTTTCACTACCAGGGAAAATTTGTGGTTGATACAGAAACCAGGTCAGACAGCGCCGAGGTTTAAAGTAGACCAGAGGAAGGCCAAAAGCCTTGTCCAGTGAGGGGATTCACACGGTACCACGCAGAGAGTTAGAATGAGGCCCCTCCATCTCCACTCCAACCATTCCTGCTGCCATCTGTGATCTTAACCCCGCTCTTAAGTCTAGGACGGCTACAATACTTCTACTGATCCCCACTGTCAGTCCATCCCACACTGCCCCTACAAGAATCTTGCTACCTTGACCCTTTTGCTCCATGCTGAAAGCCTTCACTGCCATCCCCTTTTCCCTCCCCCCACCACACACCCCTTCTTAACCTTGACCCAAACTATTCTTGCAGACTGATCTTCCATAAGATGCTTTCTGGGGGAGTATTGCTTTTACTGCCCAGCATAATTTATATACTTTACATTGTATAATTTAGCAATTCTTAGATGCCTGGCACCATTCCAAGCACTTTTCACATGCTTCATTATTACCTTCCCCTTCTTTTTGCAACAGACCCCAGAGGTGGTGTCATGACCCTCCCTCAGGCATCCGTGCTCTCTCTCCTGGGAACCTGCATGCTCAGAGACATACAGGGATAGAGGGGCCTGGGGCAGGGCCTGGAAGAGGAAGTTCATGAGCAGCTGCTGCTGGGAGTCCCCACAGCTTCCCTGCCCTGGCAGAGACCCCTGTGTTCTTCCAATAAATCCTCCTGGGACTGAAGCCACTGGTGCTATTGCTTATCATCCCCAAATCCCCAACTCACGGGTGTGCACTCCTGAGAACCTGCCCCCAGTCCTGCCTCCCATGGCCACTCCTTCTATCTTTAATGCCCTTACCTGACCACCACCCCCAATCTCATCCCAAGGCATGGTTCAGAGGCTGCCCGCTCTTTAAAGCTTCTCTGGGTACCTTAGCAGAAATTGGTCTCTCCCTTCTCTGATACTCCCAGCACTTTCTCACCTCCAGCCATAAGCACCCTCCTATTTCTTTGTGTACATGTCTTCCTTGCTTCCTGAGGTCAGGATACTGTTCTATACCTTTGATCACTCATTATTTCCTACTCATTGTAAGTGCTCAATAAATATCTGTTAAGAAATGAATGGGAAAAGAGTCTCTCCCAGGGAGCAAAATTCTTTTGAGGAGTTGTCTATGGCAAGACTTTCACTAAACAGAGCCATTCAAAGATGTAATGAATACAGGAAGCCTCCTATCACTGAGGCACTCACAAACAGGCTTGTTGGGAATGCCAGGCGGGTGACTGACATCTCAGATGGGGCCTGGGGAGGGCGAGGCAGGGGTGGTGGTGGGGGCTAGGAGTGGATGAAATCGCTTCTAACTATTTCATCTTGTGGAAAGCATCTGGGGCTTTGAAAGTCATATGGATGCAGGATCCCTAATATAACACTCACTTGACTCACATAGCCTTTGTTTGAACACGTGGTCCAATCTCCTTTCTTGGTTTTCAGGTTTTCATTAAAGAGGAATGGTGCCAGGAATGGCACTGTCAGCCCTGACTCATCCATCCTCCTGGACTTAATCAGGACTGACCTCCCAAAGGGATGAGGTTTAGGGTGGAACATTCTAGACAGTCATCAACTTAGAGCAGTATTTCCCAAAAAGCTGCTTCTCAGAGGTCTATTAGAAGTCTTGTAAGTAAATAAATAGAGGTTGAGTTTGAGTGGAGGGGTCTGCATGATCAAATAAGTTTAAGAAATGTTGCATATTATACTCCCCTCTTAGATGTTAGCAGTATACGCAGTATACATTTAGCAATAAAAGACTCTAAGAAACCTTGCAATGTAGAAATCTGTTTGATTTCATCCAACCCAGCATATTTTCCAGGCTGGTTTTGTCACAAGACACTTCTTTCGGAAGGCAGGTTTAAGAAACAATAACCCTGACAAGTAATAATCAAGAAAGCCACAATTTAGGACTAGGGCTCAACACCTGAGTGTCCCAGGTCAGTGGGTTTAGCCTCTCAGGGCAGACAGAATGCCCATAAACATTTGTCCCTGAAACACAATGATTTGGGGGATCATCCCAGCCCTGAATTGGGGCTGATGCAGGTTCACACCCTGTGCCTTGCATGATATCAGTAACTACCCTGGATAGCTTGGAAGCAGTCAGAAACCTACAATTAACCAGAGGGATGGCAGTGTGGAGGGAAACACAGAACGTCCTCTTTTCTACTTTTCTTTCATCTCTTTCCCCATTTCCACTCTCATTTCTGGTTTCCTTTCACAACCTGTTACATATGTATCTGCTAGACATCCAGAAAGTTACTCCCGAAGAGTCTCCCTCTCCCCACCACCTCTCCAGATCAGCAGAAACATTAGGAGACCAAGAAAACATTACAAAGTCCTTGTTGATTAGGTTCGCATTATCTTATAACTTTCAGTAGAATTTTGGGTCCTTATGGAAACTAACTTTAAGATGATCCAGTTTAACCTGCTTCCTCTCTGAGGTCCAGAGGGGTAACATGGCTTTCCCAAGGTCACACAACTAGTGAGTGCAAGAGCTAGACTCCAACTGAGGTCTCCTGTCTCCAAGAATGGTGTTATTTCTACTGCACTGCAGCAGTCTGTTCATTATGTAAATCCCCAGAGCATCAGCTTGAGTCCCCAAAAAAGATCAAATCATGATTTATGTCACTTCTAAGTTTACAGAGGATTACATTCAGAATTCTCTTCCCTGTGAGGTCAGAGCCATGCTTCCCATCACAGACTGGGATGGTACCCAAGCCAGCACAGTTGTGCATGCAGAATGACAGCCTCCACATTTAGACAATGACTCATCCCTTCGAATATCGCTGGGCTTGGAATGACTTGAAAGAGAAGGAAGGAAGGATAGCGATGTTGAAATCTCAGTGGTGTGCTGATGGAGACACACTCCTGCGAATGAAAACCAAAAATGAATGCTTCTGTTCCCTCCCTCACTGGCTGATACTCAATTAAAACTTTGATACCAATAAAACTTTGAGAGCCAGGCATTGCTTTAATAAGGAAAAGACTGAGTTATACATGCAGGAAAATGTCTACAAACATCCTAAACTTGATTGCTTTTTGGGTAATGCTAATTTGTGAAGATCAGTGAGAAATGCACGTGGGATGTAAAGACAAGTTAGTGGTCCACACTGATGAACAGGACTTTGCTGTTGATGCCTGCTGCAAATGTGGGAAATAATCTCCAGTCACTGCCCTCCAAAAGCTAACAATTTAATGAGAAGCCAGAATGAACACTTGGCAGAAACACACAAGTATATGGTATTTAATTTAAAGAGAACATCATATTCTGGCGTTGGAGAAAAACATCAAGGACGATCCAGGTGAGATGGAGTTAATCAAAGAGGACTTACTGAAGAGGTATGAGCTTTGTGCCACGAGATTTGGAAGGAAGGAAAGACCAGATGGCAAGAAGGCTAGGAAGCAGATGCCCAAAGCAGGTGAATGGCTTGTACATACGCCCAGAAGAGGAGAAATGGTGAATGCAGCAAATCCTCACATCAGGAAGATAAGGCTGTTTATATTTACATATTTCTGTACACTTCTCAAAGCAAGTTACCCCATTCTATGTGGACGATGACTTCAGGAAACAGGTAAGACAGGGATCAAGTTCATTTTACAGAGGAAGAAACAGGTTTAATAAGATAAAGCTTGCCTTAGGGCTTATAGCCAGCAGGTGATAGAGCTAAATCTTGAACCTAGGTCTTTAGACTCCAAATATAGAGCATTTGGGGGTTCCCTTAACAATCCTCTTAATCATAAACAAAAACATAGACAAATTAATATCTTTTAAAATATCCCAATCAGGTGTAGGTATGGGATGAGGGAATATGCTATATACTTTCCAAGTTGTAAATTACCTTGTTATTTATAAATAGTTATAAATTTGACCTGTTCAATTTGTTAGTCAAGAGTCATGGAAAATAAGTTAATGGAGTCAAGATCACAGTTTCAACATCTCAGGAAGAATGGTTGAGAACATAGCTGTAAGCTATTTATCTCTTAGCTCACTAAAGTACACCAATCTGCAAAAGTCTGAGGTAACAGGGTAGAAAATAGAGGCCTTGATATTAGAAAATGAATCTCTCAAATGCACAAACCCCCACAAATGGAAAAATATCTCCAAATATCTACTTAACAATGAAGTGCACAAAATCTTTACACATGTAAAAACTGGGATATTATTGTTAACTTGAAGTTAAACTGGGCTGGATACTTAACTCTTTTCCCTCTTATAGCCTGAATTCAGAAACTTCCAGCTGGAATCCGGCCACGTCTTTGCACAAAATCATCCACTCTTAAAGACTGTCAGATTCAAAATTGCTTAACTTTCATCCCTAATTAAAAAGGCCAGAAGAATGCTTGGTAAATACTTTGGGTCTAATTAAGTCTGATTGCCTTGCAAAATGGAATCAGTGTACTCGGCTTCTTACATTTTGAAATTCCAAGGTTATTTATGCTCTCAATTTGCCACAAATGATAACCTCTGTATGTGGAATTCAGTGGTTCAAGAGCACACGAACCGCAAGATCAACCAAATTCTCAGGTACTGTGAAAGAGGCTGTGCCTTCTGCCATCGCTTTATCTCTCTGCAACACTATGATCCTCTACCCTCACACACACGAAGAGGTCTCGGGATCCCTTCTCTTCTCATTGACATTTTCTCCCTTGTCAATGGTCCTCATACTTAGCTGTACATTAGAATCACTAGGGAGCTTTAAAAATACTCGTGGCTGGGTGCCACCCCCAGAGATATTGATTTCATTGATTTGGAGAATGGCCTGGTGTTGGAATGTTTTAAAGCTTTTAATAGGCAGCTAAGCTTGAGAATGACTGCAATTCAGCGATCTTGTCCAGTGCCTAGGTTTTAAATCCATCCACAGGCTATGATTCCCAAATTTAATCTTCTGTTTGAGCTCTCCCCTGAGTTCCAGAATTATTCATTCAAACTGCTTACTTGGCATGTTCACTGGGTATCTAAAATGCTTCACAAACTTCAGAAGTTGAAAATACAACTCTTGATTTCTCCTGGCTTCCAACATGTTTCTCTTCCAGTGGCTCCCGCGGTAGTAAGTAGCTCAAACCAAAAACCCAGAAGCCATCCTTGACGCTTCCCTTTTCCTCATATTCCACAACAAATTCATGAGTAAAGTCTTGTTTGTTCTACAACTAAAGTAGATTTCATACTCATTATGGTAGGCAGCCCCAAATGGCCCCCAAAGAGCCCCGCTTCCTGATATCCATACCCTGTGTAGTCCCCTCCCACATTGTACAAGGGTTTGAACTGCATGACCAATAACATGTGGCCAAGTTGACGGCATCTCACTTAGAGATTAGATTAAGAAAACATTGCTCACGTGGCAGGGAATGAAAGCCTCTGGCCAACAGCCAGCAAGGAACTGAGCCTTCCAACAATCACACAAGTGAGCTCTGAAGTGAATTCTTCAGTCCACTTTAACCTTGAGATGGCTGCAGCCCCAGACAATGATTCAATTTAACGTCATAAGAGACAGTGATTCAGAAACACCCAGTTAAGTTGCTCCTAGATTTTCAGTCCTCAGAAACTGTGAAATACAAGTGTTTATTGTTTTAAGCTGCTAAATTTGGGGGTAGTTACACAACAACAGATAATGTACCCATCTACATTTTTGCATCTCATGATTACCATGCTACCTCAACCTGCCTCTTTTCTTATCTGCACTCCTGCAGTAGCCTTCTAACCTGTGTCCCTTTCCCATTTCTGCTCTTCAAGAATTTGTCATCCACATTTGTATTTTTTAAATAAAATTAGTTCACATCCCTCTCCTGTTTAATACCCTTCAGTGGCTTCCCAGTTGACTCAAAATAAAAACCAGTGCCCCCCAAATAGTCTTTCACAATCTGATTCCAATCTATATCTCGAACTTATTCTCATTTCTCTTTTCCCATTTCTTACCATGATCCAGCTATATTGGCCCTTCATTTTATACCAAGACTCTTGATTTTCTTTATGGTTAGAGGGCTAGGAGAAAGAGGGAAATTCTAACAACAGGGAACAGGATCCTGGTAACACTGTTCACTACAAAAATGACTTTCAGCCACATCTCTGAATGTTTTCTTTGGGCTTGAAGGCAAAGTAGTGTGGTGTGGAATAAGAATAGGTGCTTTTGCTTCTGGCAAATGTTGAACTAAATGAGAAGAGAGCACCTTCCCAGTATAGAACATCAAAATACTGGCTAAACATAAAACATATTTTTAGATCATGGCTGAGTTAGCAGGAGAATAAGGAAAACAATCAGAGGAAATAAATATTAGGAAATAAAATTCAATGGGGATAAGTAAGCCACAGAAGCATTTTCCTTTAGGAAATCCTTGGATTTCCTAATGGCCTAGAGACATATAAGACACATAAGAGACACACATGAGACTGGAGAAAAATCCTAGGACCCGAGTAGAATGGGACTTTTATTAGCAGGAATGCCCATGAAATGACACCTCAGTGGCACCACAAAAAAGGATTTTTCTGACTCAGCCTTGGCCCTTAGAGTAAGAAGGTGGCAGGGAGAAAAACATCTTACCTAATATTTCCTACCACAGGCTAATATTTATAAGGCTTCAAGGCTGGAATTCATACCACCTGTGGGTCCAGAAGGTAAAAATTTAAAACTCCAAACAGTTTAAAGTGTTTCCAGATGAATAGTGCTCTAAGCATCTGGCAAAAACAACACAAATCCTCTCTGAAGGAATGAATCCTCAACTTAGACCTCTTGTAATTTTTACAAATAAAGAGCAAATCCCTACATGCATGGGAATACAAGCCAACGTGAATAAGAATCAGCAGAAACAATAAATTGCAGAATCAGACCCATAGAGCCTACAGGTATTGAATTGTCACATAAAGAATTTTAAATAAGTTTAATATAAAGAAATAAAAGGGAATTTATAATATTACAAAGGAGCAAGAGACTATCAAAGTCAAACCAAATAGTTTTAAAAACCAAATATAACTTACCTTAAAATGAAATCATAATAAATTAAATTCAAAACTCATTGGATGGGTCAAACAGCACATTAGACACAGCAAAATGTATCTGGCAAACTGTAAGATATAGCTGAAAAATTACCCAGAATGCACCAGGGAGAAAAAGGTGAAAAATATAAATAAGTGGTAAAAAGACAGGAAAGAATGAATGAGAAGATGCAACACAAGTATAATTGGGGTCCCAGAATATGCAAATAGGAAAAGGAAGAAGAAATATTTGAAAAAATAATGGCTTTAAATTTTTCAGAGTTGACATCTGTATTAGACCGTTCTCACGCTGCTAAATAAAAACATATGCAGGACTGAGTAATTTATAAAGAAAAGAGGTTTAATTGACTCACAGTTCTACATGGCTGGGGAGGCCTTACAATCATGGTGGAAAGCAAAGACACATCTTACATGGTAGAAGGCAAGAGTGAGTTTGTGCAGGAAAACTTCCACTTATAAAACCACCAGTTCTTGTGAGACTTATTCACTACCACGAGAACAGTATGGTGGAAACCACCCCCATGATTCAATTATCTCCACCTGGCCCCACCCTTGACATGTGGGGATTATTACAATTCAAGGTGAGATTTGGGTGGGGACACAGCCAAACCATATCAACACTGCTTCTCAGTTTCAGGGAATCCAACCAATTCCAAGCAAGACACATCATAATAAAATTGTAGAAAACCAAAGTCAAAAAGAAGATCTTAGAAACAACCAGGGAGTTTTTTAAAAGAAGAGGGAAAAGCACTACTCAAGGAATGGAGATTACAAAGATTAGATGGACAGCTGACCTCCACAGCAACAATGAAAGCTAAAAAGTAGTAGAATGGTATCTTCAAAATGCTAAGAGAAAATCACTGTTGGCTGGGGGCGGTGGCTCACGCCTGTAATCCCAGCACTTTGGGAGGCTGAGTTGGGCAGCTCATGAGGTCAGGAGATCCAGACCATCCTGGCTAACACAGTGAAATCCCGTCTCTACTAAAAATACAAAAAAAATTAGCCGGGCATGGTGACACGTATCTGTATTCCCAGCTACTGGGGAGGCTAAGGCAGGAGAATTGCTTGAACCCGGAAGGCGGAGATTGCAATAAGCTGAGATCGCGCCACTGCACTCCAGGCTGGGCGACAGAGTGAGAGTCCCTCTCAAAAAGAAAAAAGAAAAAGAAAAAAGAAAATCACTGTCAACTGAGAATTATTTTAAATATATGCATCGAAACTATAGTTCAAGAAAAAAGGAAAAATGCAGCTATTTTCAGACATACAAAAAGCTCATTACAACAGTCCTCCACTAAAGGAATGTCTGAACTAAAATATGTACCTTAGGAAGTGGAAAAATGATACTAGAAAAAGGTGAACTGTAAGAATGACTATTAAGCAATAAAAAATAGTAAATGTGCGAAACTAAAAATAAATATGACTATATAAAGTATAACATACATATCTGATTTGTGGAATTACAATCAAGCTGAGCATTGAAAAACAAAACAAAAATTGAAATCTTTTACTAATGAAGTTTACTTTCTAGCTGGGGAAACTGACAATCATCAATTAAGGAAATTAAAAAAAGAAAAGAAGAAACAGATCATCTAAACAGTAACAAGTGCTACACAAAGAATTTAAATAGGATGATGTGAGAGCCAAAGACTTGGGAGCCACATTGGGCTTGGTGATCAGGGAAGACTTTTCTGAGCAGGTGACATTCAAGCTGAGATCTGAATCACAGGAGGGAGCCAGCCACATAGTTGTGGAAAACAGCATTCCAGGCAGAGAGAAGAGTTATCACAAAAGCCCCCTCTCTGTCAGAATCAACATCTCTGAGTTTCAGTTTCTTCAGCTATGAAATGAGGATAACAGTTTCCTCATACTGTAAAAACCAACTTGGATGAGCTTTTGTATGTGAATTACTTTCAAATTTTTTAATTGTAATGTACATGGTAATGTTATGGAGGCAGCCTTGCTTTCATAGGAATATACTGTGGACCAGCCAGAGCAAGACTTAAGTTCTAGGTTTGACAATTCTTGTGTAAACATACTGAGATCCAGCATCCTCACTTGTTAAATGGGAATGACGCAGTTGTCATAAAGATTAAAGGGTGAACCATTCATACAGAGCCTGGAACTGTGCCTGGCACACAGTAGAGCTCATTAGGAATTAGTTTATTTCCCTTTCCTCTGCTAAAATATTATCTCTTCTGTAAAGATGT
This sequence comes from Homo sapiens, assembly GCF_000001405.40. Taxonomy (NCBI): domain Eukaryota; kingdom Metazoa; phylum Chordata; class Mammalia; order Primates; family Hominidae; genus Homo; species Homo sapiens. Next base: position 132,746,181 of record NC_000007.14, read on the forward strand.
TAGCGACCGCCTCTATTTTCCATGCGCCGACTCCATCTAGAAGTTCTCTCTCTTCTCTGCTCTCCTACTGCACTTTACCTATAAGTCCCTCTCAATAATTCCTTCCCCCACCCCCGTTTCTACCAGTGGTCTGTAAAAGTCATAAGTTCACAGACTTTATTCTAGCCATCTTTTATTCTCCATAGTAGGTAACCCAGTGTCTCACACAACATAGGTATTTAATAAAATGTTTAAATGAATGGGAGAATGAACACATGAATTCAAGTTGGGATATCTCTACTACCAGGGAACCAACTATTCCACAAGGCAGCTAACTACATGGCTATAGTTGCTTAAAAGTTCTCTCTCATATTGAGTTGAAATCTGCCAATGGTAGATTTTACACTAATGGTCCCCAATGAATCACATCTGTGGAATCCATACCCTTCTGTTGTCTGCAACCTTGACCCAGGGCTTGCCCATAAAAGTCACTGTAGCTAATGGGACAAACGTAATGCAAGCGGAGGCTTGATAAGTCCTGTTTTGGGGGCTTACACTCTTGGCTCACAGCCATCACCATTCAAGGAAGCCCAAATTTTCCTCCTGGAGGATGAAAGGCCTCATGGTTCAAGGGACTCAGCTGAGCCCAGAGCCTTGCCAATCACAATGGGAATATAGTCATGTCAGCCCAGGAAAAACAAAACCAGCAGAAGAACCACCTAGCCAACCCACGAAATTGTGAGAAATAATAAATTGTTGTTTTAAACCACTCCATTTCCAAGGTGGTTCGTTACCGAGAAATAGATAACTGAAACACTTCTCCCTTATCTTCTATACTTGATTTGTAAAAGCAAGTATGAGCCCTCTTCCATGTGACAAGCTTCAAATGGCTGAAGACAGATCTCTCCCTCCTGGGTCTTCTCCAAGCTGAACACCTTTCATTCTTCAATAGATTTTTACTATTGAAAAATTTCTCCAAAGGTGCTCTGGTTTACCCTTCTCTTTTACAAGCACAGGGCTCAGCATAGTAACATACTCATCATGTTCCAGCACGGTGACCCTTAGGGACACTGTAATTCCACTGCTCCAGATGCTCTGCTTCTTCCAGGAGCCCAAGCCAGGGTCCACGTGGCCTTTCTGACATCCTCATTGTGCAGTGGTTCATATTGCATGAAGGGCCATAAATCCAAGGCCTTTTCTCATGAACTGCGTGAAGTCACATCTTTCAAATCCTGCACATAAAAACTTTACCATTTAAACCTACACGTGCTAAGTGCTAAGTGCGATGGTGCGCCTATAATCCCAACACTTTGGGAGGCCATGGCAGGAGAATTGCTTGAGCCTAGGAGTTCAAGACAAGCCCTGGCAACATAGCAAGACCTCATCTCTACAAAAAATTTAAAAATTAGCCACACATGGTGGCATGTGCCTGTGGTCCCTGCTACTCCGGAAGCTGAGGTGGGAAGATCACTTGAGCCTGGGAGATGCAGGCTGCAGTGAGCCATTGTCACACCACTGCATTCCAGCCTGAGCAATAGAATGAGACCCTGCCTCAAAACAAAAAAACAAGCGAACAAACAAACAAGTGAGTTCCCACTAAATTGATCATAATGGTTAGGAACTTTCTAAGCCAAAATTCTAAATATAGCAATGTTTTCTCCTAACTTTCCTGATCACACTCTTCTAGCAAAATCTGTTCCTTCCAGCTGTTGCCACTTTTCCTCCATTGTCTCCTAGCCCACCATATTAGTCTCCTCAGTCTGCCATAAAAAGTACCACAGACTGGGTGGCTTAAACAGCAAACATTTATTGTCTCACAGTTCTGAAGGCTGCAAGTTCCAGGTCGAGGTGCCAGCACATTCAATTTCTGGTGAGGACTCTCTTCCCGGCTTGCAGACAGCCACCTTCTCTCTGTGTCTTCACATGGCCTTTCCTTCACATGCATAGGTGGCAGTGGGAGCAGCACGCAAAGCCCTCATCTCCAAATATCATCACGTGGAAATCAGGGCTTCAACCCATAAATTCTGGGGGATACAATTTTCAATCCATAATACCTACTATAATCAGCCTTTCAATTGGACCACTCAACTGAAACTGCCATCAATGACCTCCCATGATGACATGAGAGAATGACAGAATGACAGAGTTGGTCATTCCCTCCTCCTGGGTCAAGGTTGCAGACAACAGAAGGGTATGGATTCCACAGATGTGATTCATTGGGGACCATTAGTGTAAAATCTACCATTGAGAGATTTCAACTCAATGTGAGAGAGAACTCTTGCTTTCTTTCATTGTCTTCAGAGGAAGCCCCCTCTCGGTTTCCTCCTGTTCCATTGGCCATTCCTTCCCACTCTTTGCTGGGTCCTTGGACTTCCTCCCTTCTTTACCTACCCCCACTCTCTAAAGTCATCTGAACAGCTTCCAACATGATTTCTCAAGTCCTAACTTCTCCCCAGAATTTCAGACTCATAGATCAAATTGCCTACTAAATATCCTCATAGCACAATGAATGGACTCATTTAAACCTATTTAAATAGAACTCTTGGTTTTCCACCACGCCCCCCCCAGACTACTCCCCATCTCAATAAATAACGGCTCTATTCCCAATGTTCCTGATTGCTTAGTCCAGAATTCTTAGAATCACTGACCCCCCTGTCCATTCCGTATCTGATTCTATAACAGATTCTTGCAACTCTACCTGCAAAGTATCACCAGAATCCTACTATTTTCACTATCTCTATCACTCAGCTAGTCTAAAACACCACAGTCCTAATCTAGATTATTAGAATAACTGCCTAACTGGTCTCTCAGCTTTTGCCCTTGACCCTCACTGTAGCCTCCTCTGCAGGTGGCAGCCAGAGTCATCACATGAGACACAGTCGATCACCCCTCTCAAAACCGGCCAGTGGCATCCTATGTCACTCAGAGTAAAATCCCAAATCATGACCATGGCCAGAACGCTCTGCACGATCTAGCTTTAGCTGCCTCCCTGCCCTCACCTCCCATCATTCTTGCCCTCACTCACTCCACCCCAGCCACACATGGCTTCCTTGCTGCTGCACAAATATTCCCAGCATACTCCTGTCTCAGAGACTTTGCATCTGCTGTTCTCACTGCCCGAAAACACCCATCTCCTGAATCTCAGTAGATGCTCCCCTTCATTTTATATAGGTGTCCTCTCACAGACCACCTTCTTGGAGAGGCCACCTTTCTGCAGTCAGGTTGGCTCTCCATAACACTTACCCCTCCGGACACATGGGTCTGTCTCCCCCACTAGCATACAAGCTTTCTATTTGTTTCCTTCCCTGCTGCATGCCCAGTGCTAGAACCAAGCCCAGCTCAGCCTAGGTGTTCAACATTAGTTGAATAAATAAGTTCATTATCCCTCTTAGCCTTGGCCCATCTGCAAATTGATCATGCATGTCAATGATATGTGTCCAAGAAACTGATGTTTTCATGTGGTCAAAAGATACAATCAAAAATAAACTCTGTGTTAGGAGCAGTGGTGAACACAGCCTTAGAGATAAATAATCCTAGGTGCAGACTGTGGAGCACCCTAAATGACCAGCCAGAATCTGAATTTTCTCCCCACAAAGACAACAGCCATTAAAGCTTTCTGTTTGTAAAATGATAGGAACTGTCTCATAAATAACTTTCATTGGGAACATTTTTAAAAAATATTACTTAGATCAATTTGGAAGCAACTTGACATTTTCTTTTTTCATTAATTGGCTTTGAGAACATGTTGACAAGTATGGTTCATTTTGAATGGTCCCAAGTAATTCTCTGGACCAGGGCCGGGACCACCAGGTCACTTGCAAACAAATGCACGTGGCTGTGAATAAATAGATTTATGCATCTGGGTCTTCTGACCACGTTTTATACCCATAGCACATGAATTTCTTATGTAACACCTGTGCACAACTATATATAGCATACACAGAATCTTGTTTTCATATCTTACGTATAGGCTCTTGCCAGAACTTTCTTCCAAGCAAGGGAGTCTGAGAAAAAAAAGCCGAAGGAACAGAGTAGAAGAGGATGAACCAATCTGGCATCAGCTTGGCCACGCAAACACCAAACTGTGATGAACTCACATGTGTACAAATACCCTGGCCCAACAGCTGCTTGCATTGACAGCTCCGTGGCAGCGGAGTGGCCGAGAGAATAGAAATCTTTTCAGCAGGAACAGGCTTGTGGTTGAAGAGTAAAGGGAGCAGTTGAGGCCATTCCGAGGATTTGTTCATGAATTTCAAGTGGATTACACTCCCCTCCAGCCATTGCAGACAGCAGCAGACAGGGTCTGCAAGGGGCTTCAGAGAAAAATGCAGAGAGCCCGCCCTGCACAGGAGACCTGCAGACCCCAGTGCTCAGGAACTGAAACCAAAATTGTTTCCTTACTGTAGCCAGGAAGTGTTGTTTACATGTAGTTTTTGCCTAATTAAATTGTACCTGTCTTTGCCTCTAATTTTCTTACCTCCTTTCCAAAGCATCAGCTAATCTTTTATCTCATGATTCAATCTCACTCTCCCTCCCTTCTCTCCCTCTCTCCACACACTCTCTTTCTTCCCCCTCTTCCCTTCTCTCCACTCCCTCCCACTTTCCCTCTCTCTTCTTCAGCTCCCTGGTTTCTCTGGGTAAGTCCCACGCTGACCTCCCCTCCCCTCATTTATCCATAGCTTATGCCGGAGCACAGATCTCTCTGCCCACTCCAGCAATTTCTTCCTATGCTACTGATGCATAAACACATGACTTACCACGTAAACAGTTTCTACGGAGGCTAACCACTCTGTTGATGTGCAGGCTGCAACAGCTGAGAAACCTTATGAATACTTACATACAAATAATGCACATCAGTGCTGACAAACACACAGGGGCCCAGAGGAAGGGAGCAGGTGGGCTTTAAGTTGGGCCTTGTAGACAGACTGCGAGGCACAGAGAAGCTGTTTCTTGGCCGCGGCATGCTTGCATGAGCTATATGGGGTCTTGGCGCTGGGTCTCTCCTCTGGAAGCCGTAGTGAGGCTGGAGGCTACGGGAGGATTTCTGGGAATGCGCTCAGATCTCCATGTAACTCCCAATATTTGTTCCTGTTCCCCTCCCATCAGAAAAGACCTCTAGGAGCAGCACGAGGCCAAAGGGGACAGGCAATGGGTCTGGAGCCTGCACATTTCAGGGGTTGCCATAGCAACCCCCTTCCCACACATCCCCCTGCCTCCTCACCAAATGTTTGTCTCAGAGGCACTTCCGAGGGATGGAGGTAAGCCCTCGGACCCTGCCTGGCCCCAGAATCCTGCCTACCATCCCTGCCCACACCAGTCCGGGCACAGCCAGGACCTGCCAAGAGGAAGGAGAGCACAAAGCTTCAGTTCCAGGCAGAGCTCATGAAATCAACTGGGATTTCCCCAGCTTCGCCGGCCTGAGCAATCTAAGCGGCACTGGGGAAAGGTCATGATATGAGGGATCTGTGATTTCGGGAATCTGGAAGGAACAGAAAGAGATAAAACCTACGCATTTTCCAACCTCTGCATTTTAAAGATAAAGAAACTGAGGCCCAGAAAAAAGAAGTAGGGGCAGAACACGAACAAAAACCTTATTTGTCCACAGTCTATTTTGGTTCTTAACTTTAAATAATTTATTTAAAAAGCTCAGTTACAGACTTTTTTTAAACTAAAGGGAATAGACTTAACTAGCTTTTTGGAGAGTACCAGGGGGTATGAACGCTAAATAGTTGCTAAAAAGACATCTGAACAGAGACTGTCCTTGATCTCTTCCTAGGCCAAAATTTAGGCTTCTAGGGGACCATTCGGGATTTTTTTTTTTTTAATTCCAGGTCACTGTTATATTACAGCCTATGTGAACTGGGAAAACTAATTTTCTCACCATCAGTGTATCTTTAAAATCACTGGTCAAGGAATAATAATCCTTTTATATTGGTAAAATTTGTTTTAATTATTCATACATTTCAGGGTGAAAACATTATTCTTCTAATTTCAACCCTTGGGCCCAAATATAGTTCCCCTGAGAATGAGTCATCTATGACATTATAGGTGATGAATGGATAACAGAAATTTGCCCCCTTCCCTCTCCAATCATGGGGCAGCTGAACTACAGAACTTATCTTCCTGGAAGAAGGCATTTTCCCAAGTGGAATACAAGTTATGGGGGAATGAGGGGAGTCTTCAGGTTCATGGATGTAACATTTTCCATGCTGTGTTCTTCCTCACTCGTAAAAGTTTGATTTTTAGCATTTGGCATTAAAAAAATCAATCCTGCCTAATGATACCCCTCATTCCTAATCTTTCTTTCCTTTCTTTGGTGAAAATCTTTGTGGAGTATCAGTTCACATTTTTCATTAGCATTTCTTCTGGGTTTCCTTAGATTTTACAAGTGGTTAAGCAATTAGCATACTTCTTAAACCTTTAAGCAAATAAATGCTTAGAATAACACAATGTGTAGTCACTACCACAGTGACAATGAAGCCAACTATATTATTTTCATCGGCTCATGGGAAGTGTGTACAATCAGTGTCTACAATGAGCATGTGAAAACTTAGAGCTTACATTTTACAATATGAAAAGCACCTTCCAAACATTTGCTCATTGTACCATAATCTTCTCAAGATTGGCTACACCGAGCAACTCAAACAGGTCTGTGTCTCAGTCATATTATGGCCTTAGTCCTTACCAATGCCTGGTACCTCACAAATGTCTTCTCGACTTTGTGAAGGGAATGGTGGCTTTCCGTGAACTATTCAGCAGAGATTCAAACTTAGAGGTTACAAAGTAGCTGGTAAGTGTCAGAGTGAGACACAATGCCAAGGCTGTGGCTACTGGCAGATCATGACCTTGCTTTGAAAAGGGGGTGCTGGAGTGATGAAAAAGTATCTTCAGGTGTGGCTGTGGCCACCTTGGCCACCTGTGTGTCACTTGCCAATGCAAGGACTTGTCATAGTTACACTGACTGTTAAAAAGAAACAAAGGAACAAAAAGGGAGGCGGGGTCAATTCTGGGAGCTCTTTTGGGGTAGGAACAGTAGGAAAAATAGAAAATGTGGTTGCTTTAAAAAAAAAATTCTGTGCCATTGTGGTTTCTCCATGGAGGCTCTTTAATTTGTATGTATTAATTGTGTAATATAATCCTCCTTGTGGAACCCCGTATCTTTTTTTAATTTTTTTGGAGACAGGGTCTTACCTGTCACCCAAGCTGGAATGCAGTGGGGTGATCCCGGCTCGCTGCCACCTTGACTTCCTGGGTTCAAGCTATCCTCCTACCTCAACCCCCCAAGTAGCTGGAACTACAGGCACATGTCACCACCCCTGGCTAATTTTTGTATTTTTTGTCCAGACAGGGTTTTGCCACATTGCCCAGGCTGGTCTCAAACTCCTGAGCCCAAGTAATCTGCCAACCTCAGCCTCCCAAAGAGGGAACCCCATATCTTCTTTTTAGCTATATATTTTATAAATGTCTAGAGTGTACAACTTTCCTGTGTATTTTTAAAGTTTGATGATATGAGGGTCATTACCTATGGTAAATGGCCTATTTTGGTACCTCCTGTGCAGTTTTATAATTCTGCTGATTATGATAGCATCTTATGTTGAGTCAACCACAATAAAGATAGTTGCAGGGGGAAAAAGAGAGTCACAAGGAGTTTAAGTGTTCCAGTTGGGGAATCTTTGGGATCATCTACAAGATAGAGCATAGTACCATGAGAAGATGAAGACAGAGCCACCTCAGAGCCAGCCTCAGCACTGTGGATTCCTAATGCTGCCACCTTTTTGTTGTTGCTGTGGGCATTAAGTAAAAGAGTGTGATGGTGGATTTCATGTGTCAACCTGCCTAGGCTATGGTGCCCAGCCGTTTGGTCAAACACCACTCTGAATGTTGCTGTGAATTTTTATGATTTTTAAATAATTTTCTAGATGTGATTAAATTTAATTCAGTAGACTTTGACCAAAAACAGATTTCCCTCCATTCAACTGATTTGGGGAGCCCCCTCCAATCAGTTGAAGGCCTTAGTAGCAAAGACTGAGGTTTCTTGAAGAAGGAGAAATTTTGCCTCAAGGATGCAACAAAGTTGGGCCAGGCACAGTGGCTCATGACTATAATCCCAGCACTTCAGAGGCGGAGACGGGAAGACTGCTGGAGGCCAGGACATCAGCAGGGGCAACATAGCAAGACCTCATGTCTACAAAAATTTTTTTAAAAAAATTAGTTGTATGTGAGCACCTGTGGTCCCAGCTATTAGAGAGGCTGAGGCAGAAGGATCTCTTGAACCTGGGAGGTCTAGGCTGCAGTGAGCCACAATTGCGCCACTACACTCCAACCTGGGTGACAGAGCAAGACCCTGTCTCAAGGAAAAAAAAAATGCGATAAAATTATGTTTGTTTATCTGGAAAACCCTGATTATTCCATTAAGTCAAGCCCCAGCATGCCTTTGGCAGAGAAGGTACCCAATTGTACATTCTCTTCCATGATCCTCCTTGAATCTATCTCCATAGCCCCATCAACTATATGGGCTCCCACATTCAAGGCACCAAATGAGGAGACCCACAATATCATTAACCTCCCCAAGGTCATGACCAGTTTGCAGCAATACTAGGATCAAAATCCCAGGCTTCTGACTCATCTTCTGTTCCTTCTCTGGCTCCCTGTTACCAACCCATCTTTCCACCCCTATTCCACCCAGATGCTGTGCCCATTTCACCATGGAAATCAGAGTCCTCCCTCAAACAAGAACCTACTACGGTCATCATAACTTGCATATTTCACTTAGGATTTCCCTTCATCCTGGCAGCAGTGAGTGCTTCCGCCAGAGCCCAGCTTTCTCAGGTAGTCACCACACTGGAGGCTCCCAAGGCCCATCACATGGGGAGCTTCTGTGACGCCTGCTGCTAAAAGCCTGTGTTCCAAGAACTGTTTCCTAGATTCTCATGTTCAATCTAGTTTCTCTGTCTATGGTCAGTTAGCTTCGGCACATAAGCCAGCATTTAAAAGGCGTTCAGGTGGTAAATGATTCTACCCACCTGTGTAATTGAAGAAACAGTCATCTCAGTCATCCGCAAGATCACCCTCAATTCTGACGCCAACTGTAAGGTTTGACGGGTTCTCAAGACTACCCATAGGTTTGATAATTTACTAGACAGACTCATGGAACTCACTAAAAGCTGTTATACTCACAATTATGGTTTATTACAGCTACAGGATACAGATTAAAATTAGCCAAGGGAAGATGCACAAGGCATGAGGACTCTTCCAGCCCCAGCTTATCATCTGCCCAGGTCCTCCAGCAAATTCCCTTTCTCCACAAGGAACAGGGCACATGGCCAGGGTCCTTCTCAGCTCTCTTCCCTCCATCTCCCATCTTGCTAAGACAGGACCTGTCCCAAGTCTCGCCCTCCCAGGGTCCTGGTAGGGAAGTAGCAAATTCACTTTGTAGAAGGAACTAAGGCATTACAACTAATAACATTGCCAGATGGCATTTGCCCTTTAACAAGGCTCCGAGACCTGACCTCAAAAGAGACCAGTGGCAGAAGAGATGCTTCTGCTTTCATAGGGAGTTACCTGGTGCCAACCCCACCCACAGAAGCAAAGAGAAGGAACTAAGGCGTTACAACAAATAATGTTGCCAGATGGCATTTGCCCTTTAACAAGGCTCCAAGACCTGACCTCGAAAGAGACCAGTGGCAGAAGAGATGCTTCTGCTTTCACAGGGAGTTACCAGGTGCCAACCCTGCCCACAGAAGAAAAGAGACCCCAAGAAATTGGCCAGCCCAACAGCTTTATGCCATCTGAACCCTGCAAAAGTCACAGAGATGTAAAACAAGCTGAAGAGATTCCATAAGTCACCTGGGGGGGTGCCATGCTCCAGACATTGCAGAGTCTGGTTCTAGAGGCCTGGAGAGGCCCATTGCCTCTGCTTCACCTCTGCCTTACCTTGCCTCAGCCATTTTCCCCAGTAGCAAAAGGGCCCTTCTGCCCTCTGCTCCCAAAGAACCTGCCTGAGCAGGCCCAGACCCTGTGTTCTCCAGCCCAGCATTACCCTGGGAAGTTCGATGGGGGAGGCAGGGACTTCATCTTTTTCATCTCCAAGTGCCACAGTGCCCTGTGGATAACAATGGCATCCACAGTGCTTAGTGGACAAGAATGGCATTGCCAGCTCCCCACAGCTGCACCAGCCCTGGCTCTGATCCCAGGCTGCAAAAAAAAAAAAAAAAAAAAAAAAAAAAAAAGGCAGGCAGGCCACTAGCACTCACTTATTTCCCAAGGATTAGGTCAGCCCCACACACAGTGTCTTCCAGACACTGGGAGAGGCCAGGTGCAGACCGCCAGAGATTCAGTGTAAAGCCTGCCAATCGGCCAATACCAGATGTTCAAGATGAAAATCTCATCTTCCCAAATGCTGAAGGGGTCCAGTGGATCAGGGACACTTGTCCCCAGGGTGTCCTGGCAGCTGAACTCAGCACCTTCTCTCCCACCTGTTAGCCATGAGGGCAGAGACACCTAGTATCCAAGGGCCAGGAGACACAGCACAGGAGTGGAATGCACTCGACACAGACGATTACCTTTCAAACGCTCCTCCTTCAACATCAGAACAAAGACTAGCCCAGTGGCCCAGACTTCCCTTACCACTTCCTTTATTTAGGAGGCCATGAACCCAGTCCTTCTTCTCAGCCCTGCCTCTGGGTTCAGGAACCAAGGCTAGACCTGCTTGTAGCTAATATGTGCCATGTGGCTTTTCATCTCAACTTTGTCACTTATTGTCTGTGACCTTGAGCCTTTTAAACTCTCCTCTGCCGATTACTCCTCTCTGAAATGGGAGTAAACTAACTTCCCAGAGAAGTCCTGTGGAGGAGTGAGGTGACACATGCCAAGAAGAGACAGGAACACCTGGAGATGCAGCAAACACTATTTTTATTTCATACCTGAAAGCAACAGTCTCTCTATGGAGTCGGCTGTGTTGGCTTTTACGCCCATAATGTTTGTGGTCGGATCATGTCTGTATTTAAACTAAACACAGTATTTAAGCCACCAGAAATAAGAAAACAAAGAGGAGAAAATTCCATCACATAGGTTTTTTTTTTTACTTCAGTCTATTCATCCAGATGGTGATAATTAGTGGGCTCGCCTGTCTGCACCTGTCATTGTTTATGTACGCGTTCTACCTATAGGAATGTGCGGGGAACTTTCTAGACGCATGAAGAGTGATGCTGTGGAATCTGATACAGCCTACAGTTCTAGGATTCACCCTTGGTTCTTTTGCAGAGTCAAGAATAGTCTTGGTGCTAGAGGGACCAAGCCAGCAAAGATTTGCACTGCCAGCCAAGGGACTTATTTCCCTGCCTCCAACAGTTTTGCCGTCACTAAAGCTGCTACACATGCTGAGCTTAAATGCCTGCTTATAGCAAAAGCAGCCATGTCAGTCACTTAATGTTTCTTAAGAATCCCTGTCTTTGTCCATTTTGTTTTGCTATTAAAAGAAAAAAAAAAACCTGCCACTGGATAATTTATAAAGAAAAGAGGTTTATTTAGTTCAGGGTTCTGCAGGCTGAGAAGTTCAAGGGCATGGCCCTGGCTTCTGGCGAGGGCTTTCCTGCTGCATTGACACAGGGAGAAAGGTCAAAGGGGAAGTGAATATGTGCGGAGAGGGGGAATCCTGAGGGGTCTCCAGCTATATAACAACCCACTCTCATGGGAACAAATCCACTCCTGTAAGAACAGCTCACTACTGCCTGAACAGCACCACATCATTCATGCGAGATCCCTCCCCATGACCCAAACACCTCCTGCCAGGCCCCACCTCCCAACATCACCACACCGGGGATCAAATTTCAACTTGAGTTTTGGTGGGGACAAACAAACCACATCCAAACCACTGCAAATCCCATACATACCAGGGCTCCACTCCAGACCCACTGAATTGAATCCTTTGGGGATGGTGCCTGAAAAAAATATATTTTAAACACCCAAGGGGTTCTGACACTTGGTTGAGTTTGGGATCTTCTGGACTGGAAGGAACTCTCAGGCTTTGAGTGGAGACCTTGGATCTGTTCCAGGTTTTGCCAATAACTTTCTGTTGTCCCTGCGTGACTTTGGGCACGTCACTTTCCTGTGTACTGTCTCTAAGAATGTTGGATTCTGATAAGTCAATTCCCACTTGTGTCCCTGGAGCCCTAGGGTTTCCTCGGAGGCTCCAGAAGTTTCTAAGGGGTCAGTAGAATGAAGACAGTAGGTTGGGCTCTGGATTCCCTGCCTCGAGAGTTAATCCTAGGAGCTGCTAAAGGTCTATTTACAAAGCTTCACATGAAGCCAGATCAACATCTGGGAACATCTGCCTGGGATGCAGGACATGGGCAGCCCCAGAACTAGTTTCAGGTGGCTTACATGGGCATGGTTATTGCAGAAATCACATTTTAAAAGTGTTAATCTCATCAAGAGACTTGGACTGTGGCATCTTTATTTCTGTGAGTTGTGACTTTCTCGTCCTTGGAAGTAAGGAGTGAACTAGACTCCACAAACGAGTTTAACATTTTGCCCTTCTAATTGTCTACACCAAATCCATGCCTCCCTCCCCTGTGAGCAGACTTTGGTAGAATGTTCCTCATGCCTTCAACCAGGGTGAGCCAGACGAGCCCCGGGGAACACGATGCATGACCTTGGCCTTGTTACCATGTGCAATGTATTGAATTGCAGACCTCCAAAATTTATATATTGAAGCCCTAGTCCCAGTATGACTGTACTTGGAGAGCCTTTATGGAGGTGACTAAGGTTAAGTGAGGTCATAAAGGCGGAGTTCTAATTTAATAGGATTGGCGCCCTTATAAGAAGAGGAAGAGAGAGATCGCTTTCCACTGAAATGTACCGAGGAAAGGCTATGTGAGGACATAGCCCAGAAGAGGCCCTCACCAGAGCCCAGCTATGCTGGCACCCTGACCTCCTGCTCCAGCCTCCAGACTGTGAGGAAATACGTTTCCATGGTTGAAGCCACCCAGTCTATGGTATTTTGTTGTGGCTGCCTGAGCTAAGACACCATCACACAATGACCAGGGAGGCTCTTTGGCCGTGGTCAGCAGAGGCAGCTGTGCCACTGCCTGTGGGTGCCACGCCTGCCTCACAGCAGCAACTTCCTCATAAGAAAGTCTCTGCTGTTATTTAGATGTGTGTCTTGTCTCCCAGACTCAGATACAAGCCCATCAAGGCAGTGAGGTTGACATCTTTTTTTCTGACTTGTCTGCAAACCCGTCATGAGGTGGGCATTTTCAGATACTTTCCTGGATGAAGACTTGGAGACCCCGAAGTTAGCAGTTTGTGTTTGGCCCTAGGGCCTGGAGAGGAGGCCCCTGTGGCAAGCAGTGCCTCCAGTTTCTGGATCTGGGAATTGTGCTGTTTTCCTGGGGGCCTAGGCTCTGGCAACACTCGGCTCTGTTGAGTGGGGAGGGGAGCAAGCGGCCCTGGCTTCCTCTTTACTACTTGGGCCGTGCAGGCAAGCAGCAGCTCTTGTGGCCCGGCAGGGAGTGTCCTGGTGCAGTCCGCCTCCCAGTGCGAATGGGAGTGGGTCCCAGAGAGGGCTGGGGAGGGGCTGGGCACTGCAGAGCTGGCGCTTCTCTGCTCCTCACCAGGAGGTCCTGCGGCCAGGCTGTGATGTACCCAGCTGGAGAGGTGTGGGAATTCTGGGGCACTAAGCATAAGCCAAGTTGATAAAACACAATATTAGCAAGGTTACAATTTTGGGGTCTGTTCCTATACTAATCAACTCCTTTAAATCACTTGTCGAGAGCATTTATATTTAAGCACTTTCATAAGTAATATTTATTCTTCACAACCCTGGGAGGCAGATCTTATCCCTGGTTTATAGGCAGGGAAACGGCCTCAGCTGTGAGTAACCAAACTCACCGAGTTAATGGGGACACCTGCATTCCAGGCCACACCCAGCGTTCTATTTCATCCTAGATCTGCTTCCTAGAGATCAGTAACAGCCACAAGCTGCTCTCCACGCAGCCCCACGCCACACATGGTACCACGCCTCTGCTATTGGCTTTGGGTTGTGAAATGAACCATTTGGTGGCTCAATGTAAAAATGGGTTTCCCAAATGGAATTCCAAGGAACCCTAACTCCTAGAAAGATGCTAAAACATACTTCTTTCTTTTTGTTTTCATATAGGATTGTTGCACAGTCATGTTTGGGTAATGCCACGTACAGTCTTTCCTTCTTAGGCAATTATATTAGCAGTTAAAGGCTCTGAGAAGTTTTGCAATGAAGATGCTGTCATAAGTTTGTCTAATTCAGCATTTGACAACAGAACTGATTTTCCTAGCAACATTTTGGTCCAGAGAGAAGGTGATGCAAGATGCAGAAATGACTGAGAGTATGGTGAGCACTTGTTCACTACGCCAGAAATAAAAGATCATTGAAGTGAGATTGATTAAAACTACAATCAATAAAAGATCATTGAAGTGAAATTGATTAAAACTACAATCATTGTCAAATAACCACATTTAACTCCTCTCTTAAAACTTGTCACTTAAGACACTCTGTTAACTAAATCTCTTTAAAGTATTAAATCATGTCATTGTTCGTATGTAAATGTATTTCCATTTGTAGGATTAGCAGATAAAACACCAATTCTTATTTCTACTTAATCTCATATTCTGTATTCCCCAAATTTACAAAGATATCATTTATAAACTAATACAAAACAAATAATTTAAAATAATCTGCCATCCCACAGTTTAGATTTAATAAAAGAGTAGGCAGAGGAGGATGGAGCGAATGGAGGAGGGAGGCAGACTGTGGGAAAACCTCACTGTGTGGTCTACGGTGTGTAGCTGTAACCTGCAATGCAAGGGTTTTTTTGTTTGTTTGTTTTTGAGACGGAGTCTTGCTCTGTCACCCAGGCTGGAATGCAATGGTGTGATCTCGCCTCACTGTAACCTCCACCTCCCTCGTTCAGGCAATTATCCTGCCTCAGCCTCCTAAGTAGCCGGGATTACAGGCACGTGCCATTATACCTGGGGAATTTTTTTATTTTTAGAAGAGACAGGGTTTCACCATGTTGGTCAGGCTGGTCTTGAGCTCCTGAGCTCAGGCAATCCACTCACCTCTGCCTCCCAAAGTGCTGGGATTACAGGCGTGAGCCAAAGTGCCTGGCCCCAATGCAAGGTTTTTAAAACCGTGGGCTAAAGAGTGGTTGTTTAGGCGTAGAAGTGCTGGTTTTAGATAAGCAGATTTCTGGGTCAGAGACATGCCAAGACTGAGGCCCCAGATCTGACCTCCGTATGTCCCTGTATGGACATACATACTGACCCAGGGAGGACAGACACCAGGGAGATCGGAGAGGAGACATGAGAAAAAGCAGGACCCATCTTTAGAAACTTAGGTCCACAATGGGGATATAGGGAGAAGACTGCAATGTGATTGGACACTCTCTGCCACACCTCCAGAGTACACAGGGATTGGCTGGAAACAGAGAGAACATGGTGGTAGTGGTAATGGGAACGCATGTGTACACCCTTACCATGTGCACCGTTCAATGAGCTTCAAGAGCAACTCATTTAATCCACACAACAACCCTAGGAGGGACCTTCAATCATCCCCATTTTATAGATGGGGAAACTGAGGCAGGGTGGGCTAAGTAGCTTACCCAACTTCACAGAGCTAGTAAGAGGCTGAACTGGATGTGAACCCAGCATCTGGCTCTCCTGACAGATCTAAAGGGCTACAGGGGAGCAGGCCCCAGAGGCCCTGCAAATGGAGGAAGAGAAAGGTGCAGCTGTCAGCACAGGAATAGCAACCGGCTGTGGACACCCAGTGCGGAACCAAGGGCAATCAGCTTTGCCTGGAAAATGATGTCATGGGAATCAGAAGACTTGGGGCTGGGGATGGGGAAGGGTCCAGTTTGAATCTCTCATGTTATCCAGGCAGATGAGGCCTGGTGGTGGCAAGTTAACTCCCAAGGGCACACAGGTGGCTTGTGACTCAGCAGGGCTGAAGCCCTAGTGTTCCGGGTCCTCATCCAACTTTAGGAAGGTTGAGGCAGATTCGTGATGAAGGCAGCAACTGGAGTCTGGGGGGATCACATCAGAAAGACCCACTGCCCGGGGGCTGGCAGCCTGGCTTAGCCGGTCTGGGTTCACAGCAAGGTGCTGGGACTGAAAGGCCTATGTGAGTTGGAGCAACAAGGAGAAAATATTCCTTCTCCCACCTTATGTTGCTCCCTCCCCAACCCAATGAGGCCCTTGCAGACCCTTACATTGGTTCCTTCCAAGTGAAAGCCTTGAAGCCTGATAAACCAAAATGCAAATACATCACTTGGCTTCGATAACCTGCAGCTGATTGAGAGGACTTGCTCAGATAATCAGTGAGGATCGGTGGGCCTCCCTGAAGAACTGGAGCATGGTGGATGCTCACAGCATGAGGGCCACCTGGGCAAGAGGGAGACACAGGGGCGCCAGGAGGAAGCAGGGGCCAGAAAGGAAGACACACACCCAGAGAGCCCCCACTTGCCCCCGACACACACTTGAGCACCCCTTGGGCAGTCCTGGTGGAGAAGAGCATGTCTGCGCACAGGTGCCGTGGTCTGGTCATCTTTCCTGATGCTCAAAGGAGGAAAAGGAGCATTACAGGTCCAGTGTCTGCCTGTACCTGTCTCTTCTACCTTTGCTTTGCTCCTTGAAAATCTTTGTCTACTCCACACTCTCTTCCACACCTGCCATCTTCTTCCTCTACTGGTTTCTCTCCCCTAACACCACTCCCCCACACTCTCCATCCTCTCCTTGCTGCCTCCACCCTCCTCCCTGGAAGCGGGAGGCCAGCAGAGTTGGGGCTGTTGAGAATGTGCAGCCAGGGGACTGTGGAGCAGCGCCAAGAGTAGTACCCTGAATGCTGCGGGCATGCAGGTGAGACGCCCAGAACAGCGCCCGGGACGTAGGCTGTTTTCCAGTCAGTGTTCTGCCAAGGACAAGAACACAGAGGCTCAACTTAACCTTTAATATATTGTTAAAAGGCCAGAGTGCCCCCCAGTGTAATGGTGCCCCCAGTTTACTACCCGGGAGAGGAGTGGGCAGCTGCAAAAGGGATGTTGCCAGTTCAGATCCAAAGCTTGTCCCTCTATGGCTTAGTTCTTAGTTTCACACACATCTCTCGCAAAATGACATCTCAGGTACCACCTCAATTGCCCTCAGGTGCTCTGGGAGGTGTGCATGGGCCAGGGCACGAGATGCAACCTGACAGCCCATTGGATTAATAGAAAGGGGGTCTGAGTTATTTTTGTGATTTCAAGAAGACTACACATGCAAAAGAATAAAGTTAGACTCCTCCCTCCCTTTATATACAAAAATCAACGTAAAATAAATTACAGGCTAAATGTAAAAGCTAAAACTATAAAATTCTTAGAAGAAAGTATAGGCATAAATCTTCATGACCTTGATTTGTTAGATGTGATACCAAAACCAGGAGCAAAACGGAAAGATACATTGGAATTCATAAAACTTAAAACTTTTGTACTGCAAATGATACCATCAAGAAAGCAAAAAGACAATGCACAAAATGGGAGAAAATGTTTGCAAATCATTAGCTCTGATAAGGGATTTGTTTCCAGAATATAGAAAGAATGCTTATGACAACAATAAAAAGATAAACAATCCAATTTTTTTTTTTTTTTTTTTTTCCCTGAGACTGAGTCTCGCTCGGTCGCCCAGGCTGGATTGCAGTGGCACGATCTCAGCTCACTGCAGCATCTGCCTCCCAGGTCCAAGCGATTCTCCTGCCTCAGCCTCCCGAGTAGCTGGGATTACAGGCACATACCACCATGCCTGGCTAATTTTTATATTTTTAGTGGAGATAGAGTTTCACCATGTTGGCCAGGCTGGTCTCAAACTCCTGACCTCAAGTGATCCACCTACCTCAGCCTCCCAAAGTGCTGGGATTACAGGCATGAGCCACCATGCCTGGCTAACAATCCAATTTTTCAAATGGGCAAGGGATCCGAATAGATATTTCTCCCAAGAAGATATACAAATGGCTAGTAAGCATATAAAAAGATGCTCAACAGCATTAGTCATCAAGGAAATGTAAACCAAAATTGCAATGTAATACCACTTCACACCAACTAGGATGGCTAAGTTCAGAAAGAAGGTCAGTAAATACTGAGGAGAATGTGGAGAAATTAGAACCTTCCACACTGCCAGTGGCAATGTGAAATGCTACAGCCGCTTCAAAAAAACAGTTTGGGACTGGGTGCAGTGGTGCACACCTGTAATCCCAACACTTTGGGAGGCCGAGGCAGGAGGATGGCTTGAGCATAGGAGTTCAAGACCAGCCTGGGCAACACAGTGAGACCCTGTCTCTTTTTTAATAAAAATAAATAAGAAAAACAGTTTGGCAGTTTCTCAAATTTTTAAGCACAGGTACCATGTGACCCAGGAATTCTACTCCTAAGTATGTACCCAAGAGAAATGAAAACTAAGGTTCACACAAAAACATGTACACAAATGTTCATAGCAGTATTATTCATAATAGCCAAAAAGTGGAAACTATCTAAATGTCCAACAGCAACATGTGATATCTTCACACAATGCAGTATTATTTGAAATAAAAAGGAATGAAGACTGATACATGCTACAACCTGGATCGACCTTGAAAACATTGTGCTAAGTGAAAGAAGCCAATCACAGAAAAACCACATATCCCATGATTCCATTTCTATGAAATGTCCAGAACAGGCGAATCTCTAGAGACAGAAAGGAGATCCGTGGTTGCCAGCGAATGAGGACTACAGGTGAAATGGAGGTGACTAATGGCCGTAGGGTTTCTTTTGGGATGATGAAAATGTTCTAAAATTAGATTGTGGTGAAGGTTGAACAACCCTGTGAATATCCTACAAGACATTGAAATGCACACTTGAGAGAGCTAGACTGCATGGTATGAGAATTATATTTTAAGAAAGCTGTTTTGTTTTTGAAAAAAAATTCATGAAATTGATATAACCTCATTTTAAAACTGGACAGTCCAACTTAAATGCAAATTGTGCTTTTGTCTGAAACCCCTCAGTTTTGAAATACTGTGGGTCTCATATTGACTGTAAGTTGATTCGTGGAACTATTAGTGGATGCTTTTCACTCAAACACTTGAGGATTTTTTTTTTTACCTTCTGTCAAGCCTTGTGTTAACATCACTGAAATAAAGTCAGAGAGAAATGCATTAAGGGGCCCCTGTGATCCCGCCTGGGTGGGAGAGCAAGACCCTGTCTCAAAAAAAAACGAGAGAGAACTGCATTAAGATACAGGTGGCTGCCGGGCATGGTAGCTCGTGCCTGTCATCCCAGCACTTTGGGAGGCTGAGGCAGGCGGATCACCTGAGGTCAGGAGTTTAAGACCAGCCTGGCAAACATGGTGAAATGCCGTTTCTACTAAAAATACAAAAATTAGCCAGGTGTGGTGGCGTGCGCCCCTGTAGTCCCAGCTATTCGGGAGGCTGAGGCAGTAGAATTGCTTGAACCTGGGAGGCAGAGGCTGCAGTGAGCCGAGAACTCCAGCCCAGGGGGACAGAGCACGACTCCATCTCCAAAACAAAACAAAACCAAAAAAAGAGACATAGTGGCAAGCTATATAATGACAAAAACCTAAGGCCTGATGAAGACATAAAGGGTAGAAAGGTTCTTAGCTGAGTGGGTGCCTCTGGGATGAGCAAGGAGCCGGGACACATGGCCTCTCACCTCCCCGACAGGAGCAGGGGGGTGTGACGGTGCCTCTGATCCCCCAGCTCAGGCCTGGAGAGCTGCTCCTCGCAAGAGGAAGGGCCAGGACACCTGGAGATCCAGGGAGATCCTCTCCTTACCTTCAGCTGATGCTGCGGCTTCCCAACCGGCTTCTAAAGAGCGCTGAGATTCTCTTCTTCTAGAGCAGGTGCCGCCTCCATCTCAGCAGAGGCCTATAGCTCTTGGCACTGGGTGCAGCTCTCTCAGGGCTCACAGCAGCTTGGATCTGTCTCTCTCCTGCCGCAGTGGAGAGCATCTTCCTCTTCCAGCGCTGCTAATGAGCAGGGAGAAGCGGGGTAAACAGGGAGCGATGAAATTCACAGATGATACTAATTTGGGAGGTGCCAGAAACACCAGCTCTAAGAGAGAATGCAAACAATCTGTGGAGGGAGAGGTTAGAAGCCCAGGCAAGAGCCAGCCACACGGGGTGGGTTGGAAATCCATGCATGTGCATGAATGCCACTGGCAGAGGAAAGAGTTGAGGCCAGTTTCTTCAGGCCTAGGAGGCACAAGGGTGGACTTCAGATTGTGGCGATAATTTCCAGCAAATGAGACGGGGCTGTGCCGTGGGAAAGGCCATGCAATTTGGAGCGTTTTGCCAGCCAGGAAAGCCTGGCATGCCTACTGTTCTAGCAAAGATCTTGGTCCTACCATCATGGCAGCAAAAGTCTTCTTTTTCAAAGCTATTTCTACATCTGCTGGCATTTTCCTGGATGGCATTTAAAGAACTGAGAACAAAGATGAATAAGGACTGATGTGAGGCTCTACTTAGAGTGCCTACTCCAGGTTGGTCTAGAACAATCCTGGGTCAGTGAGTAGGGCATGGCACAGATGGCCAGCATCAACAGGTCTCATAATACAGAGAAAGGCTGAACAGGCTGGACACTCTCAGGGGAGCAGGAGGAGTGGGCAGGAGCAGAAAGACTGGTCTTGACAGGTGGGGTGGGGAGGTTGGAAGCAGCACAGATACTGACTGGTGAGCTGCAGCAGGAGGAGGGGTGCCAGGTGCTATGGACGGAGCTGTGTCCCCTCCAAATGCACATGTTGAAGCCCTGACCCCACAATGGGATGGTATTTAGAGATGGGGCCTTTGAGAGGTAATGAGGGTTACATAAGGTCATTGTAGCCTCATGATGGCTTATTGGCATCATAAGAAGAGGAAGAGAAGGAGCTGTTTCTCTGTATGTGAGGACACTGGGGAAAACCAGGCATCTGCAAGCCCAGAAAGGCACCCTCACCAGGAGCCAAATCGGCTGCAGTTCCAGCCTCCAGAACTGTGAGAAATAAATGTCTGTTGTTTCAGCCACTCGGTGCATGGTACTTTGTTACGGCATCCCAAACAGACTAATACACCAGGGGTCCACAGTCAGAGGCATATGGCAGATGGAGTCACTCATACTGCAGAGGACTCGGAACATTCATTTGCAACTGCTGAAAAAACCCTATGCCTCTCATGCACACAACAAACATTTAAGAACCAACTAACCTCCAGACACTGATGACACTGCACAGAGCCCGATGCAGAGCCTTGCTCTCACGGGGCTTATATTCTAAGGACGTCATCATATGACTAGTAGTTCAATAAAGGCATCTGTGTGTGCCCTTGGGCTAACATACTTCAAATTCAATGTTTTCCTAAGACTTAAATTGATATCAGGACAAACTTTAGAATGTTGACTCCTTCATGCCACTCCGATAAAAGCTTACTAGGTGCCAGACGTGGTACAAAGTACTTCAAATTTTTAAGTCTTATTACATCAGCCCCTTGGGGTAACCTTCTTATCCCCATTTACAGATTATGAAACAGACTTGAAGAGGTTTGAGTAACTTTCCACAGTTTACACAGCTTTCAGGTTAACATAGCAAGAATTCAAAATAAGTTTTTTTTTTTTTGAGATGAGTTTTGCTCTTGTTGCCCAGGCTGGAGTGCAATGGCGTGACCTCAGCTCACTGCAACCTCCGCCTCCCGGGTTCAAGCGATCCTCCTGCCTCAGCCTCCCGAGTAGCTTGGATTACAGATGCTCACCACCACGTCCAGGTAATTTTTTTATTTTAGTAGAGATGGAGTTTCACCATGTTGGCCAGGCTATTCTCCAACTCATGACTTCAGGTGACCCTCTCCCCTCGGTCTCCAAAGTGCTGGGATTACAGGTGTGAGCCACCGCGCCCAGCCTCAAAATAAGTCCTGTTCAAACATCACAGGTACCCCATAAATATGTACAATTATGTATCAATTATGTGTACAGTTAGTATGTATCAATAATTATTATGTATAAGTACATAAATAAGTAAGTAAAAGGTCTGACTCTCAGACTCTGCTGTAACCATGGATTCTTGGACCATTGTGTTACAGTTTTAGGTAACACTCAGCATTCTTCCTGCAAATAAATACCTCAACTGGTCGAGAGCCACTATTCTGACGTGAAGAACTTCCCTCTGGTTTCTTTGAACTTGGTGAACTTGAGCCGTTCACTCCCAGGCCTCCCTCCAGGTCAGATCTGTAGGTCTCAGGTGATGCCAGGGAAACTCCCCAGGTGATATGTGAGGTTTTTGTTAAATGCATAGAAGTAACATTTATTATTATCCTATATAGCAATTGTTTTGGCCTATACTGTTAATTTTTAATAAGTTAATAGAGTTCCCAATTCTTGTAAATTCAGAAAACAAAAATGGTTTAATCACATTTCTTTTTAAAAACATCTTTATTGAAATATCATTCACATATCATAAAATTCACCCATTTAAAGTGCAGAAATCCCAACCTGGGCAAGATGGTAAGCCTCCATCTCTACAAAAAAATATTAAAATTAGCTGGGTGTGGTGGCACCCACCTGTAGTCCCAGCTACTCAGGAGGCTGAGGCAGGTGGATAGATTAAGCCCAGCAGGTTGAGGCTGTAGTGAGCCATGATCACGCCACTGTACTCCAGCCTGGGCAACAAAGCAAGACCTGTCTCAATTTTAAAAAAAAATGCACAAATTGATGGTTTTTAGTATGTTCAGAGTTGTGCAATTAATCACCACAATCTAATTTTAGAACATTTTCTTTACACAAAAAAAGAAAACCTTTAGCAGTCACTCCTCATTCCTCTTAACCCCTAGCAACCACTCATTCACTTTCTGTTTCTGTGGATTTGCCTGTTCTGATCATTTCATATAAATGGAACTATGCAATATGTGGTCTTTCTGTGAGTGGCTTCTTTTCACTTAGCGTAATGTTTTTGAGGCTCACCCATGTTGTAGCATGCATCAGACCTCCATTCCTTTTTGTTCAATAATATTTGATTGTATGGATATACCACATTTTATTCATTCATTAGTTGATGGAGATTTGGATGGTTTCCACTTGTCAGCTATCATGAATAATGCTACTGTCAACATTTGTGTACAAGTTTTTGTATAAACCTATGTTTTCATTTCTCCTGGGTATATTCCTAGGTATAGAATTGCTGGGTCATATGGTAACTCCATGTTCAACCTTTTAAGGAACTGCCAGGCTGTGGCATCATTTCACATTCCTACCAGCAATGTATGAGAGTTCTAACTTTCCCGTGTCTTCACCAGCACTTGTTATTGTTCTTTTTTTAAAAATCATAGCCATCTTAGTGGTTGTGAATTGGTGTTTCATTGAAGTTTTAATTCATATTTCCCTAATGATTAGTGATGTTGGGCATCTTTTCATGTCCTTATGGCCATTTGTATATTTTCTTTGGAGAAACGTCTATTCAGATCCTTTCCCATTTCCCATGTGATTCTGATATGCCTGGCTGAGGACTTCTTCATTTAACACTGTTCTATTCCATGACTAGAAATTAGAAGCTTAACCTTGACCAGGCATTTGATGAGACAGGGATTCCGGTAAGAGATTATGAAGACATCACTAAAAAACCATGTCCCTGCTAGCCTGAAGTTGGATCCCTAATGATGGAAAGAGAATAGGAGTGAGAGAGGGAGAGCACCTCTTTGTTGAATGCAGATGTATCAGTTAGGAGGTTTCAGCTAACAATAACAGCAAACCCAATCCAACATAAGAAAAAGAAAAAATGTATTGCCTCTTGTAATAAGAAGTCTAATAGTAGAACAGTTTTAACTGATTAATTCAGCAGCTCAACAATACAAAAAAAAAAAACCCATAGATTCTTCCCATCCCCCATGCCTCAGTTTCTGTACTCAGACCTGTCACTCCATGTTCACAAGGTGGTCACCAAAGCTCCAGGTCTTGTACACTCACACATCAAAGGCCATCAGGGGAAACACAACCTGGCATCACTAGTGCCCCCTTTTAACTTTCCCAGAAGCACTCAGCAGACTTTCTTCACAAGTCATTGGCTAGAATCATGTCACATGCCCACTCCTGAGCCAATCACTGGCAAGGGAAGTTGAATTACTATGATTGGCTTAAGTTAACCAGGATTCATCCCTGGGTCTGGGAAGGGGATCTCCTTTCCCCTGAAACACTTGTCCATCTGCTACTTGGACAAACTCAAGGTCTGTCACTAAGGAAGGCATTAACGCTTGGATAAGCCACAGCGAACATTATTTACTACTGTCTAGGGCAAGAGATTATGGAAAAAGAACTGGAAGAGACTTGACCCTTTTATACCACTCTCTACAGATTTATAGCGATCTTCCTGAAGGATATTACAGACTGCCTATAACCTTCAAAGTGCCTAGTAATCCTCACTTTAAGGACATTACTAATGTGGCTTTAAGATGTCTATAAAACCAAGAATTGACCCAAGTTCTCCTGGCTCTAAAAGGCTGTCTGGGCCAAATTGATGGTATCCAAGGGCTGGTAAGATCAGGTGGATGGGGGGGGGGGAGTCCATGAACCTTAGACTTTAAGCCCAGATGACACAAACATGTGATGAGTGAGTAGGGTGTCATAAAGTCAAGAGGAAGAGGAGTCAGTTGGGGAGAGTTGAGGGATAGGCGGGAGAATTATAAATAAATAGGTGTTTTGGGCAACTTGAAATTATGGTTGAAATTGTCCAGCAAGGGGCCCTGCATGGTGCCTCACACCTGTAATCCCAGTGCTTTGGGAGGCCGAGGCAGGAGAATTGCTTGAGGCCAGGAGTTTGAAGCTGCAGTGAGCTATGATCGCACCACTGCACTCCAGCCTGGGTGACAAAGCAAGACTGTCTCTTAAAAAAATGTTCATAGCTAGGCGTGGTGGCGGGCACTTGTAATCCCAGCTACTCAGGAGGCTGAAACAGGAGAATCGCTTGAATCTGGGAGGTAGAGGTTGCAGTGAGCCAAAATCATGCCACTGAACTCCAGCCTGGGTGAAAGAGCAAGACTGTGTTTCAAAAACACAAAACAAAATTAAAAATGTTCAAGAGAGTACGTGTAGAGTTCTCGAAGTTTGATTTTCTCTTTTCTGCAGTTGTTTATTTTTAATCTACTAGCAACAGGAAGAGGGTGCTCAGCAAAGGCAGGCTCAAAGGCTGAGCTGGTGACTTTGCATGGAGCCCCACCCATCTGCTTTGTATCTGCATTCATGAGCAGCTCCAGCTCCAAAGCCAATGTACCAGTAACAAATCTCCACTGAATGGGGCCTGAAAGTTCCAGACCGACAGTCACTTTCCTTCCAAACTCTTTTTGCCTCAGAAGACCTTGAAAACCCAGCAACCACATGGACTTGGAGTTTTATTTAGAATGGCTGGGCTCTGTGCCCTGCACCCTGGTGGCCCACCTGGGGCCTGCTGAGTGGTTGCACCTGGGACCTTCCGGAGGCAGAAGCAGTGCACGCGCACACAGCCTGGCTGTGTCTCCCCCTCTACCACTTCCTGGGTGGCAGGCCGAGCGGGGGAACACCATGGAGTTAGGCAGATGTCTTGGAGCTCAGGGAAAGCAAAAAAGGAAGTGGGGAATTTGCCTGACAGACCCCAGTGAGCAAAATTAGCATCAGCCACAGGCAGGAGGTTCTCCAGTTATTTTTCCTCTGCTCAAAATCTCAGTAACTTTGCACAGACAAGATATTTTGTGCTACTGCACCCAGTACACGAGAGAAAGCCGACGAAAATGATGGGGCTTTTATTCCTTCATTCAACTCAACATTTATTGAAGGCTTGTCCTGGACAAATGCACTGTACCGGACACCGTGGGGATGGGGGGAACTTGGAGGTTTATAACAAGGGTTGTCCTAAAGATCTAGTGTCAAGGTGGGGCTTGGATAGAGAGGAGCTCATGCAACAGTTAAGAGCCAGACTTCTAGGGAGGGCAGATTGCGTTGTTTACGCACTGTATGACCCTTAGCAGGTTATTTAATCCCTCCAAGCCTCAGTTTTCTTACCTGCAAAATAAGAATAATAAAAATACCTAATTTATAGGATTATTGCACTTTTTTTTTTTTTTTTTTTTTAGATGGAGTCTCACTCTGTCACCCAGGCTGGAGTGCAGTAGCGTAATTTTGGCTCACTGCAACCTCCATTTCCCGGGTTGAAGCAATTCTCCTGCCTCAGTCTCCCAAGTAGCTGGGATTACAGGTGCACACCACCATGCCTGGCTAATGTTTGTATTTTTAGTAGAGACAGGGTTTTGCCATGTTGGCCAGGCTGATCTCGAACTCTTGACCTCAAGTGATCCACCTGCCTCGGCCTCCCAAAGTTCTGGGATTACAGGCGTGAGCCACCATGCCTGGCTAATTTTTGTATTTTTAGTACAGACAGGGTTTTGCCATGTTGGTGAGGCTGATCTCGAACTCTTGACCTCAAGTGATCCACCTGCCTTGGCCTCCCAAAGTGCTGGGATTACAGGCGTGAGCCACCATGCCTGGCTAATTTTTGTATTTTTAGTAGAGACAGGGTTTTGCCATGTTGGTCAGGCTGATCTCGAACTCTTGACCTCAAGTGATCCACCTGCCTCGGCCTCCCAAAGTACTGGGATTACAGGCGTGAGCCACCGTGCCTGGCTAATGTTTGTATTTTTAGTAGAGACAGGGTTTTGCCATGTTGGCCAGGCTGATCTCGAACTCTTGACCTCAAGTGATCCACCTGCCTCGGCCTCCCAAAGTGCTGGGATTACAGGCGTGAGCCACCGTGCCTGGCTAATTTTTGTATTTTTAGTAGAGACAGGGTTTTGCCATGTTGGTCAGGCTGATCTCGAACTCTTGACCTCAAGTGATCCACCTGCCTCGGCCTCCCAAAGTGCTGGGATTACAGGCGTGAGCCACCGTGCCCAGATGGCAACAGGAGATATTGAGATGCTTAACACAGTGGCTGGCACAGAATAGCCCTCACCAAATGTCAGTTTCAGGTAGGTATTATCAAGGGAGTGGAAATGACTTTGTCATAGGAATAACCCTGAACCTGTTTGAATTTATTTTGAATCCTTTTTATTCCGAAGTATAAAATACAGTGAAGTACAGAAAACAAATGTACAGATAATGAATTCTCATAAATGAAATACACCCATTCACCACTCAGGCAAAGAGACAGAATAGTAGCAAGACCCTAGAAATCCCATTAGTGTCCCCTTCCAATCAGGACACCCTCCAACCCCAAGAAAGGTAACTGCCGTCCATATATGGTAACACTTCTTTACTTCTCATAAGTTTTACTGCATAAGCATCCATCTCTAAAAACTATCCTTTTTCTGCCTTAAAAAATTTATATGAATGCAATTACACAATATTCATTCTTTAGTATTTGACTTCTTTGGCTCAACACTGTAAGAATCATCTGTGTTTTTATGTGTAGCCATAAATCAGTCATCCGTATGATTGCATCATATTCCAGATGCCTAAATATATTTAATCAGTTTTACTATGATGCACATTTGGTTGTTTTTACTCTGTAGCTAGTATGAATAATGCTACTGAACACTAAGTATGTACCTAGAAATGGTATTGCTGAGTCATAAGTTATGTATAGATTCGGCTTTCATAGAAAATGTCAAATCATTTTCCAAATTGGCTGTACCAATTTATAATCTTACCAGCAATGTATTAGAAGCTAGTTGCTTCATATCCTTGTCAACGCTATTTTCCATCTTTTACATTTTTGCCACGTCACAGGACAAATGGTAGCATCTCGTTGTGAATTTAATTTGCATTTCCCTAATTAGCAGTTCCATGGAGTACATTTCATAAGCTTATTGGTCATTTACGTTTTTTTGTGTGAAGTGCTTATTTCAGTCTCTTGCCCATTCTTCTATTCAGCTGTCTTTTTCTTACTGGTTTATAGGCCTTTTTTATATATTCTGGATATGACCTTTTGTTGGCTGTTTCACAAATATCTTCGTCTTAAGGCTTGCCTTTTCATTCTCTTCATAATGTCCTGATGAACAAAAATTCTCCATTTTAAAGGAATACAATTTATCAGCATTTTCCCTTATGGGTAGTGTTTTTTCGTATGCTGTTTAAGAAACAGTTCCTTACACTGAGGTTATGGAGCTATTCTTCTATACTATATTCTAGAAGTTTTGGTGTTTACTCATTTAAATGATACTCCAATTGAAATTGACTTTCAAGTATGGAGTAAGAGAGGGTCCAGTTTTCCTCTTTTTCCATGGGGACATCTAACTGAGCTGGCACCATTTTTTTTAAAGACCATTCTCTCCCCTCTGACCTGAAGCACAAACTTCATCATAAATCAACCAACCACATATGCATGGGTCAGTTTCTGAACTCTCTATTCTGTCCCATCCATCAATTCCATATCATTTCACTCTTTTAATTGTGGTAACTTATTATAATGACTCTAGTAGAGCAAGCCTTCGCATCTAGCTCTTTAAGAATGTCATAGCATTCAATTCATTTTTTAAAGTAAACTTCTTTTACCTTTGCTGCTTTTTAAAACATGTAATTCTTTTTTTATCTTGAAATGCTTTTAAACTTACAGAAAAGTTTCAAGAATAGTACAAACTTTTCTTCCTGAACCATTTGACAGTGAATTGCCAAAATGATACCCCATCAGCCCCAAATACCCCAAACAAGAACAATCTCCTCTATAACAACCATACAATCCTCAAAATAAGCAAATAAATAACATTGCTATATTACTATCATCGAGTCTACAGACACTGTTCACGTTCTGGCAATTGTCCCAGTGATGTCTTTGATAGCAAAAAGGATCCAGTCCAGGATCACGTATTGTATTTCATTGTGTCTCTTTAGTTTTCTTCAATTTGGACCAGTTCTTTGAGACTTTTTCCCGTGACTTTCATGATTTTGACACTTCAGAAGTTACAGACCAGCTATTTTGTAGACTGGGCCTCCCTCAGGCATGTCTGATGTTTTCCTCATGATTAGATTCATGCTATCCTTTTGGTGGGACAGTCTCAGAAGCACCGCTGCTGTGTTCTCACTGCATCCTATCACATTTTGATGTGGCCCATTCCTGGTCATGTTAATGTTGATCACTTGATTTAGGTGGTGTCTGTCAGGTTTCTTCTTTGTAAGAATTTACTCTGTTTAGTTTTGTAGTTCATGAGTTGGAAGGGAATTTAACATGTAAACATCCATCCTGTTCCTCAGAAGAGTAGCCCCCTAGTTTTAACATGCAATTGATGTTTCTTGGCTGAATTATTACTATGGTGGTTGTCAAATAATAATTTCATAAATATATCACTCCTTTAACATTTATTAGTTTGCATTCTATACTAAGGGAAAGATTTCTCCTTTCTCCTTTTATTTATTAATTATTTATTATATTAGCATTGACCCATGATATCAGTTTGGACCATTCCTTTGTTACTCAGTGGGTTAAATCTGCCCAAGTTGGGGCCAGTGATAGCCCCTTCAAGATGGCACTGCCCTTTCGGTATGTTCCCATCTTGTATTTTTTCCTGCCTAGGGCTTAGCCATTTCTTCAAGAAGCTATGGTTCCTTTCTAGTGAAAGATGGTGTTTAGATCAAAGATCTGGGCATATGGTGAGCTCTTTGCTATTAGAATGCTGTTGCTCCCAGCTCCTCTCGATGACGGATCTAAGGAATATCTGAATGAATGTACATTCATACATACATATGTGCATAATATATGAGTATGAATAGATACATATAAATGTGCATGCATTTTTATATATATTTATATATCCTTTATATATACTGAAATAAATATATATATATTTGTTTCAGTATCTAGCTATCACCACAATTTCACTTCAATATCTCCAATTCCAAACCAATGCTACAGAGGTCATTTTAATTTCTCCCTTTCCGTATTTGTAACTTCCTTATCTGACAATCAGAAAACTGGCTCTCATTATCCTCAATATGTTTATTATTAGATCAGTGTCCTCTGCATGTCATTACTCTTCCACTTCTAGAGCCACCCTTCTTTCCCCAGCCAACACAACCACCCTCCTCCCATCACTCAGGTTCTCGCACCACGAATGGACACCCTTCTCTTCCTGCTCAGGCTCAGGCATCCCAGTCTTGGCCGCCACCCCCCTCATCCCCTGCGTGGGGGACTACCTTGCTTGGCTCTACCTAAGGGCTTTTGGACTGAGTTATTCAGGAAGGAAGAAAGGCAGTGAGAAAAGGAAGGCACTCAGCTACTTTTAATTATTGCTAGCAAACATTAACTTGGGACATGCCACATGGCTGATCAGAAAATGGAAGCCATCAGAAGAGAATGACCTCATCCTCTCAGGACCATCCACCAGCCTGCCTGCATTTATGCTCATAAACTCAACTTTTCTTCTATTTACAATGGATAAACTCTCCCTGCTCTGTTTAAGCCTAGATCCCAGCCAGTTAGCCTACTCAAGGACTTTCAACTGAACTTATCCTCTTTTTCTGCTTTTTTCCATATAAAATGGACTGTATCTTCAATCTTAAAAAGAAATCTCCTGAGGAGCCCACATTTCTTCTACCTACTTCCCTCTCTACTCGCCCTTTAAGCAAAACTTCTTTAAAATGCTGCACTTTGGGAGGCCGAGGCAGGTGGATCACTTGAGGTCAGGAGTTCAAGACCAGCCTGGTTAACATGGTGAAACCCTGTCTCTACTGAAAAATACAAAAATTAGTTGGGCCTGGTGGCGCATGCCTGTAGTCCCAGCTACTTGGGAGGCTGAGGCACCAGAATCACTGGAACGTAGGAGGCGGAGGTTGCAGTGAGCCAAGATTGTACTACTGCACTCCAGCCTGGGTGCCAGAGCAAGACACCGTCTCAGAAAAAAAAAAAAAAAAGTGTTGCTGCTGCTCACTGTCTTCATTTTCCAAACTCATTCTTTCTTCAACCCCATTCTGACCAGGCTTTCATTCTCCCCAGTCACCACCTGCCCATCAAGTGACTTTCATGTTGCCAAGTTCACTGGCTAATTCTGCGGTCATCTTTCTCAACCCATCAGTAGCACTTAGTACAGCTGGCCATTCCTCCTTTCTTGAAATGCTCCCTTCCCTTGGTCTCCATGTCTGAGTCGGTTGTCTCTCACCTCAGTGGCCATTCTCTCACATTCCTCTTGGCCAGCTCCCTTCCCTCTTCCCCAGCTTCCCAGTGTTAGAGAGCTGTAGCTGTCCCAGCCCTCTCCTCTTTACAAACTCATCCCATAGGCAAGCACATCCAAGGCCAGTGCCAAGGCTCCATGCCATCTTGACAACGAGGACCTGAAATCTTCTCTCTAGCCCCAGACATATATCCAAAGGCCTGCATAGCCATCTCTACTAGGGGTCATAAATTATATATTCAGCTTAACATGATCAAAACGGAACCTCTGCTTCCTGCCCACACCCCTCCCACTATCGCAGATGTTAAGTGTCTCCATCTCAATAAACGGCACCACCATTCAGTAGTTGCTCAGGCAAATCTTCGGGTCCTTACATTTTATTCCTCTCTCCCCCCACATCTAATACAGTAGGCTGTCTTGTTGGGTCTATCTAATGTCTACGGGTCTCCTAAATCTGACTTCTCACTTTTTCCATGCTATCACTCTAGTCTGGGTTGCCACTTCCTGCTTCGATCGTTAATGTAATAGCCTAATATTCGCCTTGCTTCCACTTTGCCCATACTTTGGATAGTTCTTTAGTTCTTTACACGGCAACAAGAGTGTTTTTTTGTTTGTTTGGTTGGATATTTTGAGACTGAGTTTTGCTGTCACCCAGGCTAGAATGCAGTGGTGCCATCATACCTCACTACAGTCTGGACCTTCTGGGCTCAAGCAATCCTCCAGCCTCAGCCTCCCGAGTAGCTGAACTACAGGTGTGTGCCACTACACCTGGTTAATTTTTTTATTTAAAATTTTTTTTTAGAGATTGGGTCTCACTATGTTGGCCAGGCTGGCCTCAAATGATCCTCCCGCCTTGGCCTCCCAAAGCACTACTACAGGCATGAGCCACTGCACCCAGCCTAGAGTGGTCTTTTATAAATGTAAATCAGATTGACGGCCTGGCAGAAAACCCTCCAATAGTTTTTCATTGCACTCATAATAAAACTCAAATCATTATCATGGACAAAAATGTCCTGCCTTGTTCTGGCTCTGGTTTACCTCCGTCAACCCACATCCCAGAGCAATGTGCCTTTTTCACTCTGCTGGGGCCATGAGGACCTCCTTGCTGCTTCCCTAACCCATCAAACTTCAAGCTTCTGCCCCAGGACCTTTGTGCTTACTGCTCTCCAATCTGGAATGCACTTCACTTGGTCCTTTTTTGTCTCCCATTTTAAAGATGGTATCTCCCTATGTTGCCCCATCTGGAGTGCAGTGGTTGTTCACAGGCACGATCGCAGTGCACTGCAGCCTCGAACTCCCCAGCTCAAGCAATCCTCCCATCTCAGCTCCCTGAGTAGCTGGGAGTACAGGCACATGACACCATACCTGGTTTCCAGTTCTCTCACCACATTCAAGAATCTACTCAGATGTGACCACCTTATAGCTGTTTTCACCACCTAATTTAAAATAGCACAGCACCTCCACAAACCTCTATTCCCCCTCCCTGAGCGCTCCATTCCTTTACCCATTCATACCTCACGCATCACTCATCACTACCTGACATCATATGGTTATGGTTTCCTCCCACCAGAATGTAAACCCCACGAGGCCTGGACCTTGTCTGTCCTGTTCACCACAATATCCCTGACACCTGGAACAGTACCTGGTGCACAGAGGCTATGCTGAATTCAGGCAATGATTCAGGCAATGCCAGTGTGACATGGTACTGTGGCTAACAGTACCTTCTCCGGGGAACCAGAGAAGGCAGGAGTGATGAACTAAGTGGTCCATGCTGAGCCACAGGTGATGAACAAGCTTCTCCTTTAATGAGGAAGTTGAAAGTGGTTATAAAAACTCAGGACAATAAACTTCTGATGTTCCTGAAACATCATCACCTTAGTGGTGATTCATAACCCCTCTTCTGCTTCTAAAATATAACATCTTTCTAACTTCACTGATAAACTCATTTCCAATAGAAGAAAAACACCTTCTGCCTTAGTCACTGATACTTCTAAGTTCTGTGTTAAGCACCTGAGGGTGAGGAGTGTGGGCTCTTTTATTTTGGGTTCACATTTAACATGCAGCTGCTGCAAAGGCATTTTAAGAACACGGAGGTGACTGAAAATAAACTCCTGCCAGCAGGTTACCCGACATCCTATTCACCCTCTGCTGAAGTGGAGTTCCCAGCCCCTGCTCTGCAGCCTGCCTTCCAAGCTTGAAATAAAACAACAATGCCACTTCAACTGGAGGTTGAATACTGTTTTCAATGACTTCATGGTCATGCTTCTGAGACCGGGATGCACATTACCTTAGGGAGATGCAAAGCCAAGCTAAAATGTGCAGGCTGGCATGGTGTTGCTGGTTTGATGCTGACTGAGAAACACGGCTTGTGGCTATGAAGTGAAGAAAATGGTTTTACCCTCATCCCTTGGACTGCACAGGCAGCAGATAATAGGCAGTTGGCCCAAGTCATCGGGCCCTCGACTTCGATTTTATATATTTGCAAGGAGGGGCAGAGAGAGAGAATGAACAGAGGCTTTCAATCTGTGCTGTGGGCAGTGAGGAGGGCAGACCTGACAGGGAAGGGGAGTCCGCAGGAGGCTCCCCAAGTATGAGCCACTTGGACTCCAGACCTGGCAGGCTGCTCTGTGCTGGGGCAAGTCTGGGAAGAAAGGCACACAGCTAAGCAGAGTGGTACCCTGCAACTGACCACTGACCTCCGGCTTCCATGTTTGCATTTCAAAGCCATGATATATAAATGTAATTTACTTTGAAGGCAAGCTTATGTTCGAAGCAGACTGGCCTCTCAACAAAGGGACAGTGACCACTGCCTGCCTGATAAGCCTCCTCCCAGGAGAGAGACTATCTGCCAGGGAGTGGGGGGCAGAGAGGTAGGTAAGTAAAGTCTTTCTGCATGGGAAAGCCTTTGAAGAGTATAGAGGCCTCACCTAATCCAAATCACTGCAAGAGTTTTGAAGTACTCTATTAAATTGAAGCAAAGCTGTTTGCCACAGAATTGACTTGGTTTGAGGAGTTGCAGGGAATGAAATGGTTTCAGTTTCCAACTTCCTTAACTGAAAAGCATCAATATGATGACCATATTTTCGGAATCCAAAGTGGATTTAACATAGGCTTGTCCCCTGAAATACAAGGGCATATTATCATGATCTAGAGACCATGAATCTATTTGGAAGGGTAGGAAAAGTGGAAGATACCTTTGATTTGGGTAATTTTTGCTTTCTCCCCATAAACTAAAGCAATTCAACTCTTCTTAGGGGCTCTGCCAGCAATATTGAGGCTGGAGGGACCAGAGGAGAGAGAGCACAACATGAAATATAAAATTCCATCATCTCCATTCAAACATCAGCCTGGAGGTAGGAGAATGAATTAGGCGGTTGGTCGTTTTTCTCCCAAAGCCAGGATCCAATGACTCTGGGCTTTGGAAGGTAATGGAATTGAAAGCTCCGGAAGCTGTCTGGTGCTTTGGCTAAAATTCCTAGCATAAGGAACCTTTTTGGGTGAGGAAGATGACTCTCATTCCGGGTACGGGGGAACAAATCTACTTTGTCTTTTGTTTACCAATCTGATCCTCCATCATGGATAAAGCAGTGCTATCCAGGAGTAGCAGAGCTCGCCCAGGGAGATGGGCAGGACCAGCCTCCCAATACCCAAGGGGGGCCTTGAAGTTTCCCATTACAGAGCTTGAAAAATCACCAACCACTCCAGTCTCCCTGGGTCATGCGCAGGCTAGGGATGATTGTAAAACAGATATAGCTCTGACTCACCTGCAGTGGAATAATTAAAAGTGACTTTTTTTTTTCATATATGGTACAGTCAGAATGAGCACCTACAGACCAGGTGCAGTGGCTCACGCCTGTAATCCCAGCACTTTGGGGGGCCAAGGCAGGCAGATCACTTGAGGTCAGGAGTTCCAGACCAGCCTGTCCAAAATGGTGAAACCCCATCTCTACTAAAAATATAAAAATTAGCCAGGCAGGGTGGCGCGTGTCTGTGGTCTCAGTTACTTGGGAAGCTGAGGCACGAGAATTGCTTGAACGCAGGAGGTGGAGGTTGCAGTGAGCCAAGACCTTGCCATTGTACTCCAGCCTGGGTGGCAGAGCAAGACCCTGTTTCAAAAAAAAAAAAGGAAAAAAAAGGGCCAAAAAAGGGAAAAAAAGCTCCTAGAGAGTGAAAGGAGCTTCTGGGAATCACATCCAGTCCTCTCCAGGCACAGCGTTGATCACCACGAGCCAGCATTCTACTTTATGGACAGTAAACAGGTCTTTATCCCCCTCCTTTATTTCCTTTATGTTGCTTCAGTTATTGTTGGTACCTCAAAATCAAGTGGGTCAAGGGAAGGAGAGTAAAAACTGAAATCTGCTCCATTCTACATGCTCTTAAAGGCTGGGAGGAAGAAGCTAAAACAGATGCCAGGAATAAAGGTTTAAACTAAACCGTGGACTCCTTAGCCAGAACATGTATTCTTCACTGGCCGGTGCAGGCCTCGGAACACCCGCACCACAGTCCCCTATTCTGGGGGTGGTTTGGACCGTGGGTGTCATCAGCACAAATGGCCTACGTGTCCTAAGGTGACTTCCTAGACTAGATGCAGCCTGCCCACGGAGTAAATCCCTCAGGGCACTGATGGAAAACAAAAACCTAATGGAGACCATAAGCTGTAGGAAAAGTACCATCAAGGGCACAGAGAAAGAAATACAAATATAGTTTTCATTTAGAAAATTTACCCAGTTTATAAGAACTGTAAGAATAAGAAATTACTAAATGAGAGGAAGTACTAAATATAGGACTAAAAGATTTAGGAGGCCGGGGAAGAAAAGAAGGGAAGTATCAAAAAACACAAATCATAATGGAAAGGACCCCGAACAGGCCACTGTACAGTGAGAGACCAGAGGGAGGTGACTTGTCCCCACTGACAAATGGAGCAGAGCTGGATCAAGAGCCCAGGACTCTGCACTCAGGAGGATGCACTGTGCACTCCGTTGTCACTGCTTCTCTGGAGGGAGGCTGGAGAGACTGAGAAAAGTGTAAACACACAGAGGAGGTTAGAGGAGGGAATGAAGATGGCAGAGAAGAGAGGAGGAAGCAGAGACTGGGAAAACTTGGGAGAGGAAGACGGGAGGAGAGCAGTGAGATAACAATGAGTATCAACGCATTCATTCACAACATTAGCCTTTCAAGAGGATTAATTCTAAACAGACTATTTTCCTAACTCACTTGGTTTGAATCACAGCAAGTTACTGCTGCCCTTTCAATTGTTCAACTGCTAATTCTTTAAAAAAATTATTTCACGAATACGTTGTAACATTATTAACCAGTCAGCATGTTGTACAACAGATCTCTTGAACTATTCCTCCTAATCTAACTGAGATTTTGTTGCTTTAATTCTTAAATCTCAAAAGGGTCATCTCCTACAGCTCACTGCAATGTGGGTTTCTGGCAAAAGCAATTATACCTGCAGGCTGGAAGACAGCAAGTGAAGAACCACACATTCTCCATTTCTCAGCCCGAGAAGTCGAGGACATGTGACTACCTGGTCAGTTCTAAGCTAAAAACTGTTGTAGGGAGTCTTGTGGGTTGACCAACTGGCCACAGGCATCTGGCTTTTAGCAGTCTACATTTGCTACTAATCATGATTAGTCAATACTTTTCTAAACTAGTGCATGTTGGCAAGTTTACTGTAATGTTATTGACTTCTCAAAGAGGACTTCGTGCTGATTCAACCCAGCTGTGTTCTATAAGTTCCTCAAACATTTGTTTAGTGTGATATCCTCTGATCAGCTTTCAAGACACTTTATTCTTCTTGGCTTCATGAGCTAAGCTACTGTGGCTGAAGGTGCATTCTACTTAAGTGAGAAACTGATTGGAATGTACCACTCCACAGCCTCATATAAATCACAACACTCTTCCCAAGCAGTGGTCTGGAAAGCTACTGTGACCTGGCAGAGCTGTGATGCCATCAGCAGGGAGCTCTCCAAGGACGGAGAGAAAGGCATCATTTCATCCTTTTACTTCCCCAAAGCGCTGGCTTTTGTCTTGCACCTACCATGCTTATCAGAATGATAAATTAATAAGCAATGCTGGGAGGAGCGGCCTGTCGAACCAACCCCCCTTCCCCTGGATTTCGCCCACTTTAGACGCCTGACTCTACAGCGCTGCATTTGCCTGCCAGAGGCAAGACTGGCAGCCTGGGATGTGCCAAGTGCTTGGCTCTCAATTGCAAAACAAAACAGTATAGGAGGGAATTTGTGAGTTAGCTGATTTGCAAACACTAGAGCAAGTCGCCATGTAAACATTTGTTTTTGTGTCTCTCAGGTTTTTCCATTTCTCTCAGGCAGCTACCTGGATGCCACCCTGACAGCATCAAAATGTGCTGCTCCTCAAGTTACCAGTGAATCCTTATTCACACTGAAATAAACTCAGCTTCTTTCAGACCATTAAAAAAGAAACCTGAAAGCCCCCCACAAAACAAAACAAAACAAAAAAACCCAAACAAAAAAAACTTCATGAAGCAGTCATCACAGAGGATATCAGTAATTATGGCAGGAGAGCCTCTAGTGTTGCTCAGAATCAACGTTAGGCCAGCAGGTGTGTCCCCAAGTGTCTATGAACATGTCACTCGGAGGGAGCCATCGCCTGGGGAACCTGAATGAATAAGCAGCTGCAGTTACACTCACATGCGTTGGCTGAGACTGTTCCATCACAAGTACATCCAACTTTAAATAAAAGGTACTTGGGCATGTGAATACGTTCTATGCCCCCAACGCCAAATGCCAGTTTACTGAATCATCACACAAGCCAGCATTTACTGGGTCTGACCAAACGTATGCGGTGAGTCAGCATTTGGACTCTTCACTGTAAGCCTAAAAATTAGTTCTTCCATTTGCCCCCTTTTTGCAGTTGAAGAAGTATTGGTTGACTTGGTTGAATTCCACAGCAGAGCCAGAATTTGTACACAGATTAAGAATACAGAACCTGTATTTTGCTAAATTCACTTGCTTCGTAATAAAATAAAAATCCTACATGACAAAAGACACTTAAAGGATATCACAGAGCACTGGTACTCCTATGTCTGAAAAGAACCTTCTCATTTAGCTTCAGTGTGACTACTTATTTCCAACTCACTCAACTCCAGGGTTGAAGCACCAATCATGGTTAAAAAAAAAAAAAAAAAAAAGGGAGAGTTATAATCAGGAAGTTTTGAAAAATTGGAAAGAGGAAAAAAAAACCTAATGGTTGAATTATTTTCTTTAAACGTTTTTTAGTATTGCAGGGTCAGAAGGTCCTAACCAAGGTTATCTAATCTAGTTCTTGCCCCAGGCAGGATGACTTAAGTCATCCCAAAGAAAGGAAAGTTCACACAATTTGTAAAGATCTTCCCGAATTCTACCTACCTGATAGGCAAGTTATAAGCATCACTTGCCTGTCGGAGGCTCCACGAAATGCTCTGGAGCCTTTGAGAGGAAAGGTACAGCACAAATGCAAATTATTAACAATATAAATCAGCTCAATTCCCGTAAGCATAGACATCTAACCCAGCCAAAGGAATGTGTGAGGAGCTACAATGCCAGTCTTTGTCAGAAAATATATTTATTATTGATAGTGAGTGAAGTAAAGATGTGAGTATTCACTATAGAGGTTTTATCAGCCAAGGTTGCCTTCATATTGATAAAAATACCTTATCTCACTTGTAATCATAAACATTATTCCAGTAGAAGAGGTACATTTTCTCTCCTTTTTGTCTTCTTGCCTGTATAATCACCATAATAAGTTATAATGAAATAGCTCTTACATAATCAAAGGAGAAAAGAAAGACAAAACCAACATGCCACAGCCTAGACAATTCCATCCAGCACTGCTGCCTCCAGATCTGTTTTCTGGCTCTCTCCACCCAGCACTGCTGCCCTCGGATCTATGTTTTCTGGCTCTCTCCTCGCCCCACTCCAATTAATTTAGCCCCCAACCCCATCCTACTTTGTTAGGGTGGAGGTTCACCAAATGATGGGGCTTGTTCAGAAGAGAAACATTTTATGGTCAGTGCAAGTTGAATAGAAAGTACCAAAAGGTGGAGAGGGCTGCCCTTCTCTTTTAATCATCATAAGAGGGTTTACTAATACTCAAGAGTGTCCTTTAATGACTGATCCCTGATCAAGGCTTTGGCCCTTCAAACTGCTGCTGTTCAAAACGTGAAATGATTCTGCTGAATCCATTCTTGATGTCTCTCTTTAGTGGTCTTCTCATTAGTGGTCTTCTCTTCAAATGGGTTGTTTTCTCACTAGGAAAAAAAATGTTCCATCTCTGGAATTAACGTTGATGGTGTTTTGCTCATTCTGAAAGTTTTTATCCTCCCTTCTCAAGCATGCTCTGCAAGAAAAACAGAAAGAGTAAGTTTTACCACCGGGAGAGGACAAAAAATAAATGGCACTAACTATTTAGTATGATTTGTGTTGCTTTTCAAATATCTAATTTTAAAAACACAGAAAACAAGGCATATGCTTCCTGTTCTCAAAATATTGCTCCTTTAATCAACACCATTGCTTTATCAATATGATCTTTAAATGACCCCTCTCACCACCACATGGGTTGAAAACCCCAACAAGGCCGGGCGCAGTAGCTCACGCCTGTAATCCTAGCACTTTGGGAGGCCAAAGTGGGCAGATCACTTGAGCCCAGAAGCTTGAAATCAGCCTGGGCAACACAATGAAACCCAATCTCTACCAAAAACAAAAACATTAGCTGGGCATGGTGGTGTGTGCCTGTAGTCTCAGTTACTCGAGACGCTGAGGTGGGAGGATCCCTTGAGCCTGGGAGGCAGAGGGTGCAGTGAGCCATGATCATGCCACTGTACTCCAGCTTGGGCAACAGTCTTTGCTGTCTCAAATAGAAAGCAAAAGTGCTCCTGGTAGGGGCATTTGGAAATGTTGGGAGCATGGCTGATGGATGCAGTGACCGGGGGAAAGCTATGGCCAAGGCAGTGCAGGGATCAAACCCCAACTCCAAAGGCTCTGAGAGGGAATCTCTTCATTAGAGAAACACAAGATTCCTTCCCAGAGGGGGAGAACGCAGATGTTCATGTGCTCATGAGGCTGGACAGAGCTACACAGATTGGTACCTATTCCCAGATTGCAGAAATGGTCCCTACATTCTATTTAGTTATTTATTTGGGAGATGAGGATGTAGATAGGAAGAATTCTTAACTATCAGATGAGAACTCTATAACCAGCTGAAATGGGGGTATACTGCCTTCATTTTTAGAGGTCTTTAAGAAGAAAAAAGTGATACTTTCCCCTCTAGTTTTGCAACCACTCAGAGAGGCAAGGTGAGGCCGAGGTTGCCTCTAGTTTATCCATTCCCACCTGCCTCCCGCCAACCCGCACCCTTCCAGCCATCTCTTCATTGAGCTCCTACCAGGTACCACTGCACTCAGTTTAGTGCATTGGGGAAACTAATACATACACCTGTGGAAAATTCAGGAATAATAAAAGGTAATAATTTGCTAATTTTTATTTATTTGCTAAATACATGCTAAAATTTATTGTGTAAACAGCATAACATTTAACAGGAACCAAATAGTATCTGGTAGAAAGTAATTTTTTCCTTCCGTTTCCCAGTTTCTGTGTCCCCTTCCAGAGATGGTCACAGTTCACAAGAGGAATGGTTCTGCCTGGTGCAGAGGGCAACCCTGTAGCTGGAGCGAGCAGGGAAGGCTTCTCCAAGGACCTTCCACCATGGAGAGAATCCAGGTGGAGGACTGGGGTGGGACTGGGAGGAGTGAGGGGAGAAAGCGGTGGCCAGGATTCAGCAGGGGAAGAAGCCTAGCACACACAGAATCCTGAGGGGAGAGGCCTAGCTGGAAGAAAGGGTACATGCTCAGGACTGACCAAGAGAAAGGGTGGAAAGAGGGCCCAGGACGGACGCCAGGCTGAGACATGTCCTGCTAGCCAC
This sequence comes from Homo sapiens, assembly GCF_000001405.40. Classification (NCBI taxonomy): domain Eukaryota; kingdom Metazoa; phylum Chordata; class Mammalia; order Primates; family Hominidae; genus Homo; species Homo sapiens. The sequence goes on from NC_000007.14 coordinate 132,787,242, forward strand.
AGAAAACATGGAGGAATGCTTTTACATAGGAGAATGGCATTTAGGAATGTTAACCTGACATCCTCAGCATGATGGATCCAACAGAGGGGAGTCTGCAGGCAGGAAGCCCAAGGAGGAGGCAGATTAGAAACCAGACAAAGGTGGAAACAAGAACTAGAGCTACATGGGAAGAAAAAGGGAGATGGTGACACCCAAGGTATGGGAGGATCCTTGGTGACAAAGACAGTGATGGGGCCACCAAGAGAAACAGGGAAGTCAGTGGGAGCCTGGGAAGGAGGAGGATGACTTAAATTTTGGGTTTGTGAGGCAATTTTGGGTGAGACATCCAAAATGGAAATGTCTAGAAGGACGCTGTAGGCCCTCTGAGGTCAAAGGTCTCTAGACACAACAATTTAGGGTCAAAAATTTAAAAATGATTGAAATTAAGGGGACAGAACAGAAAGAGTAGAAGTCAAACAAGATGGTGTATTGGGTCATAGGAGCAAAGGGTGGATAGATTATCCTAAAGTGTTCATCATTATAGGTTTCTAAGAAGTCTATGTCATAGGGCACAAAAGAACAGATATAAAGGCAGACAAACTTAGACATAACACACACAGTGGTGAGAAAAACAATGATTCTGTCATACAGGAGGTAAATTAGAAAAGCTAGATGCATTTAGGGAAAACAGGAAAAACAAAGTAGGTGCAGTGGAAGATTGCTCAGCAGAGAGTTGTCCTGTAAGAACTCATACTGGAATGTGAGGCACCAGCCCCATGTTCGCTGGGAAAATAACACGCTGAGCACCCACCATGTAAGAGACACCACCTGGCAGTGTCACAGCGTCACAGCATCTCAGCTATGCTCACCTGCTTATGAATTGATCTGTGTGAGCCTCTCCAATCACATAGATGATAAGTTCTATAAATTCCAGATATATAGACAACCTCACTACATCATGCTTTATTAAATACAAAATGGAAGCCAGTATCAAGCAGATCTATACTGAGCCTATCTAAGGGAATGCAGTTACTAGAGAAAGTGATCTCTTTATAAATGATGCCACTTAGCCATTTGCATTTGGGGGGGTTATAGATTCACTGCTTTCTTCAACACACTGATGGGAGCTTTGAGTTGTCATCTGCCTGGTCAAGATTACATAGCTGTACCCCTCTCTACAATTTTGGGCTTAGGGTTACAAGGATAACCACATGACAATGTACCTCCTTTCAAATATTGCAAAATAACCTGCAGCTGCCACAACTTAAGGAAAGCAACAGTTAAAGAGTGTTTTCACGAGTCTAGAGATTGTTTTTACTATTCTCTCTGCAACCTCAACCAAATATAGATGGGTAATTTTTCAGCCAAATCATATCATGCTAAGAATGTTAGGCTCTCTTTCAGAAAGAGACAAGATGGGGCCTGGCTGGTCTGAGGATGAGCAGGCCAGTCTCACATAAAGACACTAAAAGAAGTAACATTTTAATAACCCCTTTAGCCACATTCACAAAATACCGTTACATGTATTAAAATTCTAATCCTCCAAGATAGCACAGTGGTTCAGCTGATTTGTGGTGACTCCTTGAAGACATGTGGGACCACCACAGAAAAGCACCAGGGCTGATCTATAAACATTTTGTCAAACTGCACTCACTTGCTACCAAAGGGTGGCAGGGGTGGTACAAAACCATCTCAATTCTATCAGGGAAATTAACAAACACAATGGCAGGCTGGATTTTTAAAAAAGATGAATTCATCTGTCAAACATTTTGGGTTATTATTATATTCCAGCTATGCGACAAAACCTGCTCCAACTCAGAACTCAGGGCTTTTGGCTGGAGGGATCCGTAGTCTGGTGGGGTCTGTGTTATTCAGCTTTCACCTTATAGGTTCTACTGTCTCTGTATTGGTTCCGTAAGTACTGCTGTTGGGCTGAATTTCAACGCTGCATAAATTTAACACTGCATAAATTAACATAGGAAATTCCCTAAAGAATGAGGGAGAAGCTTTGCAAGTTATAAAAAATTGCTTCCTTCATTTAAGGAACTGCTAACACTTAATCTTAATGTGGAGAAAGAAATTCCTTGCTTTTGCTCATCATTCACGTATCTGGGCCTGCAGAAACTCCTTTTATAAACAGCTGGGTAAATCACCAAAAGAAGAGAGTGGTTCAGGCATGAACACTGCTCTTTTCCCAAGTCTTTTTCTCATTCCAGCCACTGAAGAACAACCGGCAGCTCACAAATAAGAACAGCGCCCCTGGAGACCTGAGATTGCGTGTCATTTCCGCTTATTAAAACCTTACTAACCATCCTAACCGCTTGCCTCAAATATTTCTGTTAAGCAGTAATCTCATCAACTGATTTTTGAATCACAGCTTTCTTGGAGGGGTTGACTATCATAGCAGCATGCCAGCTACTGGTTGTGTTGATAATTTAAGAGAAATGATGGCAACCCTGGGTTGCTAACCAATCATCATGAAGAGAAGAAAAGCGGTTTGTTTTTTAAGATACCACTCAGGGTGCTTGTCTCTGGATGAACTTACCCAGCGCCTCACCAAGACTTCAGGCCTCATAAAGCTGGGTAGAGAAGCAGGAAGGTCTACCTAACCAAGGAAAAATGAAACTGGAGATGTGTCCTGGCACAGACCTGGTCTTAAGACACGAGTTTTACTAAGGAGGGTCAGGAAAAGTGGGGAGTGGGAGACACTGGAGCTTCGATGAGGAAAAAGCCAGAATGAGAAGACTGTGCATAAGACAGGAAGGAAAAGTCATCTATAAATTGAATTTATGGGAAGCACAAAGCGAGTTTTGCCTGTGCACCAAGTACTGTTCTTCACTACCTGGAAATCTGATTAGATCACTTATTTTGTTTTCAATATGTGTCTATTCCCCTGCAGCAAGAGCTGTTTGTTCTTTGTTCCTCCTGCTTTGGAGGAAATAGAAGTTAACTTTTTTCTGCCTGGATCTTGTTTTATATCTTCTATGACAAATGCTCTGTATAATATTCAAATTAAGTTACAAGTAATTAACTGTTTATACAGCTGGCTGCAATAACAGACAAAACACTAACATACTGCAGTTCTAATTGAAGGATGACCATGGGAAAAGAAATACCTATTAAGAAAAATGAAAATCTATTACCATGGTAGTATTTCTTCTATTAAACTCAGATTTAAAAAAAGAGAAAATGTCACGAAGCAACGATTACTCTCAGAAAGTGGTTTAGAAAAGGATTCCTATGATGGAAGAGGTTGGGATAGGAAATTTAAAGTTTGGAATTTTGTTTGCTTTGATCTGACTCTAAATTCAAAGGGCTGCCCTACCAAAAAAATGGGAAATCTATTATGAAATACCCACGTGTCAGTCACCCTGTGACCAGCATCCCAGCTGGGCAATTAATAAATGTCATCAAGCGATAATGATAAAGCAGCTTTCGAACACAATAAAAACATGCTCCTGGGGGGCTTCCCAGAAAGTTAACCTTCTTGATTATCTTCGTGCTCTCTGAAAGTGGCCACCGTGTACATCGGGGGGACCCTGATGTGGGTCGGGGAGAGAAGCAGGGTGACTGGGAGCAGTAGAACCAAGGGAGGGTCTGGTCACAGCTGTGAGCTAGCCAGGGGACTGGGGTCACCTACTGTTTCAATGGGAGCAAGAGAAGAGGGGAAGGGGATCTCTTTTCAAGGCTTCCATCTGATTCCCACATCATCTTCCAATTTGTTCTTAAGGCTAAAGATTCATTCCTAGGGTTGGTCTGATGAGACCTCTGCCAGGTAGCTTTGACCTATAGGGAGTGATAGCTCCCCATCTCCCAAAAGATGGAAAACAAGGACTTGGCAGGACCTCTGAAAGGTCAAAGACCTTTAATGCAATTCAGGCCAATGGGCTCTAAGAGCAATGGTTTTCAAACTTTGGGTACAGAGTCTCCTGGGAAATTTGGTCAAAGTTCAGATGCCCAGGCCTCACCCCAGACCTTCTGAATCAGAATCTCCAGGGATGGGGATTGGGTGGGTACATTTTAAGCAAACCCCTCAGGGGATTCTGATGCTCACCCACATCTGAGATCTGACACGACAGGAAAAATACCCTGGTTTTGAATTTAAGAGTGGGCTGTTTGGTCTGGGTTCTGCCCTTCTACAGATCATTTAAATTCTCTGGAAGCTAATTTTGCACATGAAAAAAATGAGGTTGGGTTATATGATCTCTAGGGTCCTTTTAGCTCCAACAGCCTATAAGTCTATTAAATCATTTGCATCTAATGTAGAGTTCATCTGAAAACAATGATAACATACAGCTTGCTCTGGCAATAGGTTTTTCTTTCAAGAACCTTGATTTTTAAGCAAAAGCTACTACTATGTTTTCAGGACCCCTTCATACTCAAAATATGTCACAGACTTAGGAGCAGAATCCTGGTCTAATATAAATACAGTTCACCGGGGAGATGAAATTGTCCTTCAGAAGGCGGACAGAAATTGTGCCAGGGCAAATTCCTCCATATGCACTGATCTTGAGGCTTTGACTTAGGAAGCCAACCAAATACTGGAGATGTCAATGATATTTTAGAAACGAGACAACGGGGTGCACTAGCCTTAAGTTGGAGAGCTGTCACATTAGGATCTAGCCTCATTTACTGGGTCCTGACCCCAAGTTCCTCACTGTGGCCAGGTTCCTTTCTGATCTCTCCAAAGAGATCAGCAGGAAGCATGTAGGTCTGAGGTGGGGCTGTCTCATTTACAAGACGTCCTTATTGTGAGCTGAACTAACTGTTTGCGTGGCTACTGTCCCACTGCCTGCTTACTGACTGAAACTTCTGCTATGGTTTGGGGGACCCCTGACAGACTCATCATCTAACTGCAGGTCCCACACTGACCTCTGTCCCTTGGGCATCTCCTGGGGTTGGTCCTTGCCTCTGGTCCCAGTTTGCCCTTGGTTGTCAGGCTCCAGGTTCCTGGCTTCCTGCTCTGTTTTCAGAGTCACACTTCCCATGGTACTTCACAGGATGAAAGGCATCACGATCCAGGGGAGGCTTACGGCTGGCTGGAGGGAGCCTGCATTTTCTAATGGCCTTTATTAGCCGGCAGGGTACATTCTGCCAGCCAGTGCAGAGACAGCTGTTTTTCACTTCACTGACTTTGGAGAAACTGTGAAACTGTTTCTATTCCCTCCCAGTTCTTTCTGCCACCTTGGCTTCCCCAGGGCTGTCAGGAGTGTGAACCTCAAAGAAAGGGTACGTAGCAGTGGGAGGCCAGGCAGCAGCAGACCAATCAGAAATGCAAGTGTTCTTCTTGAGTGAACGTTTAAGGTGGACAGCAAAATTTAAGAGGCGAAGGCACAAATACTGGAGGTCTCAAAAGGAGAGGTGCTGCTTGTACCAAATAGGCCATGTCTCTTCATCTGAGTGCGCCTATGAACAGGCATGCTTATGCACACCATCTTTTGCTCTATATACTTCAAAGCAGAATCAGTCCTAGAATAACAGAGCTAGATGGCCCTCATGGATCACCTGGTTCAAACCTTCAGTTTATCAAAGCAACTGAAGCTCAAGTCACTATAATTAGATTAGGATTGCAGCAGCAGTATTTCCTATAAACCCCACCCTCCCAGTGAACACAAAATGTGCCAGAAGGGTCCAGCCAGCTTCTGCATTTTTCTGTCAATAGCAGCAGGGCTGGGAAAAAGCTGAAATGCTTAGACTAGCAACTCCCAATGCAGCCCAATTCTACAAGTAAATAGTAGAGAGGTGGTATGTCCCAGGGAATGGTCCCAGACGTAATGCAGATCTGACAGCAAACCCTTTCGACACCCTTCCCCTTTTTTAAAAAACAGAACTTGGGCACATTTTGGTCTACCCATGAGCAAATACTATTGGCTTCTCATTCCCGCTCCTTTCCATTTCTCCTGTAAGGTAGGTGGTGTGCATAAGCATGCCTGTTCATAGGCACGCTCAGAGGAAGAGACATGACCTATTTGGTACAAGCAGCACCTCTCCTACCTTAGGTAGGTGTAGCAAGATAGAATGGGAACCAGGTATCAAAGGTAAGAAGAGGTAATCCAATCTTGCTGAGCTTGAGAAAGTTATGAGGCTAAGCAGATATGAGAAACAAAAGACACAGGACTATGTATCAATCGATGTGCTCCTTCCTTTGTAAATGCTGTATCTCATACAGCCAGCCAGCTGGTAGCTTTTAAGTCTTAGAAATAATAATTAGAGCTATTTAATATCTCTTTACCCTCATGAAGAGCACATAAGTTAATACACAAGAAATAATAGCCTAAATGTCTCATGTCAACCCATGAGAAATTGTTGAAGAACAGCTGAAGAAACACTGATATGAATAAGTGGATAAATAAGCAGAGAGGAAGAGTAAGGCTAAGGAATATCCGGAAATTTTCCTAACAGTAAAACCTATTAGTCTCTAGAACAATGCCCCAGGGAACCCGTGAAAGGCCAATCTTATGAGTTATTTAAAAGTGGAGTGGACTTAGCCATTGGAATTATTCCATGGGGGAAACCCTTGCACTGTGTCGGATATGGACAACACTGCCTAATGGCTTGTTGTCATGTATAGTATTTTCCATGTTTAGCATGTCCAGCTTGTTCTCTGGATTTAACAGGAAACATAAGAAGAAAATGTAAGAAGTTGGCCCATGAGGAACTGCTAAAATAGGCAGTCGGGACTACGTATCTTGCCGGAGTCTCTTAACAGGGGCACAGCTGGGGTCATGAGGTTAGCCTAAATTCACAAGGAGCAAAAGGACAACCTGGTATTGGAAGGAAAGTAACTGCTCATGAAACACTGATAGAAGCTCCTTCTGGCCACTGTGGCGTGATCTTAAAATGGGCCAGTGCCAAGTTGCCCCTTTCATCACGGGCTTCATCAACCCACTCCCCATGTGTGACCTTCAGACTCTGTCCCCCGCTCATTAGATCTTCCACATTCTGTGTCCTCCCTTTATCGCTTTCGCTCTCACTTTCCCTTACTGCCTTATTTCTGCATTAGTGGATGATGGATGGATGCCCCTTCACAAACTTACCCACTCAAAAACCAAATGCCACTTATGTATTTTGAAATTTTTTGTTTTTATGGCAAGGTACATCTTGGTCTAGCTGTTAAATTCACTATTGTGACTTCCCTGAGTTTCAATGCTCTCAACTGGAAAATGGTGAAAATAAAACCATCTCTATTTACATCTCAGGTTGTCATAAAAAAACAAGTAAAAGAATGGATGTGAAATGACCTTGCAATCCTAACTACTGCCGAAATGTAAGGTGGTGCAGGTTCTTGGTTCTCGTCCATTTCAATGTTGCCCATCTCAGGAAAAAAGGTTTGAGGGCTTCTATCTTTTTATTATTAACTTGTATTATACACCTCCTAATAACTGAATATAAGAGCCACGAAAACAATAGATACTCCAAACATACTAGCTGAACATAAAAGATTGGAGAGTGAGGGGGAAAAAAGAGGGTCTCTTTTGAAATCATTAATAATAATTTGATGCTTTTGGCTGACCTGTTTAGTAAATTTCAGCACAATAATGCAACTGAGGAAAGAAGGGGAAAAATAAGATTTACTGAATACTTTATATAAAGGTAATCCTCACAACATTACCCCAATTTACAGATGAGAAAACTCAAGCCCCAAGGTCACAGAGCTGGTAAAAGGACAGGGTACAAACCCAGGTCTGCCAGATTCAAACTCACTATCGCGCCATGTGGCGTATTTGCTTTTGTCACAAGTTAACTTTGCTTTATCCTATAAATATATACCATTGATGTCACAAGACTATATGTAGATAATTCAACACAACCCAGACAGGCAGGATGGGGTCAGCACTCCCAATGCCCCTGCAGCTGCCACTGTGGTAATGTTACAAATCACATGGTACAAACAGGCACGTATGTTAGAGACCAGCATTGAAACATACACTTTGTCACAACCACTCTTTTCCACTGACCACCAGCTCAATAAGGCACTATTATCAAGTTAGAAAAATCCATGAATCAACCTACGAGTCTCAAGTCCTTCAGTTCATATTCATATTGAAGGCTGGGGTTTATTAACAGCATATCAGAAGCTGTTTTCGACAAATAAAACGTACTAACTTAACATTAGCAACATTACCTGTACCAAAGACCTTTAATGAAAAGGATCCCTGGCATACTACTAAGAGTTATACAAGTGCAGCTACAAGCAAGAAACAGAAAAAAGCTGCCAGCCACTAGGCTTTTGAGGACAACATAGGCTTTTAATAAATCTTGATTATATTCTTTCCACTAATGTTACTTTATTTTCCAGCTATCCAGATAATACTAACCCTCCCGTCGGATATTTGTAGAGTATAAAAATTTTACACCAAGTGATATTATTATAACTACATCAAATTAGACTGCAGAAAGGCATGCTGTGTAACTTAAACACTAGATTTAGTTGGGTTAGAAGGTCAAATCTATGGAGTTTGTCAGCAGAAGGAATCAACGTTTCCAACAATTTCTGCCTCTCAGAACAACCATATCCAACTGTTAAATTGGTTAAATGATAGGCAATTATGTGACCTGCCAGAATTGATAATTTGCTTCAGGGTTTATCATTAGCTTTCTAAAGTACATAAATTAGAGAAAATGCACGTCCTGTGAACATCATATTGTTCTGATATGAAGGGTCAAGAGAAGAATATGGCTATGGTCTATAAAAGCAGTGGAAATTCTTTTTAAAATGCTATCTCTGGTTTCCCTTTCCCTGTCCAACTAAGTGAACTCTATCAACTGGTGGAAGCGTTGGACAGTGACTGAACGGTGGTGTTTTGTTTTTTTTTTAACCTGGCCCTCTGCCTACCTACGGCTTATGGGCCCAAAGGTGCCAGCTCTTAATCTGTATCCTCTTCGCTAGCTCTAAATATTGGCCTAAAAGTATGAGGAATGACCTTGGGAACATTATTATTAGAAGACAAAAGTTCAGGGCAAGTGGAAAAAAGTATAATTGTAGTAGAATCCTTTTTTCTGCAAGTAAATGAGTTGTACATAAGGAAGATATGGGCTCTTTGACAATGATCGGACACAAGTTATGCCCTAATCAACTCATTACAGTAATTCTTGATGATGATGACTAGGGCTTAGAAAGCTTTTTCACACACAGTGGCCCATTTAGTCCTTACCACTGCCCCAGGTCATCCAGTTTTCAATTTGCCCAGTGCCCCCAGTGGCCTGGCTGGCACACCTACCTGTTTGGCATGATTGACACAGTGCATATACTGGGTGGCCAGAGCGGAGCATTTGAGGGTCTGGTGGGTGTTCTCACGGTAACACTGAAGAATTTTGGCCTGCAGATCAGCACAGACTGGATGAGACTCATATCGCCTGAAAACAAACACAGGGACCGCTGAGACCAATGGTCTTCATTCAGAATAAAAATCAAGGTTAAAGAACACATAAAACGCACAGTAAGACACAGATGTTGCAAATGTAGAAAAAGGTTTAAGAGAAAGAATTTTCCTTAAACTTCAAAGATAGCTAAATTTTTCCCATGATAAAAATGACAAAGGGTAAATAAATTCTAAGAAATTAGTTCCACTAATTGACACTACTGTGAGTTAGTCTGGACAATATAACCATCCCTTCCAAACCGAAACCATATCAACATGCCAGAAACTTGGAAGCCCTAAGTTCTCTCTTCCATTCCCATATCCACTTGGTCACAAAGTTGGAGATCCCTACGGCCTGGTCCTCCTGCTCCACACTCACTGTCGTTACATTGCTTCCAAGTGAGCCACATCCTGAATTCAAGAAACAACCTCCCAGCTGGTCTCTCAGCTTTGACACCCTCTACTCCTGCCTGCACACACCTTCCAGAGGGTTCTTTCCCATAGGAAATCGAAGATGGTCTCTTTTCCCAGCACTTTCTACACAAAATACAAGGCCAGCTGGCTGGTCCTTCTTGACCAGGTTCCTGCCTACTCTGTGGCCTTCACCCCCCAACCCTGCACACAGCTGAAGCCTGGACAAACCCAATTCAGGGTTTCGTTCTTACACTTCTCTTCAAGTCTAAGCTCATGCTGCTCTTGCTTCTGGAAATGCTCTACGCCCAAACTCCCACCTATGCCTCTATATCTGGAAAAAACCTACTCATCCTTTGATACTTCACTCAAGTGTCAGCTTTCATTAGCTCTCCACCCCCCAACCCTGGTACAGTCTATCATTCCCTTTATGGTGACCCCATTGGTCCCGTATTCACTTTTCTTGCCATGCATGTGACACTGACTACACCATAGTCTAATACAATTTAGCAACCTACATTTACTAGAATGTAAATTCCAAGGACTGTGACTTATTTTCTTTGTTACCTCAGCTATTAGACATCGGAACCCTACAGAAGTCATGTAATACATTTACTGAATGAATACAAATCGGTGCAAAGAAAACATTTTAAAGTCCCCTGGGTTAAAATTTTGCTACTTATACTTACAAATCTCAGATTTTAGTCAGATTGCTTCTGTGAATATGTGAGACCAAATGTAAATGTTTCCAAAAACCTTATAATATATGCTTGAAAAATGATAATGAACCAAATGAGTTATACGAATGAAGGTAAAATATTCTGATTAATACGGCAGGGAAGTTTGGACTGCAAGGATTAAATACATACAGAGAAAAAAAGCACAATATTACTACTTTTAATCTTGAAATTCGTGTTTTTTCAAATTAGTCTTAATACAAGAAGCTTCCAGTCTTATCACTTCTATTTTTGAAATTTAAATTTGTTATTTCCATAGTAATCTTGAAATCACATTATTTTAAATTTAATGGGTTCAAACAAAACCCCTAGAGAACACAGGGGGAATATTTCTCATCAATAAGGAAACGCCTGGGTGATGATTTGTCTCATTATTTTTATCCAGTACACTAAGCTAATATATATTTTACTAGAATAGAAATGCAAAGCATGTTGGTGGTTCCCTGACTTCCTACTATCCTCTAAAGAACACAGACATACAGAGAAAAAAAAATGTTTCAACAATTTTTCTATAACATCACTTTTACTTTTTCATTCATTACCTTACTGCTTTGTCAAATACCTAAGAACAGAATTAAATAGAATCCCAGGAGTTTCCATGCTTTAAGATTTCAAACTTCAGATGTCTGTGAATTTTTCTGGACACAGATTTCCCTAATCCTTTACCACGAACATCAGGATTTAAAAGGAATCAGCCGTGCTTCAAAGAGTATAGGCACAGATACCACTAAGTGACTAATTATAGCAAGACCTGCATCTAGATAAATATCGAATAAAATATGATTAAGCATCAGATCAGCTGAACCTAGCAAATACATGACTAATGACTAATAGCTCATAGGAAAGCAAGGTTACATTCTATCCTAGTGTTGACAACTGATCGTGTCTCCAATGTGTCTCAGATTTAAAAGCAGGGGGAAGGAGGTGAGGAGGGAAGGCTAGAACAACCCTGACCAGATATGCAGCCCTTCCTCATTAACATACGGGAAAAGACTGTAAAAATGAGCATCCACACACTGCATGTCATAAAGAAGACAGTTTATTTTTTCCTTTAAAAAGTCTACTCACGATGGGATAATTCACCTCATGTTATGGACTCCTTAGAAAGAGGTAGTTTAAGTTGTAGATAAGCATGTATCCTGGGTTGAGCTATTAGTCATGCAAGTTAAAGTCCATGCGTTATTTATGATTTGAAATGTGTCAAAATATACTTTTATCACCACAAATCAATACTACTCACTTCCAGGGCTCTTGATTTCCTGTTTGGTGATCTGTTCTGTGTGTGTGTGTGTGTGTGTGTGTGTGTGTGTGTGTGTGTGTGCAGTCATCCTCTGAAATTCTTTTTGTACACACTTCAATCTGTATTAATGATTTGATGGTAGAAAGAGGGGAAGAGGAATGGAAATCAGCATAATTGTCCTCCAGCTCCAGGAGTAGACTCTGGGACATTTTCTTGGATTAATCTGTAAGGGTAAAGGTTTGCCTCTGTATTGATCTGTAAAGCTTGTTATACTGCCCTAATGCACTGTTTTCACTTTGGGAAAATGCTAAATGAGATTGCTGTCTAACATTAGAAGGCCATAAAACACAAGCCATGGCACCTTCCATTCAGGATAAAGGTTTCAAAACATTTCCAATATGCATTATGGTAAACCCTCCATATATTCATAGAGTCAGCAATTGACTTTTATTGACTGCTTTCATTCCTGCTGATGGAAAAAGCCCCTATTAGGCAAAAATAATGAAAGGCAGACTTTCAAGATACCTAGGAAGGAAAATTAAGTCTTAGCAGCAAAGGACGATTAGACAAGTTAATTTCTTTGTATGTAAGGAAGAGGCAAAGAAATGGTGAATGACAATGGTAAGAGAAGGATGAAATATAGATTTGGAAAACTTAAAACACTAATAAAGAAGTGGGAAGATCTAATAGTTACTCAAAAACATGTTTAGCAAGAAGAAATCGGTGGAATAGAGTCAACCTTTGAAAATATACATGTAACAAAAACAAGAAAAAAAATCCAGTTTTGTGGTCACTTGAAATTACTGGGAACCTTTCATGGATCCTACCATATGTATGCACATCTCTTTTCTTTTCTTTCTTATACTCTTTTACTCTGCTCTTCCCTTTCTCTCCCCTCATCTCCACAAGCACTAGCAGCCCGCCCTCCCTTTGGCCCTCCCTACCCCACACAGTGGCACCAAAGGCCCAAGGGGTTGCTGACAGTACCAAAGGTAGAACTGGAGTCCCAAAGATTTGACCCCAGAACAAAATCAAAAGAAGCACTTCTGGTAGATATTCTGTAGCCTGTCACCAGTAAAACATTCTTTGGCTAATGTTTAATGTTAATATTCACTTAAAAGGCATCTAAAAAAATATATATCCAAGTATTTTTTCTCCTTATACTAACAGGTCTATTGTAGAAACTTTGGAAAAAGAAAAGAATAAAGATACACATTTAGGCTGTTTCTAATTTTTCACTGCTTAAAAAACATGGTGAAGGACATAAATTATTAACTACCATTTCTGATTATTACCTTAGGAGACTTTCCTGTAAGTTAAATTAACTGATCAAAGAGAAACGAAAACAGTTTTAGCAAAAACAAAGCCAAGGGAGTATTCAGAAGTCCCCTCTTAAGACTCTATAACACAGTTACACTCGGTTATCTGTTTTAAAACTATCTGTTGGTTCCACTGCTGCCTCTATTTTCAAGTCTTAGAACCTTCTTTGATGTGGGTCTGAGCTTTACATTTCAAGAAAACTACTTACCCATCTTTTTAGTTCTGCTAATATTAATGGTAAGGATAATAAGGTAACTTCAGAGAAGGAAAAAATGTGGAGATAACACTCCTCACACCACTCTCCACTCAGAAGGCTAAAAAAATCATGTAATGACAATCAGTTAGCAGCCACAACTCCCAAGGCTCTAGAGGACACTGAAGTCACTCATTACGAGTCTAGGCATGCAAAGAAAGGATCCTTTCCCTGTACCTGAACCAGAAGTATGCTGAGAGAGTTCTACAGATACTATGATGAAATACCAGAGAGAGGGAGAAGAGAGGGAACAAGAAGGAAAGAAGGAGGGAGAGAGAAAATGAAGATGAGAATGGCTGGTGTTAAAAGGAGAATTCTATTTTTTTTTTAACAGGTTCTGATAATGCATCCTTCATGGGATCAGGTGGTCTCATAAAACCATATTTTACACTAAAAGCCGACACACAACACAGTCAGGGAATCAAATCTTTAGGTCTAATTCCTATAGCACAATGCAAAAACTTTAATTTTTTCTCTACCAACTTTTCATTAGCTGTTAAACCCAGTGATCAGGATTTCTGCTTTTCTTTTAAAACACAAAACTAAAGCTACTAGGCACATTGCCAATATTTAAAAATATGTAATCATTCACTTTTGTTTTTCTCATCACTTATAATTAATCTATCGTAAAATGCAATATGAAGGAAGAAAATATTTATCTGAAATGTACTATATTAACTTTTTATTTTTAATTTTACCTTAAATCTAAATATCCTAATATTTGTTTTCAGAGTAAAATGTAGTCTCTAATTATGCAAGATCTGAAAAATTCAATTTTAAGCTTTCCTGACATTCTTAATAACTGCTAACCATTTTATTAATGACATTTCCATTTGAGCTGTAATCAAATTTCCACAATTACACTTCAGAAGTCCCTCTCTAAAGTGGTCCAAACAGCTCCAAAAGCTGCCTGCTTTGTTTCCATTTGTTTTCATATACAATTTGAGATGCTATTTCTTTTGATTACTAACATGATGAATGTTAACTAATATGTTTTCTACCATCACAACACAAAATGCCAAGCAGCCTCCACTGTTACCAGAGAAAGGAATGCCAACCTGGACATCACCTAGCTCAGTACTTAGCTCAACGAACCAGTCACACTGAGAGCAGACTATGACCTGTAATGAGGGCCATACTATTTAATCAAATAGCTACAGCTTGGGCTTTAAAAGAAAAGGTTAGCTTTGGCTAGCTAGAAAACAGAGCATATAAAATTCTATCCTATAAACCCAAGGTTTGAAAGAATAGTTTCTATCTGAAAATACTTTAAGACTTAACATTTTAATTTTAATCCACTGTTGACTTTGGAAAAAGATGTCAGGTTCACAATTCCACAGTCAGATCTACGTGGGGAACGTGACCTGGAGGGCAGGAGGGGAAAGCACTGCCAGCCTTCCACTCCAGTGTTAGGACCCTGAGTAAAAGCCCTAAACCCAGGAAAATCCAAAAGAGAGGACCTCTGGCCACCTATCCCTGCTAAAATGAGCAACAGTACTCTATATACACAGATACACAGTTCTTATGCCAATAGGCCTCATACACCCTAAACAGATGGGTACAAACATACCAAAGTGTAAGGTGAGCAAACAACTTTTCAATTTTGCAATATGTTTTTCTTTTTCAATAATATTGGGTCCTTGGAAATGATGGGGGGCAGGGTGGAAAAACCTAGGAGAGCAGGACTCTAATAACATGTGGCCACGTGACAGCTGGTAGGGGTTGGTGTCTTCTCTGTGGTGCTCAGGGGAGAGTAACACACCCTGACACGATGGGACTCCCCTGCTGCCTGGTTTCTTCTCAAGCCACAGCTCTCATTCTACCCTTCACAGAAAACCCTCTTGGGATCTTGCCAACTGCACCAAACCCTGAGCTGGATCCCACTGTATGGGCTCACCCAGCACAACTGAAGAGCTGGAGAGTTCCTATTCCTCATTAGAGGTCTGAACTTAGGAAACTGGGTCTCCAAAGAATGAGGGTCCCCAGTTTTGTTTAGTTGTTTAACAGGTGGAAGGATTTGGGAAGTCAGACATTTGGTATGAGGTGGAAGAAACAAGCCATTGGCTAATTTTTACTTTCCACCATATCTTGGTGTTCTTGACTTATATTTGGGCTACATATCGCTAAAAAGGGAGATAAAATTTTTACTTAATTCTTACTTAAAAGATACCAGGACTAAGAGGCAATAATTGTACAGAGTTTGGTGACTCAACATAACTGATGGCAACATGAACTCAATCTGGAAGGACCCCAAATAAACTTCCAGATCACATATAATTTAGAACAACCATGTACTCATGGGATGCTATTTTCTCAAGCCTACAAAGTCTTCTCAACAGGCAAAATTCTACAGCTAACAAATTGCGCTTTCGTCTGGGTGGGAAGCCTTTATTTAGAGAGCTATAAGCCATCCCTCCCTCCCTTTCTTTCTTAACAATGCTTGAAATATTGTTATTGCTTAACAAATGTCAAATAATAACGCTGTAATAAAAACAAGCACTAGTGGGTTAACAATGCAGTTTTCTAGCAGCAGTTATATAAAGTATTCTGGGTAGAACTACCTCCTAGCATGCACATAGTGGGAACAGAATAAAATCACAGCCCATAGAAGTAGCCCTTGGTTATAATAATTGCAAATTTGAAGATTATTCTCTTTGTCCTTTCAAAAGATCCACAGGTATTGGAATGAAACTGTTAAATCCGAATCTCCAAAGGATATATCAATGTGTGAATGAGACCAAGTAATCTTAACACAGACCAAACTTTTTATTTGAATATCTCAATTAGGTTTCAGGGTCAAGAAAAGCATCGTTATTATTACTATTATTAAATAAAGGCATGGCATTTACTCTCTCCTGACTTCGTAAAACAACTGTTTAATTACATAACAGAAATATGTTCATCATGAGCCATATACAATGCATCAATCATAGATTTTTCCTTAAATAACTATTTTCTTAAATATCTATATAATGTATTCTACTTATGGTGATACCCTCGAGGCTTTGTGAGTTATTTCCAATCCCTCATGATGCTACTTTGGAATGTTCATCAAAATTGGTCTTAGGATTAAAAACATGAGGGTTGGTTGGTTCATTTATTCCTTTATCTACTCAGTCACTCCCAAAACAGAAGGAAGACAGGAGGAACTGGGATAAGTTGAGGAAAGCAGAAAGATATTAGGAAGCAAAATAATCTATTGGAACTAGAGGAGAAAGGGAAGGAATACACTCTTCCCGGTGGTGGGTTGCTGTGCCCAGCCAGTCCCTCTGTTTTTTCTCCACCTGCACGAATCTGGCAGGTGGAGAAAAAACAGAGGGATTGGCTGGGCACAGCAACCCACCCACTGGGAATGACGAGGGAGAGAAATGGGGAGTTCAAGGCTGGGAACTAAAGCAAACTATGACATCTTGTCTTCGAAGGTAACTTTAATTTCAGGTTCTTGAAGGGGTGGTACTGCCTTTATCACCCATTTTTCCTGCAGAAAACCTCATGTTTAGAAGGTAGATAACTGGAAATAGCCAACACGGGAGTCCCCAATGTAGCCAAGGGACAGGGCACCAGGCCTGGCAATCTACAAGGTTTTTCCAACAAAGGATACTAACAATCAACCTAAGACTTAATGAGAAAACTGAAGGGAACATCAAACATACCCTCCCAGAAATAATCCTTCCCTATTTGGAGAAATACATACTTCATGGACCTTCTTATATCACTTTCCTCAATCTATTATAATAGCTTACAATCACAGACTCTTGCTGTTGGGTAGTATGCAAGCTGCGTTCTGTGCAGAAATATAAGTGGGCACACATTCATGCGGAGCTTCTATTTTTAGGTGATTATAATTTTTCACAAAGAATTGCCCTTTGGGATGAATTTTATATGCTCATTCTCAGCTGAGGGGTGACTCGGGTGGTGCGAAGTTTGGTGAAATTTCATTTGAGTAGTCCATGCATAAAAATACATTCCAGTACCCCTACCTCTTCCCTGCCGTGATCAAATTTAAGAGAGTGCTTTTAATACCAAGAGAAGTCAAGAACAGTTTAATTTTAAAAATTTCAAAACTGTCACATATCTCAATGAGGACTGTGACACATTCTAAAAAACTAGGTTAAGACCAAAATTTAAGTTTGTGGTGAGAGAGCGTGTTACATTACTTTACGTGATACACTTTTTTCTACTACATTTTAAAAGCAAGATCCAAATACCAGATACACACTGGAAGGACTGTGTCTGGCTCCCTTAACTGAAAGAATTGCAAATGTATTTATTTTAGGGACAAGTGAAGAAAAAAAATTATCCATATTGATTTGCCCTTTAAGTGTCAGAGTGCTAAAAATGAAGAGTGGCGGGAGCAGCAGTGGGAGGAGGGGTAGAGTCAAGCCTTTTGTCTGTTTTCCATCCCTATCGGTTACTTGAAGAGGAGAATGCTTAGGCACTGCTACTGGAAGAGGGAAATCCCAAAATGGGGCCAATAGGCCATGCTGCCAAACTTCCTTGGATGCAGTGCTGCGAGGCAGAAAGAATGTCATGTGGACATCAGAGCTGTGCCACTGTGTACAGACTAGGAAGGGGGAGTAAAGGATGTGCAGGAACAAAGGGGAGGGGAGAGAATACTAAATACTCCCCCAAGAAACTTATTTACTGGGGGAGAAACATACACACTCATAAAGGTCACAAGTAACACAAGGCAACCGAAGTGTCAAGGAAACAGTACAGGCAGTATACACTACAGCTGTTCTGAGGGCATAACCATTCTATTGTGCGTGGACAGTGTGGGGGAAGGGGTAGTCTGGGGGGGTTCCAAGGAAGAGAGGAGATGGGACTTTAAAAATCCCACAGAGTGAAGGGCAGGACTGTAAGACTCAGAGGGCGTTTGAGAGGATCTAGGTGAGCTGAGGTCCAGGCTCAATCGAGTCTGGCATATTCAAGGGACTCAGGTTGTAGTAGAGGGTTGGAAGGGTTGGGTAGTGCTAAGAAGGGAGGGGCCGGGATATGGACAGTCTGCCAAGAAGAGACAGCACACCTAGAGTCTATCCTGCAGGTGTTGACAAGCCACTGGCCTTTCTAAATGAGAGGGTGAAGTTATAAAGGTACCATCTTGAGAAGGCGGATCCAGTGTAAAAATAAATCAGATGGATAGAAGTGGAACTCCATGGCAGAGAGGTCAGTGGAGCAGCACCCAGCTATAAAGATGAAACAAGCTGATGAAGAGAATGATCCGGCAAGAATGGAGGCATGGAAAGCAAGGATGGAATGATGTGGTAACTGAGAGGACATGGAAGTAAAGAAGAGGAAGGACTGAGAGAATCACAGGATGGCTTAGGCCTTGGGGATTTAAAGAATAAACATGCTCGAGTAATGACAGGAAGCTCAAGTGGAAATGACACCTCCTCACCACGATCTAAAGCGTGGAGTTGGAGCTCAGCATGATGGCAGGGCTACAGCTGCAGTGTCAAAATGCCCTGCAAGATGTGGTGGGGAGCATAGAGGCAAAGGGCAGAAAGGACAGCAGAAGCTTGGGGAACAGTCCATACCTGGGGGTGACAGGGAAGGAAGATGGAGCAGTAGGGGAACTGACCGTGGAGAGAACTGGTGTAACACAGCATCACAAGGCTGGGGAGACCAGAGTTTCACGACAGAGAAGACAGTCAAAAAGAAGGAAGACTGATAAATGGCCAAGGAATGTGCTCCATAGCAAGCTGGAGAAAGAATCTGAGCAGAGAGCGTGAGGCAGAAGCCAGGTAGAAATTGGTAAAGAAGAAAGTGGGCAGTGAAGAAGAAATGGAGGTGGCAGGATGAGGTCAATTCCATATCCTTTAGAGTGCCTGTGAGATACTAGGCACTGTGGGACAAGACCAAGAGACTGAGTCAGGCAGACCTATCTAGCCCATTAAGAACTGCTTTAAAGGGACACATCTGGCAACAGTAAAATACCAAAGGGAAGGATTACATCTGGCTGGAGATGACTAGGAAAAGTTTTAGATGAGATAATGGAATTTCACTAGGGTCTTCAAGAATGGAAAGGGCTTAGGCAGTTAGACATGGGATACAAAGGCATTCTAGACAGACAAGTAAATGAAGGAAAGGCAGCAAAAGAAGAGAGAAGAAAAGGCTAGAGCTGGAGGCAGTGACATCTCTAACAGACTTTTTTTTTTTTTAAGATTCACATGGAAATTTACATACAGATTAAAGAGCCAAAACACTTTCATCAAGGACACATTCTGCAAGCAGACCATGACATTCCCATCAAGTAGAGGAACCAGTAAAAATGTGCTTAAAAGTTAGGATGTCAGGGAAGGTAGTGTGAAAAGAGTGAGTTTTCAATTCTTTGAAAGAAAGACAAAGAAGGGCAGGCAGAAAGGAGGGCATGGTCCTTGCAGACCTGGTGTGGTTAAGGAATAACACTTCGATTTCCTAAGAAGGGTGTCCACAGTGAAGGATATTACAAAATGAGGCTGGTGAGATGGGGAGGAGTGGAAGGAAATGGTTTGCTGGGTGGGAAACCTCACCAGCTGGGTCAGTGCTCTGATAGCAAGAGGGATTCTGGTGAGTAAGCCCACGCATGAGAAAAAAGCAGTACATGAGAAGAAGGTTCTCCTAAAGGAGCTGGACACAGAACAGCAGAGACGGAGTATGAACTTGGGGGAGGCCCCGCTGCCTGGCCCTGCAGTGGTACCTGAGCAGGTGTAGGGGACCCCATGATGGGAGATGCTCAACGCTGGCAAGGGATACTCCAGGTCCTCTCTGCCCCCCAGGCTGTACTTTCCACTACAGCATCTAATTTTACATATAAGGTAAGTATATCTAAGGCAGGAATATATTTACTCATTTACTGATGGGCTTCACCTCACACTTATACTGAGTGTCCAGTACTTCCAGCCCAAGTCCTTTCTTGCTCTCCAAAACAGACGTGCAGTAAAATGAATGGTTAATGAGTAATGGAAAATGGAATAAGAGTTTATGGATGCTAGACAGCAATGATTACTTATTCTGCATGAGCTCATGATTTCACAAGTTTAATTTAAAATCATATACCATGTATATGCTAACATACACATAAATATATATATATATATATATATATATATATATATATATACTTGACATAAATACCTACACTTGATCTTAGCCAAAAGGCTGAGAAATGATTATAAAATATATCTGAAAAAATACACAATTGCAAATAGCAGTTGCTTCCAAGCAGGGGAGTTGGATAGGTGGCCAAAGAGTTATGAAGGAGATTGACTTTTGCATATAATATTTACATTTTCTATCATGTGCATATATTGCTTATCAAGAAATAATGTTCAAAAATATACGGCATTTTATTTATATATATTGTATCCTCCGAGAAATTGCTGTAATGAAGTTTGCTTTTCCCTCTAGATGCCTGGGCACCACAATTCCTAATGGTGATGCCATTTCCACACGTTTTGTGGCACTAAATAGAAAACTGATTGAAAACTTAAAGACGACAGATATGAAATCCCACATGCAAACTCTACACAAAGACCAAAATGTAAGCTGGGAAACAATTCATAATGCTCCCTACATTATCAGCCTTCAGCACAAGTTTGGCACAAACCCTTCTGATTTAGTATCTCAGTAACCTTGTGAGAAAAGACACAGAGAAACCAACACATTATTGAAGTCATGGGGCAAGCCATTGGGTGTGAGGTGTAACACGAGCATTTGGAAAGCCTGGAAGCTTTCTCTATTCATGAAATTGTAAGTTGGCCCCTTCTCTGTCTTTTTAATTGCTCTCTCCCCACCTGCTTTCCACTTTTATTTATAAGTAATTCCCAAAGCTCAGATCTATGTCCCTACTCCTCTTCTACAGTTCCTTGTGAAAGTATTTTCTTTCTTTAGAGGTACTCCTACGACTCTGTTTGTGACTGAAATGGATTTCGAGTCTCTTCACCAGTCAGTAGCTGTGTGATCTTAGGTTTCTTTAGTCTTCAGTTCTTCTATAAAATATACAATCAGTAATCTTAGCCATCTGAAGCCAGGGACTACATCTGACGATCCTTTTAGATTCCTTCTAAGACTCTAAGTATCAACTGGTTATGGTCAATTTATTATTTGTTTTCTTATCCAAACAAGATTTTCCTCCTACTTTTCATCAACAGCAATATTGTTAGCTCATCATCATACATCAATTTTTGGTTCTTTTGTTGTTATTTATTTTCCTTTTTTTTTTTATTATACTTTAAGTTTTAGGGTACATGTGCACATTGTGCAGGTTAGTTACATATGTATACATGTGCCATGCTGGTACGCTGCACCCACTAACTCGTCATCTAGCATTAGGTATATCTCCCAATGCTATCCCTCCCCCCTCCCCCCACGAAACTGGAAATCATCATTCTCAGTAAACTATCGCAAGAACAAAAAACCTTTTTTTAAATTATTATTTTTCTTGAGACAGGATCTCGCTCTATCACCCAGGCTGGAGTGCAGTGCTGTGATCACAGTTCACTGTAGCTTTGACCTCCTGGGCTCAGGTGATCCTCCCACCTCAGCCTCCTGAGTAGCTGGGACTACAGGCGTGTACCACCACACTTGGCTAATTTTTGTGATTTTTTTTTTTTTTTTGCTGAGATGGGGTTTCACCATGTTGCCCAGGCTGGTCTCAAACTTCTGGGCTCAAGTGATCTGCCCTTCTTGGCCTCCCAAAGTACTAGGATATGGCATAAGCCACAGCACCGGCTAATTCTTTATTTTCAAGAAGTCACTGAGATTGTTAGTTCCTGTTTTAAAATACCTTTCACTTTTAACATTCCTCAGTTTCCCATATCCTTACCATAGGCTAAGTTATCACTTCAAGCATACACTACTATTACTTAACTTTCAAATAGTCTATCTGCCTCAGCTGCCTCCTTTTTGTGTTCATCTACACGAATTCTAGTGAATGAATAGCCTGCAAAATGCCAATCTTTCCCAGGAGTCAACAGCATTCTTCCTTCTCCCTCTCCTCCACCTACCAAAGCTAATTTTACTTCCAAAATATTTATCATATCCCCTGCCTCCTCACAAGGTATTACTTGTGATGTTGCAAGAAAGAGTACCCACTGAAATTTCTGTTAAACCACTATTACCTATTCTGGCCTCAAAGTGAAGGACAGATGGTGACATTTGCAAGGTTGTTTTCAAACACAATCTAATATGAACCAGTATAACAGCCGAAGAGCGCAACTGCACATATTCCTAATGTCCATTCCCAAGCTATGTTATACAATTATAAAATCATTCTCTGAATTGATTTTATTTTCTTCTCTTGGATAAGGGCACTATCTACAGCAGCGATAAGTTTCCATAGGAACTAAATTCATTTCAAAAGGTTTGAACATAGAGGCTTTAAAAAAAGTGCTCAAACAACATACGAATTTTGTACATAGTGCCTTGCAGTCTTGAAATCAGAGCATTGTAAATGTTAACCTTTTAATCTCCTGAAAGTCCCTGGAAATGAGAAAATGGTCTCTATTTGGGAAATGGATATGTTTAAGGTAACTGGTAAGGAAAAGAACTTAGAAGGTGAGTTGCTAATTCGTAATATCTCATCTCTAGCATTAAACACAACTAATCACACATGATAACATTATTTACTAATTCTTAGAAAATAAGTGCAGCATGCATCCAAGTAGTTGCTAATATTTTCCTACTTAATATTCCATAAATTAAATATAAAAACTAGAAGAAAATACACCTTCGAAGTATTTTATAGCTAATAAATGTGAGAAGTTCATACGGGTGTATAAGCACACTGAACTGCACGTACCTCTGTGAAGCATCCACACGGTAACTCTGTAATTTGAAAATTCTAACATGTTTCTCTTTTTGTTCTGATTAAATATTCAGTACTGATGCCATAAGAAGGCATTAAATTCCAACATATCCCTTTGTATTATATAAACGGATTTAAGCATTTTACAGAGGACAGGCAAGATTTAGCAAATTGGCTTAACATTCTAGTCTGCTGCTGAGACTAAAATGAACAAGACCAACTACGAAGTATAGAAAACAACAATCTACCACACAGATTCTCCAAATGATTATGATGAGTCTCATACACGAGTATTTCAGAGGTGGAATCTCAATGATTTCTACGTAAAGGGATAATGATATATTACTGTAGGACCAAATAATGCATTTCTCAATTCATGTCTGGATTGGATTCACCATGCTGAGCTCCATTAGTTTTACATCTCCCTAAGGGTTCCAATTCAGCAGTATTAATATATGCCATTACACACAACCCAACCTAAGAATGGCTGCCTTATGACAGCCCCTTAATACTACTCTCCAGTTGAGTATGTCTGGAGAAAAATCACAAAACTAGGGAAACTAGAATCACTATAAATTCACAGGCACTAAATCCTGCCACAATGTTATGGCACTTCTTTGGTAAACTCACTCTCCCCCTATTACTAGGATTATTCATGCCATCTGCAGCCTCCTCAAAAATCTCGCCTGGTTCTTTTCCCTTTCCACCCTTGGCTAATGTGCTGGCCTGTTGTTTCATTGAGAAAAAAAAAATAAACCAAAAGATAACTCCCTCATCTTCCCAACATAAGATCTGGATCTGCACCCATCTTCTTTTCTATTGATACTTTGGAGGAAGAGTGTCTCTCTCATCCAAAGAAAGGCAATCCCTATGCATGGATCCAATTCTTACCTTCCCCCACCCTTGCCTGCTAGTGGGATTTTCTCTCCTGAGATGGTTCTCACCACATTCTGGCATTCTCTAGAACAGTGCTATCCAACAGTGCTTTCTTCAGTGATGGAAATGTACTAAATCTACGCTGTCCCAACATGGTGGTCACACCACCGGTGGCAAGTAAGCACCTGAAATATGACTAGTGCAAACAAAGGAAATGCATGTTAAATTTTACTAAATTTTAATACATTTAAACAGTCATAAGTGGCTAGTGGCTACCATGTTGTTGGAAGCACAGCTCTAGCAAATACCCTTTCAATTTCTGCCTCCACTTCCTTACCTTCCATCCATTCTTTTCTATCCATGCCAAAGTGGCTTTCATTCAACTGTTGGATAGAACTGCTCTTGCTAAAATCAGAGGCCTCTAAGTGGTCAAATCCAATGATTTTTAGTAGACATCTTATAGGACCCGATCAGCACAGACTTGTTCCAGTAAATTGCCCCTTTCTTGAAAAGAGTTTCTTGGCTTCCATAATACTACACTCTCCTGTTTTTCCTCCCGGCTCTCTGGCTCATTGTCTTCTAACTGATCCCTCAATGTTGGAGTTCCTTGGAGTGATGGTCCTGGAGGTCTCTTTGCTCTTCTCTCTCCCCTCTCTCCACAGACACCTCAGCCATTCTCATGGCTTTAAATACCATCTGTGTGTTGGTCGCTATCTAATTTGTATCTCTAGCCCAGCCCTCTTATAGGTGACTGACTATTGCTATTTACGTGGAAGGCATTACAGGTACCACATGTTTAAAACTGAACTAATTCCCTCCTCTACCTCCAATTTATTTTTTTTCTTCCCCATCTCAGTAAATAGACCCTTCAAGATCAGGGAGTTGTCCTTGATACCTCCCCCTTTCCCCCTTTCATTCCCAATATCCATTCTGTCACGTAGTCTAGTCTAAATTCTAATAGATCTAGAATTGACCACTTCCTTTTTTTCTTTTCTTTTTTTTTTTTTTTTTTTTTTTTTTTTGAGATGGAGTCTTGCTGTAGCCCAGGCTGGAATGCAGTGGTGCAATCTCACCTCACTGCAACCTCTGCCTCCTGAGTTCAAGCTGATTCTCCTGCCTCAGCCTCTCCAGTAGCTGGGATTACAGGTGTCCACCACCAAGCCCAGCTATTTTTGTATTTTCAGTAGAGATGGGGTTTCACCATGTTGGCCAGGTTGGTCTCAAACTCTTGACCTCAAGTGATCTACCCATCTCGGCCTCCCAAAATGCTGGAATTACAGGCATGAGCCACCGCGCCTGGCCTGGAATGGACCACTTTGTATTTCCATTGCCATTATCCTAGTCTGAACCACCATAACCACTTGCCTGGACTATTTCAACAGCCTCCCATGTAGTCCCTCTGTTTCCATTTTTGGTCTCTTACCCTCATCTCTACCACAATTCATTATCAAAACAACAACAACCAGAGTGCCCCTTTTAAACCACAAATCTGGTCTCACAACTTCTAGGTTACAACCCTAACTCTTCAAGATTTCCTACCTCTCTTGGGATACATCCAAAATAGTGATTATGACCTACTAGGTCCTACAAGATGTAACCCCTGCCTCCATCTCTCTCTACGACACTTTCTCACAATAGATTTCCCTTCAGAACCCCAAAGGAGCTCAGCTCCTTCCTCAGCGTCTTAACATGCATTGGCCCTGCTGCCCTTCCCCTAATGCCTACTATTTTAGCCTTTATATCAGCTTTAAGAGGTTGTCTCCAATGCCTCACAGTCGATTCCCATGGGACATGCTCTCATAGCATTGACAGCACTTTTCACAATTGCCATTGTCAAGTTATTTGGATGATCAGTTATTTCTCCCATTAGACCAGAAGCTCCAAAAGGGCAGTATTCCCAGTGCTTGTCACATCTGCCAAACACCATCAGCTGCTCAAACCTTTCCCCCTGAGAAGCCACTGGGGTAGCTTCTCCACTTCTCATCAGCACCGTATTAGCCAGTGTATATGTGGGGGAACAAGGCAGACCTGTGAAGAAGAGTGGCCAAACTACACATGTTCTTAACATCCCAACTGGAATCGAGAACCAATTTCCCAATAAATACTTAAGTTCTAGAATACAGTCAATACTTATGTTTTAGCCATTTACTGTGATGGTTAAAAACACAGGATCTAGCATCTAAAATATGCATATCCAAAACGGGGGTCTACTTCTTACTTGCAGTGGAAGCTTGGGCAAGTTTCTTGATCTCTCTAAGATGCAAATTTTTCCTCATTTCCTACTGTTTAACATTGTTGTGAAGATTAGTAAGATAACGTTTAAGCTCTCCACACAGTGTCTGGCACTGAGTAAGCCTGTAATAAATGGTAGCTGTTGTTATTATTAATACACATTTATTGTTAATATATTTCTGCAGGTTATTCTGGGAACCTACCCATTTGTTATCATCTTCTTTCCAAAGAAAAATGAGCTGCTATTTTCAAACAGCCAACTTAAAAACCAAGTTTTAGAATACGATACATCTGAGAGTTGGTAACTGCTCATGAAGCTTGAAGGTACCCACAAAGTGTTCAGGTGGTGGAGAAAGAGGAGGGCTGCTGCATGTGTTTTTGATGAAGGGATTAAAAAGCTGTACTCATGTTAAAAATCACGCCTCCAGCATGGGGTACATAATGAACATAAACCTACATATCTTTTCTTTCCCCAAGTACGTGCTCACGGGGAGCAACAGTCCACCCTATGAATAAATGGAATTGTATTTGAAGTAATTACACTTGGCATAGATTTACCCACTGCTGGTGGCAGGGCTGCTACTTGTGACTAAGCAGTGAGGGGAACTCAACAGAATTGATGGCAAACGGCTTTAATTTGCCTTAATAGTAGCAAAATCTCGCCTAAGACAAGTTGGACGTTTCAAGAATAATAAACCCACACAGTTAAAGTTCTATTACTGTTAAACCAGTATTCAAACAGGCCAGAAACTGGTTTTCAGCCTCTTTTTGTGAGTTTTCTGTATCTTTAAGGTCATACATGTTATTTTGTGAAGCCACGCTAGCAGTCTTCTGGAGGAGGCCTAGACATGCCGGTGTTACTAAAATGTTGGGTAACATTTCAGTTTATTCATGTTGTGAGGTCTGTCCCTTCCCCTACCCCATACTCCCAAAAGCTTTAACCACCAAAGGACATTTAGAAATAATAGGGAGAAATGTGAAAGTGCTAATGATGATTTCATTTTCAAATGGTCTTAAATTGACAGGTAATGACAGCACTGCCTGTAATGGCCTTGTAGCCAACTCATAAGCAGGAATGGGGAAGAAGATGGACTAGGAGGATTCTCCTTTCTATAAATGCACCATGGCTGAATGCAAAGAAAACCCAGATAAAATTAAAGGTCTTCCCTGTGCCTGAGTGACTGGCCTTTGTGAAGGATGAGTGAGAAACTGAAGCCTTACACATCATAAAATCACAGTATGTGTGGATTGATTACCATTCAGAAGTTAATTACACATTACTAAATTATTATGTGAAAAGCCTGTAAAATCTGGAGTTTTGTCAAATCAGATCATATGTCATATCATATATCATATCATGGTACTAGAGGTATGTAATGGCTGTGGCTATACAGCAGACCATGAAACTGAAATTTTAGACTTGTTGGCCTAATTTAATCAATGTCAACTGTCAAATAGGAGGATTATGGCCAGCAACTCCAATATGAGCTAGGACTGAAGACCCTGAAAGAGAAAGACTTAAGTACTGCTCAGGATGATAACTTTCGTTTAAGGTCTGAATAACTGGTTTTGTTATCTAAATTGAATAGCATAATGAGATAATTTTTATCACAACCACATACTGTATAATGAAATAAAGCAATGAGAGCATTTTATCAAGGCATTTCAACGTGATGGCAAATCAATTATAATATTAATTTTTATCAGACACCATCAAATCCAGCCACTTTTAGATCTCCAATATTGGTTATAAGTGCCAACATTTAGACTGAAAGAACTGTTTAACAGATGGAGCATTTCCTTCTTCCAGTATTTAGGAGTGAGGCCATCTGACTGAAGTCTTATTTCCCTGCTTATAAACTAAGGCCTTTGCCCAGGAGACTATTTCAAAAATGTACCAAAGGTTAATATGTTTGCATATATTACAAATGCTAAGCAAAATGGAATGTTAATATATTCTCTTATTAATTACAAAGGAAATGGCAGGAATGACTGCACATAAAGGACATTTTACCAGTTGTTCTTACTCTGATTACCTTTTAGGTCCCTGCAAATGCCAGTCACAGTTTCACTGGTGCTCAGGTTGCCTGAAATGAGGGAG
Source organism: Homo sapiens (assembly GCF_000001405.40). Lineage (NCBI taxonomy): Eukaryota > Metazoa > Chordata > Mammalia > Primates > Hominidae > Homo > Homo sapiens. Next base: position 132,815,540 of record NC_000007.14, read on the forward strand.
AAGTAACGAGTTCTCCTACTAGGAGCCATACTGGGACAAGAGGTAACAAAATAAAGAGTCCTGTTTTGTGATATTTCATTTCACCAAACCTGCTGGTAGGAAAAAAAGTGAAAAGAGAACAGAGAAAAGATATGAAAATTGCATTATACAGTCCTTTAGGCTTTCGTCCTTCTTTTTTCCTTCTCTCTCTTCCTCCTTTCTCTCCCCTTCCCCAACCAGATCCTTCCTATTTCTGGTTTACGCACCGTCAGTCAAGGGTTGAACAAATTTTTATATATGCTTCTAAAGCAGGAGTAGCAAATACAAAGGAAAAATGCCTACTCATTCAATGCTTAAGCCAGTGACAGACATCACTAATCAATCTTGACATTCTTTCAGGCTGAGTCTGTCATAGCCTCCGAATCCTTTTCAATGAAATACTGCAGGGAGCCACCACGATCAATTGGAGTTGGTGCCTGAAACAAAATTTATTTGCCTTTCCTTGCACTAGACTTTTCCCTAGTGTTCTATCTTTAGCATTGGGTTGGACTTTCTTGGTTCGGCACTTTCTTATGGTCATGTAGTTCAGACTGGGCATTTTGTCAAGTTGAAATTCATGAGAAGCCTGGCTCTCTTCCAATAAGCACCTTGCCATACAAAATCCACAGTTTCTGAAAATAATAGAGATCAGATAATGCCCCTTTCTGGCTCAATCCACATCCTCTAAAAGGGAAGCAAAGCCAGGAAAAAAAATCATCTGGGCTTAGCAGTCTCTTTCTTCACTTTCTGGAGTAAAAGAGTTGGCCTCTATTAATGTTTGAGCCTTGATCTTAGCTATGTCTGTTTTTAAAGCTGATTTGAGGTTCAGATTTAGCATTTACCCTTTCAAAAAGTATCTGTTTAAAAGAAAGTTTTATGACAGTCACTAGATTGCCTTTATGAGCATTTTAGGAGTACCTTCCCCATATATTAACCCACTGGCTCATTTGGCTTCATAGTTAATTGCACGATCTCTCCAGAAAGTCCTTAATGACACCATCTCACATCCAACCTTCATAATTTAGCTCCCCCCAAATCCGAGAGCAGGGCTTCCCAGGCACCATCTTACTGCCATTGTGGGCCAAATGTGATTCTCCCCAGCTGCTGCTGTGCCTCCTCCTTTATGGCAGCGGCTTGCCTGATCACTCCAAGCCATTCCAGGAACCAGAAGACTTCCAGGCAAGAAGAGGCTATTAGATGCAACCTGCTTGGGCCAGGGCCATATTCTGCTACCAGTGATAACTAATGCATGCTTCTGCTGGTATTTTTTCATTCTATTGCTTGAGAGGATTGCCTCCCACATTTGCACAAAGGATTTCCCTAGATAAAGAAGATCCGAGAACGGCCAAATCTTGCCAGAATTCAATAAATGGCATACAAAAGCCTGAAAAAAAACCCTGGAATATCAAAATGGAAGTAGGTTCAACTATGACAAATGTGGCTGCCTGAAAAACAGACAAGAGACACAAAGGGCATCCCTGTCTTCTCTGTCTTTACCTGGGAACTAAAAGAAAGATGGCGATTTCTCTGTACACGTGCTGGTCTGTAACCTCCACAGCTGCCAGCTCTAAAGAAAAGGGCAGCACTCATCTGCTTTATGAAGAGTTGAAAAGATTCATGTAATTTTCCTGGGGTCCCAAGCTTTCTTTCTTTTTTTTTTTTGGGCATTACCCATAATGTATTTGTCCATGGGATAAACTGAGATGCCTTCCCCCAACAATTACATTTGCTTAAAGGAAAACACAGCTGCCTTCCTTGAATATTAAGATGCAACTGGGACTAGTGAGACCAAAGATTTCAAAGGGAAGGAAAGTTTTTATAGCATAAAAGATACTCTATTATATCAAAGTGCATTGAGATTAAAAAAAAAATGAGGCAAAGTGATGACTATTCTCCTTAGGGACAAAAGGTCCAATTGAGAAAGAAGCTCTAGGTGCCACTTTCCAGAAGAGCCACCTGCCACTACTTGGAGCTATTGCAGATATTCAGGAGTCAGAATTTCAGACTCCTGCCACCTCTGGGGTTCATGGGGGAGACTGTGCACACATGTCTCCCCTGAGGCAAAGCCAACAGGTAATTACTCGATCACTGACACCTTGGGATAACTGAACATGAAATCAATTTCTTAATGGTTCTCTCTTAAAGAACCAGCATCACACTGCTAGCTACTGCACCTGTAGTCCCAGCTACTCAGGAGGCTGAGACAGGAGGATCACTTGACCCAGGAGGATCACTTGACCCAGGAGGTCCACTTGACCCAGGAGGTCAAGGCTGCAGTGAGCTATGATCATGCCACTGTATTCCAGCCTGAGTGACAGAGTGAGACCCTGTCTCAAAAAAAAAATAAAAATAAAAATAAAAGAAAGAAAGAAAGAAAAAAGGAAAGCTTTGGAGAAATATGTGCTAACCCAAGCAAAAGCAAGTGAGTCACCCATTCCTTTGGGAGTGTATTATATTGCTATGAGGGCCCACCCCAGCCAAACTATGGAAAGTAGCAAGAGATGATGCTGAACCTAATTACCATTAGTTATTATTTGCTATGGTTACAATTGCACCGAATAACGCTGCTGCCAGCAGTGCTGTTTTATGTGATATCTTCTTCATGTGGCAACCTTTTCATAAATCAAAGCAAAAGCCAATACCAGACAGTTTCTTGTACAGCCTGCCTGACAATAAAAGTTAACACTGAACCTTAGCTGTTATCAATCTTCATAAATGTGTCCACGACGTGGCAAGACTGCTCCACATTACGGTGGGGCTGCCACTAATGCAAGCAAGGTAGTGACCCACTAGGTTAATGGGACTTGACAATCAGTCCAGTTTTAATTGAGCCAGAAAAAGGAATGGTTCTCTTATCCTTAAAGTACACAGGAATTTTCTCCTCTATGTCTTAGTTTCATCAGTGCTTTGCTCAGAAAATGCCTATAATTAATATAGACTGGTATAACAGACAATAGAAACCTCATGGGGGAAAGTGGGTGGGTAGGCTTTTATAAGAAGAAAACTTGTTATGAAGTATTTAATTGGTGTTCTTGATAGACAGTTACCTGACTTGAAGATGCTGTGTTTTCAAGTTGAAATTTCAAACTAGAAAATATATAAATCTGTCTACATGAACAGAAGCAAAAAAAACAGTCCTTAAAAATAGCAAAAGTCAACAAATTTTTAATATCAATAACTTTCCCTTGACAAAAATTCACACTATATAGAAATCTGAACTGAAGGAATTCCCAATTAATGACAAGTCTTAATGTAATAAATACTCCATCATGTTTTGAATTTTGCTATAGTCTTAATTATCCTATTGATACCGTCAAGAGAAAAGCCCAGCTTCTATCTGGCATGTACTAGAGATGAACTCTGGCAATTAGCTAATGTCCAACAAAAATCAGCCCTGTATTAACAGCCTGTAATGAAGACCATTAACAGCCAGATAAATCAAACCATTAGGCCAGACACAGAGATGTCAACATAGCCACAGGCACCTAATTTGCTGAATGCATTTATTTAAATATGTATTATCCAAGCACAGTATATATGCCAGGTGCTTGGGCAGATCGATAAAGAGGATAAAATACAATTCCTGCCCTCAAGAAGGTTTCAGTTCAACTAAGAATGAGATTCACATGCTGTTAACTAGACTATAACCTTGGCAATGGGCCCTTCAAACTCCCAAGTCTATAATTCTTAGTTTTTAGACAACAGTTTCCTCTAGTGTAAATTCAGAGCTATATTAGATCCCTTTCAGAGTAAAAACACTCTTATTTGCACCTGTGAGTGAGTTAGCCCAGGCTTTTAAATCCAGAATGTAGTTTAAATGCACACACACGAGAAAACGCACTTTTTTTTTTCTTTTTGCTTTTTTTGTTGCCCCTAACCTCTAGTCTTCCATTCTGAACTGCAGGAGTCTAAGTTAAGAAGCATGGACATTTTATAAGAGTTCAATTTAGTAGATGGAAATATTGATACTAATTGAGCACCTGTTAGAGAGAGGCATGCTCCCATCAAGCTGGCTCAGATACAGCTTGTACCTTAAACGGTTCACACTTGAGAAGGGAGATGGGGCACAGGCAACACTGATGCCACTTACATTGTCATAAGGGCTGGAGTGACATAAACACACAGGGAACAATTAATTAATTATGGCTTTTTAGTAGGAAGGGAGGTGTCTAGAAAGACTTTACAGAGAAAGCAGAGGAATTAACACATGAGACAGGTCCTAACAAAAGGCTGAGTTTATCGGGAGGAAGGTGGTGAAGGTGAGGTGTGCTGTGGCTGTGCTGCGGGGGCAGCGTGAGCCGGGCCAAAGCGTGAGTGCGGAAGGCCTTCCCTCCCTTTAGTGAATGAACACTGAAGTGCATGAGAAAAGATGGCAAAAGATCAGCCCAGGAGGTATCCAAGGTTATTTTCATAATGTGGTTTAATATTTAAAGTTTTGGCTGTTTGTCCCAACTTCTATATTATGATTTATTAGATAATGTCGATTATTTAACTTTGAAGCAGAAACTTATTTCGCTTTTAATCATTTGGATCAGATTGATGGATGAGCATCTTGTGGTTGCAAGGCAAGCTGTTAAAAAAAAAAGTTATTATTTGCCACTACTTATCACCACAAATCAGGATCATCGTAACACTCAACCAAACACATAACTTTGGCTGTTGGGACTGATATAGGACTGCAGCCATCATCCTTGGCCCCTAATTTTTAAATGTTGTATTCATAAAAATAAGCTTCATTGTTCTCTTCATAATGAGCAAAGGTTGTAAGTAAGCTTATAAACTAGAGTAATAGTATTAAGATAGCATATTATCAGTTGTGGGTATTAGGATTCCGCTAACTGCTAACAAAAAATGTTTGAAAACAACAGGAGGGACTGGAAGGGAGGGAGGCTTCTCTTTGCTATGGCTTCCGCATCCCTTTCTCACTCTCTATAGGAATTTATCTCCTTTCATAGAAACAAGGCTGCACCTGTGATTGAGTTAGCCCAGGCTTTTAAATCCAGAATGTAGTTTAAACACACATGTATGCACAAACATGGGAAAATGTGCTAGTGTTTTTTTTTTTTTTTTTTTTTTTTTATTGCCCCTAACATCTAGTCTTCTTTTCTGAACTGCAGGGGTTAAACGGGCTTTTGGGGACTAATCTAGACACTTAGCCACACTGTCCTTTTTACTTCTGGAAAAAAAAATATATATATGGCCCAAATGCTGAGCAAGTGACTACAGAACACGTTAGGAAGAATCTTGTTTGTTCAGTATACACTACCAACCTATCGTTGTCTAGAATCTCAAGTGAAGAAAAATATTCTAAAACTATGACAAGGTTTTAGGTGAGAACTATATCATGAACTAACAATGGCTGCATTTTGTCTGAGCATACCATTGCGTATGTATGTCTAACCACATTATGTAGTTCTCATGTAGCATATTAAAACAGAATTATTATTTTGAGTAGTGCTGCTAACTGTTGGTTAATAATTTGACAGAAAGCATTTACCTTTAAACACATGCTTTTAAGAGGCCTGGTATACTCAATTGTAATTTTATTGCGTTCAAGAATTATCCTCTAGGGAAATATATATTAGATCATATGATGAGCATCAATTAAAAAAACACAAAATTCACCCAACAGAAAATTCAACTATTGTGACTACAGTAATTATTAATAGCTCACTATTCACTGCTTAGGATATGCTAAAAACATAAATGGACCTCATTTAATTCCAATATAACAGCTCTGTTATTACCATTTCACAGATATAAAATCTAAGACTGTGGGGTTTGGGTGGGGTGGAAAATGAGAAGTAACTTGCTAGAATAGGTCTACTGAATGATGTGAAGAATATCTATAAACATTATATTCAGTAAACATTTTAACATGTGGATACTTATTATTTCATTGTACCTATATTGACATTATGGCGTGGAAAAATGAAGAGAAGTCCTAATAAACTTAAAAAGAAATCAGGAAGACCAGGAACCACAGACGAGAGAAAATAAGCATATTTTCTGGTAGATGCTACAGCAAAACTTGTAGTATATTAAACATTTGCTCTTTCTTACGTCTACTTCCTAGATACTGTAGCATATAAAGGTAGAATTTTATGACATGAAGTACAAATAGATGTATCATTAATAAGAATGGATCAGCCCTTCTGAAGAACGTGGCCAAAAGCTTAGCACTCAAATCTTTTTTTTTTTTTTTTTTTTTTTTTTGAGACGGAGTCTCGCTCTGTCGTCCAGGCCGGACTGCGGACTGCAGTGGCGCAATCTCGGCTCACTGCAAGCTCCGCTTCCCGGGTTCACGCCATTCTCCTGCCTCAGCCTCCCCAGTAGCTGGGACTACAGGCGCCCGCCACCGCGCCCGGCTAATTTTTTGTATTTTTAGTAGAGACGGGGTTTCACCTTGTTAGCCAGGATGGTCTCGATCTCCTGACCTCATGATCCACCCGCCTCGGCCTCTTTTAAAGATCCCAGCCTAATGCACTTTCTGGAGCAACAATCCTATTTTCTTTGCATCATCAAGTTCTGAGGATGTATTTTTCATTTGTCTTGTCGTCTGTTAGAAAAGGTGAAGATGTGTATACATTTTGGTTTTCAATTCTCCTATTATATCAGCTTCTCAGCGCTTCACTTTCCAAATGTTCAAAAGAGGTATGGATTGACATTTCTGCCAAAGGACAATTTTTTGCTCTGTAGTTTTTCTCAGAGTTAATGGAAAAAGTTCTGCCACTAATGTTTTCAATTCACCTCTAGGGAATTACAAACTAGCAGCAAAAGCTGCAAAGGTTGTGCCAAAATGCAGTATTTTTAAATTATACAAGTCAAAAAAGCCTATAATTTTCACAAAACATGATTTCCTTTTTTTTAATTTAAAAAAAAAAGTCTTGGGAGGCCAATTTTTGATTCATATTGTGATACAACTTCTAAGGTTAAATAACCTGGGCCCTGACTCTTAACTACTAGATCCCTAAAAGAAACTGACCTGTATAGAGTTGAGTACCTACTATATGCCCAGAATTTTACCCACATTTCATTAACCCTTATTAACAACCCATGAGGTATTATATGTACATGTCCTATATCAGCAAAAAGAAGATCAAGAGTTAAGTAGCTTAATGCTACACAGTTGGAAGGAACAGTCACAATTCAAACCCCATCCATGTTACGGAAATAAAAGTACCAGTTCCTTAGGGTTTAGGTATGAGTTTGTTTCGCTGCAGCCTTCTTCTGCACTATCCGCCCCCACCGCGCCCCCCACCAAAAACAAAACAAAACAAAACAAAACAAAACAAAAAACCAAAACCAATCACTTGAAAGAAACTTTCAGTAGAGGACTACAGACCAATCCTATGAGGCATGATGCAGCTATTTAGAAGAATGAGTTGGATTTAAAAGAAGGCGTTGAATTTATGTGTTGACCCAGGGGGATGTATCCATAATAAATATAAGTTAAAATACGTATGGTATAGTCTTACACTCTGTGAAAACAAAACAAAATCTATGTTTATTAACATATCTACTCATAGAGATAAATGTGAAAGGCTAAATATCAAACTGCAACTTCACATGCTTTACTTTTAAAAGGTTGATCTGGAAAAGAAAAGAGGAGTAAAATTACATTTCCCTTGTTACAAGAAAAAAAATACTTCCTTGATAAATTAAAAGAGAAAAAAATCTAATACATTAGTTCCCCTTTATCCATGGGGGATACATTCTAAGATATCTAGTGGATGCCTGAAACCATGAATAGTACTTAACTTTAGATAAACTATGTTTTTTCCTACACATACCTCTATGATAAAGTTTAATTTATAACTTAGGCACAGTAACAGACTAACAACAAGAATAATAAAATATAACAATATACTAGAATAAAAGTTATGTGAATGTAGTCTTTCAGTATCTTATTGTACTCTGCAAAAAGCAAAATTGCAGATAAGGGGGGCCACCTGTATTATTTATCAATTTCATATCCTTTTCGCTACAGTAAGTCTCCAGGAAGGATATCAAAAGAGAAAAGTTGTTCATAAAATTCAATGGGAAGGAGAGAGAATACTTTAAAAGGCTCATTTAATAATCAAGTGGACTAGCAATAGAAAATTTGCCTAGTAAGTGAGCTAATTTTATCTATTTTGGGCACATTCAATCAGAATTATAGACATAAATTAAAAATTAGACATCCAGATAAAACACATCTGAATAAACCACATACGTTTGTCTCTCACACATTCATTGCAATGACACAAAGAACCTGGTACCTTGTGAATTCTTAGGACACCATTCAAAGATATCATAGCTAGGAGTAATGAAAACTAATCATATACCATTTCAATTGGTATGAAAAGATGAGGCTCTTTTTCTGCCTAATGCCCTAGGACTTCCCCAGGCAACATCCTATGAACCCAATCTTTCCTCAACTCTCTCCTCCCCACCTTTTTAATCAGAACTAATCTTTACTATGTTCCGTCCTTTCAAGTCCCTGAACTTTGCTCTCAATCAATATGGCAAGCTAATATGTGGTTATTTTTGAGTGGACATTAGTATATTAAGAGTGATAGTCATTAATTTGGTGCAGTAAACTCTAATTATCATATAATAAACGTATACAACATCTATGCACCCAATATTATATTGTATTATTTGATAGAAGACTTCCAGAAACAATGACCAACTCAAAAGGCATAATCCTAGTGGTGACAATTATGGGGACCAGGGATAGGTGAAAGAAAAAAATATTCCCAAGTAGTAGAACTCTTTTTTTTTTTTTTTTTTTTTTGAGACGGAGTCTCGCTCTGTCGCTCAGGCTGGAGTGCAGTGGCATGATCTCGGCTCACTGCAAGCTACGCCTCCTGGGTTCACGCCATTCTCCTGCCTCAGCCTCCCCAGTAGCTGGGACAACAGGTGCCCGCCACCACGCCAGGCTAATTTTCTGTTTAGTAAAGACAGGGTTTCACCATGTTAGCCAGGATGGTCTCGATTTCCTGACCTTGTGATCTGCCTGCCTCGGCCTCCCAAAGTGCTGGGATTACAGGCATGAGCCACCACGCTCGGCCACCAAGTAGGTAGAACACTTGGTTGAATCTTTATGCCCTATTAACTCTGCCTTTTAAAATACGGCATTTCAAGTTCTTCAAGTCTGACTCCAGTCTTGCTTTGTGGTCTCATATTCCACTAGACCTCTCCCACACTGTTTCAGCCATTTTCACTATTCAATGCCCTCTTCATAGCAAGGCCATTCTCCCTCTTCTTACCTTAAGAAAATCTCAAGATGAGAAGATCCAGCTTATGCCAGTCACCTCTTCATGCAATCCAGATTCCCCTGGGATTCCGAACCTCCTAGTCCTACTGCATTTTATGGTTTGTACCTTCATGTTAGCATTTAACATGTTTTGGTCACTTTTTATATTCCCAACTTATAACAACCATATGGAATGTATAAGATACTCAAAATTTTTCACGAACAAATCTTTTAGTAATAATTCCTGCATCAAGTTTTGATGCTTCTGCAGTCGAGCTAATGATCCCAATGAGTATAAGCCCTCTGAGGGCAGGGACTCAAACTGATATGTCTGTATTTTCAGGGCCCATAGAACATGGAACATCAAAGAGACCCTTGATGAATGTATGTGTTAATACTGAGGATGGTAAGTTCTTCAAAGCAAAATTGTTGCATTAATATCTTTAAAAAAATAGATATATGCCATTGAGCTCACTAGGGGAAGAAACCAAACAAATAAGGACAGGGTGTCGGAATTCACTAACAGAAAAGAACTCCCAAGACAGAAAGAGTCAAAATAGGTCTGCTGGCAATATCCAACAACTCAAGTTCAAAGACTTCAAAAACAGCCCCAAACCAACACCCAACTAACCAAACCAAAACCACAAATGACTTAAGTCATGACAAAGCATTTGGTTCCCACTTCTTGTCAATTAACCAGGATGTCTTAAAGATGAATTCTATACCAGCAATGCTAATTTTCTTCATTACACTAGCGTCTTTTGTATTGGAGAAACACTATCAGGAAAAGACAAGAACTGGTTGATTATGAGCAGTATCAAATGAGCTGTAATGGAGGTGTTACGAATGTAAATCAGCGAAGCCTGATGCAGAAAACAGCAGCATCTGGGCATGCAGCTTGCAAAGTAATGAGACTGTGATAATGCACTACCACCCAGCTTTGATCACTTCATCTTGTTCAAGAGCTCTGCTTGGGAAACAAAGGTGTGAGGCATTGACCTCCTGCCCACAGCTTGCACAAGCACAAAACATGGTAACAGATCAAGGATCGATACCCTTCTCTCTTCTCCTCCTTGCCAACACACCCCTTTTTCAGAACTGATGGCTTCATAGTTGGAGGCCCAGCATAAAGCAGGCCAAGCAAGCTTCTACCATATGAAGCGTCTGTCTGAACATGTCTACTATAATTGGCAATTCATTTTTCATCCTGAAAGCAGGAACAGGTGTATGCTACCTTCGACATTCCAATCATAAACCATGCTGAATGCATCTCTCACATAGTCAGCTTTGTTGAGATCTATGCCAGTGGCTAGCCGGTGGACTTCAGAGTCTGCATAGATGGCTCTGCCTCACAAATGAATAGGCACTTGTGTAATCTCAGATGCTCAAGAGAACAAGAGGAGGAGCAAATGGCAGTGCATAAAAAATTAAAAATCTCACCACACAGCAGCAGCCCTTGGTTTTTCTTGTGTAAATAATGTAATTGGCAAATAGCTTACTTCTTTGTAATTGCAATATCCCTACAATGCATGTTTAACATACTAAAAAAGGAGGTTTTAGTCCTTGAAAAGGAGTATAAAGCCAGATGTATCACTGCACAGTGTTTCTTGCCAGCTTCATCCAGAAACACTAGCTGAGGTGACTTGTGAAACAGAGCCAAGAGCAAGAACTCTCCTTAATGAGCACATTTATCAGTTTTCCAGGGACTCGGTTGATTACCAGCATTTAGACATACACACTCACAAAAGGAACACAGCAATTTAACTATTGGCCACTGAATGGGAAAGCACATGAAATAATTTAAGGCAGGCATGTGAGCAAGTTGGGGATGCTTGGCGACACTAACATATGAACATGTGTGCTTTCATTTCAACATGTAAGGAAGGGCCAAGACGCAAGCTTTTACAAGTTTTCAAGCATTCTGCCAGGACTCAATAAATAGTATGAACAAATTACTGCATATGATTATTATATTGAAAAGTACCAGTGCTACTGTACAAATGTTTCATTCACAAATACTGCCTTTGAAATCCCTTTATCAAAAGTAATTTTCAAACCTTATCCAAGCCTACCTACAAGGTCCTAGGTTGAAGAGGAGGAGAGTACAACAGGCAAATGTAACTTAATGGGGGGAAAAAAGACTGATTCTTTAAGAAAATAAATAAATGAAATACAAGCAAGATTTATCCCTCTCTATTTCTACAGTAATAAAATACTCTGAATGAACAGCCCTGACTCTGAGATAAGGGATTCAAATTCTAATGAAAAAAATATGATTATGGATAGGATTAGGAATCCTACATTTAAGACTGTGATTAAATTGAAGAAGCATTTTATCTAGGACAAATTACAGATAGAAACTGGGAATTCCCAATATTTGGGGTATATTTTTTCTTAATTTAGGGTGTTTTAGGTATAATTAACACACAGGTTGAGTATCCTTTATTTGAAATGCTTGGGAATGGAAGTGTTTTTGAATTTGGGTTCTGGAATTTGGAATATTTGCATATGCATAAAGACATATCTTGGGGATGGGACCCCAACCAAAATATGGAATCCATTTATGTTTCATATATACTATACATAGCCTGAAGGTCATTTTCTTCCTGAGGCACAGTCAACAGACTACATGTTGTGGACCTGCCTTTGACTGTGACCTGTCACATGAGGTCAGGTGTGGAATTTTCAACTTGTGGCATCATGTTGGCATGCAAAAAGTTTCCAATCTTGGAGGATTTGGGGTTTTCAGATTAGGGCTGCTCAGCCTGTATATCACAATGCACCAATCTTCAGTGTTCATATTGTATTAGAAGTTACATACCTGTATATACTTGTAAAACTATCACTCAGAATACAACAGAATATTCCCAAAATCTCAGAAATGCTGCTTGGGTCCCTTTCCAATCAAATCTCCTCTATTCCCACCACAGGCAAATGTTGCCTATTTTTGAACATCGTTTAAATGAACCACATAGGAAGTACTGTTTTGCATCTGGCTTCTTTGTGTGTACCATGATGTTTGAGATCCATCCGTGCTGTTACATGTATCGATAGTTTGCTCTTCTCTATTGCTGAATAGTGTTCTACTGTATGAATATAAAGTAGAAAACTGCGCTTTTTATCCCTATATTCCAATCAGCTTTGCCATCTCTCCTGCCCCTTTCTGCAGGATACCACTGAGTTGAGTGGAATACTGTCTGTTTTGTTTCTCCATTCCCTCAATGATGACCATTCGGATTGTTGCTAGTTTTTGATACTATGAATAAACCTGCTATGAACATAGGTGTACAAGTCTTTTTGTAGATGTATATTTTCATTTCTCTTGGGTAAATACCTAGGACTAGACTTGTTGCATCATACAGCAAGTGTATGCTTTACATTTATAAGGAACTGCCAACATTTTTTTTCAAAGGACTTTTGCCATTGTATACCCCCACCAGCAAAGTGAGTTCTGGTTTCTCCACAATCTTTCCAGACAATTAGTATTGTCAGTCTTCTTGATTTTTGCCATTCCTATGTTTTAAATGTACAGTTCCCTGGTATCTAATGATGTAGAAACTCCTTTCATGTGCTATTTGGCCATTCTTACATCTTCCTTTGAAGTGTCCAAGTCTTTTGCCCATGAAAAAAATTTTCCTAATGATGTCTTAAGATGGGCAGAATTTTAAAATTTTATAAGGTCCAATCTAACAATTTTTGTATTTTGTTTGCTTATCTCTTAAGAAAAATCAGAAGAGCCAGAAATAAGAATACTTGACAAGACTGAAACCATGAGGGGTGACTTGGTAATTATACATTCAAATGAGCAACAAGAATACAAGTTTAAATACAATGTATCCTGAAAGTTCTGGTTTCAATTTTAGTATGTGGTTTTACCCCAGGCAGAGTGAATGGGCAGCTAAATACATTCATAAGTTAATTATCTGACTGAAACCAGGGAAGGGCTGATAGCATCTGGGATAGGCTTACCAAACTCTGGAGTGATAAGACATAATTAATTTGATGTTATACTATGGCTGAACCTATATAATGTTCCAGAAACTACCCTGAGCTACCATTTTTATGTGTAGATAACTTCTTTGATAAAATCTTTAACTGTGCTCAAGTCCTAAGATTGTTAACTTTGCATATCTGACATAAGGACAGAATTTAAATTCTACCTTCTAGAAGTCTTTCTGGATATCTTATAACAGGGCAGGTCAGTCAGACAATTAACTCTTAACTTGGCTTCCTACAAGTTTCACTGTAGCTTAGTTGCACTCAAAACGCAAAATATGTTTTCTTATCTTTGAAAGCATGATTTTTAACTGAAGCCCTTAACAAGTAAATGAATTCTAGTTGGAATTGGCAAGAGGACAAACCTAGTAGTCTCAGTTAGAAATGTCTTTTCCAACTGTGAGCTGTGTAGTTAATTACTCAAGTAAGCAAGGATCAATAAACAAATTCCAAAATATCATGTACCCTAGAACTCAGAATGATCTCATTTAAAATATTATGATACAAGGAAGGAAATAAGCTATCATTTTGGCAGAATCTTCATTTATCTAACTAACAGTGTGCAATTAATATTTCATATAACCATGTAGGGTATACTAGATTCTTAATGGATCGTATTGATTAAGAAGAAAGTTCAATACTGATGTTCCTGCTGGGGAAGACAGAATGATTTGTTAGCTCACACAGAACGAATCATGAATCCAGGAGTGTATGGCCACAAACCTAAGAGCTGCCACAAGAATGGTTTGATCATTTACATGTTTACACATAAACCACTTATACGAAAGGAAAGAAGATGCTTGGTGCAACACCAATAAACCCCAACTGCCACAGCAAGAACAGAGAAGAATGCTCCAGGTCATGGACTTACGAAGGACGTGGCCAATCTGGCTGCACCATCAGCAGCTTATTTCACCAGCTGAGATTCCTTTACACCCTATGCTGAAGTGATGGAAAAAAGTTTCCAAAGTGACCCTTTTGGTCTTGTGACCATGTTCATGAGATGGCTGCATTTTGCATTGTCTTTTTAGAGAAATTAACAATACTCTCTTGTCCTTGGTGTACACTCCTGCTCCTGCCCTTTTTATCCCTATATTCCCAATCAGCTTTGCCATCTGCCCTGCCCTTTTCTGCAGGATACCACTGAGTTGAGTGGAATACTGTGGCGACCAGTCATGGAGTAGAGAGATAATGCAGATGGAAATCTCTCTTGTTAATGTTTCTTGACATTTACTTCTATTATCTTAGAAAATAGTATTTAGACCAAGTATAGAGATCTCACCCAAGGAACTAAAAAGAAAGTAAATAACTAACCAGGCAGATCTGATTTGAAGGGCTCCAATTTTAGAAGGGGGGAAAAAGCATTAATACCGAAGCTTTCTTTGTAAATATAACCAATTCTAAATGGGTATCGTAAGAAATACTGTTAAATATTGGCATGCTCCAAAGCCAGTCTCACTTTCCTTGGACTAATTTGTTGCTTGGTGGGAGGTGGACAGACAAACAAACCAGGCAGATTGACAGCTTGGGAGCTGGCACTACCTTACATATCCCCGATGAGATACGGAAGGAGCTGCATCATCTACAACTTTCCTAAAATGGGAGCCACTATCTTGCAGTTGAATAAAACAACTTACGACCATTTTTTAGATAAGGATCAAAGACAACTTTCTCAGTTAACTTTTAAACTTTCTCAGCTTATATGCCCTACAGAAGGTGACAGTTATAATTTACATTTTATAGATGGAAGACACAAGTCAAAGACATAATAAATAACCTGCCTGAGGAATTTTGTGTTCTAAATAACCGAGTCCATGTGACAGCCAAATGTGTATTTGCCATTAGCTTCATATACAAAGTATATTCATAAGTACATTAACATCTTTCTTCAATTTCAGAAATGAAATCCTCCTCCAGCAGCACATTTGCAAATTCCAGAGGGGACATGATATACTATGGAAGTTGACATAGGTGAGCTGATGTTTTAAAAACAAAAACCAACAAATAACTCGAAACTTCTAAAGACGTAATTGTAACCAAGAGGCTTGTGCACAAAGGGTACAGGTATATTTACTTTATCTAGAATTTTGCCTCTTCAATTACTAAGTCTCTTACTGAATAATCAAGATGTTACTTGGCTCCAAGGACCGTGGGGAATAAAATGTCACCACTGCAGCTGCTATATTTCTTGCTCACAGCCCTTCAAATTAAAAAAGGGGGAAAAAAGGCCCAATACAAATGCAGAATTTAATTAGTTAGTAAAAGCCCAAATCCTTGCCTGAAGCCCTGTTCTTCCTGTAATATCGCATTCTTTTCTTCTTGTGTAAACTTTTCATTATGAAGGAGACATCTTTATAATACAATAACTCTAGTTATAATGTAACTGCTGGTAACATAACTCCTGCATTAGAGAAGGCAGCATGTTCAAGTAATGTTGTTTTAATACAATTTGTGTTCAGCAGAAACCAAGTCAACTTGATCATTTAGAATTTGATCAATGTGAATTAGTGTCTTACTGAGATACACCATTTGATCATTTCAAAACTGATCAATGAGAATCAGAGATAAAACATTTATCATGTACATTTGGTATATTAGATCCATTCACACAGCACTAAAGTAGGTTATAAGTAGACATCAATACGTGTTAGAGAAGATGTTCAGGATACCTGTCAGCTGCAGATACAAATACACGTGAAACAGCATATAATTTTAATACTTTTGATAAGGCATGTTACTCAATAAGGGAGCTGGAGTCACTGACAAATTGCAAGAACTCAACTTCAGAGAAACTAGAAAGAGAAGCACAGAACTTAATAGCTCAAACTTTTGAAATAAGTTTTAATTAAAAGTTTAAGAAGAAAGATAAGTAACATAAATTTACCTGATTAAACTTCTAGAAGAATTTTAAGACTATTAATCAGAGTAAACTTTGTACTTTTAGTACAATTAGTTCTATTAATCTAATATTTCCAAAATGAGGTTGCATTGACATTCAGGCTCACTGGCTTATGCATCTAGCAGAATTATAAATTTGCCAGTCAAAACCGTATTTAATTATTTTACAGCCAATTAAGCAGGATCTTTAAACACCATTGCTTAAAACTGTCCATGATACACATGTGTAATTATACAGAACATGAGAAACACCTGCTGATACTATTGGCGTGTCTTCCTCGGCTTCACCAATTCATCCGTAATATAGCTATTAAAATATTACATCCAAAAAAGAAACTAAACAATATTGCCAGTGAAAGTGCAACCCCTAAAAAAGAAAAAAAAATCAAGGACATTTTAAAGTCAAAGGGTTTTACATTGAAGAAAACCTTTAAAGATGGTAATATTTACAAAATCCATTTTATCTGTATGAGTTCTGCATAGTATTCCTCAGATACTCTAAAATCACCTAAACTACTTTTACAGGGTAACTAATCTTTTAATACTTTATAAGGATAACCTAAGCTTCTTCTATGAGCCTAAATTTATAAGTCAGGTTTCAACAACTTCATTCAGGGATAAAAGCGAAAACCCCTCTAAAATCTGGCACACAAAGGAGTATTACTGGTATTCACTTCCAAGTTCATAGACTTGTACTTCTTTAGAAGTGCTTCTTCTTTCACAGAAACTGAAGCCATGTTAAAAAGTTGTACCTCTAATGAAATCATTCCAAAAATATTTTCAATAGATCTATGTCACTTTCCATGCATATTTTTTCTTTCTTTTATGGAAAATAGAAACTCGCCACTTCATTATGTAAAGGACAGAATGAGAATGAAGTATCAATTGTCCTGTAAAATGCTTTTCATTTGTTTACTATCACATTGTCTTTACCATGCCTATATTGCCTTTAAAATATTTAACATGTCTTTGATATTTGCTTTACATTTACTTGATATTTGCTTTTCTATTTTAAAAACAATTCACATGCATAAACACTCTGGTAACATCTTCTTTCTATAGGTGTGGCATATCAGCTCCAATGTAGCCACAGAGATCTGATTCTGACATTGACCAAGAAACAGGAGGCCGGCAGCACTCCAGCTACATTGCTGTGAGGCTTCTCTTACATGCTATTCTATCATGAGTGCTTTATGTGCCGGTCATCCTGGCTAGAGTATGAGCTCCATAAGGGTAAGAACTCCTTCTAATGTGCTAGAGGTTTAGCAGCATCTAGAATTTGTTTAAAAACAAATACAGAGATTTCTCCGATAGCACATAGTTTCATAACTTTTGATAATCAAATGCAGTATTTATTACTTTGTGCTAGGTCTGTGTTAAGAACTACACATGTAACATTATTAAAATAATACTTTGTTTAATTAATTACCTATGAGGTACAGCATAAGGATTAATATAAAATATAATTTGCATTAGGATGAGCTGTAACATTACTAGCGCCATATAATAGAAACTAGCACCCTAAGTTGTTATAAAATGCGACATGAAGTGTTGACAATTACTGTTTTAGTTGGATTGAGAAAAGAAAAGGTATTCCTTTTGAATTAAGGTTACATATAAGAAGAATGCTGGATTTGCTCAGTGATTTAGGTTTTAGAGCTAAAATTTTAAATCTATTGTGGGAAAATAAACAGTCCAAATTATCTTCGAATCCCTTAGTTCCCACTGAAATCATGGTAAGTAATATTTTTAATAACTTGATATGCATTGGAAATGTAATCACCCCAAAAGAGGAGAACTAACTTTGAATTTTTTAAAAAGATCATCATTTAAAAAGTTTGTCTTCCTTTTGTTTTTCTCTGATGAACTCTGAGTTCCACACTAGTAATAAGATCCTGGCCTGTTTTCTTAGTTGTATATTCAGGCTTGGCTTGTCACACAGGGGCTCTATGAATGAATGATGTGTGGATAAAGTAGGAGAAACAATCCATTAATTCTCAAAGTATTTTACTGCCAAAACTATACATTGAGGGGCTGAAGTATGAGTTAATATCTTAAGCATCCCTAAAATAATTCGATTAGCTATCCTGGTAGGTTACATTAATATGCTGGTGTTAGTCATGGGCAGCTTCAAATGCTCTTAGCTTTCTTTCTCTTTACAGTGATTTGTATGACCCCTGATCAGGTATATAATATTGCCCTTGACACTGCACTTTAAAAAGCTTCTATCTCCTGTAACCAAGATGCACATAAATGAATCCTACTTTCATCAGATACAATTAACTAAATTCTCCTCAAAGTCCTTCAGAACTTGTTGCCTAAGAGGAACTGTTGAGTTCCGGTTCAGGTTCAAGATAGAGCTCCTCAAGGTGATGCTTACAGGTGCTAAGCTGGTCATACAGATAGGAGCCAGTGAAAATAATCTGACCAGGCGAAAAACCCCTGTCATGCAATGCAAATATTATATATTGTCTTACAAAAGTCCTGATTATCTGAGATGGCCAAATTTCTAAAAAGAAATAGCAGTCTACTAAGTAATCTCTGTGCCTTCAAAGATGGTAAGCATCTCCTATACCCAATGTACTATCACTTCCTAGGTGTGAAGCTAATGAACTCACTGCAAATCAAAATACAACATTCTAGGAAGCTCAGCCTAGCAGGAAGTAGCTGGGAGAAAAAACGATATAATGAAAGCCACTCCCTAAAAAACTAGCTATTAGAATTTCTTCAAAGTGTGTTAAAACCTAGGTTTTGTGTGCAATGGAGTTAGTCAAAACGCAAAAATCCAAGGGCACAGTCCCCAAGATTGCTCTCACTTCTGACACATCAACAGCAAGTTTGCAGAGCGGGGGAGGGAGGGTCCAAACCAGCCAAAATTCAATGGTTCAATAATTCACTGAAAGAACTCAGAACTCACTGTAAGCTGTTAAACTCAGTTATGGTTTACTATAGGGCAATGATACAGAAAATCAGCCAAAGGAAGAGATGCATAGGACTGAGCCTGGGGGTTTCCAAATGCAAAGCTTCCAATGTCCTTAGGACCTGCTGCCCTCCTGGTATCAATGTGTGACAGTGCCCATGGAGTCCTGTCAACCAGGAAAGCTCACCTGAGCAGCACTGTTCAGAGTTTTATTGGAGCCTCATTAAACTGCTTGACTGATGGTCCACATGATAAACTCACCTCCCCAGAGGCTGAACTGATACCACATGGTCCAAGGGGCCCAGCAAGAATAGCAATTTCTTTTTTTTCCTCTCATTTATTTATTTATTTATTTATTTATTTATTTATTTATTTAGAGACAGGGTCTTGATCTGTTGCCCAGGCTGGAAGGCAGTGGTGCTATCTCAGCTCACTGCAACCTTTGCCTCCTAGGCTCAGGTGATCCTCCCACCTGAGCCTCCCTCCCCAGTGGCTGGGACTATAGGCATGCGCCACCACACCTGGTTAATTTTTGTATTTTTTTTTTTTTGTAAAGACAGGGATTCACCATGTTGGACAGGCTGGTCTCAAAATCCTGGGGTCAAGCAATCCACCCGCCTCGGCCTCCCTAAGTGCTGGGATTACAGGCATGAGCCACCTCGCCTGGCTGAGAATAACAATTTCTATCACTAGGAAATTCGAAGGATTTAGAATTTCTCAGGAGCTTGGTCCAAAATCCAGACCTCTCTTTGGCCAAGGCCAATTTCTTACTACACAGTTTGGCCATATTATTAATTATTCTTGAATAATATTTAATAGGTAAGACAGAATGATGCTGTTGAGGTTCTGTTTAAAACAAAGCCTAACTTACAGGGCCCTGCTGACTTGCAGGAGGTCAGCCATCATGATGTCAACGTTGTGCTTCCCGTGGCCTCTCGCACTCCAAACCTAGTTCAGGCTGAATGACATGGCAGCTGGGCAGAGATTCAGGACAGAGATTTTTGCATCTAAAATCCAGACCTATCTTTCTCTATGAAATCCACTCTCCACTGATTTTCCAATCTGCTAACCTCATAATTCTGGTTCTTTTGCCCCCTTTATCTAAATGTTAGGGGATGAATTGTGTGTCCTGAAAATTCCTAAGCCCACTGCTCAGTACCTCAGAATGTGACTGTATTTGGGGTGAGGGTCTTTGAGGAGATAATTAAATTGTAGTGAGGTCACAAGGGAGGGTTTTAGTCTAATATGACTGGTATTCTTGTAAGAAAAGCAGATTAGCATGTAGACACAAGAGGAAAGACTGTGTCAAGACACAGGGAGCAGATGGCCATCTATAAGCCAAGGAGAGAGGCCTAGAAGCAACCAGCCCTGGCGTCACCTTGACCTTAGACTTCTAGCCTCCAGAACTGTGAGAAAATACCTTTCTGTTATTTAAGCCACCCGGTCTGTGGTACTTTGCAGTACTGGCAAACTAATACACCAACCAATCACAAATTCATGTGTCTGATTTTTTTTTTTTTAGACAGAGTCTTGCTCTGTTGCCCAGGCTAAAGTGCAATGGCATGATCTCAGCTCACTGCAACCTTTGCCTCTCGGATTCAAGCGATTCTCCTGCCTTAGCCTTAGCTACCTCAGTAGCTGGGATTACAGGCATGCACCACCATGCCCAGCTAATTTTTGTATTTTTAGTAGAGATGGAGTTTTGCCACGTTGCCCAGGCTGATCTTGAACTCCTGGCCTCAAGTGATCTGCCTGCCTCAGTCTCCCAAAGTGCTGGGATTACAGGTGTGAGCCATCACGCCTGGCGCCATGTCTAAACTTTCAACAACTTTTTTTTTCTCTTGCACTTGTAGAGACTTCCCATCTGATTGTTTTTTCTTTTTCTTCTTTTAAGACATAATCTCACTCTGTGACTGGAGTGCAATGGCACAATCATAGCTCACTGCAGTCCTGGGTTCAAGCAGTCTGCCACTTCAGCCTCTCCAATAGCTGGGACCACCAGTATATGCCCCTACAACTGGCTAATTTTTAAGTTGTTCTTTTGTAGATACAGGGTCTCACTATGTTGACCAGGCTGGT
This sequence comes from Homo sapiens, assembly GCF_000001405.40. Lineage (NCBI taxonomy): Eukaryota > Metazoa > Chordata > Mammalia > Primates > Hominidae > Homo > Homo sapiens. The sequence goes on from NC_000007.14 coordinate 132,836,692, forward strand.
TTTGAACTTCAGGCCTCAAGCGATCCTCCTGCCTCAGCCTCTCAAAATGCTGGGATTACAGGTGTGAACCACCACAGCTGACCTTATCTCATTCTTCAAGTTCTTATTTTTCATGTCTCCAACTAAACCTCACATCCACTGCCAGGTTACTTTTCCTTCAGGAGCCCAGAAATCAGAGTGCTCATCTGGTCAAACATCTTCCCATGACTCATTGCTCAATGAAGACCAAACTTCACAGCCCAGCAGCTAATGACCCACTGACCTTTCCAGTTTTATCTTGCACCAGTCTTTCTGACTCAAGACACTGCTTTGTCACCCACCAACTACAGAGCACAGTTTTCCTTCTGAATATCTTTCCCGTCCACCTACTCAATACTCTTCTTAAAGGCTCAACTAAAAAGTCATCTTCTTTATGAAAACTTCACAGATCACTCTAGTCAAAATTGATCTCTAATGTATCCGAAATTTAGCTGTTTTTATAGCTATTGTCTTAGAATAAAGAAATATTCGGGGAGCCAACTCGAAGGTTCTCATGGGATAGAGACAAAAAAAGGTTTACCACCTAAAAAAAAGTCATTATATCATTAGGGAGAAAAATAAACACCTAACTTAAAATAATATATGTAGAGTAACTTAAAAAATCTATAACCAGTTCTATTAATATGTCTAAATTCTTAAGATCTCACATTAATCTCTAATAGTGAGACTTGTGGCCCATCCTTGGAAGGTCTCTCTCTGCTGCCTCTAAAGAGATAGTTCACTACAGAAGGCTGAAGGGCTTTGGCTCTTTAAATAAACCTCAAACTACCTTTAATTTTTAAAAAATTTTATTTTAATCCACATTACAATAACACTAATATCCATTAACACACAAATTGTACTGTAGCAGAAAGTAGTAATTCCACCTTAGGGTTTAATCATTTTATCAAATGCTTGTAAACATGTGCAAGGAAGGAGGTCAGAGCCCGATGCAATCTTTCAACTAAAGCTGTCACAACAACTTTTTTTGCTTCACTAATTTGCGCATGTGCTACTAATAGAGGTTACACAATAGGACTATTTATATACTCAGAAAAATTCTGAATGATGTCTTCTAACCTAATGTGAGAACTGGCAGCAAAGGGAAAGTACAAAGCTATGGGACACGGACACTTTGATCCATCAATTACAGAACATTCATTTAAACACTCCAAGGATTAAGAGAGGTAGCAATTTAACATCACCTTCATAATCAAGGGCCAGGTAAAGTCTATGATTTAAAGCCTTTCAAGGTACATGTGAAGAAATGAAAACAGCCTAACCACGAGAAAGGCAGATACCCAAATTTGGACATGCCCATCATTTTATTATACAAAAGTGAATGGTTTCTATGTTTCCCTTAATACAGTAGCAATTTAACATGACCTTCATAATCAAGAGCATTCTATTTTATATATTATTACAAATGATAATACTATTACCATTGCTTTCAATTTCCCCCTAGTTCATAAAATACATGGATTTGTAACAAGCTTTCATCAAATGCCTTTGTCTTGGCATCTGAATTCCAGTATAGCAGATAACATGGCCCCCATCTCAACCACCCCAAAACTCTTCCAAGTATTCTAGAGTGCTATATAACAAACTATGATCTGTGCAAAAAGCACTAAAACTGTGCTTTCATCTTGTTAAGAATAGTAAATAATTATAATACTATTAAAAACTTACTTGAACTTTGCTTCCACCTCTTCAGCAGCTTTCTGATATTGTTCAGTGGTGACTCTGTAGAACTCTGAGCTCTGTGGACAAAGATTGATAGCAAAGGTTTCACTATCCAAGATGACAAAATGTGTGGAAGATTTACAACTTCAAAAAACACATAAAACCTTGTTTCAGCCACTCAAGCAGTAGAAGACTTTCTTGTATAGGTGGCATGGATACTTATAAAACACATGTAAAGCTACTCGTTTAAATAACAGTAGAGTTGTTGGTATGCGGATTATAATTACAGAGTAAACGTTCACAGTTACAATTCCTTATCATTTGATCCTTTGGAGAAAATTCCTAACATTTTGGAAAGATTCTTTAGATTGCCATTATTTGGAATCTACCCTTGTAAGATCAAAGGATGCCTGAGATCAAAAACTGAAATTCACACACATTCGTATTTATATATTATTCCATTGGTGTTCCTACTAGGATATTAAAGATCATTTCTTTCTACACAATATTTTTGTCATCAAGATGGTATGGCTCATGCCTATAATCCCAGCACTTTGGGAGGCCGAGGTGGGCGGATCACCTGAGGTCAGGAGTTCAAGACCAGCCTGACCAATATGGAGAAACCACGTCTCTACTTTAAAAAAAAAAAATTAGCTGGGCATGGTGGCACATGCCTGTAATCCCAGCTAATCAGGAGGCTGAGGCAGGAGAATCGCTTGAACCCGGGAGGTGGAGGTTGCGGTGAGCGGAGATGGAGCCATTGCACTCCAGTCTGGGCAACAAGAGCAAAATTCCATCTCAAAAAAAAAAAAAAGTTTTCTTTATGGAGCTTAAGTTGTTCTATCATTTCCACGTGACCACAAGAACAACAACATTTATAACTAATCAGTAGGAACAAGGGGGCAGATTTAGATAATTTTAATAACAAAAAATGTTTCCACTATGAACAGGAATGGACACATAAACAACATAAACCAAGATGCAGTGGCAAAGTAATGCCTTTCCTGGGGCAGCAAAATTTATCCATACTGACTAGCTACACTGAAACTGGTCTTATTGCAGGAGATGGCCTAAATGACCCCATGAGCCCTAAGACTCAATGAAATATCCTGCAAAATGCACTGCATTAAAAAACAACAACAACAAAACACCACCACAATACGGTAGTCTATTGTGTACCTTTCATTCTCTAATCACTCAGGTTTCAAATGCATGGCTTGCAATCATTTATTTTTTAATAAATCATTGTTGGTTGGTGAAAAAATGAAAGTGAAATCCTCTTCACACCAGTGACCCCTTTGCATTTAACAATCTTGGTTGTCCAATGACAGTCACATCCAGGATTCTTGGATGTAGATAAAATCAATAGGTATGTGATTAGATAGCAGACTCAGGGTGGCTAGAGCCATAGACAGGTCACCATTTGAGATGATGAATGGCTTTCTATCAACCTATAGTCCCCTACGATGCTAACATTTACTATAATCTTATTTGGGCTACGATTTATCTTTCTTGCACCTGATCAATAAAGATGAACAGAACAGTTGTAAGGATCGATTGTAATTTTTTATCATTTTCAAGCACAAAGGTGCATTTCTGACATGAAGACAATATTCTAAGTGTACTGCTGCTGCATTTTATAAAATTGCAATTTGAGTGATCAACTGTAATTGTCTATATGCCGAGAGGTTTTAACTCCTCTGTAGGTCTCAAGCTATCAAAAAACCATTTGTCATCTCAGATACTTAACTTAAGGTTATGTCACACCTTCCTATCTGTTTCACTTATAAGATTTTCTTCCCTTAAAATACACACCAGTCACAACAGGCTCTTTTGCAATGTTTGGTGTAATCCTTCCTTTGAACCCTTCTAACAAAGAATGTAGCAAAAAGGCAGTTACTAATCACTAACAATAGTTACTCTCACTAAAGATGAGAAACTCCCAAATTACTCTAATGAACTGTTGAGTGGGTATTATGTTACTGAACTATCTACTAAAATGCTGGCTAAGCAATAACATCTTAATTAATACTTTTGCTTAGTTTAAGCACTGGAACTGTAATATCTGGAGAGAGACAGGACTAAGCTGACAGATCTGGTTTCTGGTTCTGTTCTGTGACCTTGAGCAGGTCTTTAATCTCCCCCAGCTTCCCTTCCAGTGTTCCTAACCCATCGAGTATGGATGATAATATTAGCCCTGCTTATTTCTGCCAAAGCTGTTGAAGAAATCAAATAAGATAGGCAAGAGAGCTGTGAAATCTGTTAAATGTTTTCACAGAGTACATCAACATCTCAATAAAATAATTTTGGAGGAAAATAATTAGGGTAATTCCATTCTAGGTATAGATTCTAAATGGTAAAAAGTAAGTATTACTTGTTTTATTAACAATGTGCACAAAAGCAACAGTTTGCCATAATACAAATTAGTCAGTTCCTCTCTGCTTTGCCATGCCAAATGCAGTAAAATTATTACTAATTTTGTTAACTTTCCTATAGGATGTTAAAACACACACACACAATCACACACACACACACACGCAATCACACACAAAACCCAGTACCTGTGTTGCTTGAAAACTTAGCACATAGTTCTCAAATTAAAGCTTTAGGCTTTATGTATGCTCCATACTTCCACCTCAGCAACCAGTTTCCCATATTGCATAAATCTTTCCAACAAAGAAAAGTCCCCAGGAGGTAACATCATGTAACAACCAAGGGAATAAACACAAGTATTCTCAAGATCTATGTGTAGACAGTGTTTAATTCATTATTTAAGTATTCACTTATCTGTGAAAGAAAATTAAATTCTTACTGTCCTAATAACATCCATCTTTGGGAATCAGATGCTCAAGAAGCTTTCCATCTGACATGGGAGAAAAGAACAATTATTATCATGGAAAGTCACAAATGCCGAGTTAAAAGTCATAGATAAGTGTTACTGGAGTTCAGAAAGAGTAGAGATCTCCTTTGGCCTCAGAAGACACTTTTACAAATGGACAGAACTCATTCAAAAAAAAAAAAACAAACAACAACAACAAAAAAAAAAAAACAACCAACCCAACAAAAAACACTCATTCTGTTTTCCAATGAGAGAACGGATAACTACTGGGTATTCGTACAGTGAAAATCTACAAAGTAAAGGAATGAATTAGACAAACATGCAGAGCAAAAAAGTGGTAGATCTGATCAGTACGATGTACCTTATGCCAAGATTGGAAAAGTGAAAAGTAATGAACAAGAATAGTAAACACCAAGTTCCACTGATGATCTCCGAGTGGCAGCAGTCATGTGGTGTGGTGGAAGTGCACAAAAGGAGCAGGATGCCACAAAGTATGGGAACACGGGCTTTGCTGGGTTGCTATATTTTTAAAAATGAGGTGTGGGCGTGCAGCTAGTCATTACATTGGCTTAAAATATTTTATAGGCCGGGCACGGTGGCTCATGCCTGTAATCCCAGCACTTTGGGAGGCAGAGGCGGGCATATCACAAGGTCAGGAGTTCGAGACCAGCCTGGCCAACATGGTGAAACCCAGTCTCTACTAAAAATACAAAAAAATTAGCCAGGCGTGGTGGCTCATGCCTGTAATCCCAGCTACTCAGGAGGCTGAGGCAGGAGAATCACTTGAACCCAGGAGGTGGAGGTTGCAGTGAGCCAAGATCGCGCCATTGCATTCCAGCCTGGGCGACAGAGCAAGACTCCATCTCGAGAAAAAAAAAAATTTTTTTTAATATTTTATAATACAGACAAAAATTGTATTACTCCCACCTCCCTCCAAAGGGGTTAACAATACAAGATTTTGTTTGGCTAGAATATAAAAGTGTATTGGGCAGGGCGGGCACATCCTGAAAAGGTTGGCTAAGTGGGGATTTTATATATTCTTGAATACTAAACTGTTGCAGTGTATACACAATACTAAGCAAACATACTCTCTTCATTTTTATTGTGAAAAAATTTTAAAGTTACAGAAAATAGGCAAAAGATTCCCATCTATCCTTCACCTAGGTTCCCCTTATGTCCACATCTTAGATAATTATAATACAATTATCAAAGGTAATGATTTAACAATGTTACAATAGTAGTAACTGAACTACAGACTTAATTCAGCTATTTCCAGTTTTCCCACTAATGTTCGTTTTCTGTTTCAGGACTTAATCTTGGATCCTATGTTGTATTAATTGCCATGGCTCCTTAGTCCCCTCTCATCTGTAACAGTTCCTCAGTCTTCCTTCTCTGTTATGACCTTGACACTTCTGAAGAATACTGGTCAGATATTTTGTAGAGTGACTCGTGATTTGGGCTCACCTGGCGTTTTCTCATGGTTAAGAGTTTATGCACTACTGGGAAGAATTCTACAGAAGCAATATGCCTTTCTCCTGCCTGATTTCAGGGGCTACCTTATGGCAACAGATCTTTTTATTGAGGTTGACCTTGATTACCTGATTAAAGTGGTGTCTGCGGGGATTCTCCACAACAAAGCTACCATTTTTCCTTCCTGTAATTGATATCTTGCAGGAGATACTTTGAGACTATACAAATGGTCTGTTTCTTCTCAAAGTTTTGTCCATCACCTTTTGGTATCCACTGGCGAGTCCTGCCTGCAGCAATGATTACTGTAGTGTTCTGATGGTACATAGATTTCTTTCGTTTTTGTTTATTTGTTTTAAGATGGAATCTCACTCTTTCGCCCAGGCTGGAGTCCAGTGGCACAATCTCGGCTCACTGCAACCTCCGCCTCCCAGGTTCAAGTGATTCTCCTGCCTCAGCCTCCCGAGTAGCTAGGATCACAGGGGCACATCCACCACACCCAGCTAATTTTTGTTGTGAGCGCTTGGTTCAAGGTCTATGGACCACCTGCTTCAGAGTCACTTATGGAGCTTATTAAACAGTAGAGTCTTGGGCCACATCCTGAATCTCTGGGGATGGGGCCAGGAAGCTGCATTATTTACAAGCAGCTTGGGTGATTCTGAATACACACACTAAATTTGTAAACTACAGGGTTTCTAGAACAATGCGAGAATAATATAGTATTTAGCTTGCCATTCAAAGTGAAAAAAAATCAGTGTTTTTGAAGAATGATGGCAAATAACCACTTTTCATAATTAAATATAGCTATAATCTTTACAAAGGTACTCCAAATTAGTGATTCTGCCAATGTTGTTGGCAGATCACTGGTGGACCCCAAACTCCTCCAAGAACTCTGTCTTCACACATTGCCTAGCAACACCACAATGTTCCTACCCTGAATGGGTACTGAGAGGTAGGAGCACAACTATTTTCAGAAAGGTTGCTTTTGTTATCTCTGTTGTCTTGAGATGGTAATAGGTTGCACATGCTGCTATCTTGTTTATTAATTATAGATGACTGTTACTTTAATGTCATCTGTTTTCTTTGGTTAACCCTGCAGTTCGTAGTAGGATATATATCAATTTGTCTGATCATTTACTAATAGCTGAATTGTAAGACTTGTATGATCTGTGCTCAAATAAGGAACAACCACATTCCTATTTCCAAAGAAGATGTGTACATTCCCTCCCAAATTTGTTAAGAGTAATTACTTACAGTATATGGAATGGGGAAGAAATCCATTAAGATGACCTTAAAAAGATAAATAAAGAGAACAAACGGGCCGGGCGAAGTGGCTCACGCCTGTAATCCCAACACCTTGGGAAGCTAAGGCGGGCGGATCACTTGAGGCCAGGAATTCAAGACCAGCCAGGATAACGTGGTGAAACCTCATCTCTACTAAAAATACAAATTAGCCAGCTGTGGTTGCGGGTACCTGTAGTCCCTGCTACTCGGCTGGCTGAGGTATGAGAATTGCTTGAACCCAGGAGTCAGAGGTTGCAGTGAGCCAAGATTGTGCCACTGCACTCCAGCCTTGGCGACAGAGCAAGACCTGTCTCAAAAAAAACAAAAAAATGTGGAGAAAGAAAGATGTCCATGATCTTACAAGGTGGTCTAAGGTGATCTTCTAATGAATAATCATTTTTTTGTGTGTAACAACATATCACTTCTGTGCCTATAAGGTCCTTTACAGTCTAAAATAAAAACTATCTTCATTCATATTCACTCTGCATATTGTCCTGCCCCATAAACAGCAGAAAAAATACTTGACATGATTTGTCCAATGGTACGGTTAATGTAAATTTGTGGCAGGTACATGTGATTTAATTCAAATATCAAAGGTGTGATTTAATAATTTCTTTCTTTAAAACAGAAAGTCTTATTGTTTGATATAAGCATAAAACATGTTTTCCATCAAGACTCTTTGAGAAGGTAGATCTCATAAATTTAAAGTAGAATGACAGTACCTCTTAGATGTGTTAGCACTATCAACCATCTGATAAAGACTTGCACATCCTTGTCAAAGATAAGCCAAGTAAGCTCCTAGGAGGTAAACTATATCTAAAACAACAATATAATTCTCTATATTTGGAAGATATTTCTGTCACCTATTTTAATAGACAAGGCATCATTGGAAACAATAGGTATTTTGATTTTCTGTATTAAAACACATTCCAATCTAAGGCACCATGGATCAATTACTGAAAACATGGGCAACAAACTGTGTGGGGAGACTGAATGCTCCATTGTACATACTTTTTAATACGTTTCCTGTAAAACCTATGCATATGTCGTCCACAGAACTCCGCACTTAGGTGGGCGATTGTTAGCAGTACAGCATGGTGGTTAAGAACATGGACTTTGGAGCCAGATGGCCAAATCATGGCCCTACCCTTGTGAAACTGAGTAAGTTACTTAACCTCAACAGTTACTTTTCCTCTGTAAAACAGGACTAGTGTAACAATGATTACCTAATAGGATTCTCTGGGGATTAAATAAGGTAATATATGTAAAACTCTTTGTAGCACCAGGGACTTAGGAATGTGACCTATTATTAAAAATTATTTGAACAGGGGGAAAAAAACTGTATAGTGTGGGGTGGGGTGGTTTTTTAAAAAAGCCATTTTAATAAAAATTTAAATCTGTAAAACAAAAGCCTATTCTTCCATTAACCAGACATTGGTGAATGTTGCTCACACTGCTTACCTGTTCTGTTTTTCTGTTCCTTAAGACGGATGGGAAATATGAAGACAATAGTGGACCAGTGTCAGGAGCGTTAATAGCTACGGAATTAACTAACCAGCCCATATAAAAAAATCAAACCAATAACATTTGACCTTATCACTAATGAAATCCAATTAACTACATTGAACAGCCAAAGTACTTTAATGCCAAGACTTCCCAAGGCCTTGCTTTTTACTCTATATGTGAATCTCTAAGATGAGAACTACTGTTCATGATTCTCAAACTGATTTGCTCATGGAGCATCTTGAGGGAAGAGAATCTCCTAAAATGGTCCATGAGAAACGCCAGATTAAAGAAAAGTCCAACCACATGTCAATCCTGTACTTTCCGGCATGCAACTTTTCTTTTCTCAAAGCGGCATTTTCTTATGGGTTATTTTTTAAACTGATGTTCAAAAGGTAATTGGCAATATTGAAAAATGATTCCACAACTGATGAAGATTGATGGTATCACCTTTTATTCAGTATTAATAAAGAAGGGCATGCTATTATCTTGAATTTTAAAAATCTGAGATGAAATCCTCTAAGAAAATTATTGCTATACCCTCCCCTGTTCTCTCAGAACCCAGTGGTAGATGGCAAAAATGGCCACCATGCTTTACTCTTTTCTATATCCGTGACCCCAGCAACATGACTTCACAGCTTCTCTCATGATGAGAGTATGGAGTTTACTTCCCCATCCCTTCAGTCTGGGCTGTGTTTGTGTCTTGCTCTGGGCACCAGAATACGACAACAGTGATGGTGTACCAGTTTCAAACCTGGGCCTCTCTCTTGCAACCCTGCACAGGGCCATGTCAATCACCCCAGGCTAGCCTGCAAGCGGGAGAGAGACTACAGGCTATCTATGGTGAGGACAGCCTAGAGCAGCCAAACCTCAGCCAACTCAGCAGGAGTGAGCCCAGCTGATAACAGTCCAAATTGGTAACCTGCAGAATCAGGATGTGAGTAAAATGGTAGCTGTTTTAAGCCACTAAGTTTGTGGTAGTTCATTATATAGTAAAAGCTAACTGATTATGCTCCTTCTCTGTGTTCTTACAAAGAAGAGACTTTTATAACTTACCACACTGTACCAACATGTATTTCTGTGTGGTCCCCACCTAGTCCATAAGCTCCATAAGCATACCTAGGAGTAGGTATCTTGTCCTATTCATCATTATACCTAGAGCACTCAGCAAACTACATGACACACAAACTCACAGAAATAATGTTAGAGTGACACCTGCAATTCTAAACAGCACTTCAACTGTTGCTCATATTTAAAACAGGATGGGATAGAGACAAGTCTAAAGTAAATGAAATAATGTTATAATGAGGATGAAAAGAAATACTACCTTTATTATATCTACTACAAATTGACAAACACTTCAGCCTGCAATGCTACCACAAAAAGGAAATGTATATCACTTAAGATGTGTTCAACTACAATAATAGTACAGTAACAGTTGAAGCTCGAAACAGTAGCTTAAACAAGTAAGGGGTTTATTTTTCTCGTGTAATAAGAAATCTGGATGGGAAACTCAGGGCTGATATAACTATGCAAGTGTATCAACAAATAACTAGGCCCCCTCTTCTGTCTTCCCTTGTAGCCACCCCGAGCAGTTGACTTCTGTCTTCATGGTTCAAGGTAGCTACTGCACCTGCAGTTATTATGCCCATGTCCTCAGGGTGGAGGAAGGGGGAGGTCCAGAGATTCGTACTTCCACCCCTTCGGCTACAATTATATCATGCAAAGGAGGCTGGGAATCCCAGCTGCAAAGGAGGCTAGGAAATTGATTATTTTTGTTTTCTCACTTCTAGGGTAAAGAAGAAGGAAGAAAGAATTTGGAATGGGTGTTTACTGAGCAAATTTATTGTACCTGCCACAGAGAGCTGAGGTGACAGCACAAAATCAAGTACAAAACAAAGTGGTTGATTTTAGATGCAAGTATTCCAATATTTCTTTCCAATCTCTCCTTAAACTAATTTGGGGTATGGGGGGGATTTACCCATCTGGTATCTTCATCCCCAAGAACAAAGTTTCTAGACCGTACGGAAGGAAACGAGAATCAACAAGAGTGGGCATCATTCCCAAGTTTCTCTGGGCTGGCCGTGGCCCAGGATTTTGAATGTGCGATACACTGCCATTTTCCATTTTCAGAAAGTCTCACTTTTAAAAGTGTATATTAAAATGCACATGCACAGATACACATTATTGCTCGATTTGAAAACTATCTGTTTTCAAGTTCTAAATTTGATCAAAAGAAAACATGCACATACACACACAGTATTCGTGCAATATTTTCTCAGATTCTGAATCTTGTTTTATTATAACTAGTATGATCATACCCATCGCATGTACAAAAAGAACAAATCAAAGAGGTCATAAGAAAAATGTAACTGGCTCTTGTCAGTTCTTTTATAGAATGCTTCATATGGAGATTAGGGCATGACTATGTAACACATGAGGGCTGAAGTACAATTTAAATTCTGGTGGCCTGACACTATTTCCCAGAAAAGAACAAGACGATTGCCTGTCCGTTCAAGGATGGTGGCAACTCCACAGATCCTTAGCACCAAGAGAATGGTGGCAGAAACAAGTCTGGTCCTGTACCTTCAAGGTACAATACCACACTGGCTGAAGGTGAGACTGTCCTGTGTCTAAACTGGTCTATAGTTACTGCTAACAACTGCAGGCCTCTTCTTCCTCCTACAACACAAGCAAACACAAGTGTCACTCTAGGTGGCAGCCAATTCCAACAAAGAGGTCCAGGGTGCCACAAACACCAATGTCAAATAACGGCAGTTCCCATTGTTGAGTAGCCAGATTCAAAAGTCTTAATTATAGTTTTTGTTATAATCCTCACCCAGGAACTATGATACATAATCAGCTAGATGTAGGCAAGTATGTTTTCCCAAAGGTGAGAGTTAAGCGCTTGGGGACCCAATTTAATGCTGCATTAATTGCTGCGCAGATACAATTCCAGGCACAGAAGCTCTGAAACAGTTATTTACTCAGTGGCATCAGGTGTTCAGAAGGAGTTCATGACTTGTCAACCATTCTGTCTTTTTACAGAATTACACAGAATCAAGAGATTGACTTTGCAATGAACTACATTTTCTACCAGAACTTTAAAAGCTATGGTTTTTTTTAATCAGTAATAGTCCAAATTTAGTTTATCTAGAAGTTTTAAAATTTCTTCTATCAGAAAACCTAATGACTGGTTTGAATTCTGCCTTTCTTGTGTGTATACTCTGAAGTCTGTTATAGGTGGGCAGAAAAGCAGAAGGAATTTGAAATTCTTGGTAAGAAAAGCAGCCCTCCAATAGAGTAGCTGGCACCTTAAAGAATATTTTATTACTGAAACTTCTTAAACCTATGGCCTTGAGTCCACTTCACTGGACTCTCTCCTTTTATCCCCTACCCTCCGTCTTTACTCAATGCTCCCAGGAGAATGCTGTCCTCAGACAGAAAAATCAAAGCTAATTTAAATAGATTGCAAATTGCCAACATCGGTTCATATTCACAGTATATCAGATCCAGTATTCTGTTTCTGAAAGGTACACTAAGGAATGGTTTGGGTTATTTAAACTGAGTCTCGCTTTTTAACATCTAAAATGAGGACTTTATCTTTCAGGATGACTGTATCAGTGGGACTATGTAAGTTCAGTACTTGGCATAGGGCCTGGTTTCTCCTTGTGGAAGGCAGTGGTTCTCCATCACAATACCATTCTTGCCAGCAACCCTTGGCTCCCTAGGTAATCCAAAGAGCCTGGATTTCCATTCATTTACCTATGCAACTCTGCATGAACCTGAAGAACAATCATCAAGCGGATGGATTCAAACTGCATCTCCATGTATCTAACATTCAGCATTGCTATTTGTTTTATGTAAGCACTGAACTCAAAAACCTAGTTATTTATCCTAAGTATCCCTAAATTTCTGCTAATAATCATTTGTGTATATGGATGAGTGAATCATAATTTGTCTCAGCCCTATTTCTTTTTCAAATCCATATCACCAGTCATCAATAATAAATAACCAAGTTAGCAGTTTCTAATGAATCAAAAATCCTATTACATTCCATAGTTAAGCCAAATTAAGATTCCTTATGGAAACAAGACTCTCACTGGTTTATCTTAAAATCTCTCCTTCCTCCTTAGATAACCCTAGTTTTAAGCTAGATATATGGTAAACAAAACTAGAATTCCAAGCTTGCTGCCAGTGAGGCTGAGCTGTAAGCAGAAGTGTTATATGGAACTTCCCAGTAGGCTGCTTAAAGGGAGTTGATCTAAGCTGACAGGGGATCTCTTCAGCCCTTTATCTCAGCCTGCAATGTTGATGTGATGGCCAGAGCTCCAGCAGCCATCTTGGGACATAAGCTGACCTTAAAGAGCAAAAGCCTGTGTTAGGGTGCTGCAATGGAATAATAGGTGTCTGGGGCTCTGATGACACTGAAGCCACCATGCCAGCCTTTTATTAAACAAGAAAAAAATCTACTTCTTATGTCAGCCATTCTATTTTTATGATAGACAGGGTGAAAGTAATCAGGAATAGACCTCTGTAAGCCCTAAGATGTTTGCTTTTTTGTACACCTCATGAATAACTTCAATAAAGTCAAATGCAATGACACACTGGAAGCAACTTTCTCCTTTGCAGTAATGCTTCACTTCTACTTGTCAGGAATCTCCATTTCCTTCTGCCTCTCTCCTTTTCCAACAAAGAACAGGAAGAATTAAAAAATGTCAAAGCCATGTTGAACTCTAGCATCAAATCTTACCATCTCTGAGAAGTCACATTTCATGAAAACCCCATTATCTCCTGGGTGGCTTGGCAAAATTAATAAACTGCTTTTATAATTACCCTTTCGTTCCATCTTTACTCTTTCTTATATAAAGAAACAGAGCTATTTAGAGCTGCTTCTGGCATTTCTAGTTTTATTCCAGGAGCTTTAGAAACTTCATTAATTAGAGTCTCAGGTTTTTTTTTTTGTTTTTTTTTTTTTTCTTGATTTGGTTTTCTAATTAGAATAGGAATCCTAGATTCATTGACAGCCCTGCCACTACACAAGGAAAACCTTAGTTACATTACCTCATGCCTCAGTTTCTTCATCTGGGGAATTAAAATAAACAACTGCACCAAAAACTCATTTGGCATTCTAAGTTTCCTTTTATTTGTTCACTTTTTTACTTCTATTAATACTAAAGGTCTGTGCCAGACACTGGGCCAAGAACTTGGAATATGATGCTGAGCAAACAGATGAATGGCCCTGCTTTTATGAAACTTAACGTTATCATGAAGGAGACGGACATAAATTTAAAAATCACATAAATACATAGTTAGTAAAGAATTACAGTGCCACTGGATCACTATGTGGAAATTTTTTATTTCTAGGAAGTGGTTTTTGTAATGAGTCTCTAAAGCCCTATATTTCTCTGAAGTATCTACCTTCATATTCAGTTCTTAAGTTAGTTGTGATCTTATTTCCTTTAAATTTCTCTAGCTATTTGTGTCAGACAATTCAAGCTTCATTTCTCTACTTGTAAAAGTTTATTCTGACCCCTTTAGGAATAAGAGGAACCTACCAGTTTTGATATGGAAAGAGGTCTAAGAAGAAAACAGAAAGGTACAAAACACTTTGAATATTTTATAAAATGATAAGCAAAAATACATGCACCCACATACCCAGAAATGTTCTGCAAGGAGCAGTTGTTACAGATGTGAGAAGATACTTTTCTTTCTTTTATAGCCTTCTATAACAATTTAAGGTTTTAGCCTGGGCATGTATAATTTTTATTAGAAAAATATGCCTTCATTTCCAGTAGGTATTAAGTAAATTCTCATCATGCATGAAAGTTATCTAAATATTACTGGGAAAGTGACTCTAATCCTTTCTCTATTTTCCATGCTTAGATTGGGACTTCTCATTTATCGCAAATATAAGGTATTAATTTTTCTATTATTCTTTTTAATAATAATGCCAATAAAAGGTCTCAAATCCTTCTATTATTGTAGCTCTTCTCCCTGTGATAAAGCAGTATCAGTCATCCACACTCACCTTTTGGACTTCTATATTACACACCTGAGACCTTTCTGCTTTTGACATGGTTGTATGTCTCATTGTTTATTCTACAAGGGTGAGACAAAGCAATTTCACAGTTATCAGAAGGGTTATCACAAGAATTTACTGTGATGTCTTGCAAGACCTCTAGAGTAACTGTTAAATTATTTCATGGAACCAGCACAGGAACCTCCCATTCTCTCAAGGGCTGTGTGATGTGACACAGTCACTCTCCAGGTCATAAGTTTTCCTTGGGAAGTGCTCAATGAGGTGATGCCACGTGCACATTTAATAGCACATCCACTGGATGGCTTTATACAGAACGTGTCACATTCGTATTGCCAACACATCTCAGGCTTGCACTCCATTTTACCCCTGGTCTCATATCATCTCCTATGACTAGGAACTCTATAAAACTAACAAACTCTCTTGTGCTTGCTCAGCTACAGGAGGAGCACGTGCACACAGAGTCCTCTTGAAAACTGTGGGCCAAGACGAAAGCCATAAATGATCAGCCTTACCGTAGATGAAGCAGACAAACATTAGCTCCTTTAACAGCAACACTCTTTAGCCCTGCATTCATTCATAATTTTATATTAATAATCTGAAGGATTTATAACAGATGCTGATTTGGATGATATTGGCTTACCATTCCACCTTCTTCTCCAGCCCTCAGAGAAGCCAACCTAAAATTCATTCATTCAAGAAGCACTACTGCTGAAGAGCTAATATGGGCCAGGCCAGGGGTAAGTCCTAGGAATGGAAGGCTGAAGATCCCTTGAAAGGCTATTGGACAGAGAGCTCCAAACAGCTAACCAATTACAGTACACAGAGATAACCAGGTTCAGTTTGGCTGTCTTTCTTGTCTTCAAGAGCTCCATATTACAGTGTCAATGCCATGGGAGGGAGGTATTTTTGTCATCCAACCTAGTGTTTCTCAAATTTGTAAGGTCCATCCTATTGACCGAAAATATGATTATAGTAATCATAGAAATAACCACAGGACA
Source organism: Homo sapiens (assembly GCF_000001405.40). NCBI lineage: Eukaryota > Metazoa > Chordata > Mammalia > Primates > Hominidae > Homo > Homo sapiens. Next base: position 132,852,527 of record NC_000007.14, read on the forward strand.
GAGAAAACAAATTTTAAAGATTCTCATAAAGAATCAGAAGACCTTGAATTATTATTTCTTTGGAATCCAGGTTGACAGAAAAACTGAGTGAATCCAGTTATTACCCTTCAGCTAATTATCAATTAACTACAGAGACTCATAACCAACAGGTGGGAACAAGAATGCTTTCCAGAACAAAAGTTAAGTGTACAGACTACAGAAGGAGTCCTGTGAGGAAGGAGAAGTGTTGGTGGAGAAAGGAATCCTGAGGAGAGTAGCTGGAGAGGCCAAGACAAAGTTTGCCTTCCTCCCACTTTTGCCTAGAACCTGACTTTTTAAAATAAGATTGCATCAAATCTCTAGCAAGAAAAGATAGACACATTCTAATAGAGGCCAACATAAATAATTCATTCTGATTCAGAAAATCTACCTAAGAAAAACTTTCCTGAAGATTGAGCAAACCTCTGAACTCTTTCACAGGCATGATACTTGCTGTGCTCCTCAGCACCAGATGAGCTGTAATTCCAGCAGAATCAAATCTATTTGCTCAAAAGTAATACCTTTCCAGCACCACAGAAAATACGCACCTCTCATAAAGGATGAGTGCCACAAACAAGCTCAGTATCCCAGACTGTGCACATCTCTCTAAGTGAATAAGAAGATGAAACAACTCCGACTGACCGCTGCAGAGTGACAAGCAAAAGCCTTAATGAGGAGGTGCTCTGATGGTGTACGCAAGGCAAAGCATCCTTAAGCTCAAAGAATCACTATGCTCAGGAAGTTATCTGTGTCACCTTTTGACATATAAAAGGTGACACAAATGAGTAAGACAGATTTACTCATTAAGAACTACGGTGTAATCCCAGCACTCTGGGAGGGCCAAGGTGGGCAGATCACCTGAGGTCAGGAGTTCGAGACCATCCTGGCCAACATGGTGAAACCCCGTCTCTACTAAAAAATACAAAAATTACCCGGGCATGGTGGCACACACCTGTAATCCCAGCTACTTGGGAGGCTGAGGCTGGAGAATCACTTGGACCTGGGAGGCGGAGGTTGTAGGGAGCTGAGATCGCGCCACTGCACTCCAGCCTGGGCGACAGAGCGATATTCTGTCTCAAAAAAATAAAAATAAAAAGAACTACAATGCTCACTCTTTTAACACACACACTTAATATCTATATTCAATGAAGACAGTCTTGGGATTGGTGCAGGCAAGGGGTATAGAATTACTATCCAAGACAGTGTCTCATTGTAAATCTACTTTTATCACTGGCATCATGCACTCTCAGAAGTCTAGGATGAATTGTATTATATTCTAAGCTGAGATTTCACCTAACAGAAAATACCATTCTTTCAAGTCTCCTGACTGGGGAGTAGGACAGGGAAGGGCTAGACTGCAGGTGTCTAGCACATACATTTCCTTGATAGTAGCATTTGAAAAACTTGAAAGACAAAGATTGGTAAAATCATTTGATTTTACCCTATCAAACTGGCTGTCTTACTTGCTTTCTTTCATTTCACAGATGCATTAAGTGTCAATGAGTAAATGAGGAAATGGGTTCCCTCATCATTTGCTAGTAAGAGTATAAATTGGTACAATTTACGGCAACATGTTTCAAATGCCTTTCGAATGTACTCTGACTCAAAGGCTTCATGTCTGGAAATATGTGAAATAATCATGAATGTATACAAAAATTTAGCTAAAAATTTGTTCATTGTGGAGTTCATCATACTGAAAAATGAAAAACAAGTATTTAGCCACAGAAAATAGCTAAAGTAACTAATAGATTATTCATATAATGGAATGATAGGGCTGCTTAGACTTTGGTTTGTTTTTTCCCCCTTTCCCCAAGAGAAAAAAGGAGAGAAGAAATGTTTAAATTCCTTTAAGTTTTAGCCCTTGGTGAACAGATATAAGAATAAGGACAGTTACGCAACAGTTTCTTATGATTTTCCAAACTGTACCAACTCTCCTCTAGAACAAAAAAGTAAAAACAAAAATCTACCCTTTTGGCACAGTACAAACCTATGCAACCACAAGGTCAATACAGATGAGAGAGTGGGGATTAATTTTCAAAAGGGGGTTGGGGGACAAACCAATTTTAAATTATGAAGGTTAAAGCCCTATTTATTATTGGTATCTCTGAAATTCTTCTGCCATTTGTTAAGTGGGTCAATGTCCATTTTTTATTCACTCAAGTATTTACTGAATGCAACTTCTACAGAGTAAGGTCCTAGGACCTGAATTAGATTTTTTTTTTTAAATTTAGTTATGTGATTCCACTGCTTATGATCTACTGAGATGTACTCTAACATTCATATTCAAAAGTCTCTGGAAAGAAGGGAGGCTCTGGAGATTCTTCCTATACAAGGGAACACAATTCTAACAGGGCAAGAGTTGAAAGCATAGGAGAGCTGGTTGAGTCTTGGACTGTCCAAAAGCAAATATTGTTAGGAATCAAGTATTTCCTATGTTCATATCGTTTGATTTTATGATAAAAACCAGCCAAGAAGGAAGTAAAGTTAGGGGCCACTATCTTTATTTTACCTACCAGGAATGGTGTGTTTAAACAAGGTCACACATTTGCTGGTGTTCCATAAGATATTAAGTGCCAGAAATAAATCAGTCCCTAAGTCCAGAGCTAGAAGGCCTTAGGTCTTGAGGTTTAAAATATTATAGTTCTTTCAGTACAAAGCAGTAGATGGTACCCTACAGAGTACTTCACTAAGTCATGCCTTTTGTTGACCATGGAGGGTTTATATTTATTTCTTAACCAAACCACAATACCCAAGAAAAAGAAGATCCAATGCAGATGATACACATATCTGAAGTTTAATTTCTTTTCATCAATTTTAGCACAAACTGAGATGTTAATGATAACTGTGACATGGTTTTCTCTAGTGCTAGCAACACACGTAAAGTTACACAGGTGAACAGAAAAGTCAGTCTTAAGGGTTAATAATCTCAGATATGAATTGGAGAAAGCTCAAAAGTGGCAAAGGACCATCAATCTATTTCAAAGATGTGTTTATCTTTTTGTATTTCAAAGGAAAGGCCTTTTTGAAAGACTTGGCAGAGAAATATGCATGTGAATAGAGGCACATTGAAAAGTCTTAGCTTGCAGGTATAATGGCTCTCCCTCAGAAGGCAGTGTGCAGGATTCCGGAGTCTCTAAGGTGTATTTTATATGCTACCAAGTACACTAAGAGCCCTGCAGTATTGCCTGTGTCCAGCTTCTATTTGGTGGCTCCTTAGCATTTTCCTGCATTAAACTCTACCTAAAAGTTTTACCCCTCAACTGCAGCAAAGCAGTTCATTCATGTGGTACTGAAATACACCAGAATGTGTCATATTTGTTTAAAAAAAAAAAAGAAAGAAAAAAAAGAAGAGGGTGGGTGGGATGGGGAGAAAAAGATAGCTATAGAGGACCAGTAAACAAGTCTGATAGTCTTCTAGAAATATTCATGAAAATCTGTCCCTGAAAACTGCTGGTATTTAGTAGCCAATCTTTGCCACGTGGCTTTTCTGAGAATTGTTCTTAGAAAGATCCCACCAAGGGGTGATAATAAAATGCATTTCATCAAATGATCTTTCAGTCTGGCATGATGTCACTTTCTCACATCTTCCATGTGGGCTGCAAGTCTCCTTCCAAGGCCCATCTCATTTACTGTGTATTCTGCCTAGTGTAGGTCCAAGTCCTTCCAAACAAGACCTATAAGCAAGAATGCACCCATCCATGAGAGACAAAGCATATGCGTTCTGTTAGTTCCCACAAAGGCAGACACTGGGGATTTAGGGAGCTGAGGTCTACAAAAGTCTTTAAAGAACAGCATATTCACTCTACACAAAAGAGGTTCTTGTGTGACCCTTGTGATCTGAACACATTTCAAGAGAAAGAGACTAGATCTTTACTTTGAAAAAGATTTTTATTATAAAGACAAATGTGAAACATAAATGGAATCGGGGTGAATAATGTGAATTAGGCTCTGAAATGATTCCTTTTCCTAGTACACACTCATAGACATTACAGGGCAAAGAAAAGTCTGCAATAACCACGCTGTGTCTGAACGTCGCCTTATTGCTCAGTGTGACCCAAATGTAACCAGACCAAATCCATCAGCAGCTGAATGTAAATGGCCTTGTGCTAGGCTTAGTTTCAACAGGCATTCTCTTTGCCTGGTGAAGCCCTCTCTCCAACTAGAGGCCAAGTTATTAGGAAATTGTTTGTCATCTTAGACTGAATTGATCATTTGTTTCCCTGAATTCTTTCTCTCATCATTTACTCATTACACGCCTCCTCCTGATAGAAGTAGACATTTATTAGCTTCTGCATTCATTGCATTGGCAAACAGAAACATTCTGCTGCATTTCCTGGGGGTTCACTCATTTATCTATTGGATAAGAGACTGAAGTTTTCTACAGGGCAAAAAAATTAAAATATCAGTCAGGTTGACAGCTGGGAAAATGAGGGTCTCTCTGCGACAAGCTTGCTGCAGTTTTTGGTTTAGTGAGGAGCTGCAATGTTATTTCACCACACCACCACTTCATATGTAACTAGAATTGTGGGCTATCATCTGGTGAACTAATATTCCACAAGAATAATACACATGGTGCACTGTAAAGTACCTGCGATGCAAAGCTAATTGCTATTTTAAATAGAACATAAAACAAAAGGCTTTCAAAGATCCATTTCTAAAAGGAGCTAGGAAGAGAGGCTGTCTTATTAAATCCATGAAACTGGAGCTAGAATCATTGAACTTTAACGTGTAAAGACCTTCCAGGTCATCAAATCCTTTCCCAAGAATCTTCTTTACAGTATCCCCGACAAGTGATTGTTCTCATTGTGCCTGAAACACTACTGGTGACAGGGAGACTGGCAAATCTCAGAAGGCAGCCTATTTTATATATTTATTTTTTTGAGACGGAGTTCTGCTCTTGTTGCCCAGGCTGGAGTCCAATGGTGTGGTCTTGGCTCACTGCAACCTCAGCCTCCCAGGTTCAAGCGATTCTCCTGCCTCAGCCTTCTGAATAGTTGGGATGACAGACACCCGCCACCACCCCCAGCTAATTTTTGTATTTTTAATAGAGATGGGGTTTCACCATGTTGGCCAGGCTGGTCTCAAACTCCTGACCTCAGGTGATCAGCCTGCCTTGGCGTCCCAAAGTGCTGGGATTACAGGCATGAGCCGCTGCGCCTGGCCTAGGCAGCCTATTTTAGAGCTGAACATCTCTGGATGGGAGGGGGCACTTCCTAACAGGGGCCTGACTGCTTGTGACCTTGGGCAAGCCACTCAATCCCACTGGGTCTGGTTTTAGAAATTAGATACCCCTGTGTTGAAAGAATCGGAGCTGAAGGAGAGTAAAGTCATTTAGAGGCTCAACTACTTTAGTCCAGCCAAAAGCCTATTTGGCCTAGCAGGTCACAGGATAACTCCCGTCTTCTGGGACAGTGCTTCTCCACAAGAAGAACTGGCACACTTGTCTGTATTCCTCTATGCTGAGACGCATTTGAGCTCATTCAGAGTAGGGCTTTCTTCGATTCTTTTTCAATTCTTTCTTCACTTTGTTGTTGTTGAGACTGAATCTCACTCTGTTGCCCAGGCTAGAGTGCAGTGGTACGATCTCAGCTCACTGCAACCTCAGCCTCACAGGTTCAAGCAATTCGCCTGCCTCAGCCTCCCGAGTAGCTAGGACTACAGGCACACTCCACCACGCCTGGCTGATTTTTGAATTTTCAGTAGAGATGGGGTTTCACCACATTGACCAGGCTGGTCTTGAACTCCAGACCTCAGGTGATCCACCTGCTTCAGCCTCCCAAAGTGCTGGGATTACAGGCATGAGCACCTGGCATCTTCACTTTTTTCCTCTTTTCTCTTTAGTTTCACTTCTCTTGAGCCAACTTTTATTATATACCTTTCGTTCTTGACAAAAAACAAAAGTAATGATGCAATGGAAAGTTCTGCACAGCCACTAACACAACCCCTCAAGCAGATGGCGTGTGCCAGCCCTTGCCCCAATCATCCTAATTCTCTGATATCAACTTTCTGAGTTTTAGCCCTCAGTTCAACAAAGCATGAATAGCCTAGTATTGTGCCAGGTACTGGTTATACAAAGAAAAATAAATTTTTAGTCTTCAGCTCTCTGAGAGTTTGTATGTTAGAAAACTAAAGCCTTCCTGATTTAATATTGTTTAGAATATTGCCCATATCCCATCAAATCACTCTGAGGACAAGAAAGGTATAAATGCTAATAATAATATCTTTACAAATCAGTGGCGTATTTTAGCTAAGTGTTAATACAGACATTTTTTCTAAATAGTTCTTAAATCTGATCCCAGGACATGCGCTTTACATAGATTGTCTCATGCAAACCTGACAATAACTCCATCAGGTTGGTACAATTATCCCCATTTTCCAGATGAGAAAACTAAGGCCCTCCAAAATGAAATAATTTACCAGGTCATTTGAGCTTGTCTGTGGCACTGCCAGGGTCAAATCCAAGCAGCCGAGCTCCAGAGGTAATATGCTTAACAGCTACAGTACAGTGATTTGCAAATCACTGTATTAACGTACTGATTTCCAGATCACTGTATTGAATGCCTTATGAAAAGAGATCACCATCTATACAAAACAATTAGAAGGCTTTGTGTAGGAGGTGGCATTTAGCCTCTAATTGAATACTATTACCTTCCCTGAACCTACAATGAGATATTTAAAAGTTATTATATATTAAAAATTCTAATTATATATTTTACTTAGTGTAAGGGGGATGAGATTTAAGCCCATTTTAATTACAAACAAAAGCAGATCCACATGTCAGCTGTCTGTGATGCCTTTGTGGATATCCAGACACTTGTTCTTAAATCTGTATATTACAAACTGAAACAACAACAACAAAACCAGAAGAAAAGTAACACAGGAAAAATTGGCTAACAAGTCAATGAACCTGTGACTTTACTGATACAGCAATTATAAAGGTCAAAGCTTATTTTCACCCTATGTAAATTAAATTTAAATGAACTCCTAAACTATATATTACAAGATCCAGAATTAAATTTAGATTAGCCAGAGACTTTGTTTGTAGAAGACGCTCTTAATAATCTTTGGCTTTTGTCCAGCCCAGATTCCCACTTCCTCTAAAGATGATGGAGAACTGCTTCCCTGGATAAATTAGCACAACTCCTGCCTCCTTCCCCTTCAGTCCCTGTGGAGGAATTCCACTGGACTCTTGTCTTCCCTTAAGAAGTAACCCCCAGTTCAGACCTCAGGGCTGTTCAAGGTCCACTTTTCTCCTTGACCTACACTTGGTCTCTTAGCGAAGCTCTTCCAGTCTCATGGCTTTAAACTCCCCTCATGGGCTGACAACTCCCAGATCTATATACCCAGCCCAGACCTTGCCTCTGATTCCATACTCAATGGTCCAAATGTTTTATTGAAATCAATTGTATCAGAAACACCTAAAATTTAAATTGATTAAAACACAGGGCTCGGCTCGGTGGCTTACGCCTGTAATCCCAGCATTTTGGGAAGTCAGTGAGGCAGATTGCTTGGGCCCGGGAGTTCAAGACCAGCCTAGGTAACATGGCAAAACCATGTCTACACAAAAAAATACAAAAAATTAGCCAGGGGTGATGGCGCGCATCTGTAGTCCCAGCTACTCTGGAGGCTGAGGCAAGAAGATCAATTGAGCCCAGGAGGTTGTGGCGAGCCAAAATTGTGCCACTGCACTCCAGTCTGGGTGATGGAGTGAGACTCGATCTCAAAAATAAACAGATTTTTTTTTATAGATAGATAGATAGAGAGAGAGAGAAAGAGAGAGAGAGAGAGAGAACACAATCCCACATTGTTTTTTGTTTGTTTCAATGAACAAACTTATTCCTCTTGGTCTTCCTAGACTCAGTAACTGGTTCTATCTTTCACACATTTGCTGAAGCCAGAGATACAGGAATCATCTTTCTTTCTTACACCATCTTATATCCAGTCCAGCACATCAGACAATCCCCATGTTCAGGCCTTATTGGCTTCCTTTCTTCTTTAACAGGCATGTAATGGGTTTGGATTTTATTCTAACGGCTATGGAAAAGCATGGACGGTTTTCAGCAAAGAAACGATATAATCTGACTCAAGCTTTTTTTTTTTGAGACAGAGTCTCACTCTGTTGCCCAGGCTGGTGGGCAGTGACGCAATCTCAGCTCATTGCAACCTCCACCTCCTGGGTTCAAGAGATTCTCCTGCCTCGGCCTCCCAAATAGATGCGATTACAGGTGCATGCCACACCTGGCTAATTTTTGTATTTTTAGTAGAGACAAGGTTTCACCATGTTGCCTGGGCTGGTCTCAAACTCCTGACCTCAAGTGATCCACCCGCCTCAGCCTCCCAAAGTGCTGGGAATACAGGCGTGAGCCACCACTCCCGGCCCAGACTCAAGTTCTTAAAAAACCATAGCTCTTGGCTGGAAAATAGACAGTGGTGGAGGGAACAGAAGATGGACTAGACAGACAAGGGAGTGATTACAAGAGTTCAGCTAAGAGAGATGGAGGCTTGGTTTATGGTGGTAATAGACTTAAAAAACAGACAAAATTGAACTATGTTTTGGAAGTAGAATCAACAGAACTTCCTGATGAATTGGAGAGGAAGGAGGGAATGTGAGGAAAAGTGAGAACCAAAAATGTGTCGTAGATTGTGAGCTTCAGCCACTGAGTAGGTAATGGTGCCATTTCCCGAGGAAAACTGGAGGAAGACTGGTGGCTGGAGCACTCAGGACCGCTACCTCTGCTATTCTTTGGAGTGTGAGTGTGTGCTTCCTAAGTGTTTCGTCGTTAGATCACCTCATCTGAAAACCCCTCTCCTATTTTCTCTCACTGTATTCATGTTTCTTTCATCACACTTTTCATGATCTATTTTGGCTCATTTTGTTCTCTGTATTGTATTCCACTCGCTAGACTCTGAGCTCTGTGATGGTGGGAAACAGGTTCTCCTTGTTTGTTGCTTTTTCCTGTGTCCCCAGCCCATGTCTTGGAACATAGTTGGATATGTCCACAATCAATTATCCTCAGGAACTTCTAGGGGAAAAAAGATGTCTAAAGCAGGAGGTGACAAACTTTTGCCATAAAAGGCCAGAGAGTAAATATTTGAAGCTTTATGGGTCACATGGTCTCTGTCAAAGCTACTCAACTCTGTTGTAGTACGAAAGTAGCCACGGACAATACACACATAAATGAGCATGGCTGTCTTCCAATAAAACTATTTATGGACACTAAAATTTGAATTTCATAGAATTGTTGTGTCATAAAATTATTCTTTTGAATTTTTTCCCCAACCATTTAAAAATGTATAAATTATTATCAGTTTGCTGATGCCTGGTCTATCCAAATTTTAAGCCTCAGGTGTCAAGGAATAGAAAGGTAAGAAAATGTTAAACTGGATGATTAGTATAAATTGTATTAAAGAACTTATACTACCATAAAATAATCCCTATATTCCTTCCCACTAACCTACTGTACCTTAAGAAAAAGGAATCATGTCTATGAATCTTGAAATCCAGCACTTAATGTTTGCTGATGGATGGATGGATGGATGGATGGATGGATGGATGGATGGATGAAATGAAGGAAGGAAGGAGGGAAGAAAGAAAGGAGGGAAAGAAGAAACGAATGAAATAAGGCAAGGGAGGGGAGGGAAAGAAGGGAGAGGAACAGAGAGAGAGAGATGGAGAAATGAGGGGAGAGAAAGAGGGAGGAAATACTTTTATTTTACAACCACCATATCACTGGAATAGGAAAACTGAATACAGGCATACTTTGGAGATACTGCAGGTTTGGTTTCACACTATCACAATAAAGTGAGTCATGCAAACTTTTTGGTTTCCCAGTGCGTATAAAAGTCATGTTTATAATACACTGTAGTCTGTTAAGCGTGCAATAGCATTATGTCAAAAAAAGTACATAATCTTAATTTAAAAATACTTTATCACTAAAAAATGCTAACAATCATCTGAGCCTTCAGCAAGTCACACTGGTGGAGGGTCTTATCTCGATATTGATGGCTGCGGTGGTGGCCAAATGGCATGGCTATGACAATTTCTTAAATAAGACAACAATGAAGTTTGCCACATCAATTCATTCTCAGGGGAGAGTTTTCAGTAGCATGTGATGCTGTTTAATAGCATTTACATAGAGTAAAACTTCTTTCAAAATTCAAAATTATCTCAAACTCTGCTGCTGCTTTACCAATTAAGTTCATGTATTATAATATTCTTAGTTCTTTCCTGTCATTTCAGCAATATTCACATCATCTTTACCAACAGTAGACTCTATCTCAAGAAACCACTTTCTTTGCTCATCATCTGTTCAAGTTTGCTCCTCAAACATTAAAAGTTTCATCATGAGATTGCTGCAATTCAGTTCCATCTTTGGGCTCCACTTCTAATTCGAGTTCTGTTGCTATTTCCACCACATCTGCAACTCCTTCCTCCACTGAAGTGTTGAACCCTTTCAAGCCATCCATAATTGGAATTAACTTCTTCCAAACTCCTGTTAACTGATATTTTGACCTCTTCCCATGAATCACGAATGTTCTTAATGGCATCTAGAATGGTAACTCTTGCCCGGAAGGTTTTCAATGTACTTTTCCCAGATCATTCAAGAGAAATCACTATCTATGGCAGATATGGCCTTATAATACGTATTTCTTAAATAGTAAGACTTGAGGGTCAAAATTACTCCTTGATCCACAGGCTGTAGAATGGACATTAGCAGGCATGAAATTATTAATCTCCCTGTACATCTCCATCAGAGCTCTTGGGTGACTAGGTGCACTGTCAATGAGCAGTAATACTTTAAATGGAAAATGTTTTTTGTGAGAGGTAGATCTCAACAGTAGGCTTAAAATATTCAGTAAACCAGGCTGTAAACAGACGTGCTACCATCCAGGCTTTGGTGTTCCATTTATAGCACACGGGCAGAGTTGACTTAGCATAATTCTGCAGGACCCTAGGATTTTTGGAATGGTAAGTGGGCACTGGCTTCAACTTCAAGTCATCAGCTGCATTAGCACCTAACAAGAGTCAGCCTGTCCTTTGGGGCTTTGAAGCCAGGCCCTGACTTCTCCTCTCTAGCTAAGAAAAGTTCTAGACAGAATCTTCTTCCGATAGAAGGCTGTTTCACCTTCATTGAAAATCTGTTGTTCAGTGTAGTCACCTTCATCAATGACAGTAGGCAGATTTTCTGGATACCTTGCTCCAGCTTCCACATCAGCACCTAGTGCTTTATCTTGCATTTTTATGTTATGGAGATGGCTGCTTTCCATAAACCTCATGATCAACCTGTGATAGCTTCCAATGCTTCCTCTGAAGCTTCCTTGCCTCTTTCAGCCTTCGTAGAACTTAAGAAAATTAGGGTCTTACTCTAGATTAGGCTGTGGCTTAAGGGAATGTTGTGGCTGGTCTGATATTCCACCAAACCACGAATCTTTCTCCACAGCAGTAATAAAGCTGTTTCACTTTCTTATCATTGATGTGTTCACTGGAGTAGCACTTTTAATTTCCTTCAAGAACACTTCCTTTGCATTCACAACTTGGCCAATTGTTTGGTGCAAACGGCACAGCTTTTAGCTTACCTAGGCTTTGCACATATCCTTCTCATTAAGCTTAATCATTTCTAGCTTTTGATTTAAAGAAAGATGTGTGACTCTTCCTTTCAATTGAACACTCAGAGGTCATTGTAGGGTTATTAATTGGCCTAATTTTAGTATTGTTGCGTCTCAGGGAATAAGGAGGCCTCTCAGGGGAGGGAAAAGAGATGGGGAAATGGCTGATGGGTGGAGGAGTCAGAACACACACGTAACAGTTATCAATTAAGTTCAGCTTTTTATATGGGTGTGGTCTGTGGTGTCCCAAAACAATTACAATAGTAACATCAAAGATCACATCATAGATCACCATAGCATATATAACAACAAAGAAAAAGTTTGAAATATTATGGGAACTACCAAAATGTGGCACAGAGACACTAAGTGAGCACATGCTTTGGGAAAAATGGCACTAATCAACTTCCTTAATGCAGGGTTGCCACAAACTTTAAATTTGTATTTTTTTAAAAAGGCAAATGAAGTATGTCTGTACTGTGATTTGTCCATCTGGCACCTCTTGGACAAATAAGAGAAATGTACCCCAAGTCTAAAACAAAGATAAAAACTTACATTCTCTGGATACTTGTTGAGGAACCAGAATACCATCCTCTTTCCATGCCGAGATATGTACCAATTTTTTAAAAAAATAAATGGCAATATGATGAACCTGGATTTCCAACTAAAACAGTGATTCAACACATTGCAAAGACCCTAAATAAAATATAAAAACTTCTGAAAACTCTTGTATTATCCTGCATAACATCCTTCCCAGAATAAACACTATTTTCAAATACAATGTCAGCACGATCTCTACTCATTGCAAAGATGAGCTCCAACCATAGACCCCATTCATTAAAACTTCATAGGGTAAAAGAAACCATTAAAATGAATTTCAATTTGTCAGATAAGGAGGATTATGGTACAAAGATGCTTTAAATACCTAATAAAATTATGCCAAACATACTGGAAAGCAGTATTGTGTACCTGGGGGTCTAAACCTGAGAAATAATTATATGGCGTGAGAAAAACAAGTGATGACCCATGCTAAGGATGAGGAGTGAACATATGTCCCAAAGCTCCAGAAGAGTTACTTGAACTTTTTTAGCTGTACCTAACTGCTGCCATCTCGGCAGACTGTCCACAGTAGAGAAACCTTCAGATAACAAAGGCTTTTCCTGTTTTAATCATGGGGAAGAGGTTGGAGGACAGCAGGGGGACTGGAAACCTAAAACCAGGAAGGAGAATTCACCCCAAGGTGGTGGTTGGGGGGAACACCACAAAAACTGGGGACTCAGTGCAAAGATGACAGGTGCAAATAACAGCAATCAGGCCTTCTCTGTTTTAATAGGGGAACAGATTAACAAAAGCAGGAAAGGGACCATGGAGGTGGTGAATACAGATCCATCCGTGGCCGACTGCCATGGTTACTATTTTGAGATCGTCATTACAGCAGTTACTATTGTTACTGCTTGAGACCATCATTACAAGACTGAAGGAAGGGAGGAACCTAGAAATGAAAACTTAAGACAAAAGAAACTGTTTTAAAGGAAGGGGAACCAGGGAAGAAGAAGAGAGCTTCCTGCTTCTAACGAGCAAAGGCAGCCCCCGAGCTTCTACCACTGTTCCTATTTATTGGGTAGCAAGAGCAGGGAGGAGGAGGTAACGATTGGTTAGCTGCTTAATTGATCACAGGTTCAGATTATTGCTAACAGACTTCAGATGTGCCTAATCACAAGAAACACTTGTGCCTGGGTCGTGACTGCCCTCAGCATTCCTTCTGGGTAGCGCAGTTTGTCATTTTGCCAACATCCTGCTTTCATGAGAACAGTTTGCTGTTTACTCATATAGCCTCCAGTGGTATAGTGAGTTGATCACGACCCCTCATTCTTTCGGCCTGTAACAACCATCAACTGCACAACCTTGTGGACAGGAACCATTTCCAATCTATGGACAACGTTAAAGGAGGAACTTTCACCCAATTCATATTAAAACATTTATGTGGCCCATGCACATATTATTTAACTTTGGTAGAACACTGAACCAGAGGGCCCACTCAGCCCCTTTCTGGCTAATGCAATCCCATTCCAAGTACAACCTCTCAAAAAGTCTGTGTTGTGTGGCTTAGAGAGTATGTGAGCTTAGACTGCCAGGGTTCACTTCCTGGTTTTGCCACTTACTATTCCCGCGACCTTGGATAAAGTACATACCCTTACTGTGTCTCACTGTACTTGTCTAAAACATGAGGATAACACTCCTAGAAAGCTGGAAAGGTTTAATTAAGTAACTCAGCATTGCAGTGCTAGCAAACACATTGACATACATACAAGAAAACTTGCAATAAATGTTACTCTTCATTTTGAATAGCTTGGTAGGATTGTTAGTGTTGACTTGGGTTTGGGATAGGCTTGAGGAAAGGTGTGTAAAGTCACAGAGAGAATCATGGATGCATTTTCACTGGATAAGGAATTTTTAAAATACTTCAATACTCACTGACCAGATTCATAAGGCTTATTTACTATTCCTCTAGGAGAAAAAGAATTAGAGTCACTCTTGAAACCAGAGTGTCATTTGAACTCAACATAGAACTGATCTGCTAACAAAGTACAGACCAAAATAAGCACTGTCTGCCAGACTTGGCAAGACAGATACTATACTTGAAAAGCAAACCTGGCACTTTCTGAAAAGATAGTGAAGAATACACTAGAGCAATAAATGACATGGAGCCAATGCAAGAGATTTAGGTAACGAGTGTTCAACAGGATCTGCCAGCAGGCTTCTCCCCCAGGTAGATGAAACACATGGCTCTTTTGGGTCCCTGCTCACGTAGCATCTAATCGGAGGCCTCGCTATCCAAAACAGCATCACGCACACCTACCCACCATACACATACCATCATTTTCTCTCCTCTTATTGAGTCATTTTTCTTCATAGAACCCATCACCACTTGACATAAAATATATTTGTTATTGACTACCTCACATTAATGAATTGTCAGCTCTACAGAACCAGAGGAATTTCTGTCTGCTTTGCTCTCTGCTATATCCCCAGAACCTAAAATGGAGCTTGCCACATAGTAGGTTCTAAATAAATATTTATGAAATGAACAACTACTAGTGCAAAAAATAACACTAAAAAATAAAAAGACATTTGGCAAAAGTCTTAAACTGTTAGAAACAAGGGTATTAAATTACATTAAAATGTTGTTAAAGTCATACCTTTTAAAACCTTAAAGCCTTAAAAGGTATTACTTTTTAAAGCTTTATAAAAGTCCAAAAAATTATTTGAAAGTATTCTAAATTACAGATGAGACTAAGAAATTAGAGAATAGTTATTCTTGAATTCAGCAAAACTTACAGAACTTACAGAGGTAGGTTTTTGAGAAAATATGGTTTAGAATTTTTATTTCAGTTGCTGATTGTTGATTGAAATCAGCAAACCCTTCTCTCTCCTTAAAACGTCCACAGATAAAGAAAGTTACTAATACAATAATAGAAATACATTAAAGTCAATATTCCAGGTTACTTAAAATATGTATCATGCACATACAGAATTTTATTGCTTTTACTAATTTTAGAGTAAATGAATGATGAGAAAGTATAAGGCAGAAAGACTTATACCAATACCCTGTTATGCTATGTGGATAAACTTCAAAAGAAAAAATTTTCTCAAAAGAAAAATGATTTTCTCTGGATAATGAGGGGATCCAGAAAGTACATTATATAAAATAGGCTATGGGAAATGTTTTAACTGCAGAGTGGGTGTTCACAGTGGCAAGTTAGCAGGTATTTTTACCATATTTCGTACCACAGAGAAAATGAGAAAGAAAAACAATTTAAAACAGTTGTTATGCCTTTATCTTTACACTGTAGCATACTCCAATAAAAAAGACGTTCACCCACAATTGACAAGCTAGGTTTAATCCTTATAATGCCCATAATTTTATACTGTAACAACTGCATACTTCAGTCATGAACACAATACACTTTGACTTAAGGGATTAAAAATACAAATAAGATCCACAAATATAAAAAATAATTTAAAAGGCCTAACTAACCAATATTCGTTGCTTTTTGCTTTTTAGGTAGAAGCAGCAAAGCTGACGGGAAGTTGTGGGAGGAACATAAAAATAAATTTAAATTACAAGAGAAAAAAATTATTAGATGTTTATACAGATCTTTTTGAAAAGTTATTGCTTGATGACTTAAAGACTGGAGTTTTTTGTCATTTAATTTTAATGAAATTAAAATTTCAACAAGATTAGGCATTCTCTAAACTCAGAATGCCTTTTGAGTAATTTAGTCAAAAAAATTACATTCTTAAAAAAGGTTAACACAGCCGTCTGTGAAGGTTTTCTGAGCTGGCCAACATATGCTGAGACCTTTAGTTTTATAACGAAAAGGGCTTTGGTGATTTTGCTCTTTGGTGAGTCCTTTTAATAGACTCTTGCATAAGTTGCACAAAATGATGAGATGTGCCAGAATTAAGTCTGACCCAGTACATTTTTCTTTAGAAATGAAAATTTCATTTCTAAAGAAAATTGATATAAACATCCCAATGTCATTTTGCCAAAGCCAAGACCCCAGAATTGTTTTGTGCCTCTGGAATAGAATCCAAATGAAAAGCTTGGTTTTCAAGAAAAGACCTTTTAACCAGGACTATTCACAATTGTGAACACTGTCCCACAAAGCTCAGTGGCTGTCGGAGAGTAACTGCTGTGCGACTTTCCCCAGGGCTCCTTGCTCTTGCCCACCACAGCCTGGTGACCCACCCTCACCCAAGCTTTCATGTTTGCTTCCTCTTGTTGTCCATTTCATCTTAATGGAGAAGATGGAAAATATAACTCAGTCTGTACTTACTCGATGTTAACAACAACAAAAAAAAACTGACCCAAAATGCATCACGAAAAAGCAAATCCTTGTTCTGCACTGATATCCTAAGTCAGACACTTCTGATGGAACATTCAAACACAAAACTAAAAATTCCAGAAGACATGCTCACATTACATTATTAGAGGGCACCTGTATAGCATTTCCTCTGATGCTAAGGTCTCCTACAGTCCCACAGTCCCCACACCCTGGCTACTTCCTTAACACTGCCATCCCCAAATGTCACAACCACAACCTCTAGAACCTGGTTTCTTCTCTGTGTACCTACTTCCTTGGTCTGGAAGAGCTAGACTGCAATATTACAATACCATAGAATTTAATAAACATACCAAAGGATTGAATATGCAGAAGTGAAAGCTCAACCAGCTCTGTTCTTTTTTTAAATTTCCCACTCATTAGCTAGGGTGATTCAACAAAACAGATGCAGATTCAAACCAGCCTCTGCTCAAAAGATGACAGAAAGACCTAAGCTTATGTGCACTAAATTATCAGACTTCTAACTTTGATATACACAATTTGCCAAATTCGAAAGCAAATATATATATAAGATAAATCTGCTGCCCCCACCCTCCATGACTTGCTTTAGAGTCAGGATCTCGCTCTGTTGCCCAGGCTGGAGTGCAGCGACATAATGGCTCACTGCAGCCTTGACCTTCTGGGCTCAGCTGATCCTCCTCCTTCAGTTTCCCGAGTAGCTGGGACCACAGGCACACACCACCATGCTTGGCAATTTTTTTTATTTTTTGTAGAGGCAAGGTCTCACTTTGTTGCCCAAGCTTGTCTCAAACTTCTGGGCTCAGCGAGCCTCCTGCCTCAGCCTCCCAAAGTGCTGGGATTATAGGCATGAGCCACCATACCTGGCAGAGAAATCCCATTTCATCAAATAAAATGATATGCATGAAAGAGTTCTGAAAAACCTGAAAGATTATATAAGCTTAATTGTAGGTTTAATTATTGTATCTATATTATAAAAACAGTTTTATGGTTGAGCCAATAATTCCATTCCTTCTGGCAAAATTCAATATAACATTTCAATATAACAAAATAATGGCCGGGCACAGGGACTCATGCCTGTAATCCCAGCACTTTGGGAGGCCAAAGTGGGCAGATTGCTTGAGCTCACAAGTTTGAGACCAGCTTGGGCAACGTGGCAAAACCCCGTCTCTAAAAAAATACAAAAATTAGCCCGGTGTGATGGCACGTGCATGTAGTCTCAGGTATTCAGGAGGCTGAAGTGGGAGGATTGCTTGAGCCTGGGAGGCAGAGGTTGCGGTGAACAGAGATCACGCCACTGTACTCCAGCCTGGGTGACACTGCGAGACCTATCTCACCAAAAAAAAAAAAAAAAAAAGATAAATACTTCAAATAGAATTCAACCTGTGTTTCCAGATTCAATCCCTCTACTCTATTCTAGGGCTTTCTCCCCGCAACAAGCTACCTCAAACAGCTGTATAATTATCAACCTCCTAGAGACTGGTGCTGATAACTGATATTTATCCTAATTTAGTATGTATAAATTAACACATAATATTTTATTTAATCTCCACATCCCCAAGGAAGTACAATATGAAGGCCACTTTACAGATGAGGGATCTGAGGGTCAAACAGGTTACATGATTTATCTAAGAATAAATAGCCAATAACTAGGAGGTCTAATATATGAATCCATATCCACTTGTCTATATTTGGGAGGGCCACCCCAACACAAATCAATTGCAGGAACCTAAACAGACAAACACCCACTCACTTGCCTAGAACTTATCTGATGAGATAATCATAACTAGGTAAATAGTGCCACCATTCCCTTTCCCAACCACGTAAAAACAATTTTCAAGCCTCTAGGTTTCTGTTTCATTGCTTGAAAAAAGTGTAATTTTATACTAGATGAATGCTAACGTTTCAAGGAGCAGTATACTTTTGTGTATCTATAAAATATTCCATTTCACTGACATATTATCCAGGTTGTTGTATCAATATTAGTTTTAATGATATAGGCTTAAAATATCAGCAGTCTTGTTTTATTGTCTGGCAAGACTTGAAGCACAGAATTTCATCATAATTACAGTGTCCATTTGGCTATTTCTAGAGGAATATTCGTTCAAAACTATCTTTTGCATAATTACTCTTAAATAGCTAGAGTCTAACTGATATTTCCATAAATTTAGTTACTTTATATAACTTGAGCCTCTATTTAGACTAAAATATACTTTTGTCTTTCTGGCATTAATCTTTTGGGAAATAAGTTCAGGGTCAAATCCAAATGATACATAATATAATTTTTTAATGTACCCAACAGCAAAATGGCAGTCTCTGTCTTTAATTACATACTATTGAATTTTAACAAATAGTTCTAGGGACGTCTGCCAAATTTCCACAATTTAGAGTAACTACACCATGAGAGAATAGACAGTTCACAATTTATTATGGGTTATTTTTCTTGAGCTACAGAAGTGCTCGTTGTAGTTCTAGTTACATTTTCATTTTAATGATAATGAGGATAAACAGATAAGCAGACAAATCTTCTCAACACGTGGACTGCTTGCCCAAGGAGACAACCCCTCAGTCAGTGCTACTCCGTTCTCACTTCTATTTCCGCTGCCCACGTCACATCACAGATCGTCCATGAAGGCAAGGTGGAAACTACACTATGATTAAGTTCTAGAAATTCTAATATTAGGAAGTAGCAAGCAAGGAGGAGTGATGAGATGTTACAGGTAAACTGTGTCTGCTTCAGTGACTGTGTGTCACAGGTACCTACCATGCATAATATCTGCACACACAGTAGATGCTCAACATCCCCTCATCATCTACAACTCATCACAAGTATTATAAACAAAATGTGACTATAATCAAGAGAGGTATAAAGCATTATGGATGTATTTGTCAATTATACAAAACAAACAAAAATAAAGTTGGGGAAAAAAAAGTAAAAATAAGGGGATGCCCAACACAGGCAGAGCAATCTGCAGAGAGAACGCAAGCATGGAGATCTCCTAGGAAGGAATGCTGTGGCAGGAGATGGACAAGAATCTGCCATCGAGGAAGGTTAAAAGTACGGCTGGCTTGAGGGTAGTTAATTGAGTGGTACATGTACTGAAGGTCATTAATTACTAAAGTTAATTTTGAGGCAGAGCCTGGGGAAGTTGAAGTTCAAATAGTTCTAGGATAGGAGAAACATCTCTGACCTGAAACGAGAGAGTTGAAACAAGTGCACACTCAGTCTTAGAATGGAAAGTGACAGTAAACTTGTGTGACTAAACCTAAATTTGCAGGAAGTTATGCCCCAGGATTCCACAGGTACAATCCGCATAGCAAGCTAAGCGTGCTGGGCTGCTGTGGACACCATGGTTCAAGGCTACTTAAGAGCTACTAGTTGCCATCTCAGAAAGTGTCATCACCTTTACCTGGGCTGATTTGGCTTCGCTTGTGACTTCAATTTCTGGTTATATTTCCCCACAGTACAGGGCCAGCTTCTTTTCTCTGCATCCCCTCAGAGGAATAAGACCCAGTTCACAGATCCTTTACAATTTCCTTACTTTCAGCACCTTTCCTATCAATTTAGCCTATACGCTATAGCCGTACTAATTAACTGTATCTAATCATGCCCTGTAATAAAGCTGGTTCAACTTCTCTTTAAACAAGATTCACTATTAAATAAAACAATGGGCGCTTAGCTTATGGAAGAAAACCAAGTATGAATGTTGCTGAGGGAAACTCAGTTGAGAATCTGTTACTTGACTCTAGTGGTTCTAAACAAAAAATGTCAGGCCCACCTCCACCAAAAATCTTTTTAAAGAGGGGGAGGGCCGGACTCGGTGGCTTATGCCTGTAATCTCAGCACTTAGGGAGGCCGAGGCAGGTAGATCACTTGAGGTCAGCTCGACATCAGCCGGGCAGACATGGTGAAATCCCATCTCTACAAATTAGCCAGTCATGGTGGTGCACGCTTGTAATCCCAGCTACTCGGGAGGCTGAGGCAGCAGAATCCTGAACTGAGGAGATGGAGGTTGCAGTGAGCCGAGATCGCACCACTGCACTCCAGCCTGGGCGACAGAGAGAGATTCTGTCTCAAAAATTAAATAAATAAATAAAAATGAAGAGGGGGAGGATGAAAAGGGGAGTGGAATCATATGAGACTGAAAGTGAAAATTTAATAGTCCACCACTGGTGACACAGAGGGAGAGGCCATTGGTGAGGAGGAAGACAGAGGCCTGGGTGCACCAGCTAAGAATCCCAGGTCAAGTTACTCAATGTCTTTCAGACTCAACAAATCAACTGGTTGCCTGGCAAAGAAATACCTTCCCCTAATGGTTTGTTCTAGGGATAGAATACAGTATTATGTTAACTAATTTCAAGCACTGCCTAGCTTATAATAATCCCTCAATTCATGGTAAATTTTTTTTTTTTTTTTTTGAGACGGGTCTCGCTGTGTCACCCAGGCTGGAGTGCAGTGGCGCAATCTCGGCTCCCTGCAACCTCTGCCTCCCAGGTTCAAGTGATTCTCCTGCCTCAGCCTCTCGAATAGCTGGGACTACAGGCGGGTGCCAATGGTGGATGTTTTAATGATGACGTTGATGGTACTGACACTGATATTACTATTTCTTTCCCAACAATCTTGGAACAAGGATGTACACAATGCATAGTACCCAGGGGCACTCTGTCACTCAAAACCAGGTTTTGGGATAATATATGAAGTTGGGCATTCTATTTAGGTTAAAGATTGTGGATAAAATTGATATCATCATCATCATCATCATTATTCACCTTCTCCCCAGTCATGTAAAAGTAATGGATAAGAACATCACTTAGACAAATAATTTAATTTATTTCAAAAGCTTGCTTGAGGAGTAGTAATTACACTGATGTTTAATTTTACATAAATAAGGTATGTTGTTGCATTAATAGCAGAAGTTAGCATGACTGGAGCAAAAGGACCCTCACCTAAATTTCAGAAAACCTGCAGAATAAGGTCTAACTTGAGACGAGCTGCCCACTAAGCAATTTGGAAGATGCATCTCTAGGCTACGTGGACATTTTTGACCCGCTGAAAATGCCTTCATCATTCATTCGACAAATATTTAACAAGCACCTGCTAAGTGCCAAGTACTGGTCTAGGTAATAGGGATACAGCAGGGAACAGACAAGGTCCCTGCTTTTATAGAGTTTATACAAACACTACAAGTCACAAGGGGACAGTGTGGTGATCATGCCATTCTCTCTGAACTCCAGTTCTAAACGTTTTACGAAGACAAATTAAATTGCAGAGCATGTGATTACTGACCATCATCAAACTTATTCTCCAGATACAAAGGCGCACTTTCTACGCTATGTAAGTAAACCTTACTGCTTCCTCACAAAAGAATAGCAAGTCCTATAGATTCTTTCTAGAGGGTCACAGAAACCTTGAGGCTCTGATGGAACAGAAGATGTTGATATCTCTTTCACTTGCTCCTTCAGCACCATATCTTGGCAACACTTGCGGGAAGATTTGTAGAGATCCACAGGAGTAATTTATCCAATTTAATTACCTTCCTACTTCATTTCATAAAAGGGAAGAATATTCTGGTTCAGACTTTCCATTGGTGGCATGCTACTGAAACCTGCGCCTGGTTCTTCAGGCAAGTATGTACAACTCTTGGGTTAATGGGCATGGTGCTGAATCTTGACATGGGAAGATCAAGGAGAAACCCCACTACCCATTGCTCCCAATTCTGAGGAGGTTGGAATAATGCAAGCTTGAATCAATGGACACCTAAACACAAAAATTAGATACCTTGGGCTACAGTTTTCTCAAAGACTCTTGGAAAGGGTGAGGATTAGGAAGAGAATTCAGAGAGAAAGAAAACCCTATCCCAGAGCACCGCACCTTTAGGACCCTGAGGCAGCCTCTTCTCATTGACCTATGCTTTTGGAACATGGTGCAAAGGGCGGCAATCCCAGGGTGCTTTCAGGTCCTCAGAAGCCCTCAGATTAGGAATTCCAACAGTGAAATTCTACGGCTACTCTACTTTTACATCCTAGGATGCAAGCTAAGAAGGACTAAAAAAAATGTAGGTACTAGCATTATTCAGGGCACAGAAATCTCAGGTGATATACTGGGATAAATTCATCTCAGAACAATTCCATGTTTTGGGTATAATGGTGAAACACATCATGCAGCATCCTCATCCTGGAGGCTCTAAGTGTACGTAACTTCTGAGAAGGCCTGTAGAAAAGAAATCTGTTCAGCTTTGTGAAACCTAACATTCCTCAAAATTATTTGGCCATGGAACCCACCCCATTCCTGGACGAACACATTAATTTTAAAAAAATTTATCCAAGGTTTATTATGTGCCAGGCACTATCACAGTGATTAAAGGGGAATGAGTTCCGGTCCTCAAAGGAACTTACCTATTTAATGTTTATTTTCAGAAAGAACTACTTGAGGCAACCAATGTATTGGGGTCTTCATCTGATAATTTAACCTGATGGATCTCTCTAACCTACTAACTTTCCCCCCAAAATCCCATGATCTTTAGCTCTTGAAGGGACAAAGGTAGTAAAAAGGTAGTGTTCTTCACAAAACACACAGCCTCCATGGGCCCATTGCGCCACTGTGTCAACTGAAAGCTCCGTGCCAGATACCAATGGGCTTTTGTGCCATTTGTATTCATCATTATATCTTTGAATAGAGCCTGGCTCACTGTAGGAGATTAATAAATGTGTTTTTGAATGAGTGGTGAATGCCAAGGACTCCCTCTAGTCCCCAAAATTCTGATAAGAATGACCAAAGTTAAAATCCTATCTTAGTCTACACGGACAAATTGGATTTAGGTTCCCTTCATTAAATGCCAACCTTACTGTGCAAACTTGCTTTATATGCCAAATTCAGATGTGGGCACTTCTATTTGATGATGTTATGAGCTAATATTATTTGCAAATGTTTTAATGACCAAATATATCTTTTTAACTGAAGCTAATGTGTTGAAACGTAATCCTTACAGACGCACAGCTGTCTCATGGTCTGAACATAAAACTGGGATTGAAGAGCACTTTCTAACAGAAGCACTGCAATTTCCTTTAAAAAATTTAATATTCATGTACTTTAATTTTTCAGTCAGTAAAATAGGAAAATACGCATTGGCTGGTCTGCCTAAATGAAGTACATTTGAAATTTATAAATAAGCAAGATGTCAAGAAGCAAAACAATCACTAACTTTGAAATTGGATGTGAAGAAAATTCAAAGGATTTAGCCAATTTCAATCTCATACGCAGGAAACATAATGATTTCCTGGCTGTAATATTCTTATCAATAGCAAGAAAGGAGCTCAAAGAAAGTAAAGTGAGTAAATAATTGTTTTTCAAATAAAACAGCCTGCTGAGCCTTCCTAAAATGTAAAGAATCTTTAAAAGTGGAATTAATTTTCCCTTGATTTCACAATGCTTTATTTCTTACCTTGTCTTTACATATTCAAGTGGCATATCATTTTTTAAAACCATCAGGGTAAACAGAATCTAATTATTTTATTGTGTAGCCTTTCAAAAGGTAAAGGAAATGTGAAGAGTTGAGAAAGTATGCAACCCATATTGTTGGCATCTCAGCACTTATGATCATTACAAGCACTCACAAAAAAGCAATACTGGGCTTTAAAGCTGCACTGTATATTTTCTCTTTCTCAGAGCCCTGGGGCTATCACTGCAAAGCACAGTAGTCCATTCTAAGCTCTGAATAAAGAAAAGGAAGAGATCATTAAATTATAATTTCCATGCACAATTGGTACAAGTATTTCCTACCAACAGGATTAATATGAAAGCAAGATCCCAGAATAAAGCTGCTCAGCAGAGAGGATGGCAGTTTAGTGTCTTGTAAATTTGATTTTACTGAAAGCCCTGACACATCATAATAGTGAAATCCTATTTACTGTAGCAAGCAGGATGGATAATGCTATTTAATACCGCTGTACTGTATGCCATCAACTCACAGCTTTGTACTCCATGTTCTCATCTTACCTTAAGGTTAATACTTCTTGACAGCCTACATGGTAAATAGAGCCCCAAATTAAGTGCTGATCCCATGATTTGCAAATCTTTCCTCTAAAGTTAGACATAGAAAAACTGACTCCAGTTAAAGGGATCATTTTACCTGGATGCACTTTTAACAGCTCACCCTAGAAAAAAAGTAAGTCTCATATCCCTAAAGCCAGATTTGAAAAGCAGCTCAAGGTTACCTAAACCACATTTCCCATTCGAAATTTCAGAGAGGTTAACAGAAAAGCCAACGCATTTTGAGGATTTGTTGAATAATGAATTAAGGATAAGACCCCCATATCCTACTATACTGTATTGATATTTTTCCCCAGAGCACAAACTAGGGAAAAAAAATATCTTGCTTGCTACTTTTGGAATATCTGCAATAATAAACTTCCTTTAGGAAAGCAGGTAGATTGTAAAATGGTTCCATCTTTGCACCTAAGTTATAAATGTGTCAATTATGTTAACAAAAGATATGCTGATACTGGGCCTTATTCATTTTTCTACAGAACAATTAACATCTAAGTGCATTTACTTAAACTATCATTACTTGTTGATGATAAAAAAAATTGAGAGTAACTCAATGTACACAATCCAAGCCACTTTAATAAAACCTCTGTTGCTTGTGACATTACAATTAAAAGTGGTGTAGGCTTCTATTAACTTCAACATCCAAACCTGTGGACTACAGAACCTCATCTCTGTTTGTGTAGCTCTCGGTAACTATAGAAACCACAGGGAATCTGCCCTGATCTCCACATGAATGAAGAAGCCAGTACAAAATTTCCCAGTGTCAAAGGAATAGTCTATCTCTCTAGGTTGACAAGTGCAAACTAGTATAACCCACGTAGGCACATCTACCAGGAAGTTACATTTTTAACTCTCATGTTAAATTTACTCTGTCACATTGCAGGGCCAAAATGAGTTAACCACATCACCTAAAATCATTGGCAACTGTTTAGAAAGCACGTCGCAGGGGGGAATATCAAACGGTTTCTTAATCCCATAAACCAAGTTTAAGTTATCTCCCCATCTCCAAAAAACGACTGTTTATATTTTAGTATCTCAGATGTCAGTAGACTAATTGTGAATCCATCCTGCATTAATCCCTTGAAAAGGTTGATCCAGCTTCACTCACTGAAATATTTTACAATGACAGACTTCACCTGGTAGTAAAAATACATAATTTCTTCCCATAAGAAGCACTCTGGGCTGACAATAACCTGTTCTGTTGTCATTTCTCATTATTATCATTGTTGGCATTATTTTTTCCCCAAGCTTCACACAGAGGAGCACAGAAGCAAAGGTACTAATTGAGAAAGAAGAAGTCACACACAATCAAAAGCCAATTAATCATACAGATGAGCCCAACACTTTATGATGCAATAAAAGACATGTCATCTGCCATAAGTGAGAGACTTTTAAAAATTGCTCATTTGATGTAAGCATGACCTTAGAATTTAATTAGCAACTCTCTCCACAGGTGACAAACTAGTAATATACTTTTCTTCTTAATGGCAATTTATTTTTCACCATTCTCTTTGTATTATTCTCTTTTGCCCAGCTTATCTAATTCTCTCTCCCTTTTAATTCTGTGAGATTTCCTGCAGTCTGTATGCAAATTGCTGCTGAAATCCAGAGGTGTCTGAAAACTGAAAGCAATCCATGCCACACTGGCATTTATGATTCACCAGATAAGGGATTCAGGTGTGTCTAAGACAAAGTTTCTGCCTTCGTGGAACTTCTACTGGATGACTGGGAAGGCAGTCATGAACAAGTTAACAAATAATGAGTAAACTAATTATAGATCTGGAAGAGTGCTTTCAAACAAATAAATAGGTTGATATGACAGTTAGAGACAGGGTTCAGAAGTCTAGTTTCTGATAGTCATTAGGAAAGCCTAAAACTTGTAAGGGAGTCAGAGACAGCTATTCAGAGGTGGGAAACAGCATCCCAGGGAACAACAAAGGCAAAGATCCTGACATGGGAAAGAATTTTGAAGGATGGTATACACTTAGCAGATCTTCAATATAGTAAGCACATGATGAATAATAGGTAATATGTTTATAGACAAGGAGGCATCTATTTGATTATATGCCATGGAAAACTAACCTAATAAAATTAGTCTTCCATTTTTTACATACAGCACATAGAATAATATTTTAAGTGGCCCATCTTACAAACATATCTTCATATTTAAGAATGCAAATAAATTGTAAATGCAGTGGGGGGAGGTGTAGGGAGGAGTTCTCAAAGAACAAATGCATGCCACATCACTGGGTTACTCAACATTGTATTATACCTAACTAAATTTTCTGATTTCCCTCAGCTCCTCAAGCCAAGAGGGCTTCATGCTGAGCCAAAACCCCATCATTCTTAGGAAAGCCAAGAGCAAAGTGGATGCCATAGAGCAAATCAATTCAAATTCATAATGGAGAAGTTATACATGCAAAACACATTATCAAAGAGCTCAAGTCTTCAACATGTCCTGGGGAGACAAGGCCCTTCATCCTGGAAGACCCATGGGAGACTGTGGCTTCTGCCCTCTATGACACGATAACCACGGTCCTACCCCTCGCTTCCCTCCCACAGGACCAACAGACTCCTGAAAAATACACATTTTCCTGAAGAACACACAACGATCCAAACTCTGATGAAATAACTATCAGAACACTTTGTCAAAAGTAAAAAAAAAAAAAAAAAAAAAAAAAAAAAAGGTTTGCTTTCTTTCCAGAAGATGGAAAGAGATGAAAAGATGGAAGGCAGTATTAATCAAAGTATGAGCAAGTGAATGAAGACCTCAAGAAGAAATTTTTAAGCTGCTTTAATGACTATAAATTTCTTATTTCAACGTGAAAGAAGCACAACTCGATATTAAAATAACTCTTAGGGGTATCATGCTGTAATCGCTAGGTAATAAGACCTTACTTATTCTTTTTTGGTCAAATTTTCCCAGGAAATGTCAAATTCTGGGAGAAAATTATGCATTTTTGAATGCTTAACACTTTTAGGTTATGAGGTAGCATTAATCAAATCATAACGTCAGGACCCAAAAAGTTGTATTAGAAGCTGGTAAGAGCTAACTTACCACACAAAGAACTAATGCTACAATCAGCAGGATTTACATACAGAATGAACATCTTCAAGTTGGTACTAGACAGCAGCTAAATGCTTAAGCATGGAACCTGGCTCAAATCCAGATCTATCATATTTTGGCTGTATGTTCTTAGGTGAATTACTTTAAGCCTTCACCTAAACAATAGGGCGCACAGCCACACAGGGTTGTTGGTAAGTATAAAATGAGACAATCCATGCAAAGTGCCAATCACAATGTAAATGCTCAGTAAATGTTATCATCAGCATGTTAATAAGGATGCTATAAACAATAACAAAATATTCAAAGTTAAACTTGACTTTCTCCCAGGATAGAATTAAATTATGAATTTAAATGGCTAGTGAAGAAGATACTAAACATTTGTGTGTATTTTAAAACTATACACTAATTGCATAAACATAACTTCATAGTATAAGCTTAGAAAATCTAGGATTCATTCACTGTGCTATTTGTAGAAAATACAGAAATATGCAAGTTATGGAACCTCAAAAACAAAAGAAAAAAATAGAAAATACAGAAATATGAAAATTAGCTCTGTGTCCTCAGGAGTGTACAAGATAAACACACATAACTAATCACAAGTATTATAAACAAAATGTGGCTATCATAAAGAGGTATAAAGCATTATGGACATATTTGTCAATTATACAACAAACAAAAATAAAGTTGGGAAAACAAAAAAAACAGAATTCCCTGTGAGACTTGGAGACTACTTCGTAGAAACACTTAAGAACCTTCTCTTTGAAAGCTGTTCTCAACTTCCTCTCATGAAATCACCAACCAGGAATTAATACTATCTATGTCTCTTATACCAATAATCAGGAATTAATACTCTCTAAGTATCTTTCAATTAGGCAAGACACCTAAATGTGATATCTCTAATGTTCACAGAGATGCCATTGATAACTTAGCAACATTTGAGTATGAAATAAGGACTTAAAAAATCTTTTCAAATGGCTTTGACCTTCTCTCTCAGTAAAGTGTCGCTGCTTTTGAAAACTCATTCTAAAAAGGGTGAAATCAGTGTCCAGTTAAATTACACTTATTACTCCTAACAAGTTAGTGAAAGAAGAAAATTATATCAGACTCCTGGGTGAAGTGGCCAATATAAATACCTGGGTAGAGGGAGTTCCATTCACACATGGGAATTATCTAATTAACAAGCAGTTTATTGAAATAGATCCAAGAGGCAAATCAAGCTGTATTACAGAACTAAATGTACTTCACATGTTCAGTGCACTTTGATTCATACTCTCAAAAGAAATCTGCATCAAGCCAATATAAATGAATAGTTCAAGTCATCAAAAAGTGATAACGTGTACAATTGCTGTGTTAATCTAGTTGATGCGCAGATGGTAAGGTTATCTCAGGAATCTCCCTCAGAATGATTCTGTAAAAGACTCGTTGATGCAACATCCCTCTCCATTAATGATACACCATCTGGTATCTACTTTATAGTTTCATCACTTCATTTAGTTAAAAGAGGAAAAGATATGTGCTTATGTCCACTTTTAAACCACAGGCAACCTGGATTTCCTAGTAAGTTAGATGATTCTGCAAATTATATTAATATTAGAATCATTTCTTACAATACGAATTAATGGATTCAGCATTTTTACACTGTCTAATACAAAAGTGTGTGCAGAATTCCTAATAGAAATAGTTAGACATTGTAATTCTCACTGCCATCACAATACAGAAGAAAATCTCTTTACAATCTTTTGCATTACGCCTAGAAAATACTTCATCATTAGAGACCTAAATGTCTCTCACATATTCCTGGAAGAAATCCAAAGTGACAAAATTCAACTTGAGTACTTTGAGAATGACAGTAACAAACAAAAACAGGACTGTACAGAAATGTGCAAAAGACACAAGGAAGTTGAATAATATTAATTCTATGATTATCGTTATCTTATACACAATGGAAAGTAAGCAAATATTCTTTCATGGCAACAGCTGATATTTGTTAAGCTCTTTCCAGCTTTCAAGGGGCTTTTACACACTCATCTGATCTACCCCCAATCACCATGAAGATGAGCAAGGAACAGAGTATATCCCCATTTTGCAGATAAAGAACCAGACACCACAAGGGATTAGGTGAATTGCCGAACAGCCACATGACAAAAGCATACCTTCTGACTCCTTGTCTAACATTCTTTCTTTTACTTAATGTGGAGTTATCGAGTATTAAGTAACAGCAGTGTATATATTCCACCTTAGCTTTCTAAGCTCACTGGTGCTTCTCAGATTTCAGTTTCAACTGTAGGATGACCACTTCCCAGGCTGATCTTCAAAAAGGAAAACAATATATTCTATATATATATATATATATATATATATATATATATATATTCACAATAATTTGATCTTATCATATCGTGTCTATCTAATCTTCTACCACTTGTTCTACTTGGTGCCAAAAAGCCTAACAGTTTATTTGTTGAGCAGTTGTTGAGCAGATAAGTTCAATCTGCCAGAAACAAATCTTCTCAGACGTTTGTACCAATCAAATTGGTGAGTCTATGAGAAATGGGAGAATATTTTTCAGTGCCTTTTCTTGAACCTGACAATAATTAAAGGCAAGTTTATAAGGTACCTAACATAGTAAAACCTGATGACAAAGAAAACTGTCATTGGGTGAGGAAAAGCAGGTGCCAAGTATATCACCTCAAAAACTTTCACTTTCACTCATTTAACATTTACTAACTCTGATATGGTTTGGCTCTGTGTCTGCACCCAAATCTCATCTTGAATTGTGATACCCACATGTTGAGGGAGGGACCTGGTGGGAGGTAACTGGATCATGGGTGTGGTTTCCCCAGGCTGTTCTTGTGATAAGTGAGAGAGTTCTCAGATCTGATGGTTTAAAAGTAGTTTCCCCTGCACGCTCTCTCTCTCCTGCCACCATGTGAAAAAGGTGCCTGCTTCCCTTTCACCTTCTGCCGTAATTGTAAGTTTCCTGAGGCCTCCCTAGCCATGGAGAACTGTGGGTCAATTAAACTTCTTCCCTTCATAAATTACCCAGTCTCAAGCAGCTCATTATAGCAGTGAGAAAACAGACTAATACAAACTCTAAGCCATGTACAATGCTCTAGGTATAGAAGTAAAACAATTAGTGGGTGAATGGTTACTCTGTGCTACATACTATTACAGGTGCTTTATGAGTATTAGCTCATTTAACAAGTGAGGTAAGTACTATTAAATCATCACTTAATATATGAAACAACTGAGAGGAAAAATAAGATGCTCCACATTACACAGCAGGGAAATGCCAGGTCAGAAATTTGAATCCAAGGCATCTGACATCAGAGCCTTGTGCTCTAAATCAGAGTTCTGCCCACTACAACGAGGGAGCCAAATCAGGCCCAGTACCTGTTTTTGGTTTTACATTTTTAAGTGGTTGGAAAAAAATTTAAGCAAAATTTTGTGATGTGTGAAAACTATATGAGCTTCATACTTCAGGGTCTTTCAATTAGAACAGAGCCACACTCATTCATTTACAGTTGGCTTTCTCTGATTCCACATTACAAAGGCAGAGGTGGGGAGCTGCACAGAAACCAAATGTGGTGTGCAAAGCCTAAAATATTTACTATCCAGCCCTTTACAGGAAAAATTACTGACATTCTCTAAACCATTTCACTTTATGCCTATTCAACATCTCTACTTCAATGTCTTAAGTGTCCTGAGCTTAACATATCCACAATCAAACTCCTGATTTCCTCCACCACCAACATCCCAATCCATATCTTAAGAATCTTCACCTGTGGAAAAACCTTCTAGTTATAAAAGCCATAAACCTAGAGTTTATTCTTTCTTCACTCATGTTCAAAGCCATCAGCAAATCTGGTCAGCTCTACCTTTAAAATACCGAACCACATTTCATTACTTCCCCTGTCGGCACTCAGACCCACACCAGTCATCCCTTTTCCGAATTACTGCCGTAATTTCTTACTAATTCTCTGTTGCTTCAACTCTTGCCCAACACAGCAGCCAGAGGGTTCATCTGCTCCCAAACCCCCCAGCCTTCCCAAACATGCCAAGTTCACGCCTGCTTCACGGTTTTGGCAATGGCTTGCTTCCCTATTACCATAGGCCTCTTCCCAAATGTCATCTCAACAGAGAGTTCTTCCCTCTGTACCCAACTCCATGCCTAAACCCCAGCCCTGGGACTCTCTTTTCCCATTTTATTCCTCCCGAAATTATCATAACCTGCCATACAATATGTATTCTGGTTTTAATTGAATTTAAGCTCCATGAAGACAGATGTTTACCTCATTTTCTTCACTAGTACATAGCTGCTGGCACAAGACCAGGGTGCTTAAGTAAATATCTGCTACATGAATGAGAAAATGCTCCCTACATTCAAGAGGTACTCAGTTCGGTAACATATGGAGACAGCAAACACATTTAACATATACATAACTGTACTGAGTGAGGGTTAATAGTGTATTTCTTATTTTTTCCTATTTTCTTATCAAATAACATTTTCAACAAATAAAATTTGGAGGGTTTCATTCAAAAGAGAGAGAGCTTACTCTGCAACCTCATGGTCTATGTATGAAATTAATCTAGATAACCAATCTACTTTATTGAAAAGGGCACTGATAAGGTGCTCAAACTCTCATTCTTAAACTCACTGCCTTCTTTTGTCCATCTCTGTCCAATTCTAGACCCATGCTGACTTGACGCCGTATCTCTTTTCCTTCTCCTAACTCATGTTTAACTTCTGCTATTCAGCTCCTATCTACCTCTCCTGAAGGAGACATTCATTTCTAAACTACAAATGCAGTGAAACTGAGTTTTCAGAAAGAAGATATATCCTGCCAGGTGCAGTGGCTCATGCCTGTAATCCTAGCACTTTGGGAGGCTGAGGGAGGCAGATGACTTGAGGCCAGGAGCTCAAGACCAGCATGGCCAACATGGTGAAACCCTGTCTCTAATAAAAATACAAAAATCAGCCAGGCATGGTGGTGCATGCCTGTAATTCCAGCTACTCAGGAGGCTAAGGCATGGGAATCACTTGAACCTGGTAGGTGGAGGTTGCAGTGAACCAAGATCATGCCACTAGACTCCAGTCTGGGCGACAGAGTGAGATTCCATTTCAAAAAGAAAAAAGCAAAAAAAGAAAAGATAAAAGAAGATAAATATATCCTTTAAAACACTACCATTTTTAAGAGTGTACTAAAGTTTAGTCAATGTCTGGGAGAGATAAGAGTAGCAGTGTACTGTCTGACCTGGAGGCTATGTAGATTCTAAACATATAAGAAAAGTATTTGCGGTAGGTCCCAAGTGGTAAAATGCATCAGTGAACAAATAACGCAACCATTCCAAAGTGACCAAAGAAAAAATGACATTGTTACAGAGGACGAACTAACTACCTGCTTTGCTTCTTCACTTCCTGGCCACTTTACAACCAGGAAAAGCAGTTGAAGTTCTAATTTATTAATTTTTAAATAAATATACAAGAAAACAGCAGATGTGGTAATAGAATCAATGATAAAAAATAGTCATACCCTCTCCTCCAGTCTAGCCAGCTGTTCTTTGTAGAATGCATCCTGCTTCTTTAGCACTCGGTCTTTCTCTTCCAGCTGCCTAGCCTAAAAAAAGAAATGAGGAATATACTATATCAAGAAAAAGCAGCAACAGCAAAGCAAAAGTCAAGAATAAATTGCATTAGAAATAAGAATACAAATCTGAAGATTTTTGCAATCTATTAGGTCTCTGCCATAGAAAAACATTAAGATGATGATTGCTGTATTTAAATGTAAAGAAGAAGTCCGCATTGTATTTTTTTTCCCGCTGTAACAGCTGTGTCCTATTTTGTCCAAATATATTAGGAAACGTCAGAATACAGCACATAACAGACTCTTATTTAACTTCCCTATCAAAGAGTAATTTCAAGGATTAATATTTTGTACAATGAAACTTTAATTTTATCCTGGGCATAAGATACATGGCTCTTTTTTGAACAAAAAAGTAATGCCTAAATAACATTTTGTACATAAATCTTGTGTTTAAGAACAGTTAATTACCTGCAAATAAATACATACATTGTTCTATTTCCCTTTATGTAAAGAATTAATTGTTATGGAAGAGTGGAAACAAAAACTACCATAATTGTTTATTTCAATAATTCAAAATAATCATAATAAATAACCATATTTAAAAGTAATTTTAAAAGCTTTAGTTATTGTACTTTCAATTTACAAGATTTTTTAAAACAAAATCAAAACAAGTATAATATTTTTGGTTCTTTAAACAATGATGAAGATGGCTACTTACCGATATTTTTCAAGATTTGTAAAAAAAAATGCATTTCTTAAACTAATGTTGGTATCTTGAATATTATGTTTAATTGGCCTTTATCTCTGAGGGATGAGACTTTCCTATATCACTCTGAGTTAGATTTTGTTTTCAACATATTTTTTGCTCAGTGAATGCTGAATATATGCCTGACTACAACTTATAAGAAAGTGTGTGTGTGTATATATATGTGTATATATGTATATATGTGTGTATATATACATATATATACACACACACTATATATAGATATATATATTTTTGTGTGTATCTTTTAATAAACAAAGTATATATATTACTTTTAATATGTAAAGTGTATACATTTCTTTAATTGTATGCATCCAGCCATCCATTAACAAGTATATATTTAGGCATTCCCATCCTTGTGCTATTTCACCAAAATTCTTTTGCTAAATGATCAAGTATTGTCTGTTTCAGATGTCAAGGTGCCTGTCTACTCAACTATCTGCTTAGTTTAGGTGAACTACTTGCACATTTATAGGTTATTGTTTTGCTACTTACTTTGTCTTCAATATCCTGCAGCATGTTAAAAATAAAATAAACAGTTATTTAACAACATAAGTACTGTTTTTTCCTAATTTCACACACACACAAAATCTGATGGATAATATTTAAAATGCAAGCCAAAGAAGGTAATGGAGAAAAAATAAAAAGGAAATGCTTAACTTGAGACACATTTTAATGTCACTATGCTGTTACAGTTTGAATAGAAGATTTCAATGAAAAGTACATGCTGCTTGGAAGCATATGAATAAATAAAAACAAATACAATGTTAAGATTAGATTAAAGTACATTCATATACAAGTATATAATCTATGGCTCCCTGGTACAACATAGTAAAAATTTTATTAGACTGTTAAGAATATGAAACAAAAAGTAAATGAATTTCAAATCTAATATACATGACTACATAATCTAAAGAGAAAAGACCTCTTTAAATTCAACATAAAAACCCAAAATATAAATAAAGAAAATGAAAAAGAATAGACTCATAAGAAACTGCATAAAACAAAAGCATTATAAAATCCAAAGAAGAAGCAAGTAACAAAAACAGGAAAAGAAATCCCAACATGTAACTGGGAGAGTTAATGTTATTAACATATAGAGCACTGAAAAAAGAAGCCTCATCCCCCACTCCTCTCCCCACCGAAAAACAACAAAAGAAATATACACAAATAAACTAGAAATCAACACACGAAAAATACAAATAATAAACACATGAGAAAAACCCAACCCCACATCAAATCAGATAATACCAATTAAGGTAATATGGTGTCATTATTCATCTACCAATTAACAAAAATGTAAAATAAAAATACTCAATATTGGCAAGGATATAAGAAAATAGGCTCTCCTATACACTGCTGGTCAGAATATAAATTGGTATACCCATTTTATAAATCAACTGGATAAAATTAACAAGTCTTTAAAATATACCTATGTACCAGATCTAAAAACTCTACTTATGGTACTCAAGTACTATATGCAAAGATATTCATTATAGGGTTGTTTAAACTTCATTACAAGGTTGTTTAGAATTGCAGAGAAATAAAAACAAACCAATCCAATGGCTAAATGAAATATGTACTCAAAGTATACCACTTAAAAAAGAAAAAAGAAAAAAAGCTATATAAAGGCAGTATAACCTCTTTTTTTGTAAGGAAGACGAAGAGAAAAAACAAAAATAAAAAAACAAAAACAAACAAAAAAGCAGAAGGATATTTTACAAAATGTCAACAGAGGTTACAGCAGACTGGTAGACTTATGGGCGGTATCTATTTTCTTATTTTTGCTTCTTTATATGTTCAGAATTAAAAAGAAACATACTTTATAGTCAAGGGGCAAAAGGAAGAAATTTTTTAAGGTGAGCAAATGAATATGTTTCTTGATTGTGGTGGCGGTTATATAATTACATGCACTTGTCAAAACTCATAGAACTGTATATCAGAAAGAATGAATTTAACTACATAAATTTTAAAAATGAATATAAATTAAGTATACTAAAATTTATAATAATAACTATAAATGTGTGAATGTGTGTATAAATCATTATTATCATTAATCTTCTTATGTGGCCAATTTCACTTCCAGGCATTCAATCCTAGCAAATATTAAAATATAAGAGTATTTACATCTAAGAAAATGCAACCAGCATTATTTAAAGCAACAACTAAGAGTGAACAATAGATGTTTGGGTAAATAAGATATAATCTGACAATAGGATATTGATTATAAAGATTTTGATCCAGCCATATAATCAAACAGTAAGAGTCCTTGAAAGCTGATATCGTAACAGAAAATTAATTTTTTAAAACTCAAAATATTAAGTGAGAAAAAAAACACGTCATAAAATAGCATGTGCCCTAAGCTCCTAATTTTGCATGAGAAATGGGGGAGGGAGGAGCAGAAGGGAGGGACAGAGAAGGTTGAGTACTTGTTTATATGGACATGGAAAAAAGTGTAAAGTATGGTAAGATGTTATAGTAGTTATGATATATGTAGTGGGATATATTATTTGGACTGTTTCTTATTTCCTATAATGAACAGTTAGTACTTCTGTGATCAGAAAAAATCTTTTAAACATCAATATTCCATATGTTTACACTTGACTATGAGATGGAAATGTAGCACTGAGGGCATCTAAAAGAGTGAACCTATTAAATAATTATATTAACAATTCAAAAAATTTAACAACTTGAACAGTTATAGATAGCATGGAAATTGTATTACCTACTAAATCCTGAATGTATCAGCACCTGGTTTTCTCCCCCATTCAATGTATGGCATTATCTACCCTGGCTATTAAAACACTCATACTAGGTAATGTTCCCTTTGTTCACAAAGTGAGATTTTTTAAAATGCAAAAAAAATCATAATGGATATTCCATTATCATTATTTAGAAAACACTAAGAGAATTCAACACTTGAGCCTGCTGAGGACACCGCATCAATCAACAAATTTAATTTTGAAGAGCTGATTACAACCTAAATAAAGGGTGTACAGCTATATGCTCACTCACTTTTCTAAGATATGATCCTTGAAAAAGTTTAAAATAACATGTCCAAAGCTCAGATGTGTACACTAAAGACCAAAGAGGGCAATATTTCCTAAGACCCAACACCACCAAGTTATAGGCCAGCAGCACACATCTTTCCCTGGATTGCAAACAGAATCAATAGTTTGAGATCCACTGGGAAGAATAACAAAGTAAGAAACATGGCCACAACACTTTAATAGCACATTGCTTTGAAACAGTTAATATGATGCTAGGAGGAAAAGTCACACGATATGAATCCTGAAACTTAAATAAGCCTAGAATACATTGACTAAGCTAATAGCTGCTGAGGATGGAGAGTCACATTCAACTTTAAAAAAGTAGTAAACCTACTGCAAGGAAATGAAACTCCGTAGAGCTCTCTAACAGAGAATCACTGTAAATGAACAAATAAAAACAAAGAGGACTACAACATTATTTATTGATATAGAACCATATCTTGGGAAAAAATAATATAAAACATTTTTCCCCATCTACTATTTGCTATTCCTAGAAGAAATATGTATTGAATAGTTTTCAGATCTTGCCAGATTCGGGATAACGTAACTGGGCTGGAAAATGTGACACAATGTACTTAAGTGGATCATTATGGAAAACTAGAATATCCTATAATTCAAGAGAAACAAAGAAAATATGGAAATCAAGTTTAAGGAACCCAACACGAACATTTTGATGTCTTAACTTGGTGTTGATAGCTAGATTAAAAGTGAAGTACGTATGTTTACTTCCTTAAAGACTTGTCTCTTTTCAGAATAGACTTGAAGGGGCTTTACAACAAAGGCTATAATAAAGTTTATACAAGAGAAAACTGGGATTATGAATATAACATACTGGGCTGATAGAAACTTTACCTTCCCATGAATAGTCCAGGCTAAATCTTCATAGCACACACTTTTCGGCATTACTACGCCCTTTTAGCCCTGGTTGCTCCTGGGGACTCAAGTGTGGCACCAACTGCATGGCATTGGGAACTCGGTGACAACACAACCACTTAGCACAGATAATGTACTGTTACTTTGTATATCAAGCACAAGGCATTTTAAGGCAAGGTTCTGTGCTATGGGCAAAGCTTGTATATTTTAAATGACAAAGTTCCTTGAAATGTCAGTATTCCATTTTTAATAGCTCAGGGTAAAAAACAAAGCAGGTACCTACTCAACTTTCCATGAGATAAGACTATGAAGCCAGAGATTACTAGGATTTAGAAAAGGCAACAACTCTCTTAACAATATAAACAGGACATCCCTGTAACCATATATCCTTTCATTCTAAATCTTTTAACAATCTGAAGCATACATATAAAGAACTGAGAAAGACTAATCTTTCACTATAATATGGATAATCTATGGTAGGCAAAATCTGTTTTACAACTCACATAGGCAGATGAGCAAATAAGAGTAGGAAAAAGAGCTTTATTTCTTGTCAAAACTACATATGAGGTGCAATATATACGAACCTAAGAAAATTATATGCTGACATAAAACAGAAAAAGAACTGAAATATCAAAGGAGGCCGAACCATAAACTTGTAAGGTAATATTGCATTTAGAAGCTGTAAAACATGATCACTGTGAATATCAATTAGCTGTTAACAGAATAATTAAAGTAGCCATGTATTCAATTAATTGAATTCTAGGCTTTTGTTAGGAGAAATTACATAGGGTTCAATGAGTCTTTACCAAGTGGCATTAATACACAAAGTATTATACTTCCAGCACTGTTTTCCAAACCATATCAGAGGGTGACCTTCAGTAGGGTAACTCACCTAGGTGAACTTAAATGATGTCCAACCTATTATCATACTTTTCAATGACTATTTGGAGGCATAAACATCAGCTATAAGCAGATCCCAGCTGGAAATGTTAAACTGCACTGATGTCCACTAACACTATAACACCTAATATAAGGTGAACATAGACCAGAGAGATGAAATACAAAAGCCCATTCTTCCAATAGACTTCCTAATCTGAAGTCTGGAACTCAAACCCAAGCACCCAGGATTAGATCAAGGCAGCTGGTTTTGGTGCTTGTTTTGTCTTCCCCTTCTCAGAGTTTCAAGAGCCCTGATCGACATTTTAAGTTTCTTCATACTAATAACATACAGAAAACAGCCAACTGATCATGTCCTTTGCCACCTTGGGGTATGATATGGTTTGGCTCTGTGTCTGCACCCAAATCTTATCTTGAACTGTAATCCCCATAATCCCCACATGTTGAGGGATGGACCAGATGGGAGGTGAATGGATAATGGGGGAGGTTCCCCCTGCTATTCTTGTGATAGTGAGTGGGTGCTCACAAGATCTGATGGTTTTATAAGCATTTGACGGTTCCTCCTTCACATGCTCTTTCACTCTCTGGCTTGCCGTGTGAAGAAGGTTCCTGCTTTCCCTTTGCCTTCCACCATGATTGTAAGTTTCCTGAGGCCTTCCCAGGAAGCGTAACTGTGAGTTAATTAAATCTCTTTCTTTTATAAATTAACTACTCTTGGGTAGTATCTTTATAGCAGTGTGAAAATGAAATAATACAGTTAACTGGTACCAAGGTAGTGGGGCACTGCTATAAAGATACAGAAAATGTGGAAGCAAGTTTGGAACTGGGTAATGGACAGACGTTGGGACAATTTGGAGATCTCAGAAGATGAAAGGAAGATATGGGAAAGTCTGGAACTTCTGAGAGACTTGTTGAACGGTTTTGACCAAAATGCTGATAGTGATATGGACAATGAAGTCCAGGCTGAGGTGGTCTCAAGATAGATATGAGGAACTTACTGGGAACTGGAGCAAAGGTGACACTTGCTATGCTTTAGCAAAGACACTGGTGGCATTTTGCCCCTACCCTAGAGAACTGTGAAACTTTGAACTTGAGAGAGATGATGTGAAATTGGAACTTATGTTTAAAAGGGAAGCAGGGCATAAAAGTTTGGAAAATTGGCAGCCTGACCATGTGGTAGAAAAGAAAAACCTATTTTTCTGGGGAGAAATTCAAGCCAGCTGCAAAGATTTGTAAGATTAACAAGGAGCTGAATGTTAATCACCAAGACAATGGGGAAAATGTCTCCAGGGCATGTCAGAGGACTTCACAGAAGCCCCTCCCATCGTAGGTCCAGAGGCCTAGGAAGGAAAAACGGTTGCCTGGACCAGACCCAGGGCACTGCTGCTGTGTGCAGCCTCAGGACTTGGTGCCCTGAGTCCCAGCAGCTCCAGCTCTAGCCGTGGCTAAAAGAGGCCAAGGTATAGCTCAGGCCACTGCTTCAGAGGGTGCAAGCCCCAAGCCTTAGCAGCTTTCATGTGATGTTGGGCCTGCAGGCGCACAGAAGTCAAGAATTGAGGTTTGCGAACCTCCACCTAGATTTCAGAGGATGTATGGAAAAGCCTGGATATCCAGGCAGAAGTCTGCTGCAGGGGCAAAGCCCTCATGAAGAACCTCTGCTAGGGCAGTGCAGAAGGGAAATGGGGGGTTGGAGCCCCCACGCAGAGTCCCTACTGGGGCACTGCCTAGTGGACCTGTGAGAAGAGGGCCACTGTCCTCTAGACCCCAGAATGGTAGATCCACTGACAGCTTGCACAGTGCACCTGGAAACGTCACAGGCACTCAATGCCAGCCCATGAGAGCAGCATGGGGGCAGTACCCTGCAAAAACACAGGGGCGAAGCTATCTAAGGCCATGGGAGCCCACCTCTTGCATGAGGGTGAACTAGACATGAGACATGGAGTCAAAGGAGATTATTTTAGAGCTTTAAGACTTCATGACTGCCCTGCTGGATTTCAGACTTGCGTGGGGCCTGTAGCCTCCTTATTTTGGCCAATTTCTCTGATTTGGAATGAGAGCGCTTACCCAATGCCAGTACCCCCACTTTATCTTGGAAGTAACTTACTTACTTTTGATTTTACAGGCTCCTACATAGAAGGGACTTTCCTTGTCTCAAATGAGACTTTGGACTTGGACTTTTGGGTTAATGCTTGAATGAGTTAAGACTCTGGGGGACTGTGAGGAAGGCCTGATTAATTTTGAAATGTAAAAAGAATCTTATATTTGGCAGGGGCCAGGGTGGAATGACATGGTTTGGCTCTGTGTCCCTACCCAAATTTCATCTCAAACTGTAATCTCCATAATCTCCACGTGTCAAGGGACAGACCTGGTGGGAAGTGGTTGGATCATGGGGGCGGTTTCCCACGAGCAGTTCCAGTGATCAAGAGCAAGCTCTCATGAGATCTGATGGTTCTGTAAGTGTCTGAAGGTTTCTCTTTCACAGGCTCTTTCTCCTGCCACCTTGTAAAAAAGGTGCCTGCTTCCCCTTTGCCTTCTGCTATGATTGTAAGGTTCCTGAGGCCTCCTCAGCCATGTGAAATTGTGAGACAATTAAACCTCTTTCCTTTATAAACTACCCAGTCTCGGGTATTTCTTTATAGCAGTGTGAAAATGGACTAATGCAAAAGTATATCTGCTATTCTCTTAAATAAGAATGCAGAGCCAAAAATGAATGATTTTTGAAATTAAAAAGTAAAGCCAACATTGAATAAAGACAGGAGGTTGTTGGAGTACACAAATTTTGAATAGAAAGTGATCTGGTGGTGTTTTGCTTTAAATTATCCCAGAAGTTCTCTCATAACTTTTATGTATATCATAGCGCTTAACAAAAGAAGCAAAATGCAGTGCTGGATGAAATTAGAACCAATTTTATAAACTTTCTTCTATAGCTTGAGAGAGAGGGAACAATTGTAAACTATACATTTACTCCTCCAGTTTTCTAGTTTTATTTCATAATTTGGATGTTATTAGCACTATGACACAGTAAGAAACTCAGTGAGGAGACAGAAGACTTGGGTGCCCATGTTGACTCTTCGGAATCACCACATCACCATGCACTGACCCAGCCCTGCACCCATGTTCCAAACCACTCTTGGATATTACTTCCAGAGTCTTTGCCAAGTCATACCCTAGCTGCTTCTCCTACTTTTGCAGCTAATAAAACCTTTCAATATGTTTCCTATGGCACTTGTTTTTGCTTTTACCTTGTATGATACATGCTTACTTACCCACTACTCCTCTCCTTAACTGTAAACTCTCTGAGACAAGAGAAGGGCTTTCCTCCTCTCTGCCTGTATCTTTGGCTCAAGCTAGATCTGTACTTTCCACAAGGAAACACTCAGTACACAGTAGCTGAATCAAATGAACTGCACTGAGGGCAAGAGTTTGTACAAAGTAAGTAGGTACAGCTTCTGGGAAGGAAATCTGTCCTAATGTCTACGATTTAGTTCA
Organism: Homo sapiens; assembly: GCF_000001405.40. NCBI lineage: Eukaryota > Metazoa > Chordata > Mammalia > Primates > Hominidae > Homo > Homo sapiens. Next base: position 132,894,788 of record NC_000007.14, read on the forward strand.
AACTACCACATGATATACAGTGTGATTTTATGTGTACATTATTATGTATGTACATTATTATGTAAGCTCTGAATTAGGTGCTGCCAGCATGTTACTCAGGAATGCACAATCCAGGAGCAATCAGCAAGTATTCTTATTAGAAGCTCAAAAAGTAGGAGGCTACTAGAAGGGCTTCAGTCATCCATGTCTTAATCAACAGTGATGTTTTGCTAATTAGCAAAATGACTGCTGGAAATGGGATTTTATTGGTGAAAATGGTCCATTAACCAGCATGATAAATGTTAGATATGAGTTCTTATCAGTAAAATGAGAGCTCTCACAAAGATATCAGAATTAGCTGCCATATTATAAAGACACTCCTACATATGCTGCATGAACAGGTTAAAGAAATCCAATGAGGCCTCTAGCTTTTACTGTAGGAGTGGTACCTCAGAATTGATCCCTAAAAAGCTCTGTATCCAGCCATGTGTTTAAGACAAAGATTCTCATCCTTGGCACTATCAACAATTTGGACCAGATAATTCTTTGTTATGGAGACAGATCTTACATACTGTAGAATGTTTAGCAGTACTCGTGGCCTCTAATCCGTACAGCCCAGCAGCACTACCCCCTACTCTGAGTTGTGACAAGCAAAATGTCTCCAGACATTGCGAAATGTTGCCTAGGAGGCAAAATCGCCTTCTGTGGAAAACCACAGGTTTAAGAGGTGATATGGTTTGGCTGTGTCCCCACCTAAATCTCATCTTGAATTGTAGCTCCCCTAATTCCCACGTGTCATGCACGGGACCCACTGGGAAGTAACTGAATAATGGGGGAAGGTTTTTCCTGTGCTGTCCTCATGACAGTGAATAAGTCTCATGAGATATGATTGTTTTATAAAGGGGAATTCCTCTGCACAAGCTCTCTTTGCCTGCCACTATGTAAGAAGTGACATTGCTCTTCCTTTGCCTTCCGCCATGATTGTGAGGTCTCCCCAGCTATGTGGAACTGTGAGTCCATTAAACCTCTTTTTCTTCATAAATTACCCAGTCTCAGGTATGTCTTTATTAGCAGTGTAAGAACAGACTACTACAAGAGGATTGTTGGTTGTTTGAGATCAAATACAAAAAGCCTCATCTGTCTCAGGTGAAACTTTCTTGCAAAGAAAATACTTAAAAGAACAGAAAACTGCAACTTCATTGAGTTTTACAAAACGGGTCATATGAATCATTTTGTACTGGATTTCTAATAAAGTTTTGTTCAATAAATGTCTGTACATATTGTAGATTGGGGTTGGGTCTGCTTGTGTTATCTATCATCTGGTGGTTGGGTTGAATTGCAAAGGCGTAAGGTACAAAAGCAATGAGAGTGGCTCAAATCTTTGTAATGTAATGAAATCATTCCCCAGTGAGAAAATATATAAAATATGTACAAAAGCTCGTTCTTTTCTACAACTTCTGGTAAAACTAGAATCAAAGCTTCTATCACATATAAGACTTTGAATCCATTTAACTTATGTTCAGATCAGGCAAGGCTGAGATTCCATTGACACAAACTGGTTCTGGTTGTTTAACATTTGTTCTGCTTGGGCAGTGACTATGCCATACCTGTTGTTAAATATTTTATATATAATTCCTGAGAACAAGGCATATTGTGATTCCATTATAACTTACAAGTTTCATGTTACAAAGTAACATGACATTTCAACATGAAAGGTGCTGAAACATATCACTGCATCAGTTCAGTGGCATATGCTCTGTGCTCTCCGCCCAACATCCATTTAAAACAAGAACACTCGTCACAATCCCCAACCCATAAGAAACATTAAATAAATGCTGAATCAAAACTCAAATGAATGGCTAGGGTTTCAGAATTCTAACACAAGCAGTCTTATCTTCTCTAATGACAATGGCTTCAGCTACTACATGTTTATGAAAGACACAAGTGAATATAAACAGCTAACAAGCCTAAAAGACCATGGTGAATCAAATTCAGCAACTGAATATAAAACACAGCTCCAAAAAGCTACATTCTATAAAACAAATTAAGGACTGTATGTCACAGTATCACTAGCAAACTTAAAAACTTCAAAGCTAAGAATTAGCACTGAAAGAGGAAAAAGTGGTAAAAGAGGCCATATTCTATAAAACTGTGTGATTATATGGACTTAGAGCAGGAAGGGGTTTTTACTATTAAAGGCAGCTGCAGCACAGATTGGCGTTATCAACTACTGAATGCTACCATCACTGGTAAAAGCAGGGTGGTCTCAACTCTAAACCACAGCTGTTGTGAGTACAGAGTGGGAAGAAATACTAAGCATTTTGAGTTACATAACTTAAGGTGCAATTATACTCAAATATCTCTATCTTCTTATTCCATATTGTGGGGAATAAAACTTCCATTTCCAGGCACTTACATATAATCTTGTTTTACCATGGAGATTAAAAATCTCAGAAGCACTCTGACATAGAGACGCCAGTTAAACTGCACTATCTGCACCAAGGTATTTGGTGTCAGTGAACTGACAAGTAAATTGGACAACAACATGGAGACAATTACCGCACAACTTCTGAATTCCTTTTCTTTGTACTAACTTGTATTTGTTCAATTTAAATTTAGACTTAATGTTCACACTATTGGGACCAATTGGCCACTCAACCTCTTTTCTTGCAATCTGTTTCACATTCAGAGCTGAAGAAAACATCCAGAGATCACTCAGTTCATTTTCTAGGAAGTAAGCGAGGCTCCAAGCTCTTTGTCTGCTAAGGGAATTCTTGAAGGTCAGAAAGAGAATTGGTTCTGGGACTCCTGCCTCTTGACAGCAGTGTACTTCCCATTGCTCTGACTTTATTTCTTCTCATGCTGGCTTGAAGTTAAGAGAAGAAAATGTAAAAAATTACTAATCAAACATTTGTAGCAATTTTCAGCCCTATTCAACATAAAGATTTGTTTTTAAAGATTTTCTGCAACCATTATTGCACACTACACTAAAAATAACTTCAAATCCACCTGTATACTATGTCGGTTCAGGTCTTCTGGAATGCAGATGCTAATGTGTCCGGAATTGGTGGGTTCTTGGTCTCACTGACTTCAAGAATGAAGCCGCGGACCCTCGCAGTGAGTGTTACAGTTCTTAAAGGCAGCGTGTCCGGAGTTTGTTCCTTCTGATGTTCAGATGTGTTCGGAGTTTCTTCCTTCTGGCGGGTTCGTGGTCTCGCTGGCTCAGGAGTGAAGCTGCAGACCTTCGCGGTGAGTGTTACAGCTCTTAAGGCGGCGTGTCTGGAGTTGTTTGTTCCTCCCGGTGGGCTCGTGGTCTCCCTGGCTTCAGGAGTGAAGCTGCAGACCTTCGCGGTGAGTGTTACAGCTCATAAAGGCAGTGTGGACCCAAAGAGTGAGCAGTAGCAAGATTTATTGCAGAGAGCCAAAGAACAAAGCTTCCACAGTGTGGAAAGGGACCCGAGCGGGTTGCCACTGCTGGCTGGGGCAGCCTGCTTTTATATTCTCTTTTCTGGCCCCACCCACATCCTGCTGATTGGTAGAGCCGAGTGGTCTGTTTTGACAGGGCGCTGATTGGTGCGTTTACAATCCCTGAGCTAGACACAAAGATTCTCCACGTCCCCATCAGATTAGCTAGATACAGAGTGTGGACACAAAGGTTCTCCAAGGCCCCACCAGAGTAGCTAGATACAGAGTGTCGATTGGTGCATTCACAAACCCTGAGCTAGACACAAAGGTTCTCCACATCCCCACCAGACTCAGGAGCCCAGCTGGCTTCACCCAGTGGATCCCGCACCCAGGCTGCAGGTGGAGTTGCCTGCCAGTCCCGCGCCGTGCGCCCGCACTCCTCAGCCCTTGGGTGGTCGATGGGACTGGGCGCTGTGGAGCAGGGGGTGGCGCTCGTCGAGGAGGCTCGGGCCGCACAGGAGCCCACGGAGCGGGTGGGAGGCTCACGCATGGCGGGCTGCAGGTCCCGAGCCTTGCCCCACGGGAAGGCAGCTAAGGCCCGGCGAGAAATCGAGCGCAGCGCCGGTGGGCTGGCACTGCTGGGGGACCCAGTACACCCTCTGCAGCCACTGGCCCAGGTGCTAAGCCCCTCATTGCCCGGGGCCGGCAGGGCCGGCCGGCTGCTCCGAGTGCAGGGCCCGCCAAGCCCACACCCACCCGGAACTCCAGCTGGCCTGCAAGCGCCGCACACAGCCCCGGTTCCCGCTCGCGCCTCCCCCTCCACACCTCCCTACAAGCTGAGGGAGCGGGCTCTGGCCTTGGCCAGCCCAGAAAGGGGCTCCCACAGTGCAGCGGTGGGCTGAAGGGCTCCTCAAGTGCCACCAAACTGGGAGCCCAGGCAGAGGAGGCGCCGAGAGCGAGCGAGGGCTGTGAGGACTGCCAGCACGCTGTCACCTCTCACTAAGACATAAAGTACAAGAGACTGATTATGGGGGCATGTGTGGGAAGGGTGGAGGAGAGAAGGAGCAGAAGAAAGCAGGAGAGCCTCAGACTGTGCTGCAGGTCTGACACCAGCAACAGGAGGGAAGGAAGGAAGATCATACGCAGCTCTGGGAAAATCTTAGCCAGGCTGATGGGGAGCCCCAGAGCGCATGGTGGATCCCAAAGGTGCAGCAGCTCGATGCTGTCAGCTAACTGCACCACACCCTTTGAGGCAGGTTCTCTTAAACATAGAGCTAAAGGGCACGCTCCTATGGCCGCCACATAATCAGATTTGTTAATTAACACAAAACAAAATGATGACAGCAAACATCAACTTCCACTTCAAACAGAATGTAAACCAGCAGAGAATGAGGTTTACATGTGTTTGTATGTATCAGTTCCCTTTAGAATTGCTTCACTTATGCAGGCCAGGCAGAGTAAATCCGATTGAACTTATGGAATACTATTTGATCCATAAGTTCTATCAAGTAGAAAAAGCAACAAAATAGGCATCAGACAATTAAAGCTTCCATTCCATCTTGGCAGCTAACTCATGGTCTATAGCAGATCACCTCACCTTTCTGGATCTGTCTCTTATCTGTACAATTCAGAGGATAGGCTAAATAATATCTAAGACCCCTCTAACACCCACATTTCATGCGTTACATTTACCACAACATTTCTTCTATTATTCATTTGGAATCTACTAAGCAGCTAGGCCAGAGGAAATTCAATAAATGTGTATGTTCTTCTGCCAAACTGCTAGGATGCTAGGGGCACACATTAAACAACATTTGGAAATAACCGTGTGTATGTGACACCTGGATGCCAGGGGCAGACACTGTGTGGCAGCAGCGTTCCTTCTCTGCCTGACTTGGCACCAGCAGTGGGTTTGCAACTACTAGAACAGAGCCTAAGCCTTAGCAATATTCGCTGGGCTGCCTCCTGAACCTCATACCACCTGGCAAACTCAAATAGGTAAGATTGGGGCTGCAAGGGGCCACTTTTCTAAAATAACCTCAACTCATTGCTGCTAACCAATAATCAGGCATGTTCATCCTGTTTATGTTTCTTTACAGAAGCTGGTACAATTACATCATACGGACATTTAACTTATGCAAACTCAACTGCCCAAGGTGATGGAGGGAGAGAGATAATTTCAGTAGTACCCAGGGCTCCACTTACTCCACAAGAAAGCCTGAGACCGGAGGCATACATCAGCTCTCCTCTTGATCTGTCTCATCTCCCACATACCCTCACAGAGTGAGCATCTTTTCCCAGTGAATGGAACTCTAGTGGTTGAACTTATACAAGATTCATTCACAAACCTTTAAATGAAAGCCAGCACTTTCATCTAGTGCTCAACTAAAGAAAACTACTGACCCAGAATGGAAAAAAAAACTAGCAGTGCTGGACTCAAAAGAATAATTTTGAACAAAAGAAATGTTTACCTTACATGCTGATTTTAAAACTAAATCCTTAAGATGCAACTCTACTATATTCTAAGAAAAATAGAATTTGGAGGCTAGGCATGGTGGCCTGTAAACCCAGCACTTTGGAAGGCCAAGTCGGGTGGATCACCTGAGGTCAGGAGTTCAAGACCGGCCTGACCAATATGGTGAAACCCCGTCTCTACTAAAAAAACAAAAATTAGCTGGGTGTGGTGGTGGGCACCTGTGGTCCCAGCTACTCAGGAGGCTGAGGCAGGAGAATTGCTTGAACCGGGGAGGCGGACGTTGCAGTGAGCCGAGATAGCACCACTGAACTCCAGCCTGGGCGACAGAGCAAGCCTCCCTCTCAAAAAACAAAAAACAGAGAGAGAAAAAAAGAAAAATAGAATTTGGAAAATCACTTAAGGGATAAAAATTACTTTCTAAAGAAATCTTCCACAATGGGTCACTGGTAATGAAAGTACAACAGAACACTCAGCCCTTTACAACATCCCAGTTTTCCCCAAACCCGTAGTGAGGGAATTCTTGAAAACCTTCAGCCTCTGTACAAAGCCTCCGGCTTATCTAATCAAGGAAAATAAGTTAAGAGATAAGATCTTGGGAATAACAAATGATAACCTGAGGCCTAAACATGGTAAAAAGGGAAAGAAGTCTTAGAAGGGAGCAATGGAAAGAAGAGAATGCGCTCAAAGCACGAGTCATCTGAATAGAAAGCAACAGCGCACACAAGATAGGATGGAAATCAGCCACCTCAGTGCCGGGATGGAGGTGACTGAAGAGAGACATGCCATCATCTGCCCATTAAAGAAGCCACCCTGAGGCAAAGGCAAAGGCCACAGGAGGGAGGCAGGGGGTCCTCTTGTCTGACTCAGTCCTCAGGCCTGGCTGGTTTAGACTTAGCTTTGTTCTTCTCTGATGGCCAGTGATGATCAGATCTGTTCATGTGTCTGTTTGGCTACATAAATGTCTTCTTTTGAGAAGTGTCTGTTCATATCCTTCGCCTACTTGTTGATGGGGTTGATTGTTTTTTTCTTGTAAATTTGTTTGAGTTCATTGTAGATTCTGGATATTAGCCCTTTGTCAGATAAGTAGATTGCAAAAATTTTCTCCCATTCTGTAGGTTGCCTGTTCACTCTGATGACAGTTTCTTTTGCTGTGCAGAAGCTCTTTAGTTTAATTAGATCCGATTTGTCAATTTTGGTTTTTGTTGCCATTGCTTTTGGTGTTTTAGTCATGAAGTCCTTGCCCATGCCTATTCCTGAATGGTATTGCCTAGGTTTTCTTCTAGGGTTTTTTCTTCTAGGGTTTTTATGGTTTTAGGTCTAACATTTAAGTCTTTAATCCATCTTGAATTAATTTTTGTATAAGGTGTAAGGAAGGGATCCAGTTTCAGCTTTCTACATATGGCTAGCCAGTTTTCCCAGCACCATTTGTTAAATAGGGAATCCTTTCCCCATTTCTTGTCAAAAACCACAATGAGATACCATCTCATTTAGAATGGCAATCATTAAAAAGTCAGGAAACAACAGGTGCTGGAGAGGATAGGGAGAAATAGGAACACTTTTACACTGTTGGTGGGACTGTAAACTAGTTCAACCACTGTGGAAGACAGTGTGGCGATTCCTCAGGGATCTAGAACTAGAAATACCATTTGACCCAGCCATCCCATTACTGGGTATATACCCAAAGGATTATAAGTCATGCTGCTATAAAGACACACACATACGTATGTTTATTGCAGCACTACTCACAATAGCAAAGACTTGGAACCAACCCAAATGTCCATCAATGATAGACTGGATTAAGAAAATGTGGCATATATACACCATGGAATACTACGCAGCCATAAAAAATGATGAGTTCATGTCCTTTGCTGGGACATGGATGAAGCTGGAAACCATCATTCTCAGCAAACTATCACAAGGACAGAAAACCAAACACCACATGTTCTCACTCATAGGTGGGAACTGAACAATGAGAACACTTGGACACAGGAAGGGGAACATCACACACCCGGGCCTGTTGTGAGGTAGGGGGAGTGGGGAGGGATAGCATTAGGAGAAATACCTAATGTAAATAACCAGTTAATGGGTGCAGCACACCAACATGGCACATGTATACATATGTAACAAACCTACACGTTGTGCACATGTACCCTAGAACTTAAAGTATAATAAATAAAAATAAAAAATAATAAAAAAAGACTTAGCTTGTTCACATCACTATTTGTGAACAATACTCTGGTATGGGAAGACCAAAACGAGGCAGAGAGCTCCACAATCCCAAATTCTAGAAACTCCTGTCATACCAGAGTTTTGCTGTCAAGGTACTCAGGAATAGACATGATCACCATTGTCAACTTACAATTTTTAACATCCTTTGTCACCTTGAAAGACCTGTAACTATATAATCACACTAGAAAGCCTCACTGCACAGCAATGTGAAGCAAGTACAATTGTCTCTCAGTATCTGCAAGGGATTGGTTCCACAACTCCCCAAGACCCAAATCCACAAACGCTCAAGTCCCTGATATAAAATGGCATAGTATTTGCATATAAACTATGTACCTCCTCCCATACATGTTAAAGCATCTCTAGATTACTTATAATGCCTAATACAATGTAAATGCTATGTAAGTAATTATTATCCTGTATTTATTTTTTATTTGTATTCTTTTTAGTTGTTATATTGGGGTTTTTTTCTGAATATTTTCAATCCTTGGTTGGTTGAATCTGCAGATGCAGAAGCCGTGGACACAAAGGGCCAACTGTAGTACAGTTTCTACACAACCTTTTTATTTTTTTATCTTACAGTTAAGGAAACAAGTTGCAGAAAAGTGACCTGCCTGAAATCCACAAGCTGGAAGAGCTGTCTCATGAACACAGAATTTCTGACTCTTCCCAGGAGAGCTCACCAGGCAGATCCATCTCTAGGTTTGAACCCAACAACAACAACAACAACAAAAACAACCTCATAATTCTCGTTTGGTCTTGCCTTCTGGGGAAGTCAGAATATTCTTAACTACCTGGCATGGGTATCCGGCCTGCTTATGGCTATAGTTATTGTTTTAATTACATATTGCCTTTCTGACTTAAAACTCATCTTACTGTGGGTAGGATTTTCATTAAGGCATCATTTGATCAGATGCTAGAAAGCTCTTCGCAAGTATTCGAACTGAGGAACTAACTGATCAGATTCCAGACCAGAGGAAAGAGATTCCCACCCTTAAGCCTTTTAAACTGCATGTGAGTATATTACATGTAAAATCATCTTAATGACAAACATGAGTGACGTCTGATGCCATATTTCTCAGCTATCAAAAATACTTGAACAAAGGACAGGCATGGTGGCTCATGCCTGTAATGCCAGCATTTTGGGAGGCTGAGGTGGGGGGATCATTTGAGGTCAGGAGTTCAAGACCAGCCCGGGCAACATGAGACCTCATCTCTACAAAAGATTTAAAAAAAAATCAGCTGGGCATGGTGGCATGCGCCTGTAGTCCCAGTGACTCAGGAGGCTGAGGCAGGAGGATCATTTGAGCCCAGGAGGTCAAGGCTGCAGTGAGCTATGATCATGCCACTGTACTCCAAGCCTGGATGACACAGCAAGACTTTGTGTCTAGAAAAAAAAAAAACCCACAACTTTTTTTTACATATTTAAGGCAGAGGCAGGAATATACCTTAGAAACCAAGGCCCTTAGAAGTTAAAGACACTTTTAGGATCACAAAGCTAACTAGTCATGAGTTAAGAATAGAATACAGATTATTCTGACTCACATTTTAAAGTTAGCATACTAAGCAATATCTCAATATTCTTAAAAACCTACCTGCAAATGACACATGAAAAAATGCTCATCATCATTAGTCATCAGAGAAATGCAAATCAATGCCACAATGAGATACCATCTCACACCAGTTAGAATGGCAATCATTAAAAAGTCAGGAAACAACAGGTGCTGGAGAGGATGTGGAGAAATAGGAACACTTTTACACTGTTGGTGGGACTGCAAACTAGTTCAACCACTGTGGAAGGCAGTGTGGCGATTCCTCAGGGATCTAGAACTAGAAATACCATTTGACCCATCCATCCCATTCCTGGGTATATACCCAAAGGATTATAAATCATCCTACTATAAAGACACATGCACACGTATGTTTATTGCAGCACTATTCACAATAGCAAAAATTTGGAACCAACCCAAATGTCCATCAATGATAGACTGGATTAAGAAAATGTGGCACATATACACCATGGAATACTATGCAGCCATAAGAAAGGACGAGTTCATGTCCTATGCCAGGACATGGATGAAGCTGGAAACCATCATTCTCAGCAAACTATCTATCACAAGGACAGAAAACCAAACACTGCATGTTCTCATTCATAGGTGGGAATTGAACAATGAGAACACTTTGACGCAAGGCGGGGAACAAAATCACACACGGGGGCCTGTCGTGGGGTGGGGGGCAGGGGGAGGGATAGCATTAGGATAAATACCTAATGTAAACGACGAGTTAATGGGTGCAGCAAACCAACATGGCACATGTATACCTATGTAACAAACCTGCACGTTGTGTACATGTACCCTAGAACTTAAAGTATAATAATACTAATTTAAAAAAGCCATAAAAAGGAATGAGATCATGTCCTTTGCAGGGACATGGATAGAGCCGGATGTCGTTAACCTCAGCAAACTAACACAGAAACAGAAACTGAAATACCCCATGTTCTCACTTATAAGTGGGAGCTGAACAATGAGAACACATGGACACATGGGGGGAAACAACACACACTGGGGCCTGCTGGGGGGCTGTCGGGAGGGAGAGCATCAGGAATACTAGCTAATGGATGCTGGGCTTAACACCTAGGTGATGGGATGACCTGTGCACATGTTTACCTACGTAACAAACCTGCACATCCTGCACATGTACCCTGGAAATTAAAATAAAAGTTGAGGGGAAAAAAATGCCTAATTAAAGAAAAAAAAAACTTACCTGTAAATAAGAATCCAAAAATAGAAATCCTTAATATGTTATTCCAAACATAACATCACCAACCACCCCACTCCTGCCACCACATACACAGAGACGTATTTAAAAGCATGTATTAACCGTCCATTTGGATGGGCTGATCATCTGCAGAGCTTCTAAGATGCAATTCCTCTCCAGAGGCATTTACTAATCGAGATGAGTACTGTACTGCAGAGTGGACAAAAGGATATTGCCAGAAATCAAAATAGCTGCATGAAAATATATTCACGGAAAGTAACAGACAAATATATTAAGCATAAATAACCAAGACACGTAACTCAATTAGTATGGTAAGAGAAATATTTTGCTGAAGTGCTGGCTTGATCCTTTACACATTTACAATACTATGCAAAGAGAGTGGATGTTAACTGCACTGGCCACAAAAATTATAACTATGTGAGATAAAGCATTTGGTAATTAGCTGGATTTAAAAATTCCACAATGTATGATATATACTTCAAAACATCACATTGTACATGATAAATACATACAATGTTATCTATCAATTTAAGAAAATTTTTAATTAAAAAATTTACAATATTAGCCAGCTATCAATTTATTTTAAATGTTAAATGTTTTGTGATCCTTGCCATTTGTCACTTTGCACAAAATATTCTAGGCTACAGTAAACAATTAGTGCTTTTTCTAACCGAACAAAAAAGCCTGTTTGCTTTGAAAACTGCATACCACCTGCTATTAATCTGAAACTGAAAACAAGCAGTGTAATGACAGTTAGCAAGTTAACACCCCCTCCACCTCTTTCCTGAAAGATGAGCATTGAGTACCATTTCATAACCTTTTCAAAATTCTTTTCTAAAAAGTTCTAAGAAACAGATTTATATTTTACTACTAATAATGACATGAGATTATTAAAACCAAACACGGTGCCCCTGCAGTGTGACAAGACTGGTTTTAGCGCTGAAGGAATTCCCTCCCCAACCCCCGCCCCAATCTTTTTCCTTTTTTCTTTTTGTCTGGTGTCAGATGAATACGGCAGTAATGATGACATGATCAAGGAAGAGCTGACAACCAGCTGGAATATTTGTAAAAAAAAGACTGCCTAGCAGGTCTTTGCAGAAAGCTATCTTTTGTCCTCCTGTAGCTTTCTGTCACCTGAGGTAGCCTGCATCCTCCGGAGATGAAACGTAACATAAAACTATTAATTGATCTACTATCCAAATAGCTCCTGTAACACTTTGGAGAACTTTGCAATTTGGTGGGTAGAATGGCCAGGACACCAACTTACTCAGCTCTAAACACAAAGCCTGATCTAAGCAGAATACACAATTCATGATCACCCATAAATGACTCTCAGGCATTCTGAATGTGTCTCTTCCCACCAGAGGAAATAAACCATACCCTATATACATGCTAACATGTTAAGTTAAATGCTAAAATAATTTACACACCTGAAGAACAAAATAAACTTAATATATCTATTCATTTATTGAATAAGCACTCAATGAAAACCTGTGTTGTACAAGACCCTCAGTCACTGAACAAGACAGGACAGACTACAATAAATAACTTGTCTATTGCATCTCATTCAATGATCATAAACCACAATCCTAAAGCTCCCATTTACACACAGAGCTATAAAACTACCAAGAATCCATTCCTGTCTACAGATGCCACGTTTTTCAGGAACTTATAAATTGGGGTAGAGGGCAGTGCACAGCTTGTAAACACAAGCAACCATAATAGAATATAATATACAATAAGGACAGTAAATGCTGCCAGGAAAATAAAGGATTTCATCAACTGGACTAGAACTTGAAAGCCAGATGAGTAGGATTTGGATGGGCAGAGATAGGGTCAAAGGCCATCGCAAGAAAGGGGACAAGAAACAGAGACACAGAGAAGGGAAGAAAGGAGGCCTCAGCAAGCCTATCAGTTGAAGAGGGAATTACAGTAAGAGGGCCAGAAAATAAGTGAGAACTAGTCTGTAGGAAGACTTAACTGGCTAAGAGGTCTGGACTTCATCCTGTAGGCCATGGGGGGGCCGCTAAAGGTTTTTGAGCACAATGGAAACAGTATTTTAGGAAGATTAATCTTGGTATGTAGGATGGATTAGAAAGAGGGGAGAATGCCAGTAGGGAAACCATTAAAGGGCCTGTTGAAAGGATCCAAGTGTGATATAACAGGACCTGCATGTGCTGAATGACAGCTATGTTTCTACCAGCCCTTTCTAAATATCTTCTAAAGGAAAGGTATAAATTCTAGTGAGAGGGCAGTGAACTGCAGAACTGAAAAAAACAAACCACGGTCAAAAACCCAGGGAAATGTACAAGAATTAACACAATACATACCATGACTATGCCACAGAAAAATCTCCAAATAGAATCACCACCGAAACTAGGCAATTTGAAGATAGGCCACGGATATATTTAAGAGATCAGTCACGCTATTCTAACATAAAATTAATTAATTAAGGAAAATATAATTAATGAAAGAGAAGGAAATTTGGGACAAATCATTATGAGGTATTAGGAATTGTTTGCTTTAACCATCAGTCTTGGTCTGCGGTTCAGAATCTGGTGTTTAAGAGAATCATGCTGCCACGGTGCAGGAAAACGTAACTGGGAGTATTCCTGTGTCCAACTTGACAAAAGTACCAATGTCCTTCCATCAAAAATTCAAATTTGCAAATTTTAAGTCCTTTACCCTAAATAAGAGGCTACTATATAAAGTCCCAAACCTTAGAAAAATCATGCTGGCTCTAGATATAAATTTTTAAATGTCTTAATTTTAATATTTGTTCAGATATTTCACTGAGATGTTGTTTAGTATGCCATCTTCAAAATATGAGTCAAAGTAACCTGCACTTTCTTCTTATAAGTATCCTTTCATATCTGAGGCCCTTGGTTTTTAAGGCATGGTCTAAAGGTTAAAACTCTAGACTCTCCTCTGATAAAGACTCCATCCTCTCCAACAAGCTGCTAAGATACCCGAAGAAGAAAGTCACAAGCATAAGCCCTTGTAAGTACTGGGTCCAGGCCAGGCAGGCTCATTTAGGGTCCTGTGGACACTTGAACAAAATGGAAGACAGACACAAAGGAATAGATCCCTGAACTCACGAGTCTGGGGAAAGCTGCTTCTAAATAACAAAGAAGAATAATAACTAATAGTTGTGTAGTACTTTAGAATGTTATAAAGTTATCTCATATTTGTTATATCATTTAATTCTCAAAATAATGCTAGGTCTTAATTAAATTCTCAAAGCTATGTCTAGGGATATGGTTTGGCTGTGTCCCCCTGCAAATCTCATCTTCAATTGTAGTTCCCATAATCTCCACGTGTTGTGAGAGGGACCCGGTAAGAGGTAATTGAATCATGGGGGCAGTTATCCCCATGCTGTTCTCATGAGATCTGATGGTTTTATAAGAGGCTTTTCCCCCGTTTGTTTGGCACTTTTCCTTCCTGCCACACCGTGAAGAAGGACATGTTTGCTTCCCCTTCCACCATGATTTTAAGTTTCCTGAGGCCTCCCAACCCTGCAGAACTGTGAGTCAATTAAACCTCTTTCCTTTATAAATTGCCCAAGACCAGGTGTGGTGGTTCACGCTGTCCCCGCACTTTGGGAGGCTGAAGCAGATGGATCACTTGAGGTCAGGAGCTCGAGACCAGTCTGGCCAACATGGTGAAACCCCGTCTCTAATAAAAACACAAAAATTAGCCAGGTGTGGTGCGCATCTGTCGTCCCAGCTACTTGGGAGGCTGAGGCAGGAGAATCGCTTGAACCCAGGAAGTGGAGGTTGCAGTGGGCCAAGATCGTGCCACTGCACTCCCATCTAGGTGACAGAGCGAGCCTCCATCTCAAAAAACAAACAAAAAACAACAACAACAGAAAAACAAATCTCAAGCAGTTCTTTATAGCAGCATGAGAACAGACTAATACACCTACAATACTATATAGCAGAGGAATGCTAAAATAAACAAATCTTGCCAAAATTATCACTCCCAACTTCACAGTGGAGCACAATGAGGGTCACAGAAGTGAAAGGGATTGGCACAGTTACACAGCCAATAAGTGGTCAAGATGATGTTGTATTTATTTTTTAATCAACTACTCTCTCATTATTAACACAACTACCTTTATCTTCTTCTCTACAAAGCCATACCAGGCTCTATTGACCATTTTCTTTTAGAAACTTCATGGCACTTGCAACCTACAGCACACAATTCATTCAGCAATGGTTACAGAGAAACTCCTATGCATGAGGCAATGTACAAAGTGTTATTGCTTAGAGGCTGGAGTAAGAATGAGAAAATAATCAGGTATGAGCTTTCCCATGAAAAACTGGTACCAAGCATACACACTTGACCCTTGAAACATGGATTTGAACTGAGCAAGTGCACTTATAAGCAGACTTTTTCCAACTCAAAGCAGATCCAAAATACAGTAGTCACAGGATACAAAACCTAAGCATAAACTTTCTATCCACAAGTTCTGCAGGGCCAACTGTGGGACTTAAATATGCACAGATTTGGATATATTAAGGGCGGCCCTGGAACCCATCCACTGTGTATACCTAGGGACAACTGTATTTGTACCGGTAAAACTTGCCAAGGGCAGGGGGTATTTCTTTTTATTACTGTATGATCAGAGTCCAGCATAGTGCCTGCAACTCCATAACAAGTGCCCCCCACATGCTTGATGCATGTCTAGGAGAGCAGAAAGAGTTGCCCTGGCTCCTATACTTGCCTGTATTGTTCAGGCTCCTGACAGACACAAGTAGGTTTAACTAAATGCATACTCTTTATTCCTTAACTTTCTTATACTAATAAACTATTGGGAATTCAAGCAGATTTTTGACAGAGAATGGTGAATAGAACAAAGTATATTTCTGCAGTTTCCCTTTGTATATCTGTCTCTCAGTTTAATATTGAACACTTCTATGTGTCATTTTCTCCATCTCTCTTGTGCCAAGAGATAGCTCTAAGCAGGCAGCTTAACTATTTCCATTTCTCTTCATCCAAGCTGACCCCCTCTAACTTTCTCAAACTGAACACAGCAGCACGTTACAGATCAGAAAAGGGCTAGCAATTATATGCTTCTAAGACATGGAAGACAGAGGCAAGGATGTCACTGCTCCTGACTCCCATGCTCATAGCAGACGTTGCTCAGCCAGCACTGTCTTTCCTGACCCTACCGAGTCTGAGTAAGGCTACACAACCTTTCCCAACACAGCTCACTACGTAAGCATTACCAATCAACGGGAGCTGGCTGACAGTTTGCCACAGTACTATCCTGACTGTCAGATATGCTAAGGGTGAAAGAGTAACACAAGGAGAAGAAAAACTAACAGAAAACCAAGAGGAGTAATTAAGGGCATAAAAGGAGCATAATTAAGAGCAGCAGATGCAATAACAGATTAGGCTCAAAAAGAAGCATGGCCCATTCTCAGTCATGAAGAATAAGGGTTAAAAGGGCAAGAAGAGATGGGAGTTCCACAAACACAGTCCAGTAGACTCACAAGGCATGCCCAGTGTCTAAATGAACACATCAACACTAAAGCAAGGACAGAGAGCAGCCCACCCTCTTGGAATTAAAAACTAATAGGAACAATATGGGAAGGGGTCCCAGTCAAGGAAGTAGCCATGAGATGACTGGCCACCCCCATCTACAAAGAGCTAGAAGCAACCCGAGAACATCATTAACTACCTGTCAATGTTCTCTTCAGGCACAGAGCAGCAAAGACCTTTCAGATCACACTGGAAGGACAAGGACTATTCATAGGTTATCTTACTGTTCCCAGCAACCACCAGAATGCAAATGGGTCAAGGCAGACACAAGACGCTGACAATGGACCTATAAAAAGGCCTAAGGGATTCAAATTACTTTTCTTCCTTCCATAAAAGTCCTGTGAGAAAGCAGAAGTTTGTTGTAGAAGTGCAGAAGTAGTGATTTGGGAAAATACAAGTAGCATGTACCGTTATATTTAAAACTTACCTTGGGTCATCCCAACTTCAGCCTAACTTGTATTTTCCAGACAAACCTTTGCTCTGCTCCCCATCGGTTTAGTGTCTTTTGTGATGGCTTCATAGCAACTGCCTTTTGGCTCTCCATAACCCTTCTTTTATCATCTGTCCCCATGTTTATTGCCCAAAGCAAGTCAAATGTATAAAACTTTGCTATCCAGTAGAACCCCCTTGGTATGAGTGAGATCACTAAATATAAACCAAATCGGAGCTGAATAATTGAATACACATGCAATGTAGGTTAATAATGGAACATTAACATGTCTACCCATGTCCTTTCTATGCCCTCTTATCCCCTCAATTGCTACTAAGTTTTCCATCTTTAGGTTCCCTTACCTTTGCAAACACAACAAACGTGAATTACATCGGCCAAACCAGAAAGCTGCCCTATTCATAATTCTTCACCCTCTGTAAGCAACTACTCACAATATCCTATCCATTAATATGTAATGTATCACCTTCAGGACTTTTGTTATATAGGCCACCATTTAATACCTACTGCTATTCACTTGATATTTTTCTTTAAATTAGCTCTATTTCAAAAGTTGAATAATTATGAGAAGTCTTTATATAACTACCATAATTAGAAAATCAGATTCAACTGTCTAAGTGGAAGATAATAGGGAAAATATAATGGAAACAATTTCTGGTTAGTAACTGTTGCCTGGCCCAAGGTTCTGATCTGAGACATCCTCCCTTCTCTGAAATAAGAAGACAGATAAACTACTAGTGGTTAAAGGTAAAATGATGCTGGCAGTGAAGTATGGGAGTAAATTACATGTTAGCCCATAGCCAGAGCTCCTTCCTGGCTTGAAATGTTGGCTCTCCCACCTACTAGCTATGTGATATTGGGCAAGTTACTTTAACCTCTCTGTGTGTCAGTTTCCTCATCTATAAGACAGGATTTTTTTTTTCTTTGAGACAAAGTCTCACTCTGTTACCCAGGCTGGAGTGCAGTGGCATGATCTCGGCCCACTGCAATGTCTGCCTCCTGGGTTCAAGTGATTCTCCTGCCTCAGCCTCCCAGGTAGCTGGGACTACAGGCGTGCGCCACCACACCCGGCTAATTTTCATATTTTTAGTAGAGACAAGGTTTCACCATGTTAGCCAGGCTGGTCTCAAACTCCCAGCCTCAAGTGATCCACCCTCCTTGGCCTTCCAAAGTGCTGGGATTACAGGCATGAGCCACTGCGCCCGGCCAAAGATGGGACTACTAACAGTACCTCCCACATAAAGATGTTATGAGGTCAAATGGTTTAATATGTAAAGTGCTTAAATTTTCTATATGTTTGTTAAATAAAAACTGTAACTGCCACAATGACAATACTTGGTTCTGCTCAGCAGCCCACATGCACTGTGCCAACTAGAACATCACAACAAATGACACTGTCTACCATGTGATGAAAAACCCAGAACATCAATAAATCAAAACCCCAACTGTGTCAAGGACACATGCTGAAGGAGGCCAGAGAAAAAGAATGTTGAGATTCCAAAGTGAAGGGAATCCACCTTCCATTTCCTCTGCTTCAACGAAGCCAAAAATGTGGCTATCCCCCAAGTCCAACAACCTCTGGAAACTGTGATAGGTACTATCAATGATGAACCAAACCCTGATTCAAGGATCTCAAAGTCAAATGGGGAGACAAATAAATTTTTTAAGTCACAATATAATATGATGATTAAGGGAGGCATGGAACTTTAGAGAAGGGGAAATTATGCCTCTGGAGTCAGAAAAGGCTTCCCTAAGGGAGGTAAATTTAGAGATGAATCCAAGAGTCTGGGTAGGAATTCATCCATCAGGCAAAAAAACAGGTCCCCCAGGCAGAGGGAATAGAATGCACAAAGCCCTAAAGGTGGAAGCATAGGCAGCACTCAGGCTCTGGCCACACACAAGAGTACCTGAACAGTCTTCTTTACATTGGCTATGCCAAGAAAAATCTCACCAAATATCCACATCCTGCAACAGGGAGGTCTACCGATTCTGAAGCCATGATTTCTTACCACATCATGTCCAGGATGAACAAGTGTGGAGAATGAATGATAGCGGAATCTGCACAGAGAGGCACCACAGGGGGCTCAGGCCAGGTTACTAGCAGCAGAGGGAAGGAAAGAAAGGCTTTTAAGATAGACTGAAGAGACTGACAATAACGTGACACCAATGGGACCCACTGGGAAGCAACTACGCTGAGACAGCACACTGTTAGGCAGCAAATCCAGCCAATGGGTGCTTCGGAGCCAGGTATTTCAAGGTGTACTTATCAACAGAAAAAGGCTCTGTAAACGTTTTCTTTTTCTTTTTTTTTTTTTTTTTTTTTGAGATGGAGTCTTGCTCTATTGCCCAGGCTTCCAGGCTGGAGTGCAATGGCATGATCTTGGCTCACTGCAACCTCTGCCTCTTGGGTTGAAGTGACACTCCTGTCTCAGCCTCCCGAGTAGCTGGGATTACAGATGCCCACCACCATGCCTGGCGTGTGTGTGTGTGTGTGTGTGTGTGTGTGTGTGTGTGTGTGTGTTTAGTAGAGATGGGGTTTCACCATGTTGGCCAGGATGATCTTAAACTCCTGACCTCATGATCCGCCCACCTTGGCCTCCCAAAGTGCCGGGATTACAGGCATGAGCCGACACACCCGGCCTAAGGCTCTATAACTTGATTAGTTTAGCAGACAGCATCCATCTTTTCCAAAGAAAAGGAGTTATGTTTGTCAGTTTACTTCATCAGTGATCTCTACTAATGCCTCAAAGATCCAGAAATAACATTACAACCTTAATTATGTAAGCCTAAGCATAAAACTGTGTTCAGCCAAAGTGGCCCATAATTAGTACTATTATGTACATGATTAATAGAAAATATATTTTTTCCACAGAATGAGGATAATAAGTATTGAACTTAAAAAGTGTGATCTAGTTTATTTGTTGTGGTAGACAACTCCTAAAATTCAAAGAAATATAAAAACACTTATCTTTTCCAGACAACAGCCTTCAAATGTTCTCAAGCATTAAACCTGAAAGTTGGAACAAGGGGTGCCGCTCTGGCAGACCCAACGTGCCTTACATGACAGGGGTGCCTGACAGAGATGTGTGTGCGCATGTGGCTCAGTGGGAGGACAGGGACTCTGAAATGACAGATAATCAGATTACCGAAACACAACAACTTGGAAACGATGAGGAAGAAAGCTTCACTGAGAAAGCGAAAATAAAGAAGAATAATATTAAGTTCAACAAAGAGGCTAGGCGTGGTGGCCCATGCCTGTAATCCCAGCACTTCAGGAGGCTGAGGCGGGCAGATTACCTGAGGTCCGGAGTTTGAGACGAGCCTGGCCAGCATGGTGAAACCCTGTCTCTACCAAAAATACAAAAATTAGCCGGGTGTGGTGGCAGGCGCCTGTAGTCCCAGCTATTAGGGAGGCTCAGGCAGGAGAGGTTGCAGTCAGCCAAGATCATGCCACTGCACTCCAGCCTAGGTGACAGAGCAGTACTCCATCTCAAAAAAAAAAAAACCAAATCAACAAAAAAACACTCTGCAATCCTATTTACCTCAACAAGCTCTCAAGGTCATCCACTGGAAGAGAGCGGCAAGGATTTCGAGCTATGGTAAGGAGGAACGGACTTTGGGGAAACATGGGGTCAGGGACAGGACAACTGGGAAACACCTTAAAACAGACTGAGCCCAGTTAGGGGGCAGAAACACAGGCCGGGAACCATAAGAAAGTTCTGGAAGTGGCATGTGGAGGGCAGATGAGGATGATTTTTCTCACTCCTGCACGGTTCCCTCTGGTCTTTCCTTTTGAGCTGTTCCCCATATCCGTCCCCTCCCTTATCTATCCTTCCACTTACCAGAAACTTTTTTCCACTCTCTTGTATCTTTTTTTCTTTGCTCATTTCTTCTTCTACAATTTTATTGCCTCACTCTTTGTTCTTGCACTTAGTGAGCTAAAACATATGTGAATTGTTTTGTTTTGAAGTTCAAAATAGGTCAATTGAGCATTTCAAATTTCTGACTCCAAAAATCCCTAAGCATTAATCCCACCCCAACTATTTTACTTGTGCTCTGATTTCTTTTCTTCTCAAGATAATTCATAGTACTTAAGAGAGAAGATTTCCTATCCCTGACTTAGCAGATACATTCTTCATTCTTTTAATCTTTGCTCCTATTGCTACCTAGCCAATCCTTGAACTTCTTCGTTAATGTTTAACTTTGTGAACTCAGGGAACAATGGGTACTAAGGACATGACATAGTTGGTGTGTGTAATATTGTGCTTTGTGGTGAGTTTGGTTTTTTTTTAATTTTTTAATAAAAAAATTTTTTTTTTTTTTGGTAAAGCAAAATGAGCATTGTTCTGGGATCACACACTGCAGAATCAATACATATGGGTGATGGTTCAGCAAACGACTATGCCTCCCCACTGAAGGTAGATTTCCAAGTTTCTTGTGTCTACTGACTGTCTGTTTTTCTAATTATTTCCCAATGATCTGGTTAAACAACCCTTCTCATCTCTGAATTCCATTTTGATTTTAAAAATCCACACTACTAATTTTAAATCCATTATGTGTAGTTCCACTCTTCATCCTAATTCCTTTACTGTTGTCTGGGTCTACCATGAAAGTGCTCTTTCACAGAATTAGAAATATAACTAAATTGCTCAGTAGGCAATATTACAAACTGATATAAATGAAATCTTATTGAGAAGCCTCTTTTTACCTAAATACTTTGTTTCATATCACCATCCTTTATTTGCTCTAGAATGAAAAGAACATGGTAGAAAATTACAGTAGTTCCCCCTTTATCCAAGGTCAACCATAGTCCGAAAATAAGTGAGTACTGTACAATAAGATATTGAGTGAGAGAGATGATATTCACATAACTTTTATTATAGTATATTGTTATAATTGTTTTAATTTATTATTAGTTATTGCTATTAATCTCTTACTATGCCTTTTTTAAAAAGAAAAGGCCTCACTCTGTCACTCAGGTTGGAATGCAGTGGTGGAATCATGGCTTACTGTGGCCTCAACCTCCGGGGCTTCAAGTGATCCTCCCACCTCAGCCTCCTGAGTAGCTGGGACCACCAGTGTGCACCATCATGCCCAGCTAATTTTATTTTTGGTAGAGATGGGGTCTCTCTATATTTGCCCAGGCTGGTCTCAAATTTCTGGGACTCAAGCAGTCCTCCCACCTCAGCCTCCCAAAGTACTGGGATTATAGGTGTGAACCACCATGCCTGGCTACTATCCCTAATTTATAAATTAAAATTTATCACAGTATGTATGTATGGAGAAAAAAAGTTATACATATAGGGTTTGGTACCATCTGCATTTCAGGCATCCACAGGGGGGTCTTGGAAGGAATCCTCAGTGGGTAAGGGAAGATTACTGCATTTATAATAAAGTCTGAGTGCATGCAAATGTTACAGACTGAATCCAAGTTTATGACTGCATTGTTGTTTTTAAAAATTACAATCATTAGATATAATGGCAGAACTTTGGACCCTGCTGTCTAGTTTATTATTTTGAATCTGGACAGAATCTAAAACTGTTATATACAACCCTATGGAAAAAGATTAAACAACAGACTTTCCATCTAAGGGGGAACTAGTTTCCATCTTTAAACTAAATCCCCCCTGCTGAAATTGAATTCTTACAAAAAAAAAAATTAATCCCATACTCAGACATAACTAGAAAAGAGCCAGTCGTAATCCTCTATATCATACTTCTGCACATAGTAGGAAAAAGTGATCCCCTCAACCCTCTCCTCTTTTAACTAAGTATCTGTATTATACAGCCAAACATTTCTTTATTCAACTTTTCAACTGCAATGTGGATCTTTCCTATATATTTAAACTCTAAACTCTTGTGGTTCATTTTAATTTTTGAACCTTAGTTTCTTCACCTAAAAAAATGGACCTAAAAATACCTGCCCTAGGCTGGGTGCCAGGTGGCTCACGCCTGTAATCTCGGCACTTTGAGAGGCTGAGGCGGGCAGATCACGAGGTCAGGAGATCGAGACCATCCTGGTTAACACGGTGAAACCCCCGTCTCTACTAAAAATACAAAAAATTAGCCGGGTGTGTTGGCGGGCGCCTGTAGTCCCAGTTACTCGGGAGGCTGAGGCAGGAGAATGACGTGAACTCGGGAGGCGGAGCTTGCAGTGAGCAAAGATCGCGCCACTGCCCTCCAGCCTGGGTGACAGAGTGAGACTCCATCTCAAAAAAAAAAAAAAAAAAACCTTTCCTATTACTCATCTTTTGAGCATCAAATTATATACATAAAAGCATGTTTAAGAGGTAAAAACAATATATCCATTCCAAGCAGGTATGTGAGCAAACAAAAGAGAAAAGATCAGAACGCAGCAAAGAAAAGACATAGGGACAACACGGTGAAGATTTAAGTCATTTTGTCTATATTCTCTGCACTAAACTAAAGCTAATTCATTCTGTGACAACCCCCAGGTTTGATTCTAATAAAGACTGGCTTAGTGATTCATAATGAGTTAAGATCTCACCTACCACTGTATTCAAAAAAATCTATAGCATTGAAAAGCCTTGAGTTGGCTGCTGGCAGGGGGATGATATAATTAGGGAGAGAAGGAAACTGAATCTCAGATCTAGCATTTATTTGCTTTAGGACCATGGGAAGACTTCATGGGCTACCCAGGCTTTAGATTCCCCATCAGTAAAATGAAGCTAACCATCGGACCCTCCTCAATGGGCTGCTGGGAGAATTAAATAAGAGAGTTTGGGTAAAGCCCTGGCACAGTGCGTGACACATTTGTGAAACACTCAGATACAATCGAGACCAGTAAGTGAAAAACAATTAAAAAGATATGTATGTACTTCACAATAAAGTTGCAATAACATATCTAAGTAACAAATTATTTCCCAATTGTCTCACATGAGTATCAGCCCTTTTCCTCCAGTATGGTTCTGCTGAGTTCTCTGCAGATTATCTACATTTTCAACTGTTTTCTTTAAAGGTCAGTGAGAACTAAAAGACTTAAAAGACTCAATCTGAGTGCAGAACCCTTCTAGATTTCCCCCTAATCCTCCACAGTCCTCTTGCCTATACCTAATTCAAGAGCAAGTTTTTAAGTAGATCACCTTTACAAGTCTTCCCAAAGCATTCCTCTTATTTTTCATAGAAACAGCTACAGCTGACATGGCACTTAATAAAATTATGTAATAGAAACTACTGGCAAATAGGTGAATAAGCAAGCACAACTGACTTGGTAAGCAGCTGACTTAACAGATAAGAAACGCACAGGAGTGTCAGAAAGTCTACCAGTGATGAGCATCAATGTGCCATGGACACTGCAAAGCAAGTCTTATGAGGGAATGGGAAGCTGTTTTCTCCACGAGGTAGATTCTGTGAAGGTCAGATAAGAGCTTATACTGTATCTGAATCATCATCATCATTAATTTTACTCTAATCCTATATAGTTGGGTTTATTCTTTTTTTTTTTTTTTTTTTTTTTTTTGAGACGGAGTCTTGCTCTGTCGCCCAGGCTGGAGTGCAGTGGCGCGATCTCGGCTCACTGCAAGCTCCGCCTCCCGGGTTCACACCATTCTCCTGCCTCAGCTTCCCAAGTAGCTGGGACTACAGGCGCCCGCCAGCATGCCTGGCTAATTTTTTGTATTTTTGTTAGTAGAGACGGGGTTTCATCGTGTTAACCAGGATGGTCTCAATCTCCTGACCTCGTGATCCGCCCGCCTCGGCCTCCCAAAGTGCTGGGATTACAGGCGTGAGCCACTGTGCCCGGCCATAGTTGGGTTTATTCTTAGAAGACCCCACATAAATTGTCTGCCTTTCCTTGACCAAATAGTAATCTACGACAAGTTGATCTAACTCCCTCACCAAAATATTATAAAATATACTTTCAACTTGGCTAAATCCAGTCAAATGTTTTCAACATCTGTAGTAATTCTAACTTGCAAGAGATAGAGACAGGAAAAGATCTAAGAATATGAAACACAAGGCATACTGCTGTTGGGCTCAGTTTAGTCACACGCCTCTATAAACAACAAATGAGAGTCTTTCGTGCACACTAAGCTTTGAGTGGCCCATGATACACTACTGGATGAGCAAAGATGTCTTGTCTTGCTTCAGCTTTGGCGACTGTGCTCCTTGGGACCCAAACCGTTAACTCCAAATGACTAGCCCTCTAACACCACTTCTAAAAGACCATATAGCTACAAGTTGGTGTATGTTGGACAGCTGTGAGGAGTCTGACAAAAAATCTGATGCTAATAATAAAGTGCTGAAGATTCCCATGGATTTACATGTTACACAATTCAAGGTTTTCCCTGGGGGAAAATGCTCTCACTTCTCGGGTTTCTGGGAAGTTTTCTTAAGTGAGAGAAAAAGGGGTAGAGCCACAGCTAGCACACTGGGAACGCACATCGTCATCATGCCCTTCTCTATCCCTTTATTATAACATGAGTAGTCCATGGAGCAGGGCTGTATAAATGAATACACAAAGAACAAGAATTGTCACTCTAATGCTGGCATCAACAAACTATGGCCCAAATCTTGCCTTTTGGAAATAAAGTTTTATCGGAACAAAACCCATCCATTCATTACTCATTTTCTGTCGCTACTTTCACGCTACAATGACAGAGATAAGAATTGCAAGAGAACCTATGGCAGGCAAAGCCTAAAATATTTACTACCTGGCCCTTTACAGAAAAAGTTTGCTGGCCCCTGCTCTAATAGAGAATATGGTGCTTAAACAAACAAACAAAACTAGAAAACCTGGCCTTCCTAACACTTTGGGGAAGAAAATAAATAGCAATACAAAGGAGATGCTTATCTGACATGCAAGTCCCCCAAAAATCAGAGAAACAGATGATTTAAATACACTATTCATTCGCTGAATGACCGAACACACACAAGACAAATACTGTCTCAACTTGTTTTATTTATTGTTGTTTATTTGTTTACTCTGTCGTCATGAAAAAGCAAAAATGGTCATGAAGGTTCCAGATGCTGACAGAATGCTTTTGTGTGTTTTAGAAGCAAGTAAACAAATGGCCCATCCAATACAAGTTCAGGTGCTTGGTACTTCACTTAGAATCATAGGCTTGCTATGCCTCAAAATAAGCATGTAATCATTGTTCACTTAATTGTTGTATTGTTTATATGCATCTGTATTTTTTAAGTAGTCTCAGATCAAAGAAAAAAACTATCTACAGACTGCCTTAAAAAAAAAAAACCTGGCCTTATAATTTGTAATGAAAACAGCAAACCTTACATGCTGAGACAGCTCGGCTTCTTTGTTGATAATTCTAAACATCACTTATTTTCTGTCCACTTACCTCCAGTACTGGCTGGGGAAGGAGTACAGTAACGGGCATTGCTTTGGATAAAATGGCAATTGATAGAGGTTATTTTCCAGCTATCATGCCCCATTTCCTCAAGATAAATCACCACCAGGAAGAAGCAAAACCCATGGAATATCATTAAGTATAGAACAAGAGAAGGAAAACACTGATATATGTAAACTGAACAATATTTTCGCTCTTTTATTATATTTGAGTAAATTATGGCTCCAATTTAAAAAAGATTTGAGGGTCTATATATACATTAAGCAAAAAGTTAAACTACACTCATAATGATACTATAATTTTATAAATTTCTCTCTACCAAAGAATTCAAACCAATTATATATACTTGAAATATACTTACACCACTACTTTCCTCCAGGCTCTGAAATTTCATTTAGGAAATGTAATAAAAGCAAGAAAATTCCAAGTACTGGGACAAGTTTCAGTATTCACCCCTTGAAACAGTTCTTTTTCAAAGTAATAAGATTAATAATCTGCAAGTCTCTGCATATTAGGCTCATCCTAAAAGTAAACAGTAAATAAACCCAATATTTATTTGAAGGAGGTATCAACAATCCCAATTGATAGGTAAATATACTGAAATAAAGAAGAGCTTGAGACCTTTATTAAATACAAAACAGAAATATATGACACACACAACAACAACAACAACAACAACAACAACAAAACACAAAAAAGGATTAAGTCATTTTCTGAGGATTAAATTCTAAGGCAAGTGTTTGGAATTCTGAATGCATTTTTCCATTAGAAAATGGTCCTAAGGCAGCCTGCAAAGCCTGAAGGGCACTTCTTATCACCACGTCTCAGAGGATGATGACACTGGGTTGGTGAGAAGTCTAATTTCCCTACAGATCTTATGATTTCCACAGACAAAGAATTTATATTTTCAGAGGACTTGAGAAATCCTTCCCTTTACGCCACATCTCTATTCAGAGGAGGAAAGAAAGACTTAACAAGAGCAAATGACTACCCAAGGATTCACGGCTAGAAACAGTCCATAAGAAGTGCAGAGAAGAGCTGCCTCACTTCTACAGCTTTTCCTTGATGTGATGTATAGCTGAGCTAGACTTGACCAGCTTTCTTAAGCTCACAAAGAGAAATGGACAGAGTAAAGGAAAAAAACTGTTCCCAGCTTGGTAGGCAGGAGGTAGGACGTGGAAAAGGAGGCAATGGCTTCAGGTAAGCATGGGTGTGCCTGGGAAGCTGCCTGAGACCTGTGGGTAGACATGAAGACAAAGGGCGGGTACAGCACAAGCACTGGACCCTTAAGAAGGAAGAAGGGGGTTGACCAAACCTCTCCTGCCTCAAAAATCTGTTCATAGGCATTAAATGTGACCTGTGCCAAGCAAAATTACTAATATCACCACTAATCCCTGTGCTCATTAATCATCAGTACTCAGTTCACCATTTCCAAACATCAAATAGAACACC
This sequence comes from Homo sapiens, assembly GCF_000001405.40. Taxonomy (NCBI): domain Eukaryota; kingdom Metazoa; phylum Chordata; class Mammalia; order Primates; family Hominidae; genus Homo; species Homo sapiens. The sequence continues at coordinate 132,922,425 of NC_000007.14, forward strand.
AGAGTTTTAAAAACTGCCAGTATCCCACTGCAATGCAACTCACTCATGTGAGTCCAGGCCAGGTCCATTCCCATATTCTGCCTACTCATTAAAAGAGGCCTCAATATTATATCCCTGCTTCTCTTCCTCTCTATACTTTTTTTTTTTTTAAGCAAACTTACTAGCAGATACTACTGATAAACTTTGATCAAAATGTCCATTGTGGCTTTGAAAGGCGTAAGTCATATTTCCCACTTGGGCAAGAAACTATTCTGATTATTTGACTTCATAATCCAAGTGTGTTAATCAATTTTTATATAGTTTTATTCACTCTCAGGGTTTAGCCACAGTTAAGACTCCCAACCTTGTCTTACGTTTACTTACAAATAGCTACCCTGTATTTCAAGTATGGGGCAACCTACCAGCAAAGCAACTACTTCTTACTTTTCTAAATCACAACCCTTGGCCAATAATGAGGAAACTTCATTCCAAATGATGTTGATTCATCAAACCTATCCATCCATGATTGTGCTGAGCATTAAAACTTACATGTACAATCATCATGTGAAAAACCTACTCATTCCCCAACATGCAGGATCTGAAAACGGCCAAGAAGGAACACCAGAATGAAACAGTCACTTAGAATAGGAATTCAAGACAATCAGAATATTGTCTTGCTCTTATAGGCACAAAGCATACACCTTTCAAATATATGTCACAACAGATATTGTCCCAACAATGTCACAATAAACTTGACTGAAAATTCAAACCAAAATTGATCAAAATTCAAATGCACCAATAGGCCCTTCTAATAATTTTTTAATTTAGATTCAAAAAGGACATGAATAGTCCTTTTCCGAAAGTTGGGTTGATATTTCATTTGGTTTTAAATGTCTATGTGTTTCAGCACAGTTGGATAAAGTATGGCTGTCTATTTATAGACAGACAGATTTGTGTGACTGGACACTTCAAACTCGCCTTTCCATATGGATAAGAGATAAGATTAGACATAGATAAAAGTAAATATGCCAAATATTCAGAGGGAAGAAAATAAAAATAATTCCATTTATACAATGACCAGACTTTTGGGACGTACAACCAGCTGGAATATAGTAGTTACGTTGAATAAGATTTTTTCAAAAAAATTCATAGCAACAGGGGTATCAGTTTATAAACCTGAGAGTTTACATGAGGGTTCTAATGTACGTTCAGATCCTCAGCCATAAAATTACATATAAAATAGTACAACAAATCAGAACCCAAGTTCTTAATCCAAATAAACATATTTTTTCAAATATGCCTTGTCAATGGGAAATAAACTTGAAGATAGACCCCACCACCAATCTGATTTCCCAGCAGCCAGAAATATTTTTGGTCTTTAGTCCCTAAAATCCTTATGTAAACACTTTGCTATCCTAACATTAAAAAGAAACAGATACATGGAAGTTCAACTTGATTTAGAGAAGGAATGAGAAAGATTAAGCACAAAAATTAACACATAGATGAATTGTTTAATTTATTAGCTCTATGCAATAAGTGAATGGAGTCTTAGATTTTTAGAGAATATTACATTCCTTTGTAGACAACAGTAATAAACTATGCAATTCATCAGAACAATAAGAATAACATTTGTCTTATAAATCTTGGAGTAGCCATTCAATTCAACTAGAAGAAAAATGGGACTTTGACCACAGCTGGAGAAATAAGGAATAGGAGGCAAAAGAAATTTTGGCATTTCCATGAGAGTAAGATCAGTCAGAAGGGTAAGATTAGGTGACAATGATGAGACTAGGAATGAGAAAGGACTGCATAGTGAAATATGAAATGCATCTTATGGAAATTTTGAAGACTAATAATAATCAAACAGTAGTGGTACAGTTTTGGCCTAACATCTCACACTAGTCTCACAATAATAGTATGACACACATACATAAATCACAGAATGAAGTACAAAGCAGGGTATTTAAAAAAAGCTCGATTATTTTTAATTTATTAATGTGTCAGTGTCTCACAGTTAAAGTCCAATTCATTATTCTTGGTTTTAAGTATAGGTAAAAATTAATCTCTCCTCATCTTGCCCTACCACGACTTGAAATTGAGACTATAAACCACCTAGAGTTCATTTAAAAGGGTCTCACTGGTTCTGGTCATAGTAAAGAAGTAAAATATTTTTTAAACCTCTTTTTTGTAAAGCCTAGCAACTATAGAATATTCATTCAAAATTTTCATGATGCCAGAGTTCAAACTGTGGAGCAGATATTCTTAGATAGAGATCTTTAAAGGACTCCCCACTTAGCTTAAATAGAAACAAGTAATATTTCAACACAAATATATTCCTTTAAGATGTGTATCTTTGGCACATGCATCAAAATGTATGAAACACCAAATTTCCAGCTCTTTCACCGTCTTAAAACACACGTACACATACAGCACTCGGCATGCAGCAACACCCAGCATCTGAGTGCCACATGCCTGGAGAGAGATCTAAGTCTGCAACAAATTCAACCAGATCCCATTTCTTTAAGGTCCAGAACTGAAAAGAACTGCTGAACACTGGGGGTGAACCTGTATCCCTTTGATCTCCATTGGAACAAAAAAGCAAAATGACATGCTCAAATGAAAAATCATTTATAATGGATGAAAGAAGGGCTATTCTTTCTTTGAATTCTGTCTGTTTGGAGGAAATAGGTGAGGGAGCTTTGAGGAAAAAATAAATTCTCAAAACACAAAACAATCCTTATGAGATAATACCAATAATGGAGTAGGAATGGGAGAAATGGTAGAAGAAAAGGATGCTGTCCCCATTAGAAAAGGGAGAGGCTCTTATTTTAAAAAAAAGAAAAAAAAAGGAGGGAGACAGTTTCTCATTTAAGTAAGACTAATTTTAAAAGAACCTGATTATAGTGCAAAGCTGCAAGTACAAGCCACTGAAACATCATGCATTAACCTGGTACTACTGTGACTCTGGTATTTATTTCAAAATGACAGAAATTTCACTACCACTTTCCAGCAAAGTTTACTACTTTTTAAGATGTAAATGTTGGGAGTAAAAATTTGTCCAGGTGCCAACTTTAAATGTTAAAATTGCACTTAATTAAATGCTTTATTTACACGGGACACGGGTCCCCATCCCCACTTCATCCCCAAGTTACACCTTCAGGACAGTAATGTAAGGTTTTTATTTAGTTTCTGTTACTTACATTTGGTTATTTAATTAATATTTGTGCAGACTCATATCTGTACGATCTTCAGCAAGCACTCACCGCACACGTATATACCCCAGCTATAACACAAGTATATATCCCAGCTAGAAAAAGAGAGGAATACCACATCGTACTTGTCCTCTAAGAGCTTACTGACCACTAGAGAAGTGGAGCACAAACACAGAGCAACAACAAACTTCATAACGAAAACGTTTCCAAAAGATGAGCCTCAAAAACGAGTTGGGGATGGGGGAAAATGCAAATGTATATTCACAAGGAAAGGTATTAAAGCATGGAGGGATGGCAGCCTGAAATACTATAGTAGGTTCAGCACCTACCAATGGTTCAGGGAGGTGAAGTCCAAGCTGCACTTAGAAAAATGGCCAGAGATGAAGTAGCAAAAGCAAGCAAGGCAGACTATGAGGATGAGCCATCTACCATTCTGAAGTGCCAGATTTAGCTGTAGACCATGGCAAGCCACTACGGAGTTTCTTGCATAGGAATCAGATACACCATTCCAGAGGCAATGTGGAACACAGAGGCAAGTAGACTAGTTGGGATATGCTTGAAGCAGTACAGGCCAAATGAAGGCCAGAACAATGTCCAAGACAGCAAGTTTGGAATCCCAACTTATAAGTTACTGGTATCAGTAGAGTTTGGAAAGGGGTAGAGGGGTAGCAAGGAGAATAGCTAGATTTCGGACAGAGATGGCAGTCTCAATCACTGAGAAAGAGAACACCAGTTTCTGAAGAAGCTGACAGTGGGAAGGGAAGACTAGTTCAGAGTTACATGTTGAAAAGTACAGCATTAGAATATAGATCCTGGAGCTGCTGGTTTATATCTGATGGCTGAGATCTGATGGCCTGTTGGGTGTGGACGAGACTGCACATGGAGAGTCTAGAGACTGAAAAGGAAGTATTCTATCCGTAAAAGGAATTTGTGAGGCGCAAATGAGATAATGTACATATTTGCATTCTGTAAGCTGCACTTTTGATATATAGTCATCCCCTGGTATCTGCAGAGGATTGGTTCCAGGACCCCCTTCAGATACCAAAGTCCACAGATGCTCAAGTCCCTCATGTAAAATGGCATCATATTTGTATATAACCTAGGCACATCTTCCCACATACTTTAAATCATTTCTAGATTACTTCTATCTAACACAATGTAAATGCTATGTAAATAACTACTACATTGTATTGTTTTTAATGTGTATTTTTTGTTGTTGTATTGTTGTTTTTTTTTCCAAATATTTTTAATCCATGGATGGGTGAATTTAAAAATGCAAAACCCATGGATACAGAGGGGTAACTGCATAGGTATTTTCGTTTTAACAAAACATCAGAATCCATCCTGTTTACCAAGAATCTCTACTGAGATGTCTTTTTATAAGCAGCTCTCTATTATGGAATACAGCTATGATTAGAATTCAAAGTCTGAGGGAACTTTAGGGAGCACAGGCTATTGCAATGTCTTCATAAAGATTACATATAAACCCATGCCCCCAGATTAGACCCACAAACAGTTAAGAGCCCACTGTAACAAGCCCATACAATACATATTAGCTCATTGCCCAAAATGCAGTATAGAAAGTGGTTTCACTGAAAACCATAAATGTTCTACAAACTACTAATGCTTCTGATTCCTTCCTTAGCTGTGTTTATTAGGCACAAAGAAGCTAAATGAGAAAGTCCCTGTTCTTTGAATATACACACCAAGTCTCGGGAACCTCTGCATGCATTCCTAACTTAACAGCCGTCAACCACATCTGCTCCTCATCCAGAAAAGTAGACATCAAACAATCTAGCATATCTGTAAATGCAGGGACAGCAGGTAACTTGATAAAATATGTAACAAATCTCAGACTCACCAAGTTTTCAACACTGTATCTCGCCCAGGCCTTTTATAATAGTGTGCAACAGCTGCTGTTAAGTTAGATGGAAGCGATTGGTTAAAAACAGCTTGAATTTCTAAAGCATGTGTTATTTTTCAAAAAATGAAAGACGCTGTTAAAATAGCTCCATTCCTTACATATCTATTAAACTGTTTAAAATTGACAATCTTTAATTTAAGCCTATTCTTGGAACTAGATGTCCATTTCCACTGTCAGAAAGTCAGAACAGATTTCATAAGCACTGGAGGAACACAATCTTAGGACTCATAAGTAGGTTTCAGCAAGAAAAAACTAACCTTACAGAAAACAAATCTGTCAGACGTCTTTAAGACTTCCTTTTAATTTTTTAAAAGGGACCATCTTACCTGTGAAGTATCTCAACCTACTCCTAAAGACATCTTTACCCTGAAGGATCTCCTAACATATTCATTTATTCATACAAAAAAAATTGATTTATATAGTTGTGAAATAGGCCCCATAAGGCAACCCAAGCCTCCTTCTCTCATCGAGGCACAGAACCGAGCCAGGTTCCAGAAGAGAGTCCACTAAACCCCAGCTAAAGAGTAGGCTGGGGACTCTAGTTGGAGGCTGGAGTCCAGGCCTGATTCAGAGGGAATCCCATCTTCCTAGTCAGAATGAGGAAGGGGACAGGCCAGCCAAGACTTGTAACATGAAGAGAGTGACATCATGGATAAAGGATAAAAAGTGAAAGAATTCTATGAGGCCTGGGTGAACGCTGAAGTTAGGAAAGATGTGCCAGGAAGGGGCCAATTAACTTAGGGAAGCAATATCAATATCTGATTAGCAATGAAGATGCACTTCTCAGGACACTGGAATAGAATTGCATCACAAGTGTCTTATCTGACTGTGTACCCCTTGGGCTGTCTTAGCCTCCTACTCTAAAGAATAAATGGGGCCAGGTGTGGTGGCTAACGCCTGTAATCCCAGCACTTCGGGAGGCCAAGGTGGGTGGATCACCTGAGGTCAGGAGTTCAAGACCAGCCTGGCCAACATAGTGAAACCCCATCTCTACTAAATATACAAAAATTAGCCAGGCATGGTGGTGCATGCCTGTAATCCCAGCTACTGGAGAGGCTGAAGCAGGAGAATCACTTGAACCTGGGAGGCGGAGGTTGCAGTGAGCCTAGTTCATGCCACTGCACTCCAGCCAGAGCAACAGAGCAAGACTCCATCAAAAAATAAAATAAAATAAAATAAATAGACTCAGCATTAACGTAGAAGGATACAAAATATCAATAAATCCCTTAATTGAGAAAATGGAGGCCATTCAGGAGGAATCCTCCCTCCCTTTTAAATTTGCTCAGGTCATCCTTGCTTTTCTCCGTCTCTTACCCTGAAGCAGGGTTCTCCTTCTCTTTCCAAGGACTATTTCTACCCTCGAACCTACTCCCTCCTCAAATCCTGAGATTTTGCTCCATCAACTTATTATCACCTCTTTCTTACATTTTTTATCCTTCTCTTGCCATTGGCTTCTTTCCCTCGACTCTCAAACATATTAATACCTTTAAGGAAAACCACCCAAAAAAACTACTTCTTCAAGGTACATAATCTTTATCACCTTTCTTTCAAAGCTTAAAATCTTCATAGAATAATAACTATCCTGGCTTTTCCCTTTTCCTCTTTTTTAACCACCTGAAACCTGGGTTCTGATTTCAACACTATTTTTTATTATGTATGTTACAAATGATAGCAACTGATGGTTCAACCAGTTTCTCACTGAGGCTCATTTCACTGGCTGTCTCTGGAAACTTCACCTCTGACGGATCCCTCACTTCTTGACTCTCTCTCTCTCTCTTTTGTTGGCTGCTTGAACACTCATGGTTCATCCTCCATCTGCCTTGCAGATGGCTCCTGCATAGTCTCCCATGCAACTCTTTCTCAGCCTGCTGCTTACAGGTAAGTATTCTCCAAAATTCTGCCCTTGTCTTCTTTCTTCTCTCCACATACTATTTCTTGGCAATCTCACCCATTCCCAGAGCTTCATCTCTTTGAGAAGGATTCCCATAACTCTCTCTATTCCTGGCTGCTCTCCCTAGTTCCAGACATATGTTTCCAACTTATTTAATGAACACAGCTACAAGAATATCCTGAAGGGACCTCAAACACAGCAATATGAAACATAACTTGTCCTTAACCCAATCTAAAGCTGTCAATATCTTGCTAGTCACTGAGCTCCACACTGCAGTCATCTTTTACTTCTTGCCATACTCCATGACCAGGGCTATGGTGGGCCCAGAGAGACAGGAAGAGAATTCATGAGTGGGCACAGGAAGCTTTCCTTTATGGTAAAGGGGTAGATGCTTGAGAGCTGAGAGGCGTCTTTCCTCAGCTTAACATATGAAAGTCACAGAACCTATGGTTCTGATTGCCACGAATATGGCATATTATTTCCTGCATGATGGCTGTAATGACAACAGAATTTTGGATTTACTCTGTGAGAAACTAAGGCAAGAGAAAGCCTTATCCAGTCACTTGGGTCCTTAACTCATTACATACCCTTGGAATTGCTTGTTTGCTGGTTCAAAATAAACCTAAGTGACAGAAATCTTAAACAGAAATGTGATTCTTATCAGTCTTCAAGCCGGAGTAAGCTTTATGGTGTTGCCTAACTCACTTCCTCCTTCTTAACCTCCCACTCCTAATTTTTTTTTTTTTTTTTTTTGAGACAGGAGTCTCGTTCTGTTACCCAGGCTGGAGTGCAGTGGTGCAATCTCCGCTCACTGCAACCTCCACCTCCCTGGTTCAAGCAATTCCCCTGCCTCAGCCTCCCGAGTAGCTGGGATTACAGGGGCATGCCACCATGCCCGGCTAATTTTTTTGTATTTTTGGTAGAGAGTGGGTCTCACCATGTTGGCCAGACTGGTCTCAAACTCCTGACCTCAGGCAATCTGCCCGCCTCAGCCTCCCAAAGTGCTGGGATTACAGGCGTGAGCCACTGCACCTGGCCCCCACTCTTAATTTCATTCCAACCTCAGCAATGTCTCCCACATATAATCTCATCATTTGAATTCCCATGAACAATCCTCGAATGCAGAGTGTTTCCACTTGTTTGGAAGGCTATACCACATTTCTAACATATTTCGCCCTTTCTTCCCCGCTATCCTTTTGCCCAGCAACAATTCCACCAGAGGCAGTTTGGCTGTTCTCTACCCTCCACACCTGTCCTGTTATCAGCCCTCCCTCACCCCAGCACCCTAAGTTCTTGCAACATTAAGTTACTCAACATCCTAAAGTAGAACCCATGTTCTCCCATCGCTATACCTTTTCGATCCAGCTTTTCTCTCAAGATGGATGCCAGACACATTTCAAATCCCTATGCCCCTTGCAGCTCTGACACTTACTCTTCTAAGAAATTGTACCAGGTTTTCTCCTCATTCACCCCTATGGCCCAGTCCCATCTCCAGGGCCTGAATTACTCAGCCCTTTTGCACTTTGTGCTTCTATCTATATGCAGGTATCAGTCTTCTAACTAGAATTTAAGACCCAAGAGAGTTCAAGTTTTGAGGTTGCTTTGTAACCCCGGAAGCACTAATACAGCACTCACCACATAGAGGGCAGCACACTCTTGTGGAAAAACTCCAGAAGTGGAGTAACAAGAGTGACAAGTAGGGATCAAGTCACGATCTACTCACGTATGTTGCAGCAGTGATTTCCATCCAGTTACTGAACTTTTTGATTCGCATTCCCCTCATCAATAAATGTTAAATAATAATTATTAACTTTGGATTTTTCTAAGGACCACATGAGATAACATACATAAAAGTTATTTGGAAAACCAGTACAATGCAAACAAATATAAGACAGTATTGTTATCAAGACATTTTGCACAATGTTTGTTGAAGATTGACCCAAACTTATCTTTCTACAAAAGAAAAATTGCTATAAATGATGAAGTACTTTTCTACAGGAACTAGAAGCAACAAAAACATGAAAGTGGTTTGCTCACTGGTAACAGCTGATCTCGTTAAGGTCACTGTATTGTTTTTCTTATACTAGAACATAAAGCGCTAATCAAAGTATTAAAACTAGATTTTAAAATGCAGTACTTTTTAGCCTTCCGTATAATTTTAGGCATTAATGTGGGTAAACTAATCATTATATTCGATGATGATTACTCAGATGCCTAAATGCTAAGTTACATCTTCAATATCAATGTCAATTAAATGAAATACCTCTTGAAAAAGAATTTATATCATTTTTCTGATTCAACATTAACTATCTACACTCTGACTGACCAGTGTAAATGAGCTTGTAAATTTTAAGTTCTGTAGGAAGAATGGGTTCGATGCTGCCTCCCCTCCCCCTACCCCGACACACACATTTAACACCCTGTCTGCATTACTTCTGAAAAGAAGAAACCCACTGTGCAGCAGGCAGTGGGAAATATAATGCAGCTTTACACTGCATCATGAAAGCAAGAAAACAGCCAGCTGTGAGTCAGAAATAGAACAAAATTTTGAGTTGCAAACCCAAGGGACCTTCAGGTAACATTGGAAGTGCTCCTGAATGATGAATAGTTTATTTTTTTTCAGACCCACTATGGACACTGCAGGATATATTTACCATATTAATTTTTAAGTTTCAAAAGCAATAAACCTGTTGGTCAGATGGAAGCCTGACACTCACAGCAGCTGATCTATCAATCAATCCAACATGGCCGGGCTCTGCCAGCAGCCCCTGACACCAATTAGGAAACTAAAATAGTGAACTGCTGCTACCAGGTTATAGTTTTGCCAATTAGAGCACATCCTGGGTGAGAGAGAGCAATGAACACTAGAACTCAGGGTCAGGAGAGAGAGGTGAAAAGAGCCTCATGTAATGTGACATGAAAAAGAAAGATTGCAGGAGGGACACAGAAAAGAATCAAGACAGTGTGGAATCAAACAGCACATTTTATTGTTCACTTGTCAAACACATGCAGACACTAAGACAAAGCAAAAACAAGGCGCTTCCCTAGGTCTTTACCCTGGAAGGCACTGCTTATTGGCCTACGCAACTTGCCAGCCAATCACTGCCATTCATGCACTCTGAGGCTGCCGTCTCCCACTGTTCCCCTTTAGTGAGGATTCACAAGTTAAGCTGCCGCACACAGGGCCTTCACGTCAAAGGCAGACCACTGATAGACACATATCAAAGTGCTGGAAGGCCAATATTTCAAATCAGGCTCATTATTAGCACATAAACCTTTTTTGCTAAATTTTCTCATTTTTACATCCTACAAAATTGAGGAGACCTCCTTTCAATTTTTCCACCTGAGCTCCTCTTCTAAACCATGACTCAGAGCCCTGACTTATCCAACTTCATAAAATCTAAGGACCTCAAAATCATTCCCCATGAGGCCCTTCATCTAACAACTATTTCCTGCCTCAGAATACCTTCTTTTAATTCCATTTAGAGCTGGCTTTGAAGGGCTCCCAGCTGATCTTGTCTGTTTTGTGTCATCTGAAAAAGAAAATGGCAAAAAGCAAGGCTGACACAAAAAGACCGCCCAGAGTATGAAGTTTTAAACAAGGGTCACCTTCAGATTCAGATGGAAAACCGAGGTCTTGACCAGTTTCATACATTTGTTAAGCAGACTCCGTTCTGAGTTAGATGAAAACAACAGGCAAAAACATCCTGAACGTTAAACAGAACAGTTATTTTGCATCAAGGGCAAAATGCAATTTGCACTTATCAACTGAGTCATATTTGTTGCAACACATTTTCCACAGAATCTAATGGTAATCTCATTATGGTGACTCAAATTTAACTCTGGTTACTCTGCTCTGCTGCTCTCAGTTCTGCCATAGTTTTATAAGAAGGGGCCACGTGATTTCTGATGGTGTGCTCAGCATGCCATACACATCACGAGAAGTATGTATTTCAATGACTATGTGCAAAACATCAGCCAGACTTTATCATAAGGCTCTTCTAAAATGTTCTATGGCCCTAACAACATAAAATAGATTTTCCCTCTAGAATCTCAGCTGCCCTTTGGAATCACTGGAGAGTTTTGAAAAATACTAGGTCCCAATTTGCAGAGATGCTGATTTCACTGGTTGGGAGTGATGTCTGAGAACCAAGATTTCTGTTAAAGATGATCCATAGTCTGACTTAGCCCAAACTTGGGTACCCCCAATCTCATAAATGTACTCGATTAACAAAAAACACCATTAAAAAACTAGATGTCATCTGATCCAATGATAGTACATAACAGAAAACTTTATTACTCACTCAGGCACAGGAAAGGTGAAAAGAATCCCTGGGCAAAGGGGCCCACTGGCAAAAGGGCTCTCATGTCTGAGCAGAAGAAGAGACAATGTGCCAGGTCCTGGGGACACACATACAGGACCAGAGTGTGCCAGTGGGATTTCTTAATAATAATGGGTGAAGGACTTGTTTCAGGTAGCCTATCTGGGTTGTGGGTGGATGTCAAAGGTACAGAAGAAGTTGCCTTGCCTTCAGCCTAAACTTAATGGGTATTGCAGAAGTGAATAAAGCTGGGGCACCTGATGATTTCCACCCTGGCAGATTAAAGGTTTAGCTGAATAGCATTTCACTGGGAGGGACTTACTGGACCTAACTCTCCTTCTCTACAGCAGCCAAGGCTGAGAACCACTACTCAAACTTCTCAAACTTCTGATTTGCCTAAGGATTCACCTGGGGATCTTGTTAAATTGCAGATTCTGCTTCAGTAGGTCCAAGATGGGCTGGAAAGTCCCACTTGTGATAAGTTTCCAGGTGATGCCAATGCTACTGCTCTACACACCGCATTTGGTTCTATTCCTTGAAACATCCTCTCACTGAGTTACAGGCCTTTCACAAATGAAAATCCTATCGTGGTCCTGGGCTCACACATTGAGGATCTCTGGAGGATTTCTATATCCTAGAGAAATTCACAATCCATGGGGTGGGACACAGATAAGCAGGGAAATGCTGCAGTCCACAGTTCTCTATCATCTGACCCCACATCGCTGTTCTTCATATGCTTACCTGATTCTGAAACCAAATATATAGTTATATACCTAGTTGCTTTCGTATTTAATGACCGTCTTTCCCACTAGAATACACACTCCAAGAGAGCAGCGGCCTGTGTATCACATTCCCCATTATAACTCTAGAGCCTGAAACAGGGCCATCATGGAGTAGATACTCAACAAATGTTTGCTTCCTCAAAAAGGACTGAATGAGATGACATGGACACCTTATTTCAAAAGAGCGCTAGGTGATGCCGCTCCTACACTGCTAGTTCATTCTAGGCAAAGACACATGGGGCAATAACCTTAGTCTAGCCTTTTAGCCAGTACTTTGGTAGGTCTGACAAGGGGTACAAGATGATAAAGATGAGACTATTCTGCATCTTCTCAATTTCTATTTATAACACATTTCTTATACTATCTCCCGCACAATATGGAAAAGATACAAGTGGAGAAATAATATTTTTGTACTTCAGTTTCCTTCAGTTGCCATAATGAACATGCCTGGAATAAAAGAGCTTTATAAAAAAAGGGAGGAAGCCTCTGGAAAGACAAGTTCTGAGTATACTCGTGTAATCCAAACTCCACTGGACCCCCAAAGGACCACGATGAAATGGCAAGAGACAGCCTCAGGAAAATTATTAATCCTGCCTCAGAATCCAATCACTCACAAATGCCTACTGGCAAAACTATTCAAGGCCTCACAAAATTAGAAAACTAACAAAATTAGAAGTACAAGTACCTGAGGCAGCACATGAGCAAAAGTAAAACTAGTGGAACACAGATTTCGCTCAGCCACATGAACCCTACAAGGCCAGCACTGACTCTCAGTGATTTTTCAGACTGGAGGTTGCTACCTACTATTGGACTATTATATCATTTTAGCATATCACACTAGCATTTTTAATATGAAAATACAATAAAATAGAAACTTTAAGAAGGCAGAAAACAATAAATCACAAGTAGTAGTACTTCCTATGTATGAATTAAAATCTGTGTGTACTCTGGGTCAGGATGTAAAATATATTCTTGCAGGTTGTAATTTTAAAATTTTTGTAAATATCCATCTATACCAAGAAGGGTCATATTTCATATAGTGCCTATATCTGAACTGGTAATGTTCACAATTATACTAAGAAAACACATTTATACTAAAGAGATGGTTTGGCATAGTAGCCCAGAGCATGAGTCTGGAGCCAAACTGACTGGTGACTCTAGACAAATCACTTCACTTTTCTAAGCTTCCTTTCTATCATAGGGTGTTTAGTCAATTTCTGCTGCTGTAACAGAATACCAAAGACTGGGTAATTTGTAAAGAAAAGAAGTTTGTTTAGCTCATGGTTCTGGAGGTTGCAAAGTCCAAGGGCATGGCGCCAGCATCTGCTTGGCATTTGGTGAGGAGTTTCTTGCTGCATTATCCTTTGGCAGAAGGCAGAAGAGCAAGTGAGCACACAAAACAGAGAGAGGATGGGGGCCAAACTTATCCTTTCATCAGGAGACCATTGCCTGGACAACTGCCTACACCTGAGATAACAGCAGTAATCCATTCACGAGTGCACTGAGAGGCCCACTCTCACAATGGCAATTAAATTTTGATGTGAGTTTTAGAAGGGACATTCTAACCATTGCATAGGCACAAGAATACAACCACCTCATGCTTTAACAATTTAAGAACGTACGTGGAGTTAGTATAGTGCCCGGCATGAGTAAGCACCCGATAAATGACAGGCATTATTGTCCCCTCTTAAATGCAGGTCTAACATGCTTATTTTCCATTATTTCAATGATAAAGTACTAAAGAACAGGGGATAAGATCATTTTCAAGTGAGCAAAAGACTGTAGCTGCTACCAAAGTAAAAACTGAGAAATTCATCTAATTCTGGAAGAGTCCATTTGAAATCAAAAGCTTGCGGTTGCAAAAGGGCAAGAAGGAAGAGCAGTGTACTCATGGAAATGCCACAAAGTTAAGACACAGCAAGGTCAGGGAGCAGAGGTCAATAAAGGCACAAATTAAATTTTCACACCAGCACACCTGAATGTCTTCCTACAACTTGCTCTTCTTTTAAACTGCCTTTTCTATCAGGCCCATAAAAGTATGCAGGACCTTAAGCTTGCCCTATTTCCCAATCTTATTCAAACTGTGAGAAACCACATGCTGTGTTCTTAAGAACCAATTATTAATTAGAAACTCTGGAAAGCTGGACAGCACTCATTATTATTAAACCTAATATCCAAAAAGGATGTGGATAATTACTATATTTGCTTCTCCAACTGGTCTTGATAAAACGTGCTAAAGTTATTCTTGACACAAGTGTCACCAGTGGCAAAGGGCTCAATTTGCTGGCATCTCATCAATAGCATGCTTGAAGCCCCCATTGCTTGCAGTTAAACTAACAGTTTATATTAGGCTAAACACAGTTTGGTAGCCATTGTCAAGAAAATTGGAGTTGCTCAGGCATAGCAGAGTTACTGATGTTATTTGTTTGGAAGCCTTGTGATTTAGTGAATCACTAGCAATTGTTAAGCAAGTAATTAAACTATAAAGCCAAGACCTGTGATTTTCAGTCTTTTCAAAGCAATAATCATCAAAATTCCAAGTACCATTTAACTGATTCCCTTCTTAAACATGCTGGCAACATTTATGTTGCTGTCATTCATTCAGTTGTACAGTTTATAAAAACTAGATTATGGCCTTTATAGAAATTATATACCACTCAACAGCTTTGATAAATATGAGAGGTTTAAAGAAAAAACTCACAAAAAGTAGTGAATGAGAACTGGACATAGAAAGATTTGGATTTGCTCATGTATACAGCTATCTTAGGTTTAATAGCAACTCAAAAAATCCTATTTTTGGGACTGAAATACTAAAATAACTGGACTATTGTTCTTATAACCTTTTCCAAACATAAGAATGCATTATATAAATTTCACAATTCCCCTAAGTGCCTTTAAAATTATAAGCAATTTAGTCTATGATTCATGTACCATACTGACTGCATACAATTTTTTAAACTTCACATCTCAATTATATCTTAATATTATGGGGGCTGGAATGCATTAAATAAATCATATTTCAAAGACTCCTGGTAAAGTAATAATACTTCCATGCATTTTAGAAGAAATTGGCCTGCATTATAATTGTATTCATAATGTCATTACCTGCCTTTCCTCACTGACTGAAATATTAGGCAGCAGTGCCTACTTCAAGCTACTAATGGAAGCTTTCAGAAAATCTTACACTTAGGCTGTGGCTGGCAATTAGCAGTGTTAGTTAATATAATCCAACGTTTACAAACAGCAATTTACCCAATATATAAACCAGCTCTTGTAATTAGTGAAACTTTGTTACTGATTAAGATTTAATATGATGGCTGGTATTTCAGCCTGTGCTACATAAAGAGACTGAACTGATCTTTCATTTGTTAAAAGACATTTCCTTTTCAAAGTACCTTATTACTGTAAGGTGTTTTACTTACAAACATACAGCCATTAAGAAAATTAATTCATTAAAAACCTGTATTACTTAAAAATAATACATGAAGTGTTTCTATAAAATGGCAGGAATTTTAAAACCCCAGCAAATGCCTTCAACAACTTATGAAAATTTATGATATTTTAGAGACCTGCCAAACACAGCTATTGTTCTAATTATTAAATATTACATAGTTGTATCTTTCATTTACATCCCTTCCTAACAACTTACAAGGCACTTTCATCTACATTATACCATATAATGCTCAAAATCATGTTGTGTGGTACATATTGTAGCTATGAATCATACCCTATTTAACAGATGGAAATACTAAGGCTCATTGAGGTTAAATGACTTGCTCAAAGTAAGGCAAATGAGAATAAGGATTCGTAGTCTAGTTTCTTGATTCCAAAGTCAATATTCTTTCCTCTGCACCCAAATGAACACGTAATACATCTATTCCCAAAAGCTGGGGTAAAAACCTTAAGTAACTCACCAAGAAAAGACTGAAACAGTACACAACTTGGAAATGGGTGGTTCCAGAGTCACTTGAAATTTAATTTTGGAAATCAACACAGGCAGCCTAGGCAAGTTCTTATTTAATTCAATACACAGCTAAAGTACATCACCCAGGTAAACTAACTACTCCTTATAATATTGTCTAAGGAAAAGTGCCTATCGAATGGAAATTGGAATGCAAGAAAGCTATCCCCATAAGCCACAGTCCAAACTGACAGCTCTCCTCCACTGGGCTCACACTTTAAACCTGCAGTGTGTCCCCGACACCGGCAACAAGCAAACAGGAAAGGAGAAGGTTCCCAGGACGTTTAGATCTCTGAGCCCTGGGGAGATGAGGAGAAGAGTGCTCCAAGAGGAGATGCGGCTGCGAGGTCTACACAACCCACTGACCCCACTGGGTGTGAAGTTGAGTGCATGTTTGGGAGCAGGGGACACTTGGTAGCAGCAGGTAGTCTATCCCTGGTGAGTGTCATTCTTGATCTCTTACAAGGAAACAGTACCTGCTAAGAAGGTGGAGGGAAAACAATAACCGAATGTACTGGCCCTTAATGAAATCAGTATTCTTTAAAAGAAGAAGATGGCTTTACACTTTTAAATATAGTTACTCCATATAAAACTGGTCTCGGTCAACGATGGAGCACATGTGTGACAGTGGTCCCAGATTACAATGGAGTTGAACATTTCCTATCACACAGTAACTCATAGCTGTTGCAGCACTGTAGCATAATATTTAAAATAAGCTTAATTTAGCATAACTTAAGTATACAATGTTTACAAATTCTATAGTAATAGTATACAACAATGTCCTAGGCCTTCATGTTTACTCATCACTCACTGACTTGCCCAGAGCAACCTCCAGTCCTGCAAGCTCCATTCATGGTAAGAGCCCTATACAAGTATACCATTTTTATCTTTTATGCTATATTTTTACTGTACCTTTATAAATATGTTTAGATACACAAAGAGTTACCATTGTGTTATAATTGTATTAAGTACAGGAATCTGCTACACAGGTTTGTAGCCTAGGAGCAACAGGCTATACTATTTAGCCTAGGTGTGTAGTAGCCGATGCCACCTAGGGTTGTGTAAGTACACTCTCTAGTATTCACACAATGATGCATTTTTCAGAATGTATCTTCTTTGTTATTTATGACTGTACCAAACACTGTTCAGTGACTCTCTAAACATTAAGGAGTCCTTTGAACAAACGAAAATTTGGAAAGGAAGAATGAAGAGGGTGTGTTCAAGTGTCAAAGTAAACAGCCTAGGAAAGAACCTTCCAAGTTCAAATAAACTAGGCGGAAAATGCTGGAAAGACATTTAGGAACAAATGAGTATGTGCTATTCCCATTTACACTAACTGCCATCACAATTTCTTCTGTGATTCAAACTGATTAATCCAAACTTGTTTTCCCCGGAGCCTATCAACTAATAAACAGTCCCTACGGACATATTCTTTTGAGTAAATCTGTTAAACACAGAGCTCCATAAATGTATCACAAGGAAAATTACCTCCTCTAAAAAGCTAGTTATCTAAAAGGCGTGAGTGATCGAAGGAAAAAACATAATACATTTGTCACTCCCATTAGCAATATTAGTGCTAATGAGAAAGTACATGGACAAGAACATACACCTCCTAATTTGAATGTGTTACAAATAAAGACTAGATTAGTCACAGCTACTCAGATGAAATTTTAGCACTTAAGGTTGAAATACTACATGAGGCAATGCTTATAGTGGTTCTGCAGCACAATTTCAGCTACTTAATTACAGTTTCCAAACCATTTAACACCTCTCAGCACACAGAAGCTAGATGTGTATGCATGTGTGCTAGTCAGACAGTTCAAGATTTTAGGTATAACTCAATTATCTGGCATCCCTGGGAAATAAGGTGTTCCATTTAAGTGCATTTTCTATATAACCAAGGCCTATCCCTTGATACACTGTGAATCCCTGATTAAATTTTGTGGCCATCTGTAAGGGAAATCTTTCCTCAGAGTATTTCATTCCCTGCATCCTTACAGGCAATTGGATTGAAAGTGGTGGAGCGGTTCAGGGGTTTGGTTTTGTTGTAGGAATAAACCATGGCCGTCCTTAGGAATATTCACCACTGAAGCACTTTAATATAGTTTCTACTTTTTATATTTTCTCTCTTCCTTCAACGTCTGGCTTTCAGCAGTCATTTTTTCCACTACTGCTGTGATGGCTTCTAACAATCACAAGCCTCCATTATTCACTTCAGTCTAAGAGTTTATTCCATTGACTTGGGTGGAAATAAGTGAGCTTGTTAAGAAAGACATCCTTGACAGGTGTCAATAAAGCTAGGCATGGGGCATCAGGTGGAAAGTACATGGCTTTACTGAACAAGTTTTATTACCATGCAGGAGTGGATGAGTTAAGGTATTGTTCCACCCGCCCTGTCAGTTTTCATTTTTAGTAGAAGAGTCCAGGGGAAATCTTAGATCTTGGACTCTGCATCCAAGATCCAAATTCCAATATAACCCAAGAAGCCACTTTCTCAGTGGCCAGTTTCCTCTCAAAATACTGTAAAACTGATGCTTTCCGATCTTATATGTGCCTGATTTTATTCATTCTTACACAATTCTACCCACTAAAGCATTATGATCTATGTGTTCAATTGTAACAAAAAGGTTATGGTGAGGCAACAGTTCTTTGCATTTCTCTCCTCAAATTTGAGACTATATCCAATGTTAAGAAATAGCTAAATATTGATGATAACAGTTCTTGGATTCATAGTTATCCTTGAAGATAATACTTAAAACAAGGCACTTGATATCTTACAGCTTCATGACAGGGTAGTTCCCTGCAAGGGTGCAGTTACTGCCTAGGCCCCACATGGATGCTATAATCCTCAGGCCATCCTCAGCTACATGACACTGAGGTGCTCCCTACTTCTCAACGGACCCACACTTCAGCTCACAACAATGGCTTTCCTTGTCCTCTTCAAAATACCCCCACTAAGACCATCAGCCACCCACCATAACAGCCATGCCATTCTGACACTTCAAACACCACCACCTTATTTCTGATATTTTTATCCTCCTTTGCAGTCAATGTTTAATTCTCAAACCCTCCACGTTTACCACTTCCTGGTTATACTGGGTTCCTTATATTACTGGCAACACCAAAAATGAGGAACACAATACCGTTGGGTTTTAATACCATCATCTCCCCTGCTTCTCCAACTGCTCCTCTGCTAAGAGCCTGGGATGGCTGAGTGATCTGATGGGGCAGGAGTGCAGTCAGGGAGGCACGGAGCCATTTCTGAAAAGCACAGGACGGGATGGGAGATCAACAACAACAGCTCTTGGGTTCCCAAGTCCACCTGTGGAATCTGTCTGTGGGTCTGCCAGTCCTGATTAACATTGTCAAAAATAACCATAGCAATAGGAATTTAACATAATCATCACAGTTTCAAAGCACTTTCACATATCTCTTCAAACTCTCAAAACAGTTCTCTGAAGTAAGTACCTATGCTCATTTGAAAGATGAGAAAACTGAGATACAAAGACTGGACTGTGCCCAAAGGAATATATTCAGAAAGCAGTAGAGCTAGAAAGCAAATCACTCTAAGTCACGTGACTTCCTGAACTATCCCTGCTGGGTCCCTATACAATTCTAGGCCTATATTCATTGGCTGGAAACATTCAGGAGACAACACACTTCTAATAAGAAAGAGCGGTGGAGAGAGGGAAGGGGCAGAAAGTCACACGGGCAGGAGGAAAGGGGAATACTGTTACAGTCACTAGAAAAACTCTCTACAGTGACTAGTTTATCACCCTTGATACAGACAAGAACACGGGTTGATGTAATTATTGATGATGTGTAACAGTTTAATGGAGTATAAAATATATTCTTTTTTTCATAGTTAGTAAAAGTTGTGGAGTTCTTAATGTTGTCATATCCACACTGAGCATGTATCCTACCCATCCAGACTTTTGACAGAAGCATCAATTTTCTAAATTGTTCTCTAACAACTACAAGTTAAGAAAGAAGAAAATTACTCAGTGTTAATAATTGCAATTCTCTGAAGATTCTAACAGAACCCACTGTAATTTTACATTATTGAATCCTGCGGCTTTATACATTGGAAGAATTTTCTGTTTCTCCTGTGTTTTTATATTAAAAGAAGATATCCATAAGAAATACATTGAAGAGCTAAAAATAATATGATGGGATCTAGACTGGTATTACAGACATGAAGATGCTCTGTGACAACATCTATAAAACATGAATGGAGAAAAACATATAACACAAATGTCCTCTGAAAAAGCACACAAGTAATTCTCTTTGTTCATAATGAAATGAAGAAGAGTTGGCTACAATAAGTTCAAAGGTGAATAAACTAACGTGGTTTGTTAATAAGAAAAGCTACATCCCATGTGCAGCCTACCACTAGGTATCTGGTTTGCTGCAGGAGGTCTCTATTGCTTACAGCATGTCCAACCATGCACAAGTAATAAAGGGTCTGGTTGCAAACAGAGAGAAAGGAACCCAAGCCAACAATGAGAAGAAAAAATAAAGGATAAAAAATAAGCATGAAAAGATCCTATTTTTTGTCTTAACTTAAGCATACTCTAAGAAATAGACCTTTTCATGAATAAACTACCTACTATATCTAAATATTAGAAGCACAAAAATTTCAATTTATACATACATTCCAGATACTGCATAAAGGTATCTAAATGCACAAAGAACAACAAAGAGACTTGAGTATTTAAAATGCTTAATGAAAAGAGACTAATGTTCGTTTTCAAGAACAGATAAATCATACTAGCAAAGAAATGTTGAAAATTAATAGTCATGACTGGGGAATTGCCTTGACAAATATTTTTTGAGTGTAAATATACAATAAATAATAATGTTGTGCTGGTTCAAGAATTGGTAAATATACCAATTGGACAGAATTCAAAGACCAGAAACAGCCTTAATTCTACATGAGAACTTAATATAAAATAGCCAAGACAACTCTAAAGAGAATAGATAAATTACTTATTCAAAAAGCTACTACTGGCAAAACTGTTTAGAAAAAGCTGGTGAGATACCACATGCCAAAATAAACACAAGACTGAATTAAAATTTCATTAGTAAAAAAATTGAAAACAAAAGTACAAATAAAGCAGTGATGACTTAAATAAATTTTAAAGGGAGACAAACCACTCTAAGCATATAGTTACTATAAAAGGAAAAGACTGACAGATTTGACTATCTAAAAGTAAAACTTATATATGCAAACAATGAGGGGGTCTTATAAAAAATATGTTAAGACATTACTGAAAAGGAAAGTTATGAATGAGCAATTCAGGTTAGCCACATATGTCTGGCGATGTCTCTCTATTTCACTATCTGTCTCTTCATCTAAGAACCACAGATAAAAGTGAAATCTTCCTCACTTTCAAACTGATAAATAACAACAGAACTTGTAACACCCAATGCTAATAAGTAGGCAAGTAATTCCCACCACATATTGCTGGTAGGAATATAAACTGATAGAAACTTTCAAGAGAGAAAGTTTTCTCTGTGTGGGCATGAGCTCCTACTAGCATGCATGTACAGAAAGAAAACATTAAAATATACTCTTTAAACAGCAAATTTGCTTTTAGAAATTTATCAAAAACAGAAAATAAGTCATCAATATCAAGTCATTAATTGCTCCTTAGCAATCAATGTACAATTCTCAAATCCTCCCCTTTAACCAATCAATTGCTGACTTCTTGGTGACACAGGGTGCCTTACAACTGCTGGCAACCCAAAAATTAGGAACACAGTACTGTTGGTTTTAATATCATCATCTCCCTTGATTCTCCAACTGCTCCTCTATCAAGACTCTAGCAGGGCTGAGTGATCTGAGAGAGCAGGAGTGCAGATTGGCTAAGATTTAGCCAAGAAGACATTCTTCTTAGCATTGTCGGGAATAGTAAAAAAGGATAAAGAAAAAAAAAAAAGAAAACACCACAAATATCCAAAAATGGAAAAATGGTCAAATATCCAAAATATACATTAAAAGAATAGCTGGAATATTAGTAATATGAAAAAAATAGTCACAATACATTGCTATAATAGAAATATTACATTTTTATTGCTGTAAAAAATATTGTTGTAATAAAATAATTACATTGTTGTAAAAAAAAATGTATAAATAGTAGTAAAATATGAGCCGAAATTTGTACCTCCTCCATCCTATCCATACACTCCCCAGAAGTATATATGCATGGTAAAAACAGGAATCAAACAGCAAGTATTAACACTAGTCATCAGGAGTGGTAGGATTATGGATGTTTTACGTTTTCAAATCTACTGGTGCAAATTTTTGTATAATAAACATTTTGTATAATAAACATTTGCATTTGTTTTAATATAACTGTCAATATGTTACAAAATTATTATTCCAAAATGAAAGCCTACTCTAAACTTTCTTTGTTCTCGTTACTTATGAGTACATAAAGAACTTCTTTATTGACTTTATAGGCAGTTACCTAACTGAATTCTCTCAGCTTATAAAAGTTTGTCAGCTGGCTTTCTTCATTTTGCAGGTATACAATCTAAAAATAATGGAAATTTTACTTCCTCCTTTCCATGTTTTCCCTTCTACTTTTTTCTCTTGTCTAACGGCATTGGTTAGTACTTCCTGAAAAATATAAAGAATGCATATTTTAATCTGTTCCTGACATTAATGAGAGTGCTTTTTTAAAATTGCCATTAAAAATCATGAAGACTTCTTGGGTTTTCATTGTTTTAAAAATTCAGCTTTCAAAAAGGTTCCCCTTAAGCCAGCACTACCTAACATTAAAACAATTAATTAAATAAATGTGAAAATACTCAGAAATAATGCTTTTCAAGTAAGGCATGGTATTCCAGAACTTTATTTTTGTGGTAAATAAATATAAAAGAATGGATGAGATTTCTTTAATATTGTACATATATGTATAAACATATTCACACAAGTACATATCAATGGGGTTGCCAAGCACCAAAATGAATTCCTATTGTCTATTAAAAGTTAAAATGGTTTAGATGTGATTAAATGACCTCAAACTTCTTTACAAGTGATAGGTAGGAAGCATGAGAATGGAAAAGACCAAAAGAGGGGTCTGAAGAAAACACATATGAGAGTAAGCTGATAAGGTAACATTACTACGAGTTAGTGGTCATTTGTGCAACCCATTTAATAACACTCATCTTGCTTTAATAAAAGTTTTAAAAGAACTTATAAAAAGAAAAACTAAGATACTTAGATAAATCTTGAAGCTCAACTAAAATGTAGGCATTGACACTAGGCACACAGGAGGTGCTCACAAGATTTTCTCAATTAAATTTGAAAAGAAAATGGTATAATGTGCTTTTTTCTTCCTAAAGATTGTTCAATGCAATCTACATAAACACCAGTTAGCAATTATGCTCATGAACATGAGAAATTCTATGAAGCATAATCTTCAGAGGGCAGAGTTACAAAAGTTCAGATAAACATTTTTATTGAAAATGATAACCAGAACTATCTGTATGCACACTGTCCAAAGATACATTCAATAATTATAAAATGCATAAAATTAGACACATTCTTATTACATCAAACATAAAAAATCATACTGATGATTACTATATTTAGACTTGATAAGATATTCTCACGTAACCATTAAGGAATAATTCAATTTAACTAAAAATTTACTTGGCCTTTATATATGTGTGTGTGTGTGTGTGTATACACACACATATACATATAATGTACACACATTTCTCACTGTTATATACAGACAGAGAGAAAGAGAAAGAGAACAGTGAAAAATTCAAAATTATTTTAATACCTTTGAAATGTACCTGATATATAAAAATAAGCACCAAGCAGTGCCTGGTCCATAGTAGGTACTCTATAAATACTATAGAATAAAAATCAGCCAGTTTTAAACTACTAGGGCAGGAACATAACTGAGAAGAGCTCCTCTATGGTGTTGCTCAGTTTGCTCAAGATCTGAGTTAAAACTGGAATTTCATGTCATTTGGAGCTCCACTCAGTAGGGAATGGCAAACATTAAACTTTTATTGTTACAGGTCATTAAGAATTAACTCCAAAAATTTATATCCAAAAATGATGAGTCTCCTAGTCTAATTTTATAAAAATATATTCCATTTTTAATTAGAGTATAAATATATTGGTTTATAATTTTATAAATATGGAGTAAAACCTGGTATATATCAGACTGAGCTCCACAGTGATGGATTCTATTTTTATGCAAACTTGCATCTTTATTACTGAGATTATACCCTGAAATATGTGATAGTTTACCAAATGAATGGATGAATAAATGAGCGAATTATATTACAATGTATTTAGATAATGTTTTTAATCAGAAGAAATATCTAAATTTTATATTTATTCTTATTGTTTCTTAATGTTCAAATCCACAGTAACTTTTATACCACCCTAAAACATTTGCCAAGCTGCTGAGCTTCGACAGTTGTCTCTTCTACCAGAAAATGTACACAAACCACCATACTTTTCTGCTAAACAGTTATAAACCTTTCCTCTTTCTCAAAAAGTGGACCAATGAGTACTTATTTACAAGACAGATACTAGAAAATCTAATGAAGATTACTGCTTTTTACGGAAAATAAATGGTTATTTTTAAAGCAAGTAGACAATTAGATATCTTAATAAAATAACTTTCTTATAATTAGCTAATCACTACTGTTAATGCTTTAAATTTATTATTATCATAGTTGAAGGCATAATTTTATTAAACAAAAATTGAATGAAATAAGCCATGTAGTAGAAATAACCAGAAACAGGAGGCACTTTATCTCAATATCTAAGCATACCTATTTAGCTTTTGTACTAATTTCTTTTCCTTCCTTCCTTTCAAAACAAATTCACTAACATCTTCACTTTATTTTAAAACTTTACACATGAAGTTGGAGTAAAGAAAAAAAACTCTTCTGATGGCCAGTAAGCATGTAAAATAAAAAGTTTCTAAATTATAGCCTGAAAAAATGAGATACCAAACAAATTCAAAGGAAATACAGAAATGAAAACCACTGTTTTTCTAAGTTTAAAATTCTCTTTTAATAAATATCAAGTTTTACATTTAACAGACATTGAAAGACTCAAATGTTTAGTATAACTGCTGAATATCTCTATTTTTAAAAGTTACACTTTGAAAACAATATAAATTGATGGCACTACATATAACATTTGATAATGTTATAATAAGTAATATCATTGCATTTGATAGTACAGATCTAGATGATGACTATGTTTAAAACAAGCATTAAAACCTTCCTGCCAATTTTCAAATGTTAAACTCCAAATTTAAAAAAAAATCTATCAGGTAGTCAATTTATGTAATTAAACATTAAATGAAATTTGATTTCCTCCTATGTTGTGCCACTTTAATTACTGTATTTCAATATGACATACAGATATCATTTAAAATGCCAAAAGGATTATCAACATAAAATAAAAGTGTGACAAGGATCCCACAGTCAGTTGAAAGACACAACCATTGGGGGGAAAAAGTCACAAATACAAAAATAAATAAATAATATACAAAACTTGCAATGTCATTATCAAACAAGACTAGTTTTTTGTTTTGTTTTCTTTTGTTTTTAACAAATATACACAATAAACTGAGATTTCCTGTTTTGGGATTTCCTTCTTTGCCTTCCAAAAACTCAAGAAAAATGGGCTCACTACTTTACAGTCACTCCCCATCTCTAACTCAAAATGTTACTATAGTTTTATTACCCACTGACCTTGACTCTGACTGCTGGCTGTTTCCAAAAATCAAATTTATTCTCAGCTGATGAAGATTTATCACCTTGGAGGCTGGTCAAAGAGATGTGCTTTTTCATGCAACTCTTGATAGACAGAAAGAAAAGAAAGAGGGGAAGAAAATGGTGGAAGAGTGAGGGACGGAGAAGGAGAAGGGAGGGTAGGATCGAAACTTCGATAAGGGCAGCTATAGTAGAAAACGTAACAGCTTCCCAAGGAGATTCCTTTGGGAGAGGGAATATATAATGTGTAATTTTGGTTTATTTTTAAACAATTCATGTGAAATCGCAGTCAGTTCTGCAGGGATGTTTATTACCAACAACGATACCCAAACTCAAGAGGAAAAAGTTTCTATGGAAAATCAACTACTAGTGTTCAAGTAACACATGTCTACTGAACATACTATATCAATGGCTTTTTAAGATATTTTTTCCACCATTACACACTGACAATTGACTTTTTCACAGCCAAAACTTTAAAATGGCAAAACAGATTTTGAAGACATTTTCTGTAATTAAAACGGCTGCTTAGATGCTGAGAGAGAAATTCTCAAGGATAATGTTGCTTTTCACTTTTCTCTTAAAAGATTCAAATGAAAGAGAAATGTGTTGAAATCAAGTAATTAGAATTCCATTTGGTCCGTCATCCCTTTTCAAAATTTATTTAAAGATTCTAGATTTTACTGACAACTCTTTAGCACCACAATAACTAGGAAAATAATAGTATTTAGTGCTTTCAAATGAATACATATAATCAAAACGTCAATGTGATTTACAATCGCAAAGGAGTTGTCAAGAAATGTTAAATATCTAAATAGTTTTGAAAATTGGCTTTGCATCAGAAAGCTCAAATATCATTTTTGAAGACCATATAACTGTGGCAGATACTAACTCTTCATATATCTATCTATAACAGGGCCTCTGAATTTTTGCATGGCTCATATCATCCTAGGGAAAAACAAGATATTTCCTAGCTTCCCTTGATGCTGGATATGTATGGGCAACTGAGTACTGACCAACAGAATGTGAAGGAAAGTGACAAGCACGCCTCCCAGGACTCATCTTAAAAGAGAGAGGACAAACGCCTATTTCCTGCTCCCCTACTCAATCCCACTGCCCGGAACAAGAAGATACTGAGCTTTCTTGGACCCTGTGGATGAGAAATGAACAAAAATACATACTAATGAAGTTTAAAATCACAAGTTCCATCTTCTAATGAGCCTATGTTTATTTGCCTAAGTAGCATAACAGTAATTGTTCCAGAATGCAAAAATGTACGAGATGTACTCTGGAAATGGAAAAATACTTTTCTTCAATTCAATGAACAGATTCTGAATTTTAAACAACCCAATAATTTTTAAAAGTAACACACCTAGCAAAGAATAAATGCCCTCATATAGTGTCAGTATTTCAAACAAATAAGAGAAACCAATATTCAGACCCTAAAGTTAATAAAATATGTCTTAAGACTTGTGAAAATCAAATTATTTGCTTCCTAATCACCAAGAAAAAAATATAGAAAAAAATACCACCTCTTCACAAAGGAGTTAGGAGTGCAGTATGAAAATTATAATATTGGTAAGGCTACAAAGATCATTGTAGAGTAGCACAGAATGGCTAGTCTAGACACAAAAAGTAGACACAAGTTAGAAGCTCTGGCCCTTCCAATGGTCAGCTGTATAAACCTGACCACATCAGCTTTCCTCCAGGAGGTTCTCAGTTGTGTTTAGGAATATGGGATACTTTGTGTTCTGCCCTCTTCATAATTCTGTTGTAAAACATTAAATATGAAAAAATATATCAGTAGATATTAAAAAAGAGCATCCTTAGTAAATATAACTATTATTCAAATAACTGTGAGAAAAGTATACATTGATTTGCATGTTTCAAAAGTAAAGAGGTCATTTGGCTTTTTTAAAGAAATAAGTCATAGTGAAAAACTAACTATTGGGTACTACATTCACTACCTGGGTGACGGGATCGACTACATGCTAAACCTCAGCATCATGCAATATACCCACATAACAAACATGTACAGTGTACCCCCCAGTCCAAAATAGAGTAAATGCATTATAAAAAATCTAATAGAGACCTTATCTCACTCAACTTTGACATTTTAGGAAAAAGATGTGGCTTAATTTGCTTCTCTGAAGATCTCCCCCTCACAACTAAATAAATAACGAGCCTAATATTTACCAGTACTAGTAAAAATGGCATATACCTTACAAAACATTTGTCATCTTATAAGATGCAAATCACATTGATTCCCTGATTGATCATAAGACAGAGTATGTAAGACAGCCAACGGGCCATCCACACACACCAGGAGGAAGACTGTTGTGGAGTTAAGGGTGCTGGCAAACAGCAACTTTAAACATTTTTTTACATTAAATTTGTTATTTTTTAAAGAAGGTTTTTTTTCATTAACTATTTTAGAAAGCCTGAAAAAGTAATTCCCAGATAGCACATTAAATGCTGTGAATTATGTTATACTCCATAGTAGGTTGCTATGTGGTTTCTTGATTTTATCAAAATTACATCCAAGGGAATGAAAACCATTTGTCTACATTTAAAATTCCTCATCTCTACAACTCAATATTTTTCCTTGATGCATTCTAAATGCCCTAGTAGAAATTATTTTGAAAAGAAACCATTAAAGGTATGCTAATGACTCTGAATTGTGACA
This sequence comes from Homo sapiens, assembly GCF_000001405.40. NCBI lineage: Eukaryota > Metazoa > Chordata > Mammalia > Primates > Hominidae > Homo > Homo sapiens. The sequence continues at coordinate 132,950,944 of NC_000007.14, forward strand.
GATGCTAGGGAAACAGGCCTGTTGGCTGAGGCACAGCACCCTTAACCATCTATCATAAAGTACTCCGGACCTGCTCATTCATTACTGCTGTGTTGCTCAAGGGGAGAGAAAAACAGCAAGAGTTTCTCTTTCTGAGGCAAAAATCATAAGCCACTCACTAATTCTAATGTCATGATCCCCCACTGTTTGTCTGCATGATAATTAGGAAAATCAGAAGTAGTGAAATATTGTTTTAAGAACGTGATCAGAATTAAACTGTTGAAAAGGCCAAGGAGGAAACTCCACACATCAACTAGTGGGTCTCCAAAACTAGATACTAACTGTAGGCAAAAGAAATCCTATTTCCTAGGAATGAATCAAGAAATAGAGTCCCTGGCTTTACAGGGAGGGGTGCAAGGAGAAGGGAAGTATTTAGAAAGAAGCAATAGAAACACATCATTACTCTGAGAATCTTCTTTCTATAACCTGTTGGGAATATTTGTTGATCAACCATTTGGATGAGGTGCACTGATCCAGCCACTGTGGGAAACACATATACGAAGCCATATAACTACACTTTGGTCAGTGACAGACTGCATACTGAACGGTGACTGTGCATGGTTATACCATATAGCCTAGGTATGTAGGGTATGTAGTAGGATATACCATCTAGGTTTGTGTAAGTACATTATATGATGTTGACACAACAACAAAATTGCCTAATGATGCATTTCCCAGAACATATCCCTGTCGCTAAGCTATAGGACTGGATATCAAAAATATATTTATTAAGAAATATAGAATTTGCAGTTTTACAAAGTGCTTGCTTATATTAATACATTGCCTCATTTGATCCTACCAAGAAAGCTATGATGAAAATGCCATCTTGATTTCAGAGGAGAGGAAACTGAAGCTCAGGTAAGTGAGGTGACTAGCTAAACATCACAAGCTCATTAGTTGAAGAGCCCATAAATCATGTCTTTTGTCTCTAAAGCCAGTGCTCTCTTCTCTAAGACCTAATAGGAAGGAGGTGGCATCAAGGGAGAGGCCCAAGAGGAAAGATGAGTAGAAATATTTTCCTTAAAAACATGAAGAGCATGACTGCTACATACATGCTTAATACAGATTTCACTGTCATACAATGTGGAGGAAGCTTGAAAGTGCATATGGGCACAGAGGCCTTGGCACTGACCAGCAGGTTTGCTAGGCAAGACCAAAGCCAACCCAACTACTGGGCTGCCAACCAGCAGCAAGAGGAGAATGACATCTTGCCTCTTTCATGTCCTTAATCCATTTTTCACATCGAGGGTTAAGCATTAGAATGGTGTATTTTAAAAATACACATGCCTAGGTCCCACCCTGTAAGTCTGAATCCACTGGGGCATTTATACTCTCTAATTGTTTGGCAGAGGGACTTTAATGACCGGCCAGACTTGAGCCTCTCGATGCTAGAACTGCACAGCTCTTTCTTTTCCACCTGCATCCACAATTGATGGAGAAAATGAGGTTGGCACAAAATTCGCAACTTTAAAAGTTGGCTACAGATTTCATAAGAGCCAGTGAAGGACAAGAAGTGTATGAAAGAATCAAATAGTAAACAATCTTGTCTAAGGAACTAATATCAAGCCTGAGTTATTTTAACTAAAGAAAGGAAAGTACTCAAGCCAGTCTTGAATAGAGAGATGAGCAGTTCACTTTCATACCAAATACTATAAACATAGGCCATATAGAGTTAGCTGATCATACGTGTCTGATAAAAAGTGTTATAGTATTGTAGGCTCAAAAGTTTGTACTAACAGCTTTCCACTGGAGTCCAAATTATTGGCTGCAGTAAAACCAAATGCTCATTACCTACAAAAGGATTTTAAGTGTCCACCTTTCCAATGGGAGTTGGCCTCAAGGCACTAAAGAATTATGACAACAGGGAAGGTGGCAGTAAAATACTGCACTTTTCAAAAGACCTTTGAAGTGTTCTAAAGAGGTCTCTCACAGCCATCTATAAAGTAGAAATAAATGTATCCATTATTTACTTATTTCAGAACCATGTGGTAATAAACTCAATATTATATTCAATACCTCACTTCATTATGCCAATAGCTGCCTACTCTGGCCAGTGAAAGGACTGTTTAAACGGCAAGTCCTTCATTTATATGTAAAAGTCCATGAACTAATGTCATCCATCAAGGAAAATTCCTCAGTGATAGCTAGTCTATAAAATGAGCCTTATAGAGTCCTTCACTCCACGTAACTTTCCGCGGCCTTACTAAGTGATTATAACCTTCTCCAATGCTGTGAATTTAATATATTGGCAGGAGGTATTGAGATGTAATGAAGACTCTGAAGGTGCCAGCCACAGCATGGAGAAACAGAGCCTGTCACCTGTCTACCTTCGGGGAGGCTCTATTTCTCCCCACAACGAGGCTCCTATGTCTACTCAGGAACCACAGCTCCACCACCTTCCAGACTGCCCTGAGGGACATCCTGACTTCATGCTCACATAACAGAACAGATCTGACCTTAGGTTGACCAAATGCAGCCCAGCATGGGACCAAATTGCCATTATACCAAGACTGGACTACTGGACAACTCAAAGGAGCCAGTCCACAGCTGAGCCTCCCTGACCCCAGCTCTGCCTATTCAGACTGATTCTCTTCTCCCTGCCAGCTATCCTGGAGGTCCCAGCAGGTCTGCTCAACTTAGGACATGTATGGTGAACTGCATAAATTCCATTCAGGAAGTGTTAGTGAGCTCCTGTTGCATGTAAATCCCAGTATGGAAATGCAAGTATAAATAACTTCTGCCTCTCCCACCCCAAGGACGGACTTCACATTTGAACATGGCCATACTTGAACAGACTGTATTTTACTCAAACAGGAGTAAAGGTCATAAGTAGGGTGACCATACGTCTTGGTTTGCCTGGAGCATCCCAGTTTATGTGTGTTGTCTCCGTATAATTAACAGTGCCTCCTTTCACTTTCCCAGTTTGGATGATAAATTATCGGGTTGCCCTAGCCATAAAAGAGTCATAAAAGAGTTTGGAAATATGGAGAAGATTGTGATCATTTCTGTGTTAGGAAATCAGGAAGGCTTCTTGAAGAATGAGATATTTATGCTATGGGATGAAATGAAAGGCAAAGTTTAAAAGAGGGCTGAGAGGTGTGGTAGAAAGCAGGGGAGGATGTCCCAGGCAGAGGGACAGGCAGGAGGGTTAGGGCAGCAGCAGGCCTGCCATGTGCTTCCAAGGCACATGGGGGTCCGCCTTGCTCTGGTGTATATGGCAGCCACTCTAAGCTTCTTGAGAGCAAGGATTCTGCTCCATCTTGTGTCCCTATCTCCTGACACAGCACCTGGTGCAGAGGAGCACAAAACCCATGGGCTGCTATTCTACTGAATGAATCGAGGCATGGCAACATTTTGTCACCTATGTCTGATTACATGGCTCTGTTACAAGAGGAAGCTCATGGCCACGACACTAGACATTTTGCTGGCCTGACAGTTTAGGAGAATGTGGAAGAAGCTGTCAGGGCTGGCAGAACCCACGTCCTTTGTGGACACAGGGTCAGGGATTATCCTCAGGCAACCATCCAGAGACAAATTTTGGAGCAGTGGTTGAGAGGTGAAGGCATGTGACAATGCCAACATGGGGCCACCACAGCCCTCAACCTGGGCTGTCTTCAGCATCTCAACAAAAGACGGACTCTACAATGTTCAGAGACAAGGGGAGCCCACAGCAGCAGGCCCAATTCCTCAGATGGTACAATTCCCAACATTCCACAAAATCCTGCCCAGAAAAGCCACCAGGACAGCAGCAGTCCCACTGAGGGGCCAAGTAGAGCAGATATCTCCATTCTGTATGCACTCGACGTCCCTCGCCATCTGCCTGTACCTCTAGACGTCCATACAGCTTGCCCTGACGGAGGCTCATTGTGGTCCTACTCAGATAAAGCATAAGCCTGATCACAGACTGCATGTGTCTCAAGCTCCATGACCTTGTCCTCCACAAAATTCCTCAAAAATGGAGGCCATACCATGTACCGCAGAGATGGGTTTCCTCTCTGAGCAAAAACATCAAGGAATTGCAAAGTGGGAAGCCATCAAAAACGGTAACTGCAACTGGGGAAGAGTCAGCGTAGGCCCTTCTCTAAATGGGCCTTAGCCCAGGGAAGTCATAGGGTCCCAAACTATCACACTGTGTGGCAGGGCACATCACCAACAACGTCAAGGTAGAAAGGAGGCTTTTTCCCTCAGAGGGTGTGTGTGTGTGTGTGTGTGTGTGTGTGTGTGTGTGTGTGTTGCGGGGTGGGCTGGAAGACATTCCTCAATCAACTATTGTTCTTCCCTACCTATGCAGAAAAGACCCACAACCATGGTCGTGAACAAAGCAAACACCTCTACACTCTACAGCCATTGGTGTGCATATTACGAACATGATTGCCTAGCTTTCTACATCATTTGCAATGCAGGGCAAAAAGTACTTGTTAGTTTTTTTCATCTAGAAAGTGGAGGCAATTGCTTTCACAGTTAATTTAATGTCCATCAACTAGACTACGATATCCAGATGTTTGGTCAAACACCAGTCTAGCTGGGGTTTTTTGTTTGTTTGTTTTTTGGGGTTTTTTGTTTTTTTTTTTTAATGTGATTAACATTTAAATCTTCAGACTTTGAATAAAACATTACCTTTTATAATGTGGATGGGCCTGTTAAAGAAAAAGTTGTTCATCATACTTGTTAAGACGGCAGAGCAGACTTTATTCAAGAGGGCCCATGGCAATAGGTGGAGGAACTAATGCAATGAGGTCTTGGAGTGAGGGGAAGAGATTGGCTCAATTCTGATTCTAACAAGGAAGAGCAGAGATTTATAACCAAGGAGCAAGGTGGGGGATCAGCGAATAGAAAAGTATCAAGAGGAAACATCAAGGATAAGGAGCTGACTGAATAGGATCATTGCTGAAGCCAATGCCAGGGTGATAATATCCAGGGTGGTCAGATAACAAGGGTGGGGGATTTTCCGAAAACTGACTTAGCGGGATTCTTGCTCAAAGTGGATTCTACAAGAGGGAAACCTAAGATCAGTCTATTCAGAAAGGATTTAACAGAGCCTGACTAAAGTTTTGCTCAAAAAAGAGAATCTTTGTCAGGCTTCATCCAGTCAGTTGAATCCATAAGAGAGAAAGGCTGAGGTTCTCTAAGGAAGAGGGAATTCTACCTCCAGATTGCATTCAGACACAAGACTGCAACATTAAGGCTTCCCTGAATCTGAAGCCTGTTGGCCTGCCCTGAAGATTACAGACTTGACAGTCCCAACAATCACATAAGCCAATTTCTTAAAATCTATCAAGCATGGTGTACACCAATTCCTCTTACTGAAACGTAAGCTCTATTAAGGCAAAGATTTTTTATACATATATTTTGATGTATACCCAGCATATAGACCACAATGCCTAGCATATAGTAGGCCCTATACAAATAATTCTTCAATCAATGGAAATGTAAGTCAAATACATACACAAACACACATCAGTACAGACATAAAGAAGAGCGAGAAGAAAAAGTCCACTCTTGCTAAAACAATGGGCATTGGTTATGACAGGCAAGTCAAGTTATAAATTGTAAAAGCTTTATTATAATTCCACATAAGTACAATATAATGTCATTATAATCACAGAATGAGGTCTATCAATGATCATCATTCTCTGTATTCAGTGACCATATTTCTGCCTCTTTGTTTCAAGTAAGAACACACAGAGGCTACAGATATTTACTCACTATCTCACTCATTGTAACAGTCGTCTTGAAGATAACTGATAGTCTAGGCCTTTTCCTCATCATTCAAGAGAGATTACAGCATAAGACACCAGTTTCACTATCTAGGAAGTTATGACATTAATCTTTGCCCAGCCACTTAGGCTGAGGAGTTAGGTAAATGGTGGGAAGGGCTGCTAAGAAAACTGCAACATATTAGGCAGAAAACAGGAGAGAATACAAAAACAAATATACATCTCCATGCCTCTTCTGAAGAGCGATCTACCCCAAATGCCCTCTGTGTGTCTGGCTTACCCAGCAGAGGGAGAGAGCTTCCCCACCCTCAGTGTAACTGCTAATCCCAAGCCAGCCCAAATGTGCAGAAAGATCCCTGCCTTCTTGTTCTCTGTTCAGCAATCCTGAGAGCCTCTCTGAAAACCACCACAAAGACTGAAATATACCCTAGACAGGGAACCTGGAGACCTGGAGGCTGGTTCTGACTCTTTCGGTTTATTCCCAAAACCCCTGGGCCTCTTTCTTCATGAAGAAAAGGTAGAGATTAGATAGGGTGATTACTAAGATTTCTTCAAGGTCTAAAAAGAAGTACAGTGATTGTGCAAGGTAAGTTGACCCCATCTACTCGAAAGGTGCCCAGAAAAGGGTCCAATAAAAGGGAAAGTAGGAGCTAGGGCCCTAAAATAGCAATACAATGGTGGGGCCAAACTGGGAAATGGCTGCGCCACTCCAATCTGATGAGGGTCTCACCTCACTGGGCATCCCGGGGCACACACCCTCTGGGGCACACCCTTCTTAAGTTTCTTTTTTTCTTTTTTTTTGAGACAGAGTCTCACTCTGTCACCCAGGCTGCAGTGCAGTGCCACGATCTCAGCTCACTGCAACCTCTGCTTCCTGAGTTCAAGCGATTCTCCTGCCTCAGCCTCCGAGTAGCTGGGATTACAGGCTGCGCCACCGCACCTGGCTAATTTTTGTATTTTTAGTAGAGATGGGGTTTCGCCATGTTGGTCAGGCTGTCTCAAGCTTCTGACCTCAGGTGATCCACCCACCTCAGCCTCCCAAAGTGCTGGGATTACAGACGTGAGCCACTGTGCCCAGCCCTCAATTTTCTTTCTTCAATAAACTTTTGAAAATGAAAAGCCCAGTTGGCACGTGGTACAGGAGCTATTACTAGAAACAACTTCAGGCCACCTATCAAAAGGTAAAGAATTACTCTGGATGAACTTAGTATTGCACATTTGGAAGACTAGTTTGTCAACAGGCTGAGAAATTTACACAGACTTACGAATCAACCAATGGGCCAAATTATTGCTTTAAAATAAAATAAAATCTGGCCAAAAGAACACATATGTGGGACCTCCTGCTAAGATATACTCTTTCTGCAGACCAAGTACCTGGAAAGCTAAATCATAACAGGATGGCTATTTGATAAGCTTTACGGCCTGAATGTATGACGGGCATGAGGCTAAGAGGGCTTATTATAAACATCTCCACAAAAGGCAGAGACCTACAAGGGCCAGAGTTGTTACACCAGGGCAGAGGAGAAGAACACAACCATTGCTGGTCTTTTACAATCTCTTCTTTCTTTCTATACATGTATTCTTTTCTAAATAATAATTAATGGCTGAAATGTATTTTGTAAATTAATACTTACTCATTTCAGAGACTTTAGCAATCACAGAAAAGCATTTTTCAAGTATAAGAAAAAAATTCTCACACCTTGCTGTGATAATAAAAAAAATAGAAGTATGAGAAAAAAAAGGAAAAGAAAAAACAATCTTACTATGAAGGTTTCCATCCATGGAGATGTACAGGTATTAAAGAGTATCATGATTTTTATTCTATTAAACAGCACACTGTAAACATGTCTCATGATATTAAATACTCTGGAGATACATTTGTTACTTGGTTTTTATTTAAAACCATGTTTTAAAGACTGAAAAATAAAGATTGGCACATCTTTTCCTTAGATGTATTAATATAGTCCATCGGCAACAGGCCATTCTTGTTCTGAAGCCACTCAGTACATTTCAAGCTTTATCCCAAGACCACTATTTCTCTCTTACTTCTAAGTTATTTAAGAATAAGTGTCTTACTATAATCTGTGAGCACAGGTAAGTCCTCCCAAAATAACAGTGCCCTGGCCAGTTGGAAGCTTAGGTCTTATGAAATTTCCACAGTGACAAGGTAGCAAAATAGTATCTGACAAACTGACAGGTATCACCACAACTGGGAGAGGAAGAAAACATGTACCCTTCTCATCCAAATATTAACCAGCATCTTTTTTGCCCGGGCAACATATGTGTCTATCAATGGTGGTCTTGCCAAATTAAACACTTCCAGCACACTTGCCCTTAATTCTATCTTGAGAGAGAGGGAAATTAAGAATTTCAGGCCAAATAGAGAAGAAAGGGGAGGCCATGCCAAATGAGTGAAAAGTCTATTTTTGAAAAGGCATAACCTGGCAGTAGCCTCAAATCACAATGTTATTCTACCTACACCTAACTCCCAAATGAGCTCTAACTCCCAAATGAGGCTATACTCACATTCCAGAAACTTTCACCTGCAAAGTATGTATTACAAATCTAGAGAAACAGCCCCACAGCCATATATCAAACTGTGAGCACTGTAAGAGCATACCCTTAATACACAGTTGTCTGACTGTCACTTGCTTCTGTCCTATCTTCAGTGATGTGGGGACAAAAATGTTTTATGTACAGTTTCTCAAGGATAGCAGACATTAATAGAAATGCATGGATGGGGCTGGGCATGGTGGCTCACGCCTATAATCCCAACACTTTGGGAGGCTGAGGTGGGTACATCATTTGAGGTCAGGAGTTCAAGACCAGCCCGGCCAACATGGTGAAACTCTGTCTCCGATGAAAATACAAAAATTAGCAAGGCATGGTGGCAGGCACCTGTAATCCCAGCTACTCAGGAGGTTGAGGTGGGAGAATCACTTGAACCCTGGAGACAGAGGTTGCAGTGAGCCGAGATCGTGCCACTGTACTCCAGCCTGGGCGACAGAGCAAAACTCCGTCTCAAAAAAAAAAAAAAAAAAGAAAAAGAAAAAGAAAAAATAAATGCATGCATGGGTTTACAGCTGGCATAGATCAATTTCTAGTTATTTTACAATTATTGATTAGGGAACTCAAACAGCCTTTGCTATTTGCCAGACAAAAAGCTAAATACCCCCTTTCATAAATCTTGAGAAAAGGCCAAAGAAAAATGAAAACTAGTGTATTCTGGAAAGAGAACAAGCCAAGACAAGATTATAACCAAGTCAAAGCTGAGAACCAAGTAACAAACGTATCTCCAGAATAGAGCTTGAAAAACTTGCAGTCTTGGCAAGTCCCTCTCACTCGCAGCAGCAACCTTTGTTGCAATCAGAATTGACGGAGGCTTTTTCACTTCAACTAAAAGATTTCTGTCAGGGTGAACATATTTTAATCCACCGCATGCACTTGTACCATGTCATTTACAAGGACAAAACCTGACTACACCAAGAGCCTGCTTTTGTTGTGTCACTCTACGGGACCAGTGTACATGTTCCTAAGGCTCACAAAAAAAAAAATATTCAAAGAGAGGAGAGAGGAGAAGAGAGGACGGGGAAAGCAGTATTATCATACACACAGAGAGCATATGTACAGTTAGAGATGGAGCTTGGAAGTGGTGATGTGCAAGATGGAGAGACACAGTTAAAATATGCTGCATTCTAAAGGAGGATGTTATTTAGAACTTGTTCTTTTTGATGCCTCCAGGGTTGAAACTGAGCCACTCTCTTAATAATATATTGAGTTCATCAAGGAGGTAAAAAGTAATAATCAGTTTGAAGCACCAATACATTCTTCTATCACCTGTGCATGACAGGGAATGATGGGAAACTTTCTAATGATGCCACTGTCCATATGCTTAAAATTCAACATGGAGCAAGGAGGTGTTTAGAAAGGAGAAAAACAACGTCAGAAATTAGCAAAACAGAAGATCTAATGGTCACATTAAAAATTAACAAATGGGGCCAGGCATGGTGGCTCATGCCTGTAATCCTAGCACTTTGGGAAGCCAAGGCATGCAGAACACTGAGGTCAGGAGTTCAAGACCAGCCTGGCCAACATGGTGAAACCCCATCTCTACTAAAAATACAAAAAATTCACCAGGTATGGTGGCATGCATCCATAGTCCCAGCTACTCAGGAGGCAGCACAAGAATTGCTTGAACACCAGAAGCGGAGGTAGCAGTGAGCAAATATGGTGCCACTGCACTCCAGCCTGTGTGACAGACTCTATCGCCAAAACAAAAAACAAACAAAAAAAGGGGCTCAGGATGCAGCATCTCACACCTGTCATCCCAGCACTTTGGGAGGCCTAGAAAGGAGGCTCGATTGAGCCCACGAGTTCAAAATCAGCCTAGACATCATAGTGAGACCTCATCTCTACAAAAGATAAAAAATAAATTAGCCAGGTGTGGTAGTACACACCTGTAATCCCAGCTGTTTGGGAGGCTGAAGCAGGAGGATCACTTGAGCCCAGGAGGTCGAGGCTACAGTGAGCTATGATTGCACCACTGTACTCCAGCCTGGGTAACAGAGAAAGACCCTGTCCCACAAATATATTAAGTTTTAATGAGTTGAAGAAAGAAATGGAAAATAAGCAACCATTCGAAAAGATGAATCTTTGTTTAAGCTTAGAGACAGCAAAGGGGTTTCATCCACTATGATACAAAAATTTGGGTCACTTAATTATTTTTTCCCACCGGTTCTTTATTTTTCCCCAGTTTTACTGGGGTGTAACTGACAAGTAAAAATTACATATGTTTTAGGTATGCAGCATGATGACTTTATATATACATATACAATATAAAATGACTACCACAATCAAGTTAATTAACACATCTATCATCTCACACCTGTGCGTGTGCTCGCACACAATGCATGCGTGCGGTTAAGAACATTTAAGATCCATTCCCTTGGCAAATTTCAAGTATACAATAGAGTATTATTAAAAATACTGTAGAACTATAGTTACAATGCTGTACCTTCGATCCACAGAACTTATTCATCTATCTTATAACTGAAACTTTGTACCCTTTAACCAAATCTCCCCACTTCTCCCAGTCCCCTGCCTCTGGCAACCACCTTTCTATTCTTTGCTTCTGTGAGTTCAACTTTTCTAGATTCCACATATAAGTGAGAACATACAGTGTTTGTTTTTCTGTATCTCATTTATTTCACTTAGCATAATGCCCTCCAGGTTCACACTCACCATGTTGCCAATTTAAGTTTATTTTCCTAACAAAGCTCTGAGTCTTCATTCTAAGCCAACAAACACGTATTAGCAGAAAGATCCCATGCTCCCATTTCCAAGAAAAGGATCCCTCTCTCATGTTGACACTTTCAATTCAGTGACTGTCTAAAAGCATTTATGCCCGGCCTGTGACTAAACCACTTTTACTAATCAGAATAAGTAATCAATAACAAAATTCCAATTTAGCCAAGAAAATAGAGGCTTTCAACTTTAACAGTTTTTCTTTTTCTAAAATGGACTTTTTTAATAACCAAAGAAAATTAAAATAAATGTGACTCTTGGAATTGGTAACCTATTCATAAAACAAAATTACTTTATAAAAACTCAATTTATACGTATATAGAACTTCGAATTCTGTAAGAACTCCTATATTTAGATATTTATTCATCAAGGTAAGAGACTTGAAAGAGAACTACATTAACGACCTTGTCCTCATTTTAAAAAGACGGAAACAAAGGGCATAAAGAAAAGGAAGCAATTTGCCTAAAATTACATGGAGTTGTACCTGGACGGGAAGGGCAGAGGGACAGAGAGAAGGCTATTTCAGATGAAATTATTGTTCAAAAATTGTCAAAAAATAGGAAGAGTTTATTCTCTAACAGTTTTTAATGATGCAAGTTGGATGCCTGCTGCATTTTGAAGATACGGGATCTATACAGATGCTGAAAGCATTTTTAGTTCATGAAAAGAAAATTTCCAAAACAATGGTTTTTCCTCAATTCACCCACAATATAGAATATTAATCTATAGGTCTGAATGAAATTCTTCACCTCTTTTTTGCCCATTCCACTTTCTTCTTACTAAAACTCTAGCAATGACAGCAGTAACTCATAAATTGAAGTTAAAAGTATTCATCTTAATACTACTGTTTGCAAATTATGTTTAATATGGAATTTTAAGACACATCAACTATAATAGTTGCCAATATATGATCCTAGAATACATCCTGTATCCAGAGGAACAGTTGCTATAAAGAATATTATTGAGAAAATTGACAAAATTGAAACCTGGGCTAAATATTACAATAGTCATCAATGTTAAATTTATTGATTTTGACAACTATACTTGATTATGTAAGAAACACTGATTTCTAAGAGGCAGAAGTATTAAGAGGTAAATGAGCATGTCTTCTACCCATGCTCAATTGATCCCCTCCCCCAAATAAAAAAAAAAATATATATATATATAATATATGTAGGCAGAAATAGAATGATAAAGTGTGGTAAATGCCTAAAAACAGATGAATCAGAGTCAAGCTCTTTGTACTATTCTTACAACTTTACCGTAAGCTAAAAATATTTCAAAGTAAAAAGTTTAAGAAAGGAATTTTAAAATTGTAATTTTTTTTTTTTTTTTTTTTTTTTTTTTGCCAGGCACTGTGGCTCACGCCTATAATCCCAGCACTTTGGGAGGCCAAGGCGGGCGGATCACGAGGTCGGGAGATCGAGACCATCCTGGCTAACACGGTGAAACTCCGTCTCTACTAAAAATACAAAAAAATTAGCCAGGCATGGTAATGGGCGCCTGTAGTCCCAGCTACTCGCGAGGCTGAGGCAGAATGGAGTGAACCCAGGAGGTGGAGCTTGCAGTGAGCGGAGACTGCACCACTGCATTCCAGCCTGGGCGATACAGTGAGACTCCATCTCAAAAAAAAAAAAAAATTGTAATTTCCTAGTGTCTCTACCTTTACCCTATGCAACACAAACGATTATACACACACACACACACACATAATCTAGCAATGTTAATACTCAGTTGTTAGTTTTTGCAATAGTAGACATACAGTAAAATCAGTTACCAGCTCTTTCCTATCATTCTATCAGAGCTATGAGAAAAGAGCTTATTTTTTGGAAATAAACTAATTTTTAATACATTAGTTAACCTGCTGTTGAGATAATTATTCTTGGAAGTGGAAAGTATAATTGAAAAATACATTAACAATTATACAACTACATCCCCAATTTTTTGTTTCCTTTTTTGTTTGTTTAAACTTAACAAATCTCCAAAATGGTCAATGGCATAGTTTTTCAAACTCTATTCAGAGCTTGGCTTTACAAACAAACTGTAGAATATCTTCCTTTAAATTTCTCATAAAATTCAATGAAAATACAAAAGTGACTGAATTCACTACGAGTAGACACTGCTAATGTATATCACGGTTATTCCTAAAAATACTCTATTGCAGCAAGCCCACCTCTACTCTCAACAAGCATTCTCCCAGATTAATGCTTCTTTATTATTCAAAGTGACAAAAATAATTGAATCATCTCTTACCTCCCGCACAAATGAAGACTTTATGTTAGACATAAAAAAGAGTAGGCCGGGCACAGTGGCTCATGCCTGTAATCCCAGCACTTTGGGAGGCCGAGGCGGGCAGATCACAAGGTCAGGAGTTCAAGACTAGCCTGACCAACATGGTGAAACCCCGTCTCTACTAAAAATACAAAAATTAGCCGGGCATGGAGGCGTGCACCTGTAATCCCAGTTAATCAGGAGGCTGAGGCAGGAGAATCACTTGAACCCGGGAGGCGGAAGGTTGCAGTGAGCCAAGATCACGCCACTGCACTCCAGCCTAGACAACAGGGTGAGACTCAGTCTCAAAAGAAAAAGAGAAAGTTTCTGCCTTTATATACTAGTATTCCTTTGAGGCCAAGGGAATGGATAATTGCTACAAACCAGGTCCTTTTGTGTCTATATCAACCACTTCTCCCAAAGTATGACAGGCCATGGCAAACTTTCTTTAAATAAGAAAATTCAAAAATGACTTGACGAAAGTGTACAAATAGCACTTCCTTTGACCAGTATCTTTTGCAATACAGGGATTCACATAAGAGAATGTTTTTAAATACTGAAATTTACAGTTTGACATGCCAGAACTTTTTAAATGCAAAATGGTTTCTATGGAAATGGTAGTGCTAATATTTCTCACCCACGCTGGTAAACAAATTATTCTCAATCCCTGATAGCATTATGATTGTGCATACATTATTTCACTAAGCAAGAACACACAAGGCCTATTCGAGTAGTTACGGCTGCCTGCCTCTATGCTAAGTAGGCTCATAATGCTATGGGTTTTATGTGTGTGTGTGTGTGTGTGTGTGTGTTTTACTTCCTGTGAGTGTGCATCACATGCATGGCGATTAGTTGCCCTTTCTACTCTTAGCTGCAGTAATTTCTGCTTTGACCACGTGCCTAAAAGTCCATTTCCCTTTCTAATGTAATAAATCAAATCCATTACACGTTAAAAACAAAGAACAACAACAAAACTAAATTTGCTAAATTGTGCCCAAAATAAGATCACCTCGGCACAGAAGATCAGAGTTGTAACCCTGGCTCTATCTCTGTGCAACATTTAGTTTCACAGTCTCTTTGAATGTTTGCTTTATCATCTCTAATAGGAATCAATGATAGATGTCCTGCCCATATCAAACACCCAAGAAGATAGTACAGTTGAAGGCTCTTAGTTAAATGAAAAAAAAAAAAAACTAAATCTAAAAACAAATATTGCTTTTACTGTGATGCTGCTTATCAGCAAAGCTCATAAGCTTCAAGACACTAACTAGAATCACTTTGTGATGCCTTTGGGGCTCAGAGCTATGGTTCCAGGCAATGAGTTACCTGTGTTCCTGAGAGTCAAATATGTAACCTATGGATAGGTAAGATAGGATTTAAAATATGTGCATACACTGGGCTAAAGAAACTGTAAATGGATGAAGTTTAATTTCTAAGCAGAAAATGTATATGAGTAGGTTTTATCATCTCCAATAAAATTGGCCCATGACAGTGACTAGTGTTATTTCTTATCAAGAAAATATTAAAAACAAATCTGGAATTAAATTTACAGTCAGTGTTTGAAACAGGCAGAGGGTAAGTATGGAACTTTGTAATCATTTGTCATAAAAGATGGAAGAAGGGGGAAAAGCTAGCTAGAAAACTCTAAATGCTTTATCTAATCAACAAATTTCTATGACAATGAAGACATTTGATAAGTTTACCACAAGTAATCATAAATTATTGGTGCTGATCATTCCACTGTATTTTTTTCAAAATAGCATGGTGCTATCTGTGTAAATCATATTCTGCCTGCAGCAATGTAGCTTACCTCGAATTATTTCAGAATCATCTAAAATGACTCATTTTTCTATTAAAATGATGAATGGGCTAAATGAGGTATGTAATAAATACTGCAGGTTTGTAAACAGATTCCTGCTCTTGAGAGAACGGAAGCCTTACTTCATTTGGTAATTCTGCCGTTTGGTATTTTCAAGAGAAGTCATCCTTAAACTACAGTTAGTAAAGAAAAGAGTGAGCAAGAAAATGTCCAATGTCTTTATGGGTAAGGGAATAGTTACAAGATACATGAAGATAGCTGCCACCTGCCCCCATCGCCAAATCAGGACACAGGTCAGAACATCAAGAAACACAGAAAAAGCATAACTCAGTGCCATTTAGGAATCATATCAAAGCAATAAAAGCACGGATACAGAAAAGGAATACAGAGCTGTGATATTCAACACTGTGAAAAATTTAACATCCAATACACGAAAATGAAGCAGGCGTCATTGCACATGGTATATCACATAGTTTATCACATGGTAAATAATATTGCTGTTCAATGTAATACTGAATTCACTAAACCTGAGGTCCATGCACAATAGGTTGAAAACAAGTCACAAGAACTGTATCAGAACTGACAGTTGTGTGACTTGCCATGAAGACAATCTGGAAAGATTGCTGTAAGAATATAAGGAGCTCATCTGCCTTACATTCTCATTCAAAACATAATGTGCAAAACATGTACTTGGGATTGTTAAGGACTGACAGACTTGATTATGCTTAACTTTTAATTTGTTGCAGGTTAAAGCAAATACCAAGGGCTGTATTTCTTAGCCTCTTTAGTAGGAAATGAGATTATGATGTCAGTTCGATAAAATTCCAACAGACCAGGCAATGAAGTAAATATGTTCACAATGAATGCCACGTCATCATAAAGTGATGGAATTATAACCAGCCCTTTGCACCTTAATTGCCTATGGACTTTTACGCAGTGCTCTCCATATCTCACCTGGACACCCATAATGACCCAAGTGATAGGATGTCAATAAGTTATTACGGCTAACACACAGGACACCACTCAACAAGAACTGCCCTGAACCAACTGGTTTGCAAGTAACTTGATGAATTTTCAAAATCACACTTAGAAAATATGAGAACACATTCTAAGCAGAGTTATTCCCCCTAGCTGTCCTTAAATATGACTAATTGTTGCCAAGAACATCAATAGCATTCTACTCAACTGTGCTGTCTTCTTTTCTAATCACTGTCCAAAAGGCCACACAGTCTGACACAGTTCCTTGGAGAATGGCAACACCGTGTTGACTGGATAGGCCCCCAGAGTCTTGGCAGTGAGTTCTCCAGGACCAGAACACTCCACTGCTCTCCACCTCCAGGTCCCTCAATATCTAGTCAGCATAATATTGAGCTTCTCAGAGGCTATTTGGTGATGTTAAGATCCTAGGTATTTCTGGCCGGGTGCTGTGGCTGACGCCTGTAATCCCAGCACTTTGGGAGGCAAAGGAGGGAGGATCTCCTGAGCACAGGAGTTTGAGACCAGCCTGGGCAACGTGGCAAAATGCTGTTTCTTAAATAAATAAATAAATAAATAAATAAATAAATAAATAAATAAAATAAAACAAAATTAGCCAGACATGGTGGAATGTGCCTCCAGTCCCAGCTACTCAGGAGGTTGAGGTGGGAGGATCACTTGAGCCTGGGAGGTCAAGGCTGCAATGAGCCGTGATCATGCACTGCACTCCAGCCTGGGCAACAAGTAAGACCCTGTCTCAAAAAAAAAAAAAAAAGAACCTAGGCATTTCTGCCGACCTAGATGAGGAAAGCGGGTCTGACAATGTACATTTCAGAAATATATTAATCTGGGCAAGTTTTCAGGATACAAGCAAACTTTAAATCTGTAATCGCAGTCCTATTCATTCTTTGGGATCTTAACATGCAGCCTAGGCAGGCAAACTGAAACAAAACACGTTTCTCCTTTTTCACTGCAGTAGCAAACATACCTAAAGCTGCCCTGCTACTCCACAGAAAACTTGGTTCACAGTCTCTTCATAAGGTTGTATATGCATTCCAGCTGATAATAATAATGCTGCCATAACACACAGGAGGTAGAGGCCACACGTGATAACAAAGAACACAAAGGAGAAAACAGAATCTGGATACTTTGTCCCAGAAGCCCTAATACCCTGCTAAATCCAAATGCACAGGGGGCTCCCACCTGTCGTGAGGGATGCTTCCCTTTGAATTTCCTGGTAAGCTATTAAGAGAGAAGAGTCAGAAAGAATGGGACTTGCAGATGGATTCCAGAGCCCATTCTCACCAATAACACTGAGAAAAATGTCTAACACCTAAATGGCCCAAATCCTTCCAATTCAACGTGGAAATACCATATTTCAATAGTTGTCAAAAGCAAAAGCTCGAATTCATTAACTTCATTTTTGGAATTCAAAGCAAACTAATACTCTACACATATCCAAATAATTGGAGGTTAGTGTCTAGGGCAAGAAAACCAGTACACAACATACATAACCAGAGAGAGTTTTAACAGAGGTTATAATCCAAGTCTAAATTGCACCCAAAAACAACAGATTTCTAAAATTATCTTTAAATGCCCAATAAAAGAACCCGGGAAACCACTGCTTACACTGCAATTTCGTTCACCTGGCTAATTTCAGTGATACTAAAAACCCCAAGTGATCACTCTTACTCTTCTCTTACACAGAACTTTTGAGTATAAACCATGTCGATCATTTCAAAATTACAACCCCAGTTGTTTCCCTTCCTCGTTGGATAGAACCTCACTTGGACAGCAGTAGTGTTCTTATCTGCTTCCTTTAATTTAGTCATTTTTCTCTATATCCCAAATTCAAAACCGTTTTCTTTTTTACCATGAAATTTCAACTGTCACAGTTTGAAGCACAAACAAAATACAGAACTGAAAGGCATACAGCACAAAATTAATCAATTCTTCTTCTTGATTGCTTCACTGGTGCATTTCAGACAAAAGGCAAACTGGGGATGAAAAGTGACATTTTGGAGAAACAGTCGCTTAAATTTTCAAAAACTAAATTTATGCATTCACCCATCCTTTTTTTTTTTACTGTGTTTTTTTTTTTTCTAAACAGTATAAGGTTTTACAAATTCAAAAATTATAGCTTAAGTTGGGACAAAATACACAAGGCAAGAATAACCTTCCCCACAAACCTGACACTTAACTTCAGACTCTGAAGAAAAGCAACCAGATCTAATTCATCTTTGCATCCCTGGGAAATACTGCCTAGGATACAGTAGGTGTTTAATAAATATATGACGAAGGACAATGCAGAAAGGGACAAAAATACCTAATGATCTGACTAATGTTCTTGCCCAGAGCTGAACAAACAACTGGTGCAGTATCTGAGGCCAGGACCCTCCTCAATGCTACACTGAAGTCAGACTTCACGCTATGCTTAGCCCAGGACGTTTTTTACATTGATTGCTAATTTTTGTATTTCAAATGATATGAAGTTACTGATACTAGAAACCTTGCTTGTAGTTAGGCTTGACATTTCTCTCAACCCTTCAAAGCTAAAATCCTAGTAATACTACCTCCCAAATAGTTCCTACTCCTCTTCTTTCCTCTGCATCCCTGCTACCATGCCCTAATTTGGGTACTACCTGTTCTCACCTGGATTAACACAGGGCTTTCTAACTGGTCTCTGGGCTTCCAGCCATTTCCTCCTCTGCTCTTCCCTTCATACTTCATTAGAGTGTAAGCTAAAAATCAAACCCTAAACCCCATGACTGACTAAATGGACCCCCTCTTGGCCAAGGGGACCTCAGAGAAACTTAAAAACTGAGGTCTCGACCATAAAGGGATAGGAGGTTGGACATGTCTCTTTATACACCCTCTCTTTTACAGTTTAGATACAACCATTGACCAGCATTAACGTTAAAACAGAGACCACAAGACTGACAAAGCAGGCTTTTTGTGGCAATCAGGTACCAATTATAAACAGGACCTAGGGCCAGGCCAGGCAAGGGTTAAGTCGTGAATCCCCTGCACACACACACCCACTTAAAGAACAGACTATGTTCTAACTGCCACAATGATTCCCACTCAGCAACTTCTAGTAGTGTCCCCCTATCCCCACGTTTCCAAGCTTTTGCCTGCAATACCTAAGGCTGTTTCATCCCACTCCTCAACCTTGGGAGCAAATCCTACTCATACTTCAAGAGTCAGCTCAGGGGTCCTTTCCCCAGAAAATCTTTTCTATTCTTCCCCATTTCCTCTCCTCCTATTTCCAGGGCTTCAGTAGATGCAATCAGTCATTTATTCAATCAACAAATATGTATTGACTGCTTACTGTTTGCTCAGCACTGGCATATATTAGGCACTCAATTACGTGTTGAATAAATAAATGCAAACATAGCAATTAGTTAAAAGAAAGACAAAGTCCTGGCTTTCCCAAAAGTGGGAATCCTCACAAGACTATAAGTAGCATGGCTCTATAACAGACTTAGCATTTTTAAACATTATTTTTAGTGTATCTTTTACCTTTTATTCCTCAAGGACAAGATTTTGTCTTTTATTCATAGATCATTAGTACCTAACATAGTAAATTTCATACAGTAAGCACTCAATAAAACATCTGTCCAAAGAGTAATGGAAGAATTTTGAAGTAAATATTGCCTTAAGTAAGTAAATTGAGACTTCTTTTTAACATTTAGATTTAAAAAAAAAAGAAAAGAAGAGAAAATACTACATAGTTCTGTGATGATAACAAGAAATATGTGGCTGGGCATGGTGGCTCACATCTATAATCCCAACACCCTGGGAGACCAAGGCAGAAGGATCACTTGAGCCAGGAGTTCAAGATCCATAGCAAGACTCTGTCTCTACTTAAATTTTTAAAAATAATTAAAATTTAAAAAATCTAACATTAAACCAGCATAATGTAGTAAGACATAAAAAAGAGTGAGTCAAAATTTTAACTGGAATTTTAAAAAGAAAATATAACTGCAAAGTCAAAAAAACTAACTCACTACTCTTCAATTTCAAAAAAGAATCTAATGACAGCAAATATTAGATCACGTATATAAGATCTTTACAATACACATATCAAGTTGCATTAACTTTACAAATTCCCTGGTCCTGTCCTTCTAGTCAGTCTTCATCTTCTACAGAGGTGCTTTCCTGATCCTAAGAAGCATATTTTGAACGTGAGTTGCTTTTAACATTTTCATGCAGGTAAAATCATTATCAGTAGACTGCCTCTTCCAAAGCCTCTGGATAAAGTCAACTGATTAAAATGCTGGCATCACTCAGTGCTGAGTAGAGGAAGGGGCTGGTATACTCTTCCAGAATCTAGAGTGGGATTAACAGCTTCCCCAGCTAAAGCAATTCTTCCAAAGGGGAAAGTTTTGATCTGATCCTATTTTAAAACTTCAACAACAGGGCCATCATGACTTTGCCCTTCAAAGAGCTTCAATAAAGCTAGCTGCTAAAACAACTGTGGGAAGAAAAAGCCTGGACTCACATCTAAGGAGACAGAAACCTAAATGTCAGCTGTTAGTGAGCCAGAAAGATGTGGGGGGTGTGGGGTAAGGGGTGGGAATCGTTTTATTTCACAGTCCCAACATCACATCAGCTCCCGTGCTTTCACCCTCGCTCTCCTGAAAGACAACTTTTTAATTACTTCACATGTGTGAAACACAATCTTTACTTTCCTGCAGACTGCAACATTTGAGTTCTAAATAAAGAGGAACGAAGCAATGCTTGGCCATTACTCAAAGAGTCCCACATATTAGAATTAAGAATGGCAGCAATAGGGGCCCTCCAAAATAGCAGGAGCAATGCTAACCTTTCTGGGGTGACTCCCACATCAATTATGGGTTCTGAAGATGCCCACCTCTCCAGCTGGGGATCAAGGAACTAACAAACAACAGCAGGCTTGCGATCACTGTCCACACCGCACAGTACTGGTTTGGAGGGTGGTGGGATACATAATCTGAGACCCTAAAGCATGTATAAAATATATACATATGGGGAAGGGAGAAAGAACTTTATACCTCTAAACATTAATGATAGATGACAGAATTATAACAATACTGATTTTCTTTGTAATTTTTTGTTTTCCAAGTGTTCTATAATATTCTTGTATTAATTTAGTAATTAGTGGAAAACTCAGTGAAACACAACCATTAAAATGTGACCACACAAAAACGTATTTATCAGTATAAAAACTTTTACCACATGGCCTAAATGTTTTAATGTGAAGGTTATTGTAACAGTTATACAAAAGAGTGTATACTATTATCTATGTTTGGAGAAATACCGTTATACACATAAAATCAAATGTTTTATACCAACTCAGTGGGAAGTAAAAAGGAATATAAACACAACAAACCAAAATGTTAACAGTAACTATCTCTGAATTGTAGTACATTGAGTGATTTTAGTATCCCTTTGTATTTATTTTCTAATCTTGATCCAATGAATATGTATGTCTTCCATAATAATAAATAACAACAATAAAGGGAGAAATCTGGTAAATAAATTGGGAACTGCCCAATAACTAAATGTCACTGGCAGCCATGTTGCTGTGGCCATGGCAGACCATGCAAATGTCTGACAACACTCTGGGAAGGAAGGGACTCTCTCAATCAGCTGTCATCCTATGGCATAAATTCCACTTTTATTCCCTAAGTGCTTTGAGGGCTCTATTTGGCAAATATTACAACAGATGCTGAAATACAGGAGTTGTGAGTACTACAATTTGTCATCTATACCACACAACCAGAATCTGTAAATAAGAGATCTACAAATCAGAATGTACGAGGCCAGTTTCTCATGCTTCACCAGCTACACAA
Source organism: Homo sapiens (assembly GCF_000001405.40). NCBI lineage: Eukaryota > Metazoa > Chordata > Mammalia > Primates > Hominidae > Homo > Homo sapiens. The sequence continues at coordinate 132,972,906 of NC_000007.14, forward strand.
AGCAGTAAAGACAGACAATAGACAAGATTTATTAGGTAAAACAGAACAGACTGCAGATATGCTATTCCAATCAAAACATGTTGCTTAATATTTTAGTTATGTTGAGTAACAAATCTTTTGATACTTTCACATTTTTTTGTGAAATCTCTTTTTATGTCTTGCTGAGTGTGTGTATATATTTAATGAGTTTTTTGAGTTTTTGAATCTTGCTGGTCTCCATAAACTAAGAGAGTAAGACAGTATGTCCAAATTCAGGCAAAAAGAGGTGGAGAAAGAGTGCTTCAAAGATAAGATTCAAAAGAGTAAAAGCTGGGAGGCAAAGAGAAATGCCAACCAAGGTATTCTTCTGCCCGCTGGAAACTAAGAGTTTTGCTCTCGTACCTTCCTCAAACATGAGCACTATTAACCTCCTCCACTACATCCTTAGCTTCCAAATTTGGAGACTTTAATATACATAGAAATGACTTTTCAACCCACTGACCTGATATTTTTTCAGCTTCCTCAAAAAATCCTTCAGCTTAGACGTACAACAAATTTAATTTTCAGTTGAGTTACTCAAAACTTACTGTCTTTAATTCTGAAATTATTCCCCTTTCACAATGACTGACTTTGCTTCCACCTCTCTTATTCCCTTTGTTCCACTCAACACATGTACTGTTCTTAGGGCAGCTGCCAGTCAGTCCACTGACATTTCTTTCTTGGTCTACCACCTCTATTCTGGCTTCACTATTTGCCCATGCAACCGGGACCCCAGATTTGTCACTGAAGAAACTGATTCATTACGCATGGACTTCCTTTCATGTTCTCTGTTTGCAGCTGGTCATGGGTTGGTCTTTCAGAGAAGTGACTAAGGTAAAGAATGGGAGAGACTAGAAATGAGCCTTCTTCTTAGAAAGTTTTAGTGTTTCCCAATTGCCTAGTGAACTAGGAAAATCCCCCTCACTCTTCAGTTCAAAGTTCTCCATTCCATGGTCCCATTTTCCCTGTCCAGTGAGTTCCCAACTGTGCTCCAATGAGGACTAAAGGTTCCGAGGAGTAACATCTGGGTTTCTAGGAAGGCCGAAGTGGAGGCTAAGCAGTCAACACTCCAGGTTTCACCCAGAGCAGCTCCACTTTTATCTATCAAATAACAATAAGAAATTGCTTAATAAATTATGTTGAATACAAAAGGCAGAACATTATTCAGCCATTAAAAACTACATTTCAGAAAAATGTTCAGTGACATAGGAAAATGTTCATGAGGCTTAACACCATCTATAGCATTATCTAAATGTTTCAATATGTTAAAAAGCCTAGAAAAAAATAATCTCGAGGAAAACACACACTGGTGTAAACCATGGTTATATCAGAAAGACAGATTGATGGGTGTCTTTTAAACCTTCTTCTGTCTGTTAGTAATACTTTTAAAGACAACAACAAAAACATGTCTATGTAATCTTTTAAAAGATTAAAAAATATTTTCTTTTTAAAAAAATTATCTTAGAAAAGACTGTTCCCCAAGGCCCTGGCTCTACATTTTCTCTTCCCTAAACCCCAGGCAGTGATTGATCAAACCTTACTCACCTTTGCCAGAGTCTTCCAGACTAACATCTGGTAGTTGCCAGCCACGAGAGAAAGAAGCCTACATTGCTGACCCCTGAGGTTTCAAAGACAATAAAACCAAAGGCAAAGGACAAAAAAAGAAGACAGGCCGGGCTCGGTGGCTCACACCTGTAATCCCAGCAGTTTGGGAAGCCGAGGCGGGTGGATCACATGGTCAGGAGTTCAAGACCAGCCTGGCCAAGATAGTGAAACCCCGTCTCTACTATAAATACAAAAATTAGCTGGGCACGATGGCAGGTGCCTATAATCTCAGCTACTCGGGAGGCTGAGGCTGGAGAATCACTTGAACCCCGGAGGCGGAGGTTGCAGTGAGCTGAGATCGCACCACTGCACTCTAGCCTAGGCGACAGAGCAAGACTCCGTCTCAAAAAAAAAAAGGAAAGAAAAAGAAAAAAAAGCAGACAACAATCCTTCAGGTGTGAAACATGTACACATGTCTGCATGTTGGTCTTCAATACTTCCAGAGTTACCTGCCTTTAAAGTCCTTGATGGTTAAACCTAAACTGTAAGCTACTTATAAAAGGCAAAAATCAAAATCTGAGCAAAGAGAACATGAATAATATTATCAACACTAAAAGCTGGCACAGAGTACTTAGCTCTTCCCAAACATCAGAGATTTCCTTGTAGGCAAGAAAATTTCTCCTACATTTTTAATACTCACCAGGTGCTTTGCCTTAGCGCGTTCCTCCTCGCTACATATCCTCTCCCGAAGGATGGCTCTGGTTAACTGCTCATTGGCAGCAGCCCTCTCTCGGTCCAGCTCTTTGGCTTGCTTTAGTCTAAAATGACAAGAATTGTCTAAGTTAGAAAAAATATTTTATTAGTTGACATTATTTTCTATCAAATGAAATAATTTAAAAATAGAAACACATAGCCAAAAAGGTCAACAGCTGAAATCATCTTGGCCCATAATCTATCAAAAAAGCAGGTATAGAGGTAAATCCCCATGCAGCCTCCACTCAAGCATTTCAAATAACCAAATTCAAATACATGAAGAAGCTTATTAATTTGGCTGCCAAATATAACTAAGTTTTACAAAGTTCTTCTTATGTAAAATTAAAATCTGCCCACCAAAAAAATTCCATCCCTGGTGCTTCCATTTGGCCTCTGAAAATTTAAGTAATTAACAAACCATCTAGGCCAGGCGTGGTGGCAGCTCACACCTGTAATCCCAGCACTTTGGGAGACCAAGGCAAGTGGACCACTTGAGGTCAGGAGTTCAAGACCAGCCTGGCCAACATGGTGAAACCCCGTCTCTACTAAAAATACAAAACTTCGCTGGGCGTGGTGATACATTCCTGTAATCCCAGCTACCTGGGAGGCTGAGGCAGGAGAACTGCTTGAGCCTGGGAGGTAGAGGACGCAGTGAGCTGAGATCATGCCACTGCATTCTAGCCTGGGCGAATGAGACTCCGTTTAAAAAAAAAAAAAAAAGCCATCTACATGACAAATATTTGAAGGTAACCATCGTCTCTTTCTCCAAACTTACTCAACTCGTCCATTTACTGAATGCACACCAGGCACTGTGCTAGGCATTGAGGACACAGCGATAAACAAGATGGACAGGTCACTGTCATTGTGGATGTTACAGCACAGCAGAGAAGCCAGACATTATGGAACTAATAAGGACATCTTTCCTCCCAGTATATTACCCCTATTTTCCAACAATCCTCATATGCAAATATGACCACGCCTTTCAACTGCAGGGCTCCTCACTTCTGGAATGACTCCAATCGATCTGTTAGCTCCAAACTAAACCTAACCCTCCAGACATGCTCTAGCAAACTAAGACAGGAGAATCTTACTTCCCTAGATCTGTACACAATACTAATTCTATTAATGAAGCATAAGATTGCATTAGATTTCTCAGTAGCCTCATCACACAATTAGATCATATTAAGTTACAACCCACTAAAACCCCTCATTGTACATGATAAAGATAAATTACTTTGGCACTGATTTTTGCCATAGTGCCTGGCACATAGAGGCATTCAGTAATCACTGAATCACTGAAGATTTCAGTCTAATCTCATGAACAAAGATTTTCTGACTGCCTTTTCTTCTTTGAGAGAATAACCCTACTATACCATCATATCCCTGAAGGTATAGCTATGCTTTAAAAAGGAAAAGTAAAATTGTTATGTTGGTGTAAGTGAAATTCTGAGTGAAATCTACTTTATACGTGTGAATGATGAGCACCAAATTCTACTCAGTACTAGCTTATCAAATTTTAGTTTTAAAAAGATTTTTGAAAAAAACTAGAGATAAAATTTTGTGTTACTATTTTTAAATTGCTACATCATCCTGATACTCTGGAATTCTCAGAAATCAACTACAACAGAAAAAAAAAAGTCACCTTGTGAGATATATTCCAAAGTTATCATCCTTTTCCCCTAAAAATCAAAGCTGTGTAGTTTTGTGTCTTAAATAAAAAAAAAGAGGACTAGAAACAAGTTAAAATCTGTATTTCGAAATTCTCTAATGCAAAAGTAACCTTTGGGAAACTTCCTAAGCAATAAGCACAATGACACTCATACAAACCAAATTTCTCTAAATTATTTCACAAGGACCATACAATAAATTCAGCAACATCAATGATATCAACACATTAACACCACTGGATATGTGTAATTGTAAGAGAACAGCAATAATTAGAAGTCACACCACTTCCTAGAACAGCAGTTCTAAAACTACAGTCCACAAACCAGCTGCAGTAGCATCAGCTGGGAGTCTGTTAGAAATGCAGCTTCTCTGATTCCATCCCACACTTGCTGAATCAGAAACTCTAGGGATAGTGCCTAGCAAACTGTCTTTTCATAAGCCCTCTAGAATTCTGATGCATGCTAAAGTTTAAGACTACAGCCCTTAATTACCAAAATACACTTGTACTCAAATAAATCCTGGAGGTAAATGAAAGTAACATCAAAAATGAAGTGCTCCCCATGAGAATATTGTGCAAATAACTGCTGAGGTTATCATATCAGATTACAATACTGTATTTAACGCATTTGTATGGACATCTTACCCCTAAGTAAAAAAGCATTACCTATTTTTACCAGTGAGGTGGAAACTAAAATAAAATAATAAAATTACTATCATTTATGGATCAACTACTAAGCACTGTGCTAGGCACTTTACAAACATATATAAAATGTTTATTCAAATTCTATTATTAGTTCATGAACATAAAATGAATTCTGTTCAACTGAATTATCACATCTACCACATTTGGTGTATCTAATTTTAAAGTACTGTTTAAAAATTACTACTTTTTTTTTCCATTTTAGTTTACTTATGTATGGCTTAGATTTTAATTACATATGGAGTTCTACATGGTTCAACTTTAAGAAATACAGGATCATAAGGATTTTGGCAAGTTAATGAAAAAGAAGCAAAACATGAGCACAAAAGCCTTCAATGTGATAATAAAAATAAACATATTTAGCTTGCCATGACTGGTACAGATATGCAAACTCTGGGTCCAAATCAAGGCTCTAAACTTCCTATCTGAATAAGTACTTTATTTAATCTCCGGTGAGTCCTGTTATTCTCATGGGTAAAATGAAATAGTGTAATACCTACCTTACAGCGTTCTATATAAACAAGGCACTCAGCACAATGCCCATAACATAATATACACTCAATAAATGTTAGGTAAGTAGCAGTAATAATAATAGTACCCACTATGCGGGTAGGAATACAGAGAAAGCAGTGATTTTACGAAATGAAGAAGACAATCTCCAAATTCACTAACTACAATGCCATCTCCATCATCTTTTCCAATTTTTCACCAATAAATTCTGCTTTATTTTTATGATCTCTAAGGACTTCTAAAATCACAAATTGACTCTACTAACTCCAGCAGCTAGACCCTTTCACAAGCTGCTTCCTTTCCCTCTTGTCCATAGCTCCATAAGGACAACGATTTGCCCTATTTTTGTTCACTGCTATATCCCCCATACTTATAAAAGTGCCTGCCACATATCAAACACGCAAGAAAAAGTTGTTGATGTATGCATGTGTGAATGAATGAATGAATAAATAAATAAATGGCATATTTCTAACCACAAACAAAACAAGGAAAACAAACTGCAAAAGAACACAAGGCGATGGTATATAAGAAACAACTAACGAGACAAACTGTATCCTCCAAGGGCTTAGCCACCATGTTAGATGTGGCACATCTGTGATATAATCCCAGGCTACATTAAATAGCCTACAACAGGAGGTGCCACAACAGTCCAGAGCCCCTCCAACATCAACACCTAACTATATTTGACACCTGGATTGAAAGAGGATTGGCAGTGGTGCAAACTGACTAAAAAGAATATTATTTTCCTTTCTTAATAAATTCTTATACTTTCATTCATCCTTACAAATAGAACTGCACAAATTCTCAAATGTTTTTAAAGGAATGTTTATAAATTTTAAAAAAACTTTTTTTAAGGTCTGTATGGTGACTGTTTAAGAAACCAAATTTTTTGTCATCAGGGAGTTTGGCAGTAGGACTCTGAACAAATTCTCATTTCCTATCAACAACTTAGCTGTACAATCTAATAAGCCTCAGTTTCCTCAGTTTTAAAATTTGAAGGTTGAACTACTATATAATCTTATGGTCCTTTGCATATAAACATTCTAAAAAGTCTATACCTTAAACATATTATTCCTCATTCCATAAAAAATCTTGAAAAAGGTGGTGGCAGGGGATAAATAAAACAGAGGGGCATTATATTATCTCCCAGCTTGATACTGTTATAATTTCTACTCGATGGGCACATATACTTCTACTGTAATCCTGAGATTTCTCACTACAGTACTCAACAAAAACTACACACTGGAATTCATAAATTTATTCAGTATATAATTACTAGGTGAAAGGGACTACTCTGGTTACTGAGAATGAAGTAGTGAGCAAGAGACACAGTCCCTACTTTCATGAGCCATGATTACAAATAACAGATGCATTATTTTTAAAAAGTTAGGTAGGTATCTATGACACTGCATGGGTGGGACTGATATTTAACTTGAGCTCTACAGGACATTAACTGAGCAACATGGGGAAGGAGAAAGTGTCTTAGGCAGAGGAAACATCAGTTGGGTCCAGAAGCACCAAGAAAGGATTTCCTTCAGTTAGATTCCTGTGACACTTAGAAGGGTCTCTGAGGCATGAAATCACCTCTGCAAAGAATTTTACTTGCTTTCAGATTCTCTTGGAGGACAGAGTTTCAATGGTATACTGACTGAGGTTCAGTTTTGACCAGTGCCCAAAGATGAGAAGCTTCTAAGTTGTACCATTTCCCATTTAAAAGCAATAGATTTGAAACTTCAAAATTGTACCATTCTCCATTTCCCCAACCCTCCCCTCCAAAATATTGCATGGCAATTATTTTCTTCTAAGTTTCCTCTTTCAATGGTTCCTGTAAATTCTTTACTGAGCCAAAACCACTTTGCAAAGAAAAACTGCTTATGTTTTCAGAAACCCCCAATTACTTTCAAAGCTTCCTCTCTGGCCCCTTGGTTTTATACCGCATGGAGCTATACTATTCAACAGCCATCTGCAAAAGGTAGATGAGCTGTCAACCAATTTTTCTCTTTTTGAACCAAATAAGACAGCCCTGCCATCTGGGCCTCTCTGAAAACTACTGCCCAGATAGTGGAGCTATAAAATCAGAAGCCATGTTGTTTTGGGAACACTTCACTAAGGAGAGAAGACCCAGGCTCTCACTGACCAAGGGAAGGCAGGACTTTATATGTAAAGGCAGGAGATAAAATAAGTCTCTCATTATTAACTTGGGTTTCCAAAGATTTAAGAATTATCTCAAAACAAAACTAAACATGCCAAGTATCTTAGAGAATACATTCCTTTTTTATTTATTGGCATTTCCCACTTAATATTTTAGATCTCCTGCTCTAATATATTCTACATTAAGTCCCTGATTTAAGTTTCATTTAAATTTCTTTCTTTTAAATACATATCTCTCCTCATTTAAATTCTCTAGAGTTTCAAGCAAAGAAGTAGGAGTTTAGTGTAAACTTTTCTTGTTTGCATTAAGTAATTGGATAGCTTGCCTAAGCTTAATGAAACAAATACCAGTCAGTGCTGCCCTTAGACCTCAAGCCCTAGCAACTTAGCTCTTTCCTCAGTATATTGTCAATCAGGCGAGGGACTTAAGGTACACCAGCAAAATGAATTCCTAAAAGCCAGCCAAATCTCCTATAATAAATATTATTACATGTCCTTTTAAATGGGAAAACAAATTAACTACTTATAAAACATTCAACTTTCATGGACAGCAGGTATAAAATCTAGTTCTCTATATTTTAGTCCCAGGGTAAAAACTAGCCAGTTTGACTTTACTCTAAAGAACCTCAAGTTTTTAAGAAAGTAGAAAGAGAATTTTAAAGATAACTTTAGCAAGGCATTAACATATTGAACTTCATTCACCTCCATAAGGGAGGCATTACTAGCTCTAGTTTTTTTGTTTTTTGTTTTTTTGAAACATGGTCTTGCTCTCTTGCCCAGGCTGGAGTGCAGTGGCATGATCTCGGCTCACTGCAACCTCTGCCTCCCAGGCTCAAGCAATCCTCTTGCCTTAGCCTCCCAAGCAGTTGGGACCACAGTTGCATGCCACCAAGCCTGGCTGATTTTTGGGTTGTTTTTTTTTTTGTGGAGACGAGGTTTCAGCATGTTGTCCACATGGTCTTGAACTGGGCTCAAGTGGTCTTGAACTGGGCTCAAGTGATCTGTCCACCTCAGCCTCCCAAAGTGCTGAGATTACAAGCACAAGTCACCACACCAGCTACTATCTCCATTTTTAACATGAGAAAAACTGAGAAGTACAACAGAGGTGTGAAAGATGGTGATCTGACTTCCAAAGTCATACTTCTTAAACATCTTAAAGAGTAAACTTTCCTATAGGAATTAGTTTCCATTATACTACTCACCTTTGTGGTCATGTAAGGACAGTTTTTAAATCTTACATTATTCACGGTTATTTTAAAATAGGCTCTTTTAAAATTTGTGTATACTACACTAAGTCAGAGTTTGCCAGAGTCTAAATTATTACCACCCCTTTCCCAAAGTGGTTTGGCTTTTAATGGCCCTAAATGTTTTTCTGAATTTGGATACTGCTCATTTGGCCATTCACAAATACTCAGATTTATCTTCATGTAGGTTGACACATAAGTAATTCTATACAATTCTAGCTTAGAAAATTACTTTATAAATGTAATACATAAGGCCATTACACTATGGAGAGAAAGTTGATAAGAACTTCAGATAATGGGTAAGAATAAATGGGAAACGGAGATTGCTAGAGATAAAGTGATTTGACTAAATGACTTATCTAAAGTTGAACCGTGACCGTTATACATAGGCAATATATACAAGATACTGCAATGCACTTGATGCAGAAAGGCTATTTCAAACACTGAAAGAGAAAAATGAGTGACGACAACCTCAAAGGTCATTTTAATGCTAACAATGAATTTTATTTTAACGCATCATATTTTGTCAGAACCTGCCGAACCAGCATTCAAGATACTGTTTACCATCCATTTTTAAACAGAAGAGCTAAGCTGGGTAATTCAATGAAGTAATTATTAGACTATTAAAAATAAGGACAAAACACGTATACAGTTTTTGATTAATAAGACTTGACAAAAATAAGGGAACAGAGAAGCTTAACACTTCTCAGCTCAAATCGTTTCAAATCCTGGAAGAAAATATATGTGGATTGAGATTCCAAAATAAATACATAAACATGAATATGGCATCTTAATTTTTCTTTTTTTTGAGACGGAGTCTCACTCTGTCTCCCAGGCTAGAGTGCAGTGGTGTGATCTTGGCTCACTGGAACCTCCACCTCCGGGATTCAAGCGATTCTCCTGCCTCAGTCTCCCAAGTAGCTGGGATTACAGGCATGTGCCACCATGCCTGGCTAATTTTTGTATTTTTAGTAAAGACAAGGTTTCACCATGTTGGCCAGGCTGGTCTTGAACTCCTGACCTCAGGTGATCCACCCACCTCAGCCTCCCAGAGTGCTAGGATTACAGGCGAAAGCCACCACACCCAGCCTAAATTCATATATAATATCTGCATGTGTGACAGAAAAAGAGTTAGCATTTATTATGCTTACTCGTACCAGGTACAACTGTAAGCATTTGATGGGTGTAACTCATTTAATCCTCACAACAACCCTATTAAATCAATTATATTTCGGATGAAAAGCTGAGGCACAGAGAAATTATGTAAAATTGAGGCCTACAGAACTTTTAAGTACAGCTGAACCTTCAATAACACACGTTTGGACTGTGTAGAACCACATATGTGCATTTTTTTTTCAATAAATATATTGAACATTTTTTTGAAGACTTGTAGCAATTTGATAAAACTCACAGATGAATCACATATCTATAAATATAAATAAATTTTTAAAGTATGTCATGAATGCATAAAATATGTTGATTCTGGTCAGTTTTATCATTCACTATCATAAAATATATACGAATCTATTATTAAAAAGTTAAAATTGGCCAGGCGCGGCAGCTCATGCCTGTAATCCCAGCACTTTGGGAGGCAAGACGGGTGGATTACCTGAGGTCAGGAGTTCGAGACCAGCCTAGCCAACATGGCGAAACCCCATCTCCATTAAAAATACAAAAAATTAGCCAGGCATGGTGGTAGCACCTGTAATCCCAGCTACTCGGGAGGCTGAGGCAAGGAGAATTGCTTAAACCCGGGAGGCAGAGGTTGCAGTGAGCTGAGATCACGCCATTGCACTCCAGCCTGGGTGACAGACCGAGACTCTATCTCAAACAAAAAGTTAAAATGTATCAAAATGTATGCACACAAACAGACTGTACATGGCACCATCTGCAGTGGACGGAAACGTAAACAGAGGTAAAGATGCAGTATTAAGTCATAACTGCATAAAATTAACTATAGTACATACTGTATTGCTATAATTCAGTAGGCACCTCCTGTTGCTATTGTAGCGAGCTCAGGAGTTACGAGTATCTGCTTAACACACTGTGATGCTAATCATCGAGTGAGCAGTTAGTCTCTCCAGTAAATTGCATACTGCAGTAAAAAGTGATCTTTTGAGGTTCTCGTGTATTTTTCATTGTTTATTACAATACCATAACTTTGCATCACATCATGGGACCCATACAAAGTGTCACTAGTGATGCTAGAAGTGCTCCCGAGAAGCAGAGAAAAGTCATGACATTAGAGGAAAAAAAAGTTGAATTGCTTGGTAAGTACCATAGATTGAGGTCTGCAGCTGCAGTTTCCTGCCACTTTGAGATAAGTGAATCCAGCATAAGGACTGTTGTAGAAAAAGAAAAGAAAATTCACGAAGCCTTCAATGCAGCTATGCCAGCAGGTCCAAAACCCCTGCATGTTTTGAGAAATACCTTTTAATCTTGTATTGAAAATACAACTTCTCGGAAAGGCTCCTCCTCTCCCTCTCCCTCCTCTCCCTCTCCCCACGGTCTCCCTCTCCCCACGGTCTCCCTCTCCCCACGGTCTCCCTCTCCCCATGGTCTCCCTCTCCCCACGGTCTCCCTCTCCCTCTCTTTCCACGGTCTCCCCCTGATGCCGAGCCAAAGCTGGACTGTACTGCTGCCATCTCGGCTCACTGCAACCTCCCTGCCTGATTCTCCTGCCTCAGCCTGCCGAGTGCCTGCGATTGCAGGCGCACGGCGCCACGCCTGACTGGTTTTCGTATTTTTTTGGTGGAGACGGGGTTTCGCTGTGTTGGCCGGGCTGGTCTCCAGCTCCTAACCGCGAGTGATCCGCCAGCCTCGGCCTCCCGAGGTGCCGGGATGGCAGACGGAGTCGCGTTCACTCAGTGCTCAATGGTGCCCAGGCTGGAGTGCAGTGGCGTGATCTCGGCTCGCTACAACCTCCACCTCCCAGCTGCCTGCCTTGGCCCCGCAAAGTGCCGAGATTGCAGCCTCTGCCCGGCCGCCACCCCATCTGGGAAGTGAGGAGCGTCTCTGCCTGGCCGCCCATCGTCTGGGATGTGAGGAGCCCCTCTGCCTGGCTGCCCAGTCTGGAAAGTGAGGAGCGTCTCTGCCCGGCCGCCATCCCATCTAGGAAGTGAGGAGCGTCTCTGCCAGGCCGCCCATCGTCTGAGATGTGGGGAGTGCCTCTGCCCTGCCGCCCCGTCTGGGATGTGAGGAGCGTCTCTGCCCGGCCGCTCCGTCTGAGAAGTGAGGAGACCCTCTGCCTGGCAACCGGCCCGTCTGAGAAGTGAGGAGCCCCTCCGCCCGGCAGCCACTCCGTCTGGGAAGTGAGGAGCGTCTCCGCCCGGCAGCCACCCGGTCTGGGAGGGAGGTGGGGGTCAGCCCCCCACCCGGCCAGCCGCCCCATCCGGGAGGGAGGTGGGGGGGTCAGCCCCCCGCCCGGCCAGCCGCCCCGTCCGGGAGGTGAGGGGCGCCTCTGCCCGGCCGCCCCTACTGGGAAGTGAGGAGTCCCTCTGCCCGGCCAGCCGCCCCGTCTGGGAGGGAGGTGGGGGTCAGCCCCCCGCCCGGCCAGCCGCCCCGTCCGGAAGGGAGGTGGGGGGGTTAGCCCCCCGTCCGGCCAGCCGCCCCATCCGGGAGGTGAGGGGCGCCTCTGCCCGGCCGCCCCTACTGGGAAGTGAGGAGTCCCTCTGCCCGGCCAGCCGCCCCGTCCGGAAGGGAGGTGGGGGGGTTAGCCCCCCGCCCGGCCAGCCGCCCCATCCGGGAGGGAGGTGGGGGGGTCAGCCCCCCGCCCGGCCAGCCGCCCCGTCCGGGAGGTGAGGGGCGCCTCTGCCCGGCCGCCCCTACTGGGAAGTGAGGAGTCCCTCTGCCCGGCCAGCCGCCCCGTCCGGGAAGGAGGTGGGGGGGTCAGCCCCCCGCCCGGCCAGCCGCCCTATCCGGGAGGTGAGGGGCGCCTCTGCCCGGCCGCCCCTACTGGGAAGAGAGGAGCCCCTCTGCCCGGCCAGCCGCCCCGTCCAGGAGGGAGGTGGGGGGGTCAGCCCCCGGCCCGGCCAGCCGCCCCGTCCAGGAGGGAGGTGGGGGGGTCAGCCCCCCTCCCGGCCAGCCGCCCCATCCGGGAGGTGAGGGGCGCCTCTGCCCGGCCGCCCCTACTGGGAAGAGAGGAGCCCCTCTGCCCGGCCAGCCGCCCCATCCGGGAGGGAGGTGGGGGGGGGGTCAGCCCCCCGCCCGGCCAGCCGCCCCATCCGGGAGGGAGGAGGGGAGGTCAGCCCCCCACCCGGCCAGCCACCCCGTCCGGGAGGGAGGCGGGGGGGTCAGCCCCCCGCCCGGCCAGCCGCCCCGTCCGGGAGGTGAGGGGCGCCTCTGCCCGGCCGCCCCTACTGGGAAGTGAGGAGCCCCTCTGCCCGGCCACCACCCCGTCTGGGAGGTGTACTCAACAGCTCATTGAGAACGGGCCATGATGACCATGGCGGTTTTGTGGAATAGAAAGGGGGAGAAGGTGGGGAAAAGATTGAGAAATCGGATGGTTGCCATGTCTGTGTAGAAAGAGGTAGACATGGGAGACTTTTCATTTTGTTCTGTACTAAGAAAAATTCTTCTGCCTTGGGATCCTGTTGATCTGTGACCTTACCCCCAACCCTGTGCTCTCTGAAACAGGTGCTGTGTCCACTCAGGGTTGAATGGATTAAGGGTGGTGCAAGATGTGCTTTGTTAAACAGATGCTTGAAGGCAGCATGCTCGTTAAGAGTCATCACCACTCCCTAATCTCAAGTACCCAGGGACATAAACACTGCGGAAGGCCGCAGGGTCCTCTGCCTAGGAAAACCAGAGACCTTTGTTCACTTATCTGCTGACCTTCCCTCCACTATTGTCCTGTGACCCTGCCAAATCCCCCTCTGCGAGAAACACCCAAGAATGATCAATAAAAAAAAGAAAAAGAAAAAGAAAAAAGAAAAAAAAAAAAAAAGAAAATACAACTTCTATATGAGTGCTGGATTGCTAAGAAAGGAAAGGCTTACCTATAGACTCTAATGCGATTTGAGGAAAAGTCAAGTCTCCATTATGTGATAGATTAAAGGCGAATTTAATACCAGCAAAGGATGGTTTGATAATTTGAGAAAGAGGTTTTACTTAAAAATGTCAAGATAATAGGAGAAGCAGCTTCTGCTGACCAAGAAACAGCAAACCAGTTCCCAGATGCCATTAAGAAAATCATTGAGAAGAAAGGATAACTGCCTGAACAGATTTTTAATGCAGACAAAAGTGCCCTACTCTAGAAAATAAATGGCATGAAAGACATACATTAGTAAAGAAGAGAAGCAAGTACAAAGATTTAAGATAGGAAGGGATAGGCTATCTCTACTAGTTTTGTGCAAATGCAGTTGAGTTTATGGCACAATTGTCCTTATCTATAGAGCTGCTAACCCCTGAGCCTCATAGGGAAAAGATAAACACGAGCTGCCAGTCTTTTGGTTGTACAAGAAGGTCTACACAATAAGAACCTATTTTCTAGATAGGTTCCATCAATGATTTGTCCCTGAAATCAGAAAATACCTTGCCAGTAAAGGACTACCCTTTAAAGTTCTTCTGATATTGGACAATGCCTCTAGCCACCCAGAACCCCATGACTTCAATATTGAACACATCAAAGTGGTGACTTACCCCCAAACAGAATGTTTTTATTTCAGCCTATAGATTAGGGGATCATAAGGACCTTTCTTCATCAGACATGATAATCTATGAAAAGGACTGTCAACACTATGGAAGAGAACCCGGACAGAGAGAACATCATGAAGTCTGAAAGGATTACCTCATGAAGATGCCACTGTTGTTAAAGAAAAAGCCATGAAAGTCATCAAGCCCAAAACAACAAACTCCTCCTGGAGGAAACTGTGTCCAGATATTGCACATGATTTACAACAGAGTCAACCAGGGAAATCATGAAAGAGATTGTGAATATAACCAAAAAAGGTGGGAGATGAAGGGCTTCAAGATGGACCTTGGAGAAATTCCAGAACTAACAGACACCACACCAGACGAATTAACAGAAGATGGACGACATTATGGTGATGAGTGCCTTCGAAACAGCGCCAGACGATGAGAAGATGTAGAAGAAGCAGTGCCAGAACACAACTGACATTAGACAATCTGGCACAAGGGTTCAGATTATCCAAGACTACAAATGACTTATTTTATGACAGGGACCCATCTAAGATATAGTCACTGAAACTAAAGCAAACAGTGGGAGGAGAACTGGTACCATGTAGAAACATTTTTAGAGAAACTAAAAAAAGCAAAAAAAGTCAGACAGAAATTATAAGGCATTTCCATAATATGTCTGCCTGTCCTTTCATCTTTTCTGCCTCTACCACCAGAGACAGCAAGACTAACCAACCCTCCAGCCTGAAGACAAGGAGGATGAAGACCTTTATGATTATCTACTTACACTTAATAAATAATAAATATATTTTTTCTTGCTTATGATTTTCTTACTAACATTTTCTATACTCTAGCTTACTTTATTGTAAGAATACAGTATGTAATACATATAACATACAAAATATGTGTTAATCTACTCTGCTATTGGTAAGGCTTCCGGTCAATAGATGACTATTACTAGTTCAGTTTTTAGGGAGCCAAAAGTTATATACAGATTTTCAACTGCACAAGGGATCAGTGTTCCTAACGCTCAGGTCATTCAAGGGTCATAAGAAACTTACCCATAGTCAAATTTACCCAAAATAAAACCAGTGAGAGGTATAGCCAGAATTAAACTCAGCCCAACTTCAGAGCCTGCATTCTTACAGAAAATACACACACACACACACCCACACACACACACACCCACACAAATATACAGATACCATTAAAATAAGTGGCATGGGGGTAGAACTTTGTCTTATATACCATTGTAATCCCCACATTAAATAATACCTGGCACTTGGTAAGCATTCAAAATATATTTTGAAAGAATGAATACAGAGTGTGAGCATATTTTTATAAATATTATGGAACATAGGTACTCTTTATATAATGATTATTTAGCAATATATATTTTACATAATGGTAATTTAGCAATAAATTAAATAAAATGGGTTCCTCATCCACAGGTTTAACCAAATGGGAATCAAAAATTTTTAGGGAAAAATAAATAATAAAAGCCAGGCTCAGTGGCTCATGCCTGCAATCCCAGCTGCTCAGGAGGATGAGGTGGGAGGATCACTTGAAGCCAGGAGTTCAGAACCAGCCTGGGCAACATAGTGAGCCCCCATCTCTAACAAAAAAAAATTTTTTTATCAGTCAGGTGTGGTGGCACCTGCTTGTAAGTCCAAGCTACTAGGGAGGCTACAGCAGGAGAATCACTTGACTGCAGGATTTGGAGGCTGCACTGAGCTATGATCACAGCACTGTACTCCAGCCTGGGCAACAGAATGAAACCCTGTCTCTTAAAAAAATAAAGAAAATAAAAAAATAGTAACACAATTTTTAAAAATACAAATTTTTAATATACAGTATAACAACTATTTACATAGTGCTTACATTGTATTGTAAGTACATCTAGAGATGATGTAAAGTATACGGGAGGAAGTACACCAGTTATATGCAAGTACTATACTATTTTATATAAGGAACTTGAGCATCTGAGGGTTTTGGAATCCTTAGGGATCCTGGAACCAATCCTCCATGCATATCAAGTGAGGACTGTATTTAACCAGCATTAAGTCCTGGTTCTGAATAAAACCAAGAGGACATTTATTTTGGTCATCTACATTTCTGTGTAAATAGCATTGAAAATGGCACTCAGAATTTAAGTCAAGGTTTCCTTCCTTTCCAAAGGAACATAGAAAAGGTGATTTTATTTTAATTCACAATAAAATTTTGTTGCAATCTGGAAATATGCCTGCATAGCTTCAAAATGATGCAAGAGAAAAAAAAAAAACTCAGCCCATAACTGAAAGCCTAGGACTATAATTATGGATTACCTACAGCCATAATCCTAACTAGCTTTCATCTCCCCCTTCCAGATGATTGCCTCCCATTTACACATTGTATATTACTTTATACCTAAAGTCCCTATTTCAGTTCTCATTTGGGAACAAGTACCACCTGTCCTGGATGCTCTTGGACCTTCTTCTTAAATATTTTCTCCTACTGCACTGAAAAATACATTTATATTTGAAAAGTATTCTGATTTTAGTTCATAAGTTAATGTTCCTATATCCATGGCTCCTGCACCCACTCTCTCTCAGAAATTCACAACCAAAACTACCTAGGAGGAAATTACACAACACCACAAAGTATCCTTGTCTTCCTCTACTGAAATGACCTATGGCCACTTCTTTGTCTAACTTGAACTGAATATTTAGAGGCATCTTAAACCGAGATCATCAGCTTTTTATCTTAAAGTACACATCAAATGTCATAATATTCAATATACGGGTGAATAATGGTGGGAATGGGGAGGTAAAGACACCACCATTAAACTGTGTCTTATCAGCAGGGCTTAATGGCCAATGTGGTGAAACCCCAACTCTACTAAAAATACAAAAATTAGCCGGGCGTGGTGGTGGGTGCCTGTAATCCCAGCTACTGGAGAGGCTGAGGCAGAAGAATCTCTTGAACCCAGGAGGCAGAGGTTGCAGTGAGCCGAGATCACGCCATTGCACTCCAACCTGGGAGACAAGAGCGAAACTCCATCTCAAAAAATAAATAAATAAATAACCTGTTTTACAGAAGTTATGGGAGGAAATGCTCATGCTTGACCTATTACTATTGTTTAGAAAATATCTATACTCCTCCCCATGCATCCTCCCCTGTAGCATCCTTCACTGGAATGGGCACTGCTGCTATGTATTTACTAAGATGCTGGAGCTAGACAATCATGAAGTCAGCTGGAAGAAAAAGGAACCTAAGGTCAAATGCAGACATCTCTGGGCAAATCCCTTTCATAAGCCAACTATCAACTCCTCCCGCAAACAGCGGCCCCATCCAAGATGGGCAGCTTGAGCCCTGGACAGATGACAATGTGAAATGGCTTCCTCCTGAAGACAGAAACTAGGGCAATAATCCTGGTTCCGTGACCTGAGAGACATGGGTGGGGTCTCATAAAGAGGACCGTAAGCTATGAAATAACATGAGAATCTCAGTACACTTCTGTAGACAAAACATACATCATTTACATTGTTTTGCACTTACGTTTCTTTTTCACAAGGGACACGTTTTTGCCAGGACTCGAATTTTGAAATTATGTTCATTGATAAGGCTAGGGAAACCTTAGGCCAGACAAAGAGATGACATTACCATTGTAAGCCCTATGGAGGAAAACAATCAATAATTCTCCTCTTCTTTTTGATTTCAAAAGACCTTCCAACTTGAACCAAAATGCAACCTCTCACCCTATACCTGCATTTAGCTTCTCAGATGTGGAGCTGAGAGGTGGATGTGAGTGGCCTTTCTGCTCCCCTACACAGACACACATACACACACACACACACACACACACACACACAACCTAACTCATTCTGTCTCTTTTTATACTAGATGTGCTAAATGTTAAAGCTTAGCATGCTCCTCCATGAAGCCAGAGTAAACATTTTTAAGGAAAAAATAATTATACAAAGTCCCTTATTATTTTTGTAAATCAACTAGACTTTGAATTTCTAATCATTTTTGATTCTTACATTGAGCTGCTAATTTGATTGATGCATAAAGGTTAATGGCTGCTGTCTTTATAAACTGTGCTTGTTATCATTACATAATTTGCTTCTTTATTCTGTTTAGTGTTTATAAGCTTTGATTGTACATTTTTTCATATTTCTTTCTGTTTGGCACAACTTTGCCAATCCATTAATTTTTAACCTTTATTAAGGTTAAAACAAATTACTTTGTTTTAACTGCATTTCATATAAATACATAGCTCTTATTGTGCATGTGGCAGCCTTGATCTTTAAATGGGTAATTGTGCCCAGTCACAATTATTAACAGTACAACTGATATACTTATTTCTTCCATTTTATATCATGTTTAATATTAATTTTACTTTTTCCCTTTTCCTCATTTTCCTGGTTGTATCAAGTTACCATACCCTCCCCCAACTCCCACCAAAAAATCTCATACTCTTTTCTCTACTGTTGTTTAAAAACACAGTTCCAACTATTTCCTCAAACACTACTCCAGCAAACCCAGTAAGATGAAATCGTTTGAATGCTTTGACTTTCCCCCAACCCAATTCTGAGCTAAGAGTTCAGTACTTTGAAACTCATAAAACTCTTAGTTTTTTTTTTCCTCAAGGATTTTTCTTCAATTTCGAGAATCTTTATTAGCACTTTATGAGACAATCCTGGTCTATCATTTATGTACACAAGGCAAAGACTGATCCTCAGGGGTGCTTCCCCTCCTCTCCATCTTCCCCTACATGGAAGTCTCTGTTGTAATTAATTTGGTTAGAATTATTTTTTAAGTATTATCCTAAGATGGACTACTGTGTTCAACATTTGGCTACGACTCTCAGCTTCTCACCCCTCTTCTGCTCTCTGCTTCATGATGTGGAGCTGGCGGGGAAGGCAAGGTCTCTAAACACATTTCTGCTTCATAGCTGGGTCCCTACTAGGACCCATCAAGGGAAGCCAGAGGGAAACTGCAAGGCTGGTGGAAGAACAAGGAGCTGTTTCCCATTTGCTTCCTATCGCGTCACTCGGGCCTCACTGCTTCCCAGCAGCAGCAGCACTTGCTCCTGCAGCAGCAGCAGTTGAGTCTGCACTTTGTTCAAGCTAAGTCTGCTTGCAAAATCAGCCTCAGTGCACCCCATTCTGGAGACACTGACCCTACCTACTGGCACACTCTTGAAAATCTCAGTCCCAGACCCACAGGTCTCTCCTCAGAGCTCCATGACAGCAGTCTACCAGCTAGGAAATGCCCCTTCCTCAGACGTCTGAGCTACATCCCACAGAGCCTCTCCTCCAAGCTTTAATGTTTTAACAACTACCTCTTCCCATTGCTCCCCCAGTGCTACATCTGAGATACTGTGGAGCTGCAATGTCCAATACAGTCCCCATTAGCCACATGCGGCTACTGAGCCCAGAAATGTGGCTAGTCCAATCCAAGACTTGCTTAATCATAAAATATACACTGGATTTTGAACACTTGGTATGAAAATAAATTTTATACTCCTTATGTTATTATTTTAGATATACTGAGAAAAAACCAGAATTATTTCTACCTTTTTTACTTGTGACAGAACTAGTAGAAAATTAACTACAATGATTGCTCACATAATATTTCTGTTAAACAGTACTGCTTTAGAGTTACTTTTTTTTGTTTGTTTTTGCCTTTTCAGCTCTTAAGTGCCTCATTAACAATTCTTACATTAAATTCTCTCTATAAAAATAACTGGTGTGTTTGATCTCCTTAATGGACTCTGCCTGCTAGAATTAAAATTAATAAATTTTCTAAATCCTTGCATATCAATGGTCCTCTTTTTCACCGTAACAGCTGAGTAAGAGCTCAACAGAGAATTGTGGGCTTGCAGTCCTTTTAGGTGTCATTCCATCTTCTAGCTTCCAGTCTGGCAGAAGAAAAGCCTAAACCCAGGCTGATCCCATTTCCTTTATAAATTAGTGTTCTTTCTATCTGGAAGTTCATAAGGCTTTCTCTTTATCCTTAGAGTTCTGAAATTTTAGCTGTCTATGACTAGGTGTGCATGTTTTCTCATCAGTGCCTCCTAGAATAAAGAGTCCTTTCAATTTGCAGACTCCAGTTTTCTTCAGCTCAGTGAAATGTTTTATATCACATAATTATCACCTCCTCTCAAACTCTTCCCTTTATCTCCTTCTGGAATTTAGTCTAATTCATCAAATATAACATGCATGAAGTTACTTTCTTCTACTCTTCACTATCTATGAAATCAAAATGCAACTTAAAATTGAGGGTGTATTAAAATCAAGTAGTAATCGTTGTCAATGCTACAAACATCAAAGCACCACTGAACTATTCCAAGAGTTCTTCCAAGACACACCTCTTCTAAGTTCTCATTTGTCTCTTTCTCTCCGCCTACTGTGCCCCATAGATGACCCCTTCTTTTTCATCTGCCTACGCACCAGAGCTCAGGTCCCACTGTTGGGCTGCCTTAAGTGGAAGGATCCACTAAGTGGTGGGAGATGAGGCAGCCTCTGCTGCTGAGGCCCAGTGGTATGCCAGCAGCTGATGAGTTTGCAGCCCCCTCTTAAGAAAACCTGGAGAAAGTCTCTCCCCATCCCTCACCCACCCAAACCAGTTGACAGGGACATGAAAACCAAAAGGTTATCTCAGGAACAGTCACAGAGACTGGGGCCAACACTGTTGATCCCTGCACTTTGCCAGAACTAGCCCAATGGCTCACATCTGTCGTCAGATGTGCTTCTGAGAAACAGCAACTAGTGGCGAGACTGAAATTGATAGCAGAAGGTGCAGAGATGCTTCAAGTCTCCAACTCCCAGAATCCTCTCCATTTTTAAAATGTCTATTTCATCTTAATGTTTTAACATTAAAGGGTTACTTAAAGAATTTTAGGGCAGAGTTAATAAGTAAAAAGTGCAAGATAGGGCAATCTGGGGCACTGTACATTAGTTCCTATGGAAATAATTTCCTTGTACCATCTTTTCACTATAGGCTACATTTTTCTAAAAAGACACCTTGAGGTTTAACATAGCCCCCTCCCCCACTCACTGTAAGTACTATATGAAGTCTTTCTATATATGTAGGATGAAAACTGTGAACACCAAAACAATCAAATAAGAGAAATTTGATATAGAGAGACAGAACAACATGGTCCAGTTTTGTAGCTCACTAATAATAATCAAACATAATGAAAAGACAGGTCTTAGACAATCAAGAAATAAATGGATTGCCTATATTTCAGAGCATGGCTTTGAGTAAACATTACACAGAAGTAAGTTCAAGATTAAACTTCATGGCCAGCACCTATTCTATGATGTTAGAGAAAGACACCGCCAATTGCTGTAAAGGTCAGCCAATCTGAGGGAAGAGTGATATCCGTTTTTGAAAGCTAGGAGTCTAATGAAGTTATATGAGAAAACAGAACAACCCCTCTCCAAAGGAATATATGCTGCAAAACTAATTTTATTCTGAAAAACTACTTGAAACCCACTCCAGCAAAAGGATAAATCGCCTCTTAAGAATCAAATTTTATATCATTGAACACAATCACAACAATTGTTATTATTAGCTAGTTAAACATAGGCCTTAGAAAACAATTTCCAACAGTCTTACTTCTGAATAAAGATGGCCCTATATTTTTTACCTCAACTCCTTACAACCTCAAAAGAAATACCAAGAGTTGAAGGGGCCTTATCCCCTAGACCAAGCTCATCTTTCTGTTGAAAGTCACCTTGGCATACACAGAGAGACCAACAGACAACATCAGCACCCACCATGCCTGCTCCACAGCGCATTCTCCTTAGATCACAGCAATCAATTTCATGCCTCTCTGACACTACTCATCTGCAAAAAATTCATTCCTTGACAGATGTTTTATTTCTAGTATTCCCTATGAAATCACACTAAAAAAGTTCAAAAACAAATACATTGATTTTAAAGCCACACTAAGCAGTATACTAGATTTTTTAATTTTCACCTCAAAATGGTAGAAACATGTATAGAAAGAGAAAAAATGTGAAATTCAGTAGGATTTTCTTTACTGTCATTTTAGGATAACTCCTGTTCATTCCCTTACTTGGTATTTTCTTTTTTTA
This sequence comes from Homo sapiens, assembly GCF_000001405.40. Classification (NCBI taxonomy): domain Eukaryota; kingdom Metazoa; phylum Chordata; class Mammalia; order Primates; family Hominidae; genus Homo; species Homo sapiens. The sequence continues at coordinate 132,995,222 of NC_000007.14, forward strand.
AAACCATTTTATTGAGGTATGATTGACATACAGAAAGCTGCACATACTTAATGTACACATCTTGATGAGTCTAGGAATAAGTAAACACCCATGAAGCCATCACTACTATCAAGGCCATTAACAAGTCCATCACCTCCCAGAGTTTCCTTCCGCTCCCTTAAGACCACTTAATATATAGTCCACCCTTCTAAAATTTAAGCCTATAATACAATATTGTTAGCTGTAGGCACTATGCTGTATCCTCACTTGATATTTTCCATCTTTGACTCAAAAGTGAAATCATAGACATACTTCAAGAAGAATTACCATTCAGAATTCACATCCAAGACAAAAACAATAAACAAATGAAGTAACCTGAAATTGAAGTGCATTTAAAAGCACTTTTTGTGAATCTAATGTGCAGGCCATAGTGTGAAGCTGCGGAATTGGCCGGCAGGAGACAGAGCGTAAAACCTAGGACTTGCTCTTAAGGTGTCTACAATAACATACAATTCCAACTCATCCTAACAAAAGGCATCAGGCCTATGTGCTCCTTCATTTTCTCACTCCATTCATTTTTTTATTTTTAGTATTAACAATTTTAACATACAAATTATACCATTTAAACTAAAAACTATGCATAATATTCCACTACCAATAATATTATAATAGCTACCATTTGTGAAGTACCTCCTTGTGCCAGGCATTTTAACAGGTGTTTTATGTATGTTATTTCATTTACTCCACACAAAAATCCCACATAGTAGTTGTTAGTCCCCATTCAGAGCTAAAGAAACCACAGCTTAGAGAAGTTCAATAGATTACTCAAAATCACATAGGAAAACATGTGCTGGAATGTGTATTCTAGATTTATGGTAAAAAAACCAAATAGCTAGTCACTATGCTATATCTTGATTATGTGAACCGAAACGCTTAGCTCAAGACCCTCAAAGTAAAATGCTCCATGTTCTGATTCAAACATTGATGTACATGTCTCATCTTTCTTCTTTCCCCTAATGAAGCCCACCCTTCTGTGGACCTTTATGCAGGGCACTGTTACGTGCTCTGCAATCCAACTGGCCCTAAAGCAACTGCAAAAGCACACGCAGTTATTGACATCACAAGGCAACAACTGGCTACCAGGTGACCCAGAACGTGTTTCCACTCTTTGTTTTTCCCCATTCACAGAGTCCTGAGCTTCAAAAATAGTGCTAAAAAGTTATCCCAAAGTTACAAATATGCATGTAAAATTACATTCCGTGAAGAAGCATAAAACAAAATAGTCCAATTGACTGACTATGAAATACTGTGTGTAAGATTATATCATACAAAAATGAAAAGAGGTTTATGTTAGGTCTCTTTCCCTTCAGAGTTGCTAAAATTGAGAAGGTAATAAACTAATGTCGGCGTTGCTTTGTAAAGGTATCAGTGCCTATGCAGTCCCCCAAATTGAATCGTTACAGAATTGGCAATCCTTCCAAGCCCTGTCGCTAATCAGCAACCTAATGTGGAAGAGATAAGCAAAGGGAAGAGGCAGCGGTGCGATGCTGAGGGAGTGTGCTCACCAGGCTTTCGAAACGGACCATTTACTACAGAGCAGCCTTTCAAGAAGAAAAACACCGTGGGGTGGGACGCAAAGCAAGGGGAAGGGACTGCAAGATTAACTATCGTTAAAAACATCTTCGGCATACTGCCTACATGCTACACAAATGTTTCATAAAGTCAAAACTTCAAAACGGCTAGGTAAACAGCATCTACTTATACAAATAAAACTATATTTCCACGATGTTAACAACCATTTCTAAATTCCAGCTACATTCTAAGCCCGAGGAACTGAGGCTTTTTAATTATGCAATATTAGTCATTGACATAGTGCTCAAATCCCACGCAGCATGAACCATGTTAGCTAAACTAACAAAATGAATAATTTAACTCTCTGCCAGCAGGAATTCACTATGCCACCTTCATTATTTACTTCACAATATCCATTTCTATCATTTTTGAAAGAACGGCTGTAGGTGTTCAAGATGAGCCCACTGGCTGCCTATATAGTTTTTGATCCACATATCACAGGAAGATTAATCTGTCCTCCATTCCAAAAAAATCTATGTAATCAAGGATGTTTTAAAATCAAACTACCTCCCCCTCATTAAGTTCTAATCCATTGTGTCAATGATAGCTCAAGTAAAATATAATCAGTATTTCACCTACTTCAGATAAAGCTCATAAGCTATATTACTGTCACTGTACCAAAAAAAAGTATGCTATCACCTCATCAGTTGTGAATTTTTACACTTTCTACTATTTGAATTTGCTATTTCAATTTTTTGTTACCACACCAGAAAAAGATTCTTTTCTTTTCTTTTTAAGAAAGAACAATTTTAGACACAAAAAATGCTTCTACCATTTTCCTGCATAGGAAGAATTTTATGGCTTCTCACTGTAACTAACAGGGTTGTAAAAAAAAAAAAAAAAAAAAAAAAAAAAACAGCAAGAGACCAAATGTGTTCACAGCAATCCAGAACAAATTTTGTCAGAGACCAATGCTTGAACTCATCACTCTCTTACACTCTGCGAATATCAAAAGTTTCCCAGTTACTCTATGGTTCACAGGAGGTCTAAGTTCAATTCTGTGGAGATGATGGCTATCATGGAGATCTGAAAAATGGTCCCTGCATCCAATACTGTCATTTTATATGCAGCTAGAATGGTATCAACTCATATTCAACTCCCGGTTAAAATAATTTTAAAAATAAATAAATACTGTCAAGGAAGAAAAATTTCAGGGATAACTATAAATTTCATTAAGATGTATAGCAGATGTTACACAGAAGATGAATATTCATTATATCTGGCTTCCTCTGCAATCCATTTTATCTTTACGGTAATTTCCAAATATCCCAACACAAAATGCTTCCTATACAAAAATTCAACTATAACACGTATGTGATGCAGTCTGTCATTTTTTGCTTAGTTCAACATGACTTAAGTTTGTTAATGTACTTTGACAGAGTTGCATAACATCCTAAAATGTTTTGAACAATGCAGTTTAGGCTGCAATGAAATATTTATGAATGAATAATGTTCCTGAATATAAGTTTTAATATTTAATGATTCCGAGTGCTGCCTGGATTTGATGCAGAAGAAAAATGTGGTTTGGAATGACTGCACTTATCAAGGGACCTGAGAAAAAGACTGCGGACGCCAGGCAAACCTTTAACCTAAACTTGGAACTGGGGTCTCAGGTGTGAAATTGATGCTTCACCAACTGAATTTCGAGTGCTTATCAGTATTCACAGGATCACACCACTTATCAAATGTCATTCATCAGAAATTTTAGAATTACTAGAAGCTCACATGTTTTGCCAAAGGTGGAAAAAATAATAATAAGGTTAGTGCAAAAAATAACAATGGGTAGTCTAGCTTCAAGTGCATTTAGGAATCAACTCTGCCAGTTACATCAACATGTCATTTTGATTACTCCTGTTTTTAAAAATGCATGAAACTGTAATAAAGTAGCAAGTTCAGATCAAATAATGACTTGTCTCCACATCTTCTACTAAGGGAAGTACCTAATCTAAAATATCACACAGCAAAGTTGGTCAATGAGTCAATTTAATCAAATCAATGGGTAATCTGCACAGATTATTGGATTTGTCTCATTTGCAAACAATCCTGTCTTAAAAATTAGCATTAAAACAGCAAGGAGAAGAGGATTTACTGACAAATCAGTTAACTAATACCCAAAATCACAGTGCTCTGAAGAAAGGACTTTAAAGTGTTCCTAACTGGAATGTTAGGAATGTTAGCATTTTAAAAATAAAACACTATTCATGCTTGAGCCCAGGAGGTTGAGGCCGCAGTGCACCATGATCACCACTGCACTCCAGCCTGGGATACAGAGAGAGACCCTGTCTCAAAACAAACAACACTATTCAAAGAATAAGGCCCAATTTCCAATATTTATCTGCATTTCCAGTTCGCAATGGCCATTTCAACAATCACTAAAATATAATCTAGAGTTAGAATATCTGGGTTTTAGACTCTATTTTGCCACATACTGAATTTAGCATTGTAACATCTCCAAACCATTGGTTTTCTCACATGAAGATGGTTAATAGTACACTCTATGTCAAATGATTATTGTGGAATCCAATTAACGATACTGTTAAGCATTTTGGTTAAGCATTAACCAATAGGAACAAAGAAAAGTCTGTTTATTGAGCACCTACAATGTTTCAGGAAGGTACTGCTTTAGTTATACTTTCTTTACTGAAATTTCCATTATGGTTATTATAATAAAAGGAAATGGCACTTTGTATATTGCCTTATTCTGTTTCTATAAAGGAGGAAAATAAGCACAAATATGTGGGTTAAACATTTTCTAATGTCTAAACTTTCATTAATGTCATATTTTGATAGTTCATAAAGTATCTTAATTTAGAAAAGGAAATTGTCAGTGACAATGATCTATTATTCAATTTGATATTACATGTTTTAAGCATTGATTAAAGTATTTAAAAATAAGCACAAATACATGGGTTAAACATTTTCTAATGTCTAAACTTTCATTAATGTCATATTTTGATAGTTCACAAAGTATCTTAATTTAGAAAAGGAAATTGTCAGTGACACTCAATGATCTATTATTCAATTTGATATCACATATTTTAAGCATTGATTAAAGTATTTATTGAGCATTTATTATGTGCTTACAACATTATACAAAGCATTATGTTTAAAAAATCAGATGGATTTTACCATCAAATATAGTATCATTCCTTTTTTATATCATGACATTATATAATGCTACTAAATTCACCTATCTCACTTTTATCAGATCAGCAATTTTATCAACAATTATTTCAAAAAGTGACAAAGAGAAACAAAACTGCTTAAAAATTTACACTGCAGAAAACTTGATACATTTGCCAATGACAGGTAATACTCTTCGTTCAATATGAGACCTTAATTGCCACCAGAGTCATTGAGAGTCAATTTCTTCTGTTAAACCATTTAAAAGAATTGATGCTACAATTTCAATGAAAAATCATTCGTGCTGAGCACCAGTCCTAATCCTATCAGGTAACAGTGGTATCTCTGCAAAGGTACACAGATTCAGTAATTAGACTTTTCTCAAGTATGAGTAACTGAGACAAAAAGGCATATAGATGTTCATTTAGAACATTTTTACCGAGCACAATCCAGAAATCTCTATTAAATTAAGGTGACTTTTATGATTATTCTATAATCTACAACGTACTTAAGGGAAGAAGAGAATACCAGAAAAATGTCTACAAGGACACAAAAAAAAAATTAATGATGGTTACCATTGGGGAGTGAGATAGGGTACTGGGATTTAGCTTTTTTCACTTATGTGATGTTGTCACTTTCATGCAATTGTCTTATGTTTAAATATATTAGAGCAACACTGACTAATGCAAATATAATGCAGACTACATCTAGAAGCCACATTAGAAAACTAAAAAGAATCAGGCCGAATTAATTTTAACCATGTATTTTATTTAGCCCAATACATCCAAAATATTATCAACATGTAATCAATACAATAAACTAGTAAAGAGATGTTATATTTGTCACACTGAGTCTCTGGAATTTGGTATACACTTTAGAGCATATTTCTGTTTGGACCAACCACACTTCAAGTGTTTAATAGTCACCTGTGACCATAGGACAGCACAGAGCTACAGTAAGTCTCAAAATCATAGCTAGGCACAAGTTAGGTATTTCTATTCCAAAACTTCAAAGCAATACAGAGGTACATGTTACAACTTCTCATCAGTTCTCGCCTCATAACATACAGCTGTGTGACTGTTAATTTCTAAGATCTTTATTAAGGCATAGCTTTAGATGGCATCTCCCTCACCAAAAATGATTTAATTTCTCTCTGCAAGGCCTGTGTTTAACCTACTATTCAATGCCCTCAATCCTTGCATGTTACCTTCTGGCATATAAATGAGAATTCTTAAAATTACATATTTGTGTGCAAAGCCACTGACTACCTTCATTTCAGGGCATTAACTACATTAGCAGAGTCAGGTACTGCTAACCCTCCGGATCTCCTTTCAGAATGTCTTTTTTAAAAGCCAAACACAATGTTATCCCTTTCTCTCACATCTAACACTGCAACATTCCAGCTGCAGAGATCCTTGGATTTTTACAGAGGGCCTCCAAGCCCTTGAAAATGATTATCTGAACAAGCAAAAAAGCAATATACAACAATCAACCATTTAGCACCAATAGCAAAGTGAAAACTTATGTCAACTAAAAGGAATATTTTTCAAACTAAAAACTAAGTTGTTTTTTTTAATTACTTGTTAATCTGATAAGAAAAAAAGTCTTCTTATTTCTCTCACTTAGCACTTTTGGAATTACACATGGCATAGCTTTCCAGAAAGGAGCAATGGCTCCTACAAAAGAGAAAAAGCTCATCTAGCTTCACTTAGCTAGTTTTTCTTCCATTTTCATCAACAAAGAGATCTTTTACAATCTTCAGAAACTATAAAGCCAAGAAAAAATGAAAAAGGGCAAATGTAGAAGAGAGCAGACAGATTTTTAACACTATACAACTAGGAAACGATTCTCTGAAATGAATGAATACACAGATGGATGCGATAGATAATCATTTTTACAGAGCGTTTACTTTGATTCTGTGTGAGTCGCTGTGCTGTACTAAGAACTGTACCTGGAATGAACCATCTGATCCTCAAAACAACGCTGAAGGTAACCCTGAGGTAAGAGTTATTATTGTCCTCCATCTTACAGATGAGGCATCTAGAGTTATCATTGTCCTCCACCTGACAGAGGAGGTATCTGAGCCCTCAAGAAGTTATGTAATTTACTAAGTGGTCTCAGAACTAGTAACCCATGAAGCTGGAATTCAAACCCAAGTGGTCTGACTCCTAGGACCACACTCTTAACCATCACACTCTAGTGATCTTCACTTCAAAGAGAGAAAAGAGTTATCTGTAAGAATAAGCATTTTGTATCAAAAGTTTAATATGTGCCAGGTGCTTTATATATGTTATCTTATTTAATCTTCATTTGAAAAACATGCTTATCTGGTAGATATTCTTATTAACTTGGCTTCCTAACTGAAGAAAGTGAAGCCTGGAAGGGTAAATCACTGACTTGAGATCACAGATTACTAAGAGACAAAGCTGGCATTCAAATCAGATCTCTCCAACTCCAAAAGACATTAACTTTTGGCCCCTGGGTTTTTTCCTGAGATTTAGGTGGGTTTGATATTTGCTAATGGTAGAAATCCATGATAATTAGGCTTTCATAGTACAAAAATAATTTTATTTGTAGTTCGTAACAGTTTACAAACAGCATTCCTTATAGAGATAACTTAGGTGAAGGTAAGCACTGTTAAAAAAAAAAACACTCATATAAAAAGACAATTTGAGGCTACAACATAGCTTCAATTTGTAATTCATTTTTAGCTTCCCTTAATAGAATTAACTCAGAGTGGGAGTATATTTAAATAGTAACACATTTACAAATTCTTTTTCTTATCAAATATCTATAGAACCCTTACTAAAATTGCTCTTCCATTTAATGTCACACAATAATGACCACCTCCTGAAACCTTCATATACAATACACTCATATTACAGTAAATGTTGCAATGATACTAACTTTCCATTGGTTTAAATAGCAATTGAGCAAAAATAAAAATGAAAATGAATGACACTGTTATGTAGTTTGATTACATTTTCCAGGGTGAAATGAAATGCCCAAGTTATTGAAAAATAAAACATGTATTTGAATGTCTAGGAGTTGCAGTATGTATACATGCCTATGAGGAAGGAAATGGGGTGGAAAACAATGTAAGCAGCCAAGGAGGTCAATTCGGATAGTTTATGAAAAATAAATCCTGAAAGCATTAAGGATCTATATACATATATATAATTAATCAAGATGAACCTCAGAAGGCAGTGTCTCAGATAAATGTTTCAGAGACAATGTGAAACACGACTTGCAGAAGACTGCTAGCAGAATGTGAAACTCCCACTATTGCCAATTCTTAAAAATTCCCTTAAGACTCATGTTTACAGGGCTAAAGCAGCACAGAGTTGGCAAACATGCTCTTAAAATAAATTGAGGCCTGTGTGCTGTAAAAATGGGCTTCCAATAGTAAATTAACCTTTCTGGGTTTGGGGTCAATCCCAGGAGAAGACAAGAAGATAGACAACTAGTTTTAAAAGCAAACAAGAATAACAAATGCCACAATCAAGCCTTTATTTTTATCTGTATGAGACACAGAAAACTTAAAGATCTGGCATGACTCAAAAGTGTGATAGCTGAGATGATAATTTTGTCACTGTCCATCATATGTGACAGTGGAAAAGCACCATTTGGCTGTAAATACCAATTTTACTTCTTTTTTCTTACTATGACAATGCATTGCAATTTACAGTTGCCATGTTCAAATTTACACAGTCTTCTGTTTTACACTTGCCGAGGCCCAATGCTGACTCAAGCTCTTGCCCAAAGTGATCTGCCACCTTTCACTGGCTACTTCCTAACCCACCTGTTCTATTACTACAAACATAGCTGCTGAGATAAAAATACACGGAGGATAAAAATACCTTGAAAAGAAACATATGACATCATCTTTATAAATCAATTTAACCCTAACATTAACCCTTTTTAAAACTTCAAAGGGTCCTGATGAAAATAATTTCCATTAGAAAGTCAACACTTAGAATTTTGAACCTGAAAGATATCTTAAAGATTTTTTTTTTTTTGAGACGGAGTTTTGCTCTTGTCACCCAGGCTGCAGTACAATGGCGCAATCTCGGTTCACTGCAACCTCCGCCGTGGAGCGATTCTCCTGCCTCAGCCTCCCAAGTAGCTGGGATTACTGGTGCCCGCCACCATACCCAGCTAATTTTTGTTTTTGTTTTTGTTTTTCAGTAGAGACGGGGTTTCACCATATTGGCCAGGTTGGTCTTTAACTCCTGACCTCAGGTGATCTGCCTGCCTCAGCCTCCCAAAGTGCTGGGATTACAGGCATGAGCCACTACACCCAGCAGGCCTTAAAGATTTAATATGAGAATTAATGTGTACCTGGGTAAGAATTACCAAAACAAAACCAGATCCATCAGTTTTTCCATATATCTTATCAGTCATCTATCTAAGGAGGAGCATACCAGAGTGGCTTCAGAGTTCACAAAAGATAGGACTGACTGCAAAGGTGAGCTGTAAAAGCAAAAGGTAAGTGACAGCACAGCTAGCTTGTAAGTAAAGGTAAAATTCAAATACAAGAGGGATTTAAAACCATCTAGCCTAGAGGTCAGGTTAACTAATGCCATGGTAGAAACTCAGCTTTCTGAGAGGCCAGAGCAGGAGGACCACTTAAGCCCAGAAGTTGTATATCCAAAGAGAATGAGAACAGGACACTAACTAAAGACACTGAAACAATTAAGTAGCAGATGAAAGATAAGAGAGGAGAAAGGCAATGTGAAGGGGAAACTGCAGTAGGCAAGGAGAGTGGGCAAACTTTTTTAAATAACATAACACTTTGCAATGAAGACAATTTTCAAATGTTGGTACATTTTATTTGAGTTCAGTGACCTGATTACCATGGCACGGCAAACTGAAAAAAATGTGTGTTTGGGATGCTGCTGATTTAACATTTGTATCAAACCACTGCTGTCATATTTGTAATAATGAGGGAGTTTATTCCAAAGATTATAGTAGAAGTATTTATGGTAATAATAATCATTCTTATTTTTGTTATTAAAAATACATTATAAAAGTACATGGGTTCAATGCAATTTCAATATATTATTTCAATATATTGATCTTTACAAAAAAGTAGAATAGAAGCAGTATTTAGTGCTTTTAAAATTGTTTCCATTTTTAAATATGAAAAAACTGAGCTTAAAGAAACTGTGATTAATCTCTGCTCAGTTAATAAGCAGAGAGGCAGGACCAGACTCTGGTCTTCTGATTCCCAATTCTGGGTTATTTTTGTTATCAAACAAACAAAAAACAAACCTAAAATCTCTTCCATCTCTAAACCACTTAGGTGTATTCATTATATTAAGTCAGCATATGTGGTTTAAGGGTGAAGCGCATGTGTCTCTCTAGGCTCATCCTCACTCGAGGGTGAACCTGAACAAGGAACTAGACCTATGCATCTCTTATTAGTGTGGGATCAAGAAAAGATCCAACAACCATATTTACTTATTTTCTCAGAATTAAGATCAACATTCATTTTGTTTAATGTGCTCATTTTTAAAAAGGAATTTGAAAATCAGGTCAGCATACAGAATCAAGAAACAAAAATCACAAAAGTATACGCTATATAATTTTTTAAGCCCAAAGCTCAGTCACTGATTTTCGCTTCTCATGGAGTTTTCATTTCAATCTACAAATTTATTTGATTTTCCTTTTTTTGTATGTAACAAGCAAAAGGCAAACATCAAGTTATCCTTCAAAAAAATGAAGGAATGGTCAAATTCAATAATCAACAAGTATTTATTTAGTATCTACTATATAGAGGGTATTGTTTTACTTATAAAGCTAGAAATGTCACAAAGCTGTTTTATTTCTTCTGTGACATTTGATCTTATGGCACAATTATACATTTATAGATAAGGTGTAATACTCACCAGTTAACTAAATCACATTTACGCCAGATCTGCTGTGGCAATTTTAGAAATACTGAGTCCACTCCAGGGCAATTAGAGTATTCCCAGCTATATCATATCTCACCTATTGCATATCTGTTGTATCTCGCCAGCTACATATAGGTCTCAGTGACAGGATTTTGTATGTACAGACAACTAACAAAGAACATTATTAAGTTACAGATTTCTTAAACTATATTAACTTAACATTAACCTAAAATGATCTGGCAAGAATTAAAGTATCTAAACTCCCATAGTACTAACACAAAAAGACTATTCCATCCCACTAGTAACCACCCATCTAAAATAAATGAAAATAGGCCGGGCGCAGTGGCTCACGCCTGTAATCCCAGCAGTTTGCAAGGCCAAGGCAGGCAGATCACCTGAGGTCCAGAGTTAGAGACCAGCCTGACCAACATGATGAAACCCTGTCTCTACTAAAAATACAAAAATTAGCCAGGCATGGTGGCACACACCTGTAATCCCAGCTACTTGGGAGCCTGAGGCACAAGAATCCCTTGAACCTGGGAAGGTAGAGGTTGCAGTGAGCTGAGATCGCGCCGCTGCACTCCAGCCTGGGCAACAGAGCAAGACTCCGTCTCATAAATAAATAAATAAATAAATAAATAAAAAAATAAATAAAATTAATGAAAATACTAGCCAAATAAACAGATACGAGCAACCATGGTCATATGGGCATAACACAACACTGGTTTAACTACTATGTTCCCAAAGTTTGCAACAGTGAGAAAAAAACAAGGATTCATACTGGTGGTGAATTAAGTAACACAATTTCTTGAGGGCAATTTGACAATAATAATATTTAGTATAACCTTTGACCTAGTAATTCCATTTCTAGGGATTTACCCTAAGGAAATAACACTGGATATGTGTAAATTTAATAATAAGGATATCCAATGCAGAGTGTTCATAAAAGTGAAACATTCTGAACCATTTATTTGGAACCGTAAATGTCTAATAGTGAACTACAATTAAGTTATTTATATATGTACTGACAACATATTTTTATGATATATTATGAGCAAAAATAAAGCAGCTCATAAAAATAGTAAGGACACTATAATACCACTTGTTATTTTTTTTCTCCTGTGTGTATAAGCCTGTGTACCAAAATATTTACCGTGGTTTTGTGTGAATAGTGAGATTATAGATGATTTTCATTTTCTTAACTTTGTTTGGCTGCATTTCTCTAATTTTCTAAACAGTGTGAGTTATTTTTGTAACTAGAAAAAAATACTTATTACTATCATGTGCCTTGTGATTTTCACTTTGATCTATATTGATAGGTACTAGGAAGCTGTTACAGGTGGGGTAATGATAAAACACAGAAGAGCAGACCAGGCTAATAAAGAATTGACAATGGCACAAGGTAAGAGAGAGAAGCAAGCAGGGGCAGACCTAGGAGAGACCCACTTGATTGTGCCCATGTCTTTAGTTATTGTCTCGTTCTCAGTCTCTTTTTGGACATATACCATAACTCAATTCTACCATGGGATTAGTTAAACTGACTTCTAAGTTGGACAGTTTTAAATCTTAGTTTTATTTGAATTTTACCTTTACTTATAAGCTAGCTTTTCTGACACTCACCTTTTGAGACCCTAGCAAGCAGGTCAGTGTCCAGAAACCAATCCTAACGGAATGGCTGGCCCCGCACCAGCAGTGTGCAGAATGGCAGCAGTATCATCACTACGGCTGCTCACTCCAGGTCCCTCCAACATTTAAAGACACAAGGGTAGAGAGAAACTAGCCACTCTCTGGACCTCCTTAGGGATGCCCTGCTACATCTCTGCTGAGCCTCCCTGTCTCCTCCCATGCTACAATATACGTGTCCCAACTTTCTGATTTTTAGCTTCCTGATTAATTTACTTGCCCTTTGAAAATGTCCTCTAATTCATTACAGCCTTCCTGGAATTACTCTCTGGCTTCTCAACATCTGATATTATATGTCCCATAAACAACAGGACTATTATATTAAAACCATGAATTAGATCCGAGCATCCTATTTCTCCCCAAGCCTATTAACAAGATGTTCTACAGGTTGAATCTCATTTAATTTGCCATTTACAGGATAACCTTTCCAGGTATGTCTCTCAAGTCCTTCCTGTTATTCTGGATACCTCTTAATATCTGTTATGTTGGGGGAAATCATCTGAATGAAGTAAGAAAATTGATTCTGTTTCTTTCCTAATGGAAAAAAACCTGAGGAGATAAGAATAGTGCAACCAATTCATGACTGGACAACACCCTTAAGATGACTATCTTCCTAAGTGAAATGTGCATGGCCCCACACTGTGAAAAGCAATAAATATTTCTGTCTTTGAAATTACAAGATTGAGTGATCAAAGGGATCAAGTAAGAAGATTTCCTATTCTTCGACATTTTGCCATTAGTTATACAGTAAAAGACAGCTGTCTTTATGCATAGAACTGTCACCAAATGTTCCCAGACTCGGCAGATTAAGCTATCGATGGTTTTTAAGAGAAGAAAAAAAAAAACAATCAAAATGAGACTTTTCTGTATTCTACACACATGCAGAAAAGAAAAAAAAAAAAGAAAAAAAAAGCAATTTCATGGTGAAGGAAGGAGATATATTTATATGTCACAGCAAGGCCAAGAGTATTTCCAACAAAAATAAAAATCCCCTTTGCCACCTTCATAACATCTCAAAGTCTTACAATGCATAAGAATATGTTACATACATACATATATAACATTAGCCATATGAAATGTCTGAGACAAATTTAAATGACCACCGTAATAAAGAATTTGATCTTTTCTTTTTGTATTCTCTGTAGGCTTATGTCAGTAAACTAGAATAAACATGTTATTAAAAGAGAATCAATAGGAGGCTTTAAAATATACACTACCACAAAAGGTCAAGCCCTGGTATCGATTTTAATATAACATTTTTTGTGCAGCTTCCCAAAGGATTCTTTTCTAATATTGTTCTTCATTTTTCTCTCACTTTGTTCCCTGACTGGTGAATTTGTTGTTCTTGTCTGCAAAAAGCTGTCTAAAGCTGACTCTGCTGAGTATGTGTCATTCCTATGACAAGCTGCTGGCAAATGAAAAAACAAAAAAGACCAAAAAAAAAAAAAACAACAACAACAAAAACCAGAACACAAAGGTAGTCAGTGGGAGGACAGATACAAGAGGCCAAGAAGCAAGAGATAATCTTCAACTCAAAACGCACAAGGGCTGGCCACGGTGGCTCACACCTGTAATCCCAGCACTTTGGGAGGCCAAGGCAGGTGGATCACCTGAGGCCAGGAGCTTGAGACCAGCCTGGCCAACATGTGACACCCCATCTCTATTAAAAAACACAGAAATTGGCCAGGCACGGTGGTGTGCACCTGTAAGCCCAGCTAATCGGGAGGCTGAGGCAGGAGAATCGCTTGAACCCAGGAGGCAGAGGTTGCAGTGAGCCAAGATCGCGCCACTGCACTCCAGCCTGGGTGACAGTGCGAGACTCTGTCTCAAAAAAAAAAAAAAAAAAAAAGTACAGGAACACACTGAAACTCAGAACAATTTGCCATCCCAGGAAGCTCTGGGCTTTTGCCTTCTCTGGTGCCTGGAGAGAGCCCTGATTCCCAGAAGCCAGGGAGGCTGAGGGGGGCACGAGGAGAGAAGAGATGATCTCTCAGGTTACGACAAAAAAAAAAAAACTCTGTCACGAAACCAGGGAAAGAATGCAATGTTTCAAGATACAAATCCATGTTACGCCATGCACCTCTTGAATCTAAGGCACCAAATGTTCAAAGGACATCTGGAATCCCTTTGACAGGGTTCATGAGGGCAAAAGTATATGCTCAGAGACACAAGAGACTTCTTGACTTCTGTCCCAACAGACAAGGCTTAAAGACTTACACAACATACGCTCTGGTTCAGTCTCATGTAAAATGTAAGTGCAAACTATAGTACATGTTGTTCATGTCGTTTCAAATTTTGATTATGTTGTTAGCCAACAATAAAAATACTCTGAAAGCTTAGATGATATTCATATACTGTCAAGTTTCCACTTTTAGACAATGCTCATTAAAAATGAAGGAAACTGAGCAACTGTCTCAGGACAGGACCTGAAACCAAAAAAACACTGCTCCTGGAGTTATAATGCAGTCCTCATATCAGAAAATGAAAGCCAATTAAGCCTACTCAACAGGAAGACATGAATCACAGTCACTTCCTAAACACTATGAAAATCTGAAATGTTGGGAACGGGCTTGGAGTAAAAGAGAACTGGATTTGAACCTGATGCTGCCTGTTGTCAGGTCAAGGTACTTGCCCACTCCAAGCTACTTTTGTAAAATAAACCTGTAGAAAGCAGAGCTACCACATCCAATTGCTCCTCAGTTTGATGGCAGAGTGGGGGTCACCTAGCCTTGGATCCTGGAGGGGAATATGAGGAGCATCATCTTATAGGCCACAATACAGGCCAAAGCAGGCTTCATCAGAGGGCTCTCGGGGAGTTCAGAGCTAATATATACAAATATATGCACAGCGCACAGTACACAGTGGACAATCATTAAATGGCAGTTGCTATTGTCATATGATGATTCTCCTGTCTCTTTTGACTTTTGGACAAATTCTATCCCATTTTAATGTATTTAGCCACAACAGTAAAATATTATCGTAATTTAATATAAAATCCCTTTTTGGTACCTACTATATGACAGACAATGAATTTTGCCCTCATAGACTTTCTTTTATTTTGAGACAGGGTCTCACTCTTGTCACCCAGGCTAAAGTGCAGTGGCGTGATCTCGGCTTACTACAACCTCTGGCTCCCAGGTTCAAGCGATTCTCGTGCCTCAGCCTCCTGAGTAGCTGGGACTACGGATGCCTGCCACCATACCTGGCTAATTTTTGTATTTTTAGTAGACATAGGGTTTCGTCATGTTGGCCAGGCTGGTCTTGAACTCCTGACCTCAGGTGATCCGCCCGCCTCGGCCTCCCAAAGTGCTGGGATTACAGGCATGCCCAGCCCTCATAAACTTTTATATTCCAGTGCAGGAGACAGACAAGAAACAGAAAAAGAATACTATAAAGAAACATAAAGCAGGAAAAGGACAGCTAGGATGAGAGAACAGGAAAGAAAGAAGAGTTATTTTAGACAAAATGACCAGGGAAATCCTCTCTGTAGGGTTATTTGGGAAAAACTGTGATAGTAAGAGGGAGTCAGCCATGCAAAATATGAAGTGCAAATATTCTGGACAAGGAGCTATAGGCACAAACAGGTTTGGCAGCCGATGTGGCCGAAGTGTTCAATGAGAGGGTGGTAACATAGGAGATCCAAGTATCAGAGGGTGTAAATGTGTAACAATAGGTAGAGGACTTGAAGGTCAGAGAAAAGGACTTGGACTTTATGCTAAACCTAATGAAGCCATTAGAGGGTTTTAAGCAAAGAAAGTGACATGATTCAAAATGCATTTTTTTAAAGCCAACTAATGCTGCTTTGTGAAAAATAGAATGTGGCGGACAAGAATAGCCCAATGGAGGTGACTTTGTAATACTACAAATGAGAAATGGTAATGGCTTACACCAGGGTTTCTCGGCCTCGGAGCTATATCAACATTTTGAACTGAACAATTCTTTGTTGTAGAGGGGCTGTCCAGTGCACTGTAGGATGTTTAACAGCATTGCTGGCCTCTACCTATCAGATGCCAGTGGTACCCCCAATGTTAGGACAACCTAAAAGGTCTCCAGGTATGGCCAGAAGTCCCATGGGGAAGGGAGCAAAATCTCCAGCAGCTGAGAACCACTGGCTTAGCCTAAGGCAGGGGTGGCAAAGGTGAGAGGTAATTCATTTCTAATATATTTTAAAAGCAGAGACATTAGGGCCAATTCACTGGAAATGGGAAAACAGGGACATAAAGGCAGGAAGAATGAATTTGGAATCGTCAATAATAAAAAATCTTTAAAAAATTATTTTATCTTAGGACCAAGCTCTCTTGAGAATCTGTCTTTACAGTTAATATTCTTTCTGTTACGAAGAAACACTGACATTTACTTATTTATTTATTTATGCCTGACATTTATTGAATGGTTGATTGATTAATTGAGACAGAGTATTGCTCTGCCACCCAGGCTGGAGTGCAATGGCGCAATCTCGGCTCACTGCAACCTCAGAAAGTTGATAAGGGTTACAGAAAGTTGATGTTACCCTCAACTTTCTGTTACCCGCAATTTTCTGTTAGACTAGCATTATCCACATTTTCAGTAGTTTGAGGAGAGAGCTTTTCTAAGGCAAACTATGTAAGGCAAACCTATGTAGGGCTAAATAACATAAATTATAGAAACCCACTTGGGCTCCTTTTCTTTAATTCTATAAAAACTGAATTGTACAGCTGACAGATATATTCATAATGAAATGCACAATTTCCAACCTATTACAGCTAAATCTACAGTAATATTAATTTTTACCCACCATTTGACAGTATTTTGACAGTTTTATTTCAAAACATAGTCATGTGAGTTAAAAAACAAAACACAAAAAGTCCTTTCATTTGTGAAATTCTTTTCAATCTAAATTTCTTATTTATTGAGCTCCATAATTAAGGCATAGTTTACTGGTAAAACCTATAAAACATAAATCTTCAGGCCAGGCACAGTGGCTCACGCCTGTAATCCTAACACTTTGGGAAGCCAAGGCAGGCAGATGGCTTGAGCCTAAGAGTTCGAGACCAGCCTGGGCAACAAGGTGAATCCCTGCCTCTAACAAAAATACAAAAATTAGGCAGACATGGTGGCATGCACCTGTAGTCCCAGCTACTCGGGAGGTTAAGGTGAGAGGATGGCTTGAGTCTGGGAGACAGAGGGTGCAATGGGCTGAGATTGCACCACTGCACTCCACCATGGGCGACAGAGCCAAATCCTGTCTCAAAACTAAGAAAGAAAAGGAGGAGAGGGGAGGGGAGGGGAGGGGAAGAGAGGGGAGGGGAAGGGAGGGGAGGAGAAGAGAGGGGAGGGGAAGGGAGGGGAGGGGAGGCCAAACCTTCAATAACCGACATCAAAAGGTCAGGGCTGGGAGTGGTGTCTAACGCTTGTAATCCCACCACTTTGGGAGGTCAAGGTGGGTGGATCACCTGGGGTCAGGAGTTTGAGACCAGCCTGGCCAACATGATGAAACCCCGTCTCTACTAAAAATACAAAAATCATCTGGATGTGGTGTCGGGTGCCTGTAATCTCAGCTACTTGGGAGGCTGAGGCAGGAGAATCGCTTGAACCCAGGAAGCAGAGGTTGCAGTAAGCTGAGATCACACCCCTGCACTCCAGCCTGGGCAACAGAGCAAGACTCCGCCTCAAAAAAAAAAAAAAAAAAAAACATTCAGACAGACATATAATAGGTAACATTACTGCTGGATCAGAAAATAATTTAGCCTCTGAAACACAGTCTGATCGAGTGATGGTAAGTATGGGTGACTCCAGATGCCGACTGCCTGCGTTCAAATTCCAGCTCCTCTGCTTTCTGGCTATGTGGCTATAAGCAAGTGACCTCTGTGTTTCGGCTACTTCATCTACAAAGTGAGGAGACTAGCAGGTCAGAACCTGCCCCATAGGGCTGCTATGAAGGTTAAATAATCACATGTGCAAAGGGCTTGGACCAGTGCTTAGGACAAAAGAAGTATTCAAAACTGTTAGCTATTACTATTACAAATGATTACTTACTATTACATATTATTAGTAGTAGTAATATTACTTTTCTTAGGCAAAGTCTTCTTAAATGGCATTTATTATCAGATAGACGGTCTACTTGAATCTATATATGCTGACATGGGAAGAGAGATCACAATATATGACTGAGTAGAAAAAAGCACGTTATATAACATGCTCATTTTGTTTTAAAAAAACAAAATGATAAATAATCTAGGGTAAGAATGTATAAATGATTTTGTAGGGAGTAAGAATAAGGGAAAGGAGGGAGACAGAAAACTATTCATCTGTATTTACTGAATTCCTTTTATAGGTATGTATTTCCCTGGTAATTTTCTTTTTTTTTGTTAAAGAAACAAACACAATATCCATGTTTTCAGTTGTTTAAGGAATGAATTTCCTATGTCAAACCTACCTGGTTCGGTAGAAATAATGGAAGAATTGCAGAAACTCTGTTGCATAAGTGTTTCTTAACTAGTAGACACTTGTCACATTAGTGGTTTCAGTTGACTTTGTGGGGTACTTTTTTTGGTATCATTTGGTTTTAATCCAACAACCCCATCAGGAAGTCAAAATGCCCTGTAATTTACGGATTTTTATGAGATTTTTGTTTTAATCTAAATCAACCTTGACAAAATGGCACCAAGAAACAAGGAATTTAAAAGATCCATTCTGAGAAGTTGTGAAGAAACTTGAATTTAAATCAAGAATTGAAACATTTACATGGTTAATCTGTGTTTTAATGCTTTATACCTGACACCTAAATCACACTAAAATTGTTTGGGGGATAACTCAAAAAAAAAAAAAAAACCTTTCAAATGAAATGGTTGCAGCCTCAAGGATTCAGATTGTTTATATGTAAGGAAGCAATTGTAAATAGCATATAACTAACAATTGCTCCCATCGTGGCTGAATATTTTGACAGATAAATTCAATATTCTAGTTCCAACGGCAAATTGTCCCAGCAGCTAAGTTTTTAATTGATTTCAAAACATCTAAATTTGTAGACTAAATGTGATGACTGACTATCATACAAAAGGCAAATAAATACTAACAACAGACACTACAAGCCAAAAACCCAGCATATCAAGCAACACAAATATATAAAATAACAGAATAAGCCAGTCTTCCATTTTAAAAAAAAAAAAGTCTAAGAATGAATATAGAGAGAAACGTAAATATTTTTCCCCTCTGCAATCATTAATTAAAGTAATTCCTGCACTTCTTTATTGCTTCCTAACTCCAAGAAAGAAGTTAACAAATTCCCCCACCGTGAAAGGTGCCCAATTTGCTCTACTGAACTCAGGAAATCGCTAGTGAGCACACACGTGCCTCACTGACCAGCAGCAGATCCTCATCTCTAAAGTTCATGAGGCAGGGCACCAGCTGCTTCCACATACTCCCCGCTGTACTATTAAGAAAAATGTCCCAATCTTAAGCTAACGAGAACTGAACTCATGAGAAATTTAAACTGCCATTGTCACTGAAAATGTGCACAAACAAGCATTTAAAAGTCAGGTATAGAGCCAGGCACAGTGGCTCACGCCTGTAATCCCAACACTTTTGGAGGCTGAGGCAGGTGGATCACTCGAGGTCAGGAGTTTGAGACCAGCCTGTCCAACATGGCGAAACCCTGTCTCTATTAAAAATACAAAAAACTAGCTGGGTGTGGTGGCGCACACCTGTAATCCCAGCTACTTGGGAGGCTGAGGTAGGAAAATCACTTGAACCCAGGAGGCGGAGGTTGCAGTGAGCCTAGATTGTGCCACTGCACTCCAACCTGGGCGACAGAGCCAGACAACGTCTCAAAAATTAAATAAATAAATAAATAAATAAATAAATAAATAAATGTCAGGTATAGCCTACACAACAAAAAGAATATTAACTGTAAAGACAGGTTCTCAAGACAGCTTGGGCCTAAGATAAAAGAATTTTTTTAAATACTGTACAGAGTAGCTATCTAGATCTAATAACCAGTAGCACAAAACAGAGGTCATTTTTAAGAGACCTAAGAGACCTGTTATTTACTAAAGGTTTATAAGAGAAAATCCAAGTAACTGTTTGATACTTCTTCCCACAATTGTAAATGAAAGACTTTAAAGAAGGTATTCCCTGTCCACACAGAAAGTAATACTGTAGGGTGTTTAAATGCAGACTTGGATTCAAATCCGAGCCCCACCACTTACTTGATAGATATGACCTTGGTGTATTAGTCTGTTCTTGCATCACTATAAAGAAATATCTGAGACTGTGTAATTTATAAAGAAAAGGCGTTTAATTAGCTCACGGTTCTACAGGCTGTACAGGAAGCATGGCAGCATTTTGGGAGGCCTCAGGAAACTTTCAATTATGGCAGAAGGGCAAGATGAAGTAGGCACATCTTTTATGGCCAGAGAAGGAGGAAAAGAGAAAGAGGGAGAGGGACTGTCACACACTTTTAAACAACCAGATCTCATGAGAAATCTATCACAAGAACAGCCTTAGGAGGATGGTGCTAAACCATTAGAAACCACACCCATGATCCAATCACCTCCTACAGGCCCCACTTCCAGCACTGGGGATTATATTTCAACATGAGATGTGGGTGGGGACATAGAACCAAACCATATAACTTGGTAAGTTTCTTACCCTCTCTGTTTCCTCATTTATAAAATGAGGATAACAGTAATGCCTACCCAGTAGGGGTGTTATATAGTTGAAATGAATGAAAATACATAAAATGCTTAGAACAGTGCTTAGCACACAGTAAGTAAGAGATGACCCCTGTGTTTGTTAATGTGGGTACATTGTAGTTGGGCATATGGATCCTATGCTCTGAAATCGTTTTCACAGATTATATGTGACTCCAGTGTGCATGTTCTATGTATGTGTCTGTATAAAACTGTGAGGAAAGTTTTCAAAGACAAATGACAACTGCTTCTGAATAAGAATGGGATACAAAAGAATGTGGTTCTCTCACTAAAGTATCAAACAGAAATTTAAGATGGGCTACTCCTGTTTAACAGTTTGCTCCAACCAAGAAAAGAAGGGGGTAAGGTTATTATTTGAACAGGAAACGGTGCCAATGTTTGGAAGTATTATAATCTGGAGAGAAAATTTACATTTGATTTACAACTGTGTTGCCCACATTCCTTTTTAGCTCGAGGCTATATTGGCAAAGCTATGGAGGTCAGGAGGGGAAACAGGGACTCTCTCTGAATATTCTCCAGTATTTCCAGATCCTGCACAGAAGGACCTCACACTCTTCTCCAGTGTTCCTAACACAGCATTACCAACAGGATCAACAGATGGCTTCCAGAAGGCCCAGGACTAAGAAACAGCCAGGGCTAGGTCCAGCCTATGTGGACCACTGCCCATAAACACGGACTTCCGGATTAAGGAAATGGACAACAGGCCACTGTCCACCCACCTTTTAAAACAGAAACAGAATCGAGTCTATCCAACAAATGCTATTTGGGTAAGGAAAGTACACTCCTCAAACACAAAGTGTCCAAATTTGCGAGAAAATGACCTTGACCAAAGTTTTCTTGAAGAAAGCCCCAGTTAGCACAAGGGCCTGGGTCTTTAGGAAGGAAAAAGAAGAAAATAGGCTGACACAGCTCTAAGTCCCTAGTCCTAGCTTTAACCAGACAGCACTTAAATCAGCTTTACTTTGGGTTCCATGTTGCACTCCCTTTGAAAAATGTTTATGTAATGATGACAGCCTATATGATTCTATCACTTCAGCAACAGACTAGGTAGAGCAATGCGGCAGGCCAATTCTAATCTAGTTCTGCTAACTGAAAAACATTACCTGTGTCTAACTCAGTCATCTGTTTTTATAAATCAGTGATAATACTGACAATAAACATTAATCTTTTATGCAAGGAATAATAAATGACTGAGTACATTAAAACTCCACATCCCCAGACCAAAAAGTAATGGAGACACTTCGACAAGACTATTACAGCTATATAACACTGAGAAACCAATTCCTAGAAACTTCCAAATGCAGAAATTGACTTTGGCACAAATGACTTCAAACACTGCACTTCACGAGAGAAAACACTGTAATTACTGTCAAAAGAAACATGTGAACAAGAAGTGGTCAAACATCACTGCTGCTATTATAACCAGTAAAAAAGTTAGATGTCTATGGCACGCTTGATTGACTCTGGTTTTCCAGGTTTGATATTAACATGTAAAAATATCTTCTCAAACAGGATTTACAACAGTGTAGCATCAGTAGGAAAGAAAATTGGATTTGAAAAAAGAAATAAAACAATAAGAATAAAACAGAGCTAGAAAATCCAAACTTCTATCACTGTTGGTTATAAAAAAGCAGTTGGCTATTAAAAATAGAAAACTGCCACCTGAAGAAAAACAATGAAAGTAGCAGATGGCACAAGATTCCAATACCTAGTACAGACACAGCACTTCCAATCACCTTCCAGTGAAAAATACTGGGTGGCTAGGACGTGTTCCTACTACATTCAGAACTGGTTAGGTCTTTTTATCAATTGTTAAGCAGAATCAAATGGAAAAGTATGAGTATAAAACAACAGCAATGCAATAAAGCATTTAAAAAAACAGCAAAAATATGATTAATAAAAAAATAATCTAAAATAGTGGGACTTTTATACTACAGAAGGATCTCTTAAATGTTGGAGTATATAAAGGAATATTTTGGAAATAATGCCAACAAACCATCTACTACCTCCAGTGAAGCCTAATGAGCCTGGGAAATATGCTCACATCACAGCAGGATGGTATAGGTTACACCTGGACATCAGCTGTGTGTCGCTGAAGAGCTACAACTCAAATTTCTGCAATAACCTTCTTTGCAACTATTTATAAATTACAAGTGAAATTCATTTGCCTGTGTCAGTTGTGACTGCATTGAGAATATACTGACTGCTAACTGATCTCATAAGATCATTTCAAAACTATGCCTTTATAAGCCTTGATCAATATTAGTTATCAATAGTACTGATTCCCTGAAAAGTTTTTTTAATTACTTACACCTAGAAATTACATGCAGGTTGAAGGTATGTAATTTTCATAACTGTGTAATTTGTGTCTATGACAGGAAAACAAGTGTTCAACACTATACTAAATTAAAAGAAAGATTTTTAAGACAAGTATCTATAGTCTCTGGTCAGTAGCCAATTTCAAAGAGATAATTTAAGTTTTTATTTTAATATAATGTAGAATAGATATATGCCCACATACATAATATAGAACTGCACCTTCTAGAAAAAAGGTTATCATGATTTTCCAGACCCAGTGATTCATTCAACTGAACAAATACTTGTGAG
Source organism: Homo sapiens (assembly GCF_000001405.40). Taxonomy (NCBI): domain Eukaryota; kingdom Metazoa; phylum Chordata; class Mammalia; order Primates; family Hominidae; genus Homo; species Homo sapiens. The sequence goes on from NC_000007.14 coordinate 133,018,833, forward strand.
ACTTTACTATGTGAAAAGCACCATGCTAGTTGCATGATTTCTCTTTTTTTTTTTTTTTTTTTTTTTTTGAGACGGAGTTTCGCTCTTATTGCCCAGGCTGGAGTGCAGTGGCGCGATCTTGGCTCACCACAACCTCCACCTCCCGGGTTCAAGCGATTCTCGTGCCTCAGCCTCCCGAGTAGCTGGGATTACAGGCTTGTGCCACCACACCCAGCTAATTTTGTATTTTTAGTAGAGATGGGGTTTCACCATGTTGGTCAGGCTGGTCTCAAACTCCTGACCTCAGGTGATCTGCCCACCTCAGCCTCCCAAAGTGCTGGGATTGCAGGCATGAGCCACCAGGCCCAGCCACATGATTTCTTGTATCATGTATTTTAAACATGATGCTACCCACAAACTCCTGTTTGTTTCAGAACTCTTCCCTCCTCCTTTTTTCTGCTTTTTCTTTTGCCTTTTTCTTGCTGCCTTTTTCAAAGGCAGAACATATGTAATAATAAAAATCAAGATAAATTATCATATATAATGAACTTAAACAGATGGTACCATCCCTGTAAATTTCACCATTAGTATGAGAAACTAAAAGGTACAAATAAGTTTTAAGCCCTTATTTGATGATATCAACAATGCTATCAATGGAAAAATAAAAGGACTACACTATACTCTAACACAGATGGCTGATAAAATTTATGACTAATTTATTAAACCACTCATTATACCAGATAGATTATTTGAAGTCTTACAAATCTAATGTAACTTTCCAAATAACTAAAAGTGCGGGAAAAATCTCAACTAATGTCCATTGAAAAATAGCGAGCAAGTAATCTTGGTTGATGTACAGTTAGTTCCAACATCAAGCAGCCATTCCCTTTCTTCTTGGTTTCTTGAAAAAAAAATGTTATTATAAGTGAAACACTTTCACTTGCCTTTATAGGTAAAGAGGTGAAATTCAAATGCCAAAGGTCAGAGGTCAGAAGTAGTCACATTTTTCTAGCTGTCAAAGACTGACTTTTGGAGGTAGGGCACAGAGGAGAAGTAAATCATATTTTTAAAGTCTATACTCAAACTGTAGCATATTATGTCCTTGCTATATTGGCCTACACAGTTACAACACAATATGGTCAGCTATAATCCAAACACACCATTGAGTATCACAGCAAAAACAGACTGCCGACAGAGGCATTTACTCTGGATTCTCGGTACGCTGAGCAACTATTCTGTCTACTAGATGTTTTGATAAGCAAAACCATGATTTCAAATTAGACCCAAAAATTTTCGTGTGTGCACTAATCTATCAGCGATTTGTGCGGGACATGATTGTGGAAGCAAATCACTTAAGATCCCCATAAAACAGGATAAATCTAAGACAAAATGAATTGGGAGTCCATATGTAAATGTTTTGTAAAAATGAAAATATATATAGTCATCATGCTAATAATTAGCAACTGTATTGTCACTGTGGCCTTAGTAAGAAACCTCCTCTAAGGCAACTTTTAAGTATGGCAGGTCTGCATTAGATTTAGGAGTGGAGATTTAATGGGGTTGGGGTAAATTTTAGATGACCTAATGAAATATCATCAGTTTCGATGATTTTGAATGGAATCTAAAAGCATGTGGCCCTACCAGTCACAGATGCCTAAAAAGGGCTTCTGCATTAAGTAGAAGGTAAAGTAAGACATTCAAGAAGTCATTCCGAGCTGACAAATTTTATGGTCTGAAGTGTACATGGACTGCATTTTATCAATTCTAGGATGCATATTTTTCCACGTTTTCACAAACCTAAAAGCATCTGAAAATTGCTATCTGCCAGGCGGCAGTCCTGCTGCTGTTGTCATTGCTTGCACAGAAGCATCAAAATTTGCAGAACTGCTGTCAGCAGCTCGGAAAAATTCCAGGAATAAGAGTGGAGCAATCTTTTAAGGAATGTTGTGTCACCGAGGTTTTGACGGCATAGAATATGATATTGTGTGGAAAAACAAAGACATCAAACCCTGAGTCCAAAAGTGATCCAGAACAATTAAATCCAATGTGGGCTGGTTTGAAGAATACCTTAGCCCTGGGTTTCTCACTATTGGTACAACTGACATTTTGAGCCAAATAATTCTTTTTTGGTGGGGGGAGAACGGATAAGAGGGGGGCCGGCGGGCAGCAGGAGGTGAGGACTGTCACGTGCATTACAGAATGTTAAACAGCATCCCTGGCCTCCATCCACTAGATGCCAATAACATTTGACAAATTTTAACAACCAAAAATATCTCCAAACATTGTCAAATGCCCCCTGGGGATCAAATGCTCTCCCAGCTGAGAACCACTGCCTTAATCAATTTATTTTGCCTACTTTTTCCTTCTTATGAATATACATATGTTTTCAAAAATTCAAAATTAGTGTTAATGAATTGTTTCAATAAGAAAATTCTAAGAGATAAAGTATTGTGTTAAAACTTGCAGCAATATATTTCATAGGGTACACCAAATACACTAAAATCTTAAAATCAGGGGCATGCAAAGAAATTCAGCCACCCGGCATCCGTTCCCCCTCCTTATGGAATGCTCATCATGATTTCCTGCTGGGGAACTATTTCCTCACCACACACAGTTTTAGAAACATCCAGTTCTCCCCTTGCTAATGGTTTTCTAAGTCTTCCATTTGTTTCTTTTGAGCTATATATCCTTTATGCTCCTAAAAATTTCCTTGCTTTCTAAGCTAATCGGAGTTAAATTTCAGTCTTCCAACTAAATAAATCTAACTGAAACAAAGTACTTATTTCAACTATGCTGATAGAAGACATTTTGGAATATTTCCCTGCCATAAAATTCACCAACCTGTTTAAAATTGTACTACTTTTCCTCACCACTCACCACATATGTAGAGTGACTAGATATGTGGATGAAACAAGAATTGTTACAACTGTGTCATGGGATATGGGGATTCACTATACTATATTTTTCATGGAGCTTTAAAATTTCCATTTAAATGCCAGGCACGGTGGCTCATGCCTGTAATCCCAGCACTTTGGGAGGCTAAGGCAGGTGGATCACAAGGTCAGAAGTTCAAGACCAGCCTGGCCAATATGGTGAAACCCCGTCTCTACTAAAAATACAAAAAAATCAGCCGGGTGTGGTGGCGGGCGCCTGTAATCCCAGCTACTCGGGAGGCTGAGGCAGGAGAATTGCTTGAACCCCAGAGGTGGAGGTTGCAGTGAGCTGAGATCACACCACTGTACTCCAGCCTGGGTGACAGAGCGAGACTCCATCTCAAAAAAAAACAAAAAACAAACAAAAAATTTCCATTTAAAAAGGGTTACAATGATAATAGATATTCTATAAAGAAAAATATCACAATCGAAATTAATTACAAAGTCCTTCTCGAACAAGTTTCTTCAAAATGTACGTACGTAGATGCGTATGTCCAGCTATGAAGTGCTTGAGAACTGGTCAACAGGTTTGTGTGCATTTGGAGGGAAAAGAGAAAACTTGGCACGCAGGGTATATACCATATGAGTAACAGTACAAAGGCAAGAGGAGCTATTTTCTAAAACTGCCTATAAATCTCGATTCAATTCAGGCAATACATACAATAACGTATACATGTTCTGTGACTCCAAAAAGTTGCTGCTAAAAGACTGCACACAAAACTTTCTTAATGCTGTTTCTGAAGTTTCTTCTCTGGTAGAAAAAAAGAAAGAAAAATATAGCTATTGATTCTCCTAAGAACTATCATATAGATGAACACACATTTTTTGCCAAGATTTGACAGCTGAAGTTTTCATGAAGGAGGCTTCAAACAAAACTTTTTTTAAAAAAGAAAAAATAATACAAAGGCTGTACCACCCTCTGCTCTCCTTAAAGGTGACAGAAAATAAATTCTTTATCAATAGTCATTTGTCCAGGTTACAGCTAGGCTGCCCACCCCATTCCACCTGAGATATGAAATTGGCTTTCACTGGCACCTTTTATTCATCTCATCTGCCCTTTCCCTTTCATGAGCCAAGGCAGAGCAAATGGAAGCTGAATAATGAAGAAGAAGAAAAAAAAAAAACCCACAGTGAGTTATTTTAACAAAAAGCCTGCACCATATGGAGAGAAGGGAAGACCAAAAAAAAAAAAAAAAATCCTATGTGAAATATAATAAGCAAACTAAATATGAGAATCTAACCAAAAAACCCCTATTAAAATAAAACTCAATTAAAAATAACAAAATTTCAAAGACAAGAAATTCTACCATAACATATTGATTCTCTTTTTTTAAAAATTGATTCTGAATTTTTTTGGAATATTTAAACTTCACTATCTAATTATATAGTCTATCAACCTAACCCAATTAAATAATTATAAAGCACTGCATGGGAAACTGTGGAAATATACAGAGACCTTTCTGGCAGTACTAATTAAATCTTGATTTTTTAAATTGTAAGTCATAAGCCTTCTCTATTTCCTAAGAAAATAGCAGTCTTAATCTAAAATTCATATTCTGTTCTGTATATTTTGTGTAAATTGGGAGTTAGTTTGTCAAAAGAAATATTAAATAATAATTTTTCACAACCCTCATTTTAAAGATGAAATACTTAAGGCTCAAAGAGGTTAAATTATATGGTGAAGGTCCTATGGCCAGTGAGGACTACAATCCAATTCAAAGATTCCTTACCTCTAGATCTCTCAAGCAAAATAGTTGGGCAGTTCAAAACAAAACAAATACAAACTAAGCACCTGCTCAGTGGCAAGCATGTGTTTGGTGCTCACAGTAAAAAGACATTCACATGATCATGTAATCATAATTCTCTAAGCTATGTGCAAACTCCAGAAATAGTACAGATGGGAAGCACTTTATCTTAGATTAAAATGTTTTCCCATCTTTTTATGAATAAGTACCTACTCTAAAACTTCAAAAAGTAGTATTTAAAAAAAATGCTTTTTTAAAATCCTTTCATGGTGTTTTTTTCAGTGGATAGCTCGTCAACATCTTTTTGAATCAGCACACAGGGCTATAACTGATGGTCTAGTGTTCCATTGCAGGCATGTACCATAATTAATTCAGCCAGTCCTCGAGGATGGTCGGTTTGGATTGCTTCCAATTTTCTACTGTTACAAAAACACTTCAATGAACATTCTTTTAGCTGTTGTTAGTAGTATTAATAATGGCAACAATCAGATGGAAGTGTGTGCAGAGGAAAAAATCTCGAGCAATAAAATGTTAAAAAGTGGTTAACTTCAGAGGATGGAAACAGGATTTTTATTTCCAACCTTACTTATGTCTGTAACATCCTAATTTTTTTACGTGAACAGAATAATAATTAGTGCTATTTGTTAATCCGGGCACTATGTATCACACACGATATTCATCATGAGCCAAAATATTTACTTTAGTGCCTGTGGCAGGCAATATAATTTTCAATGATGCATACATTTGCTGATCGACTGGGAAATTCCTGGAGAATACTCAAAAACTCCTTCTCACATATTGAGAAAACACGGCTCAATATTCAAGCAACCAATACAAGAGATATAATGGTAATTCACAGTCAGCTTTGGGAAGCAGGTAACCCAAGGCTCTAAGAGGCACAATCTAAAACCGAAAATGGCCAAGTTCATGTGTTCAGCACATTCTGAAGTTCAGTCATACACAAATAATGAGACTTATCACAATCATTCTTCTCTAAAAATACTGGTAAATATGACAAAACCCACCAAAACCTCTCTCTGATACCACAAAACTCACCGTTTCTGATCTTCGGATTCTTTCTTGGCTTGCTCCAATGCCAGCTCCTCAGCTACTCTTCTTTTCAATTCTTCATCAGAAACTAGAATCGATAAAGAGCAGAAGGAGATAAAATAGGTGACTTCTTAAAAATAAAAGCAAGAAAATACTCAGGAAAGCCCGGCTGAGACTAGATTTGAACAGGCAAAGTTCTGCCAAGTGGCCAGCGTCTCCTTGGAACTTCTCAAGCACTGTGGAAAAGGCCAATTAGTGCACTTCAGGAGTAATTTAATCAAGAGTTCCCTAGTGACCTAGATTTCCACTCCTGCCAAAATTTATAACAAACTCAAGGAACTGCTTACTGTACAGTGGGGACTGAGTCAGTAAGGACCAATTCTTTAAGATGATGTCCTAACATTAAAGTCTGACAACGGTGTGTAAGGAGAGGAGACGCTGTAAGAAAGGGACTTTGGAGAAGAAAATGACAAAAAAAAATCTTCTCATTTCAATAATTAAACAACTAACAAAATCATGTACTACAAAGAGCAAATCATTTATAGTTACATTCATTTTTCCATTATTTATGAAAAAAGCCATTTGTCATTTATGAAAATTTTGAAACCCTATTTTTTGGAATACATGTCATTCAAATTCAAGTGCCAGCAACTGGAGAGAGACAGAGAAGAGTGCTGATAACACAGCTGGAGCTTTCTAAATACCTGGTGACTGGATTTGAAACATCTGGTCTTTCCAATTAGAAGACTGTGTGTGGTATGTTTTGTAAAGTTTCTTACAGCTATGATGGTAAATAAAATGGACAAATTTCACACACGTCTTTAAGAGGCTTCCACAAGAAATAAACAAAGACTAACTCCTCTTCACTACAGACCTACTACCCAAAATTACGAACAAGAAAGCACCAGAAGCACTTAGGAGGATCTAGGAATATCCACAGAACCTAAGGTCTTTTTTGGTTTTTTTCTCTTTGTTTGTTTGTTGAGACAGAGTCTCGCTCTGTTGCCCAGGCTGCAGTGCAGTGGCACGATCTTAGCTCACTGTGACCTCCGCCTCCTGGGTTCAAGCAATTCTCCTGCCTCAGCCTCTCGAGTAGCTGGGATTACAGACATGTGCCACCACACCTAGCTAATTTTTTGTATTTTTAGTAGAGATGGCGTTTCATCATGTTAGCCAGGATGGTCTCAATCTCCTGACCTCATGATCCGCCCACCTTGGCCTCCCAAAGTGCTGGGATTACAGGCGTAAGCCACCACGCCTGGCCAGGACCTAAGTTTTATTTCAAATAGTTGAGCCTATCAGATGGAAAACTAGACAGCAGTGTCTCTTTCGATAACCTCGACATTATAAATGCTTAGTCCCACAGCATATGCAAAAATATTATTTACAATAGGATATGCAAAAGCCCTTTCAAATATTTCATTGGCATGAGGCAATCACAAAGAAGATACATGAAAGATCAGAAGGATGACTTCCCTTAGTTGAGGACTATCAGACTGCAACAGCAGCATCCAGTGATACCATCAAAAAGCTAAAAAGCCCTCAGAATGGGAGAAAATATCTGCAAGTCATTAGCTGACAAGGGACTCGTATCCAGAGTATGCACGTATATAGGATATACAATATATAAAGAACTCTTACAGACAAATAATAAAAAGACAACTCAATTAAAATGGGCAAAGGCTATAAATAGGTATTTCTCCAAAGAAGATATACAAATAGCCAATAAGTACATAAAAAGTTGTTCAACAGCATTAGTCATTAGGAAAATGCAAATCAAAATCATAATGATATGCCATTTCAAACCCACCATAATAAAAAAGACAAACAATAACAAGTGTTGGTGAAGATGTAAAGAAATTGGAACCCTCACACATTGCTTGTGGGAATGCAAAATGGCTCAGCCACTGTGGAAAACAGTTTGGCAATTTCTCAAAATGCTAAAGAGTTACCATATAACCCAGCAATTCTAATTTTAGGTACTATATATACTCAAGAAAATTTGAAAACATGTCTATACAAAAACTCATACATGAGTATTTACAGTGACATTATTCACAACATCCCAAAGCTAAACACAACCTAAGTGCCTAGCAACTGATGAATGGACAAACAAAATGTGGTATATCCATTCGATATAATATTATTCAGCCATAAAAATTAATGAACTACTGATACATGCTACAACATGATGAATCTTGAAAACACTACGCTAAGGGAAAGAAGTCAGACATGAAAGGTCACCTGCTACATCCATTCATGTGAAATGTCCAGAATAGAAAAGTCCATAGACACAGAAAGTAGATTAGTAGTTCCCTGCAGTAGGAGAAAGCAGAAAATAGAGAATGACAGCTAATGGGTATGGAATTATGGAATTTCTTTTTAAGATATTGAAAATATTCTTTTTTTTTTTTTTGAGACTGAGTCTTGCTCTGTTGCCCAGGTTGGAGTGCAGTGCCGTGATCTTGGCTCACTGCAACCTCCGCCTCCTGGGTTCAAGTGATTCTCCTGCCTCAGCCTCCCGAGTAGCTGGGATTACAGGCATGCGCCACCATGCCCAGCTAATTTGTGTTATTTTTGGTAGAGACGGGATTTCACCATGTTGGCCAGGCTGGTCTCGAACTCCTGACCTCAGGTGATCTGTCCACCTCGACCACCCAAAGTGCTGGGATTACAGGCATGAGCCACCATGCCCAGACGAAAATATTCTAAAACTAGATTGTGTGATGGTTGCACAACTCTATAAATATACTATAAACCACTGAACTGCACACTCTGAATGGATGAATATTATGATATGCTAAATGTACCTTAATAAGTTGTAAGAGAGAGAGAGAGAGAGAGAGAAAGAGAGAGAGAGGGAGAAAGAAAGAAATGAAGAGAAGGAAGGAAGGGAGGGAGGGAGGGAGGGGGGGAGAGGAAGAGGAAAGAAAAGAATAAAAAGAACACTATACAGGGAATCAGGGAATAGAGGAAAAACTATTTAATGTCTAATCCCACCATGGCCATCAACAATCTAGGGGAACTTTGGGAAAGGTATTAACCTCTCTGGGCAGCAAGAGAACAACCTTTTCTCAAATGGGTGTTTAGGGACCCTTCCAACTGTATACTATGCTTCTGTTTTGCCTCTCTCCTACTTCATAGTCTATATAGCATGAGAAAAATATAAGCCTCTACTTTGAAGGGGTCAAACAAAACTTAGGAAACCCCTAGAACAGAATTCTGTTTGCATTCAGGCAAGTATTAGAGCTCTTTATGAAAGTATGAAAGATTTTTAAACGATCCAAATAAAAGCAGAGAAATTTCAGGCAGTAAGAGCTCCACAAAAAGTCCAAATAGTCTGCTTTTCAACTAGCCAAATTTTGGATAAATCAGTTAATCTAACTGAATTTTAGTTTCCCCACCTAAAAATATGACATATGGGTACACCTGTTAGCTATGAAATTCTAGACTATAGACTTCACAAGGTAATGATTTTCATACTTTCATCTACTTCTCATAAAAAAGTAAAACAACCTGACACTAAAATTTTTCAAGTTGCATACAACCAGTAGCTCCATTTGTAGCAAAAACTGAAACAAATATTTAACATAATTAGTATGATTGATCATACCAGTTAGTATCAACTCACAGTCAAATGGTATATGTAAAATCATGCTGCCTCTCCTAGATTACTTCAAGTTACAACAGCAAGATACTTCTCAGGCAAAATTCAACAGGATTCTCAATCAAAATTCAATTTAATTTAATTCAATTAAAACTAGGCTTCTGTAAAACCTCAGAGAGTAACTATGATGCACTGGGATCAGTGTTCTAAGTAAACTAATAAAATTGTATCACATCTTTCTTATTGTTGTCTTGGGTTTTTTGTCTGTTTGTGCTTATGGCTTGAATGTTTCTCCCCTTCAAAACTCACATTGAAACTTAATTCCCACTGTGGCAGTATTGAGAGGTGGGGCCCTTAAGAGGTGAGACTGGGACATGAGGGTTCATGAATGGGTTAATCCATGCATGGATTAATGGTTTATCATGATAGTGGGACTGGTACCTTAAAAAGAAAAAGAAGGCCAGGTGCGGTGGCTCACGCCTATAATCCCAACACTCTGAGAGGCTGAGGTGGGCAGATCACGAGGTCAGGAGTTTGAGACCAGCCTGACCAACATGGTGAAACCCTGTCTCTACTACAAATACAAAAATTAGCCAGACATGGTGGTGCACACCTGCAATCCCAGCTACTCAGGAGGCTGAGGCAGGAGAATCGCTTGAACTCGGGAGGCGGAGGTTGCAGTGAGCCAAGATCACATCACTGCACTCCGGCCTGGGCGACAGAGTAAGACTCCATCTCACAAAAAAAAAAAAAAAGAAAAGAAAAGAAAAAGAAGAGAGAGCTGGACTAGCATACTGAGCCCCTCACCACGTGATGCCCCGCATGACCTAGGGATTCTACAGGAGTCCCCACCAGTAAGAAGACCCACACCATATGCAGCCCTTCAACCTTGGACTTCAAAGCCTCCATAACATTAAGTAACAAATTTCTTTTCCTTATAAATTACCCAGTTTTACGTATTCTGTTATAAGCAACAGAAAAGAGATTAAGCAGTTTGGTTTTTCCAGCTTTATTAAGGTATAATTGACAAATAGAATCATATATATTCAAGGTGAACTATGTGATGATTTGATATGAATCATGTAATGATTACCACAAATATATCGAGCACCACACAGTTACCATTGGGGTGGGGAACATTGGGGACACTTAAAATTTGTTCTCTTATGAAATTTCAAGTAAAAAATATTATTAACTAAAGTCACCATCTTATAACTGAAAGCTTGTACTCTTTGATCAACATCTCCCTATTTCCCCATCCCACATCCCCTGGTAATCACTCTTTTACTCTGCTTCCTAGAGCTCAACTTTTTTAGATTCCACATATAGGTAAGAACATACAGTATTTGTCTTTCTGTGTCTGGCTTATTTCACTTGGCACAATGTCATATCTTCATAGTGCACTTTATGCCTATAACATAGGGATGTCTTCCTACCAGAGGAAAAGCTCAAATCAGCAGCGAGCTGTTTATTCCAGTGTGATCAAACGGTGACCAGCTGGGTGGATAGGCACGAAGCCATCCAGGTGAGAATGTGGAGAGGAAGTGGTTTGGGGTGAAGAAAATGCAGACTGGAGGCTTGCTGTTTCCTTCTCTATCCCCTTCTCCCTACTATCATCAGCCCTGCCACTTGCTGTGGGGTGAGGTGAGAAAGAGATACAGATTACAGGTGGCATCGTCCAGGTAGGCCATGAGAGGAGAGAAAAACGTGGGAAGAGGACAACAACAGCAATGAAAGGGACAGGAACACTCCCATGGCCACTGAAAAAGACATGTCCAAGTGACCAGCTGGTTGACATCACTTTTGGTCCATAAAGGAGCCAAAGCACAGCTATCTTTCTAATGCCCTACCTATTTCCAGAAAAGGAAAAAAAAAAAAAATCACAACTTTTGGGTCAAGTCCAAGGTCACAACTGAAAAAGTAATTACCTTAGCTACAAATGAGAAGTTAAAATAACAGAAAATAAAAACATGACCTAGCATAAAGAGTTTGAAATCTAAAATAGCAAATCAAAGCACAGCCAGGAAAATAAACCAGTGAGGTAATGGGTTCTGAGCACATCTAAGCTTCATGGTATTTGTTTTTAAATCAATAGAATACATAAAGCAATACTGTATTTCTTCTGATAGGTCTGACCCAAAGTGCATGAGGGAAAAAGATACAGCATTTGGAGACCACTATTTAAAATGGCCTTTCTGAAAACACTCTTTTCAGCTCCCAGGATCTGAACATTTTCTCAAATAAAACTGTTATTAAACTAAAAGGTCAGTGTTTCAGGAAGGGCTAGTTTAAGAGAAGCACAAGAAAGGCCAACTTTGCCTATTAGCACAGTGAGTTTCCAAGCAAATCTTTGGGAACTGGCAAAGTTTGTGAAATGAGAAAAGGAGTAAAAACAAAAAAATGTTCAAGCAATATAAATCCCATTTGCCATGGAAATTTGCAAAACTATTTCAAGTTCAGTAAGTATGGTTCCATGGCTTTTATATACACACATACTCTCCTTTTAGAAATGTGTTAAGACAAAAGAATGTTTTCTTTCCATACTTGTATAGTCTGTACTTTTTAAAATTCTTCTCAGAAACCATTTTAATTTCTTTCTCAATGGTGAATGTATCTTAAAGAACACAAACACTGGCATTTTGTCAATTAGTTATAGATATAAACACTGATCATAAAACATGTCAGAAAAAGCCAAGCATTGCAATTGCTTAGTTCTAGCAAGTGTGGCTCTAAACCATTTACTTGAAACCATTACTGAAAATAATAAATACTTGGATGATTGAAAGCAGCTCTGGATTCCTAACAAATTTTTGTTTGTCTTTACTAAACAATATTCTAAACAAATGCTTTGGCTAGTCCAAGGGTCTTCTTTAAGGTTTGCCTAGGAATCTTTTGACCCACTTAGCCACCAAAATTTCTGGGCTATAAATTTGAGTTCAGGATCAAATAAGAAAGTCCAAGATTCCTAAACTTATACTTGATCCTGAGTATTCTTAGGAAATGTGAGGAAATTCTTATTCCTCAAAGAAAGTGTAACATAAGTTCAATACACATCACCTGTCTTCTATGTGACAGGTGATGCTCAAATTCCTGTGTTTACCGAAACTGGTTAAACTAAAGATATGAAGGGAGGGAATGGTACGGGGAGACATAATTATACATTTTAGATAGATCCTTGAATGGTGAATAGAAATGACTCCAAAAGATGGAAGGACTTGATGAACTCATCAACCATGAAAAACAGAAGACTGAAAATGCAACCATGATCTGAAATATACATAGATTCCCTGAACCTCAAGGAACATACTAATTTCCTTTGTAACTTTTCCCACTTGTAATTCCCTTTTACTTCATTTTTTTTTTGCATAATCCTTACACTATAATTCCCTCCCCAATTACAGTATTTCTTAAACAATCTCTTTAAGTTGCTTAATAAAAGTTATACCTTGCTTCTTAGAGAAATATCAGTTCCTTTGGGATTTTTCCTTTAATGTATTTTTCTTTCTGGTTTCACCATTTGCTGATATAGGTCATGGCCAATTTTGTAAAGTCTATTATTTTCATGTGCTAGTTTAAACACACTAAAGAGAAACCATGAAGATCTTCCAAGAGAACAAAATAAATATATGTACCTGCATAATATAAGCAGCAGATTTCAGATAAAGACTCTGATTCTCCCAGGATTGAGATAGTTGAGCAAAAAGTTATACCATAAGATATAGCCAAATTAAATTTTCAGCTCAATAGAAATACTCATTAATCTTATAATTTCAATAAATTCATTAAAATGAAGAGCAATTATTGTTTAAGAAAATAATAATCAAAGCATCCATGCAATCAATGAAATACAACACCAAGTATATTAGAGCTAAATGACTAACAGCATAGGTTACAGGATAAATCTTGTCCTGCTCCTTATCTTCTAAAAGCTACAGGGTTTGATTGGAAGAAGAGCCAAAAGATGACTAGGATAAATCTCAAGAGTTAGAAATAAACATGTTTATTATCCATTTGTGGCACCATTTAGTTGGCAGACAAATAAACCTGATTTAAACCAGGCACACAGAGAATATAGGTATATTCAGCTGACAGTTACCTTCACCATCCTATAAGGAGAATGTATCTTAAGAGTGCCTTCAAAACAAATGGCATCTGTCTACTACCTGGCAGGGGTAACTGTGGCTACTTACGCATTAAAGTTAATGAAGATGGTAGAATGAAAGTTCTGCACTGCACATTCATAATCATAAATACTGTACCAGAAGGCAGTGTTAGGAAGAGTTTGGCAACCTGAACATCAACAGCATCAAGTTAATGGCTTATTTTGTAGCATTATCACTCCATCAGGATGTATATACCTTTGTAAATTTCTCATCTGAATGGCATATTACGCAAATAATGTTCATTTTATTGTTTGCTTCACAATAAGCACCCATAGAAACTAGCTCCATGTTCCATTCCATGTAGGAAAGAAAACATCAATACTGGGCTATAGCCGTATAGCAAGAGATAAGCTCGTAATTCATATTCTACAGTTTAGACATCTTAAGTAGACAATTCCTAAAACCCGTATTGAGAATCAGATATATCTAGTATTTCATGTCTTAATATTCTGAATAATAGTTGCAAGATCTCACACAGCCTCCAGGAAAATAAGATCTATAATTTAAATTAAAAAATAATAATTACCTTTGGATATTGCTTTCTGATACATAGCTTAATTTTTTTGTTTCAAAAATGATTATATTTTGTTCACTGGAGATAAAACTATAATACAGTGTTAACTCTCCAAACTAAATGAAGTACAGAAACCACCCAAGCTCTTTTCCATTTCACGCAAATGGTCCTGTGTGACCAAGAAAAGTAATCAATATAATGCCCTAAGTGTAATATTTAAATAAAACAAGCTAATTTATAATAAAATAATGGCATCTCATTATGTAAACGTTCAAACATAACTACCCTAGCAGACATAATAAAACAGTCTGAATCTTGAGTTTGTGTGCTAAATCATCACAAATGCAAAAGCTATTGTTACACAGTAGTTTCACTCTTGGAAAATTCAGTATACTTTAAAACCATGCAAAACATACTTTCTGTTTATATATAAAACAACTAAGTTCTCAGCCAGGTAAATAGGTTTTCAGCTCCATGAATCTCTGATGGGACATTCAGAAGTTAGAGGGCACAGGACAATTCTTGGAGATGGGAAACTACCCCCAGGCACTGCTAGCCATGAAGATCCCTCCCCGTGCCACTAAACACCACAGCTTCCCTCAAATTCCTAAAGTGCCTGAAGTGGTGCCGTACTCCTCAAGTGGGGTACTACTCAAACACTTTCTAAAGTGGTACAGTATTGCCCCACCACTGCGCACCATTGTTTTAGACAGGGCTAAAATATTCACCCTGATAAATGAAAAAAAGTGGGAAATCTAGCTATTTTATGGTTTGTATGACCACAGATAGATAGTCACAAATAATCTACTAATATTTATATGGATTTTTCAAACAGATAAACATTTGGATGACACCAAAATATCTTTCCCCAACATGATCTCTGCCTTAAGGTGCCCAAACATGACTAGCTTTCTCTAGCTCCATACTCACCAAAACCACATTTTGCCCGGTCCACTTATAAAGATCATCTTAATTTTCCTTAGGGTAATCAAAATTACTCTCTGCTAATCATCACATTGTCTATTTTTTTTTCTCTCCTGATGTCCTAGAGGGATGAGGGCTCCATTATTAATTCAATAGAAATGGAAAAGGTGGGTACAAATTGCAACCTAAACACTCCAGGTCTCTGTGAGATATCACAAGAATGTACAGATGCCAGAAACAGATTAAAACTCATCTACCCCCAAACTGTACAAATGTTTTCATTATTTAGCATTCACATTTTCAGATTACCGTCTTTAAGAGAACAATTTCCCAAACATCGATTTATTTCAAGCTGACACATTTCCCATCAAAATTATCTACACAGGATAGCGCTTGACCATTTAAAACTATGTTTTATATATGACAATATCAGAATGAATACTGAACAAACAGTTCAATAAGGCCATATCATGTTTATAATGAAGGAAAAAGAAAAAGGATTTAAAGCTACTCATCCTGAATTAACTTATAATAATTCACAGAGATTCCTTTTTGAAATTAAGGAAGTGAGGGTATAATAAGAAATAATTTCTCTATAAACAGCAAAAATAAGTTAGCTTTCACTAAAGCATATAATATTAAACTATCTAGAATAAATGGTAAGAAAGCAACAAGGATGAGTAAAATCTAAACATATATGATACTTTTAAAAAAATGCATCTATAATTCTTTTCAAGTCCTTTCAGCAATTGGATCCAGTCTTTTTTTTTTTTTTTTTTTTTTCAATGTTCAGTTTCCTTTAATGACCCCCATCTCCCTGAAGGGCAGGTGCAGGCAGCTAGGTGATGGCAAGAGATGTTCACTTGAAGATCTTGCCGTGATTGAAGGCTTTGCCCACATGCTGGAAGGCCCCCTCCCAGGAAAAGTACTCTCGAACCAGCGTCTGGGTCTCCTCTCTGCCAGGATCCAGTTTCCGCCATGTGTATGACTCGTAGTCCACCTGCCAATCTGGACTCAGCGGAAAGGCAAGCTCCTGGCCTCGGAAGACCCAGACTCCAGAAATGGAGCTGCTATTGTTGGTTCCAAAAAGGATGACACTGGCGAAGGCATTCTTCCTCAGCTTGTCCAGTCGCTGGAACATTCCAGTGATGAGATTGCAGCTCATGAAGGTCTGAGTGAGTTCTTCAGGGAAGCGATACTCTGAGTACCACAGGGACCAGCCGTCCTTATCAAAGTGCTCCCAGAAATATGGCAGTGCCACAGAGAGTGTGTCCTCATTGGAGTACTTGCGCTTAAATTCATCCAACACAAAGGTACTCTTGGGCAGGTGAGCGAAGGGGTCCTTGGCCTTGGGCTCAGCAGCCAGCGCCTGCTCACATTCATCCATCTCCTCCTCAGGAGCAGGGGCAGCCGCCTTTTTCTCCTCCTTCCGCTCAGCCTGGGGCTTCTGCTTCTCTTCCCGTGAACCCTTCTCTTTCCGTGGTGTGTCCTTTTTAGGCTGGGTCTCTGCAAACTTTTTAGCATCAAACTGGGCCATCTTCTCACACAGTTTCAGTTCCCCCAAGACAGCCCGGAACTGGGGCTGGTTAATGCAGGTGAGGAACCAGCGGTTGGTATTGCGAAAGGCCCGGCGGAAAGAAGGCTCTAGAACCTGCTTATAGAGCCACAACAGGGTGCAGACAACTGTGATGTCAGCCAATGTCACTCGTTCGCCCACCAGAAAAGTCCTCGTCTTCAAGTAAGCATCCAGCAGCCCCAGAATTCGCCTCACTTCCTCCTTTGCATTCTCAGTGGCCTGTTTGTTGTGGTGCATGATGCCCAAGGTGGGGAACACCCAGGTACTGGCTGGGGGCACTATATCGGAATCAGCAAAGCTCACCCACTGCACCACCTGGGCTGCTGCCTCTGGAGTACTTCCCCGCAGCTCCTCATTGCTCACATAGTAGGCAATGGCGTTGCTCTCAAACACACAGAATCCATCATCACCCTCAAATGCTGGGACCTTGCCGGCAGGAAATTTGCGAAGAAATTCAGAGGTGCGGTTGGTTTGGCCAAAATGGAAGTGGGGTGGTGCGGAGAGCACGCGGATCTGAGCCCCGCTGTACTGAGCAGCGATGAGAGCCTTGAAGGCCCTCCAGTTTTCAGGATACGTGTACAGGGTCCCAGCCGCCATGGTGATTCCGCAAAGAAAGGCTGGATCCAGTCTTAAAAGTGTTATCAGGTAGGGGTCCTTAGGGGAACTGTTTTAATGAAACTAGTAATTAGAATACCAACTTATTCTCCATAAATAGTAACATCCAACACACATGATGATTTCATAAAATAATTCGCTAGGCAATTGAGATTTCCTTTAGGGGAATTTTCTTACCAAACCCTCCCCAACTCTCACCCCATGACCCCTTTCCCATCCTGTTAGTGTAAGTAAACATAATTCTTCTCTAATTTTCTGACAAATTGTAAATTAAATGAATCCAAATGAGTAAGATTTTACTGCATGTTTTAACACTTTTAAATGATTGTAACATTTTTATCTCAAGTTACACAGTTCATAGGGAATTTAACAGGAAGAAATTAATCTAATAAAGCATTATACATATATAATATTTAAAATCTTTAAAAGAATAGTATAAAATGTTCACATTTAAATTTATATGCATTTCAAACAAGGCAGTGAAATAAGAATGTTACGACATGTTACACATGCAAAACTTTCATTTTACAGTTATAACCACTGTGTGGGTGTTGGGGGTATATACCATAGGATTGTGAAATAAAATACAGAAATATGTCATATCTGGTTCATCTTAAATAGGTAGAAAAACAGCTCAATGAAAAGTATTCATGGCAAAGTATGTTTAATAAAAGAGTCAGGTTTACAGAGACCTGTGTTCTCCTGACTACCCTCTGTGACTTTATTTCTAATCTACAAATTACTAATAAGGTTTCTCTTGAAGATGAAATGCCGTAGAATGAGGAGGTATTTTCAGGTCAAACATGAACATCATTACATAAACAGAATGAAACTCTTCAATTGGAGAACCAACAGCATTTTATTAAAAATCCTGACTGATGCTGTATAACATTTCATTGAGCCAGTACTATAGTTTGCAAGAGACTGTTTAAAGCCATATATTCTTCAGAATGTCAACATGCTAGGATTTGTTGGTTTTTTTAACCTACAGAAAAGATTATGTAACAAGAAGAATTTGTGGTGCATTTTCATAAAGATTTAGGATCTGGCTTGATGTCCAGGTTCAATAAGTATTTTAGCTTCTGATCATCAAGATTCACATATTTATTGTAAATGAATTTGATCTGAGAGTAACAAGAATTTATCTGAATCTCTTTCATTATCTTTGAATGCTGCTAAAGTAATAGAATATGATGAATGATGACGAGACCAAAGGTTAAAGTAAAATTGATGTTGATCAAGCATTTTCTAAAAATTCATCTTCATGACAAGCTTAAAAGACTATTAAATCTTCCTCCTAAGAAACATGAAGTGTAGTGTGGCAAAGAGAAAGATTTAGACAATGAGGGAGAACAATATACATTTTATATATAAAACAATGAAAAACTAGAAGCAAATTAAATGTCCAAAAACAGTGAAATGGTCAAATAATACAATGCTAACATTAAAAAACATGCTTTAAACCCCACGAAAAATTTCTCACAAGTGAAAAGATACCAGGCTGAACACACTATTTGGTCTTCATTTTGTTTTCTATATGTACAGTACTGAAAAAAGCCTAAGGACACCATCACAAAGAAATACATACATATAGCCCAGCACAGTGGCTCACACCTGTAATCCCAGCACTTTCGGAGGCTGAGGCAGGCGGATCACCTGAGGTCAGGAGTTCGAGACCGGCCTGGCCAACATGGTGAAACCACACCTCTACTAAAAGTACAAAAATTAGCCAGGCGTGGTGGTGCACACCTGTAGTCTCAGCTACTAGGGAGGCTGAGGCAGGAGAATTGCTCAAACCCGGGAAGCAGAGGTCGCAGTGAGCCGAGAACACGCCACTGCACTCCAGCCTGGCGACAGAGCGAGAGACTGTCTCAGAAAAAATAAATACATACATACATAAATACATATGCCAAAATGATACTAATGATTACCTTTATATTTGGGAGAAATGGATCATTTTCCTTTCTCTCTTTATACTTCGTTGCAGTGTTTACCAAGAACACATTTTTACTTTCATAATCATTTAAAAGTTATTTTTAAACAATGCATAATGAGGCATAATTTCAGTTTTTAAAAAACACCTTTATCAATTCAATCATGAACATTACATAGTATATCAGTTTAGCTAACAGAAGTTCAAACCATTCTTATACCAAAGAGAGTTGGCTGGGATTAAAGTATCTAAAAGTAGGTAGCACAGGCTCTAAGAAAACAAAATTGGTTCATGTTCTTTTCCTTTGACCCCACAGGTATCCTGCCCATATACCATTATAAGACTATGTGTTCTTAAAAGGTAAATTACAATCAAACATCTGTATTATATTATATGATATATTATATTATAGAAAAATGCAATCATATACCTTTATAACATTTGGGAAAGCAGAATTTACAGCACACAGTTTCTTATGTACACTATCTAGAAGCACACCATACAAGGGTTATTTGCTGAAGAGTTCCTCTGTAATTGAACACAATGAGATTCAAAGTGTCTCCAAAAGGATATTCATGGCCATATTGAATACAGGTAGAAAAGAGAGGAAATGTTAGAGAGCCAAGACATTCTCTTTTCACTCTAGCTTCTCAAGTAGCATTTAATTTTGTCTTCCATTTAGATTTTTCAATTGATAACACCAATCATCCTAGTATGATGAATGATATATGTTACCAAGGACAGCTGATGAAAAATTCTTGGCCACTGACTTAAGCCATCAGCTGAGGTTAAGCTAAGTCAGATATAAGGAATGAAAGGTAACCCGGATAGCATTTTCTACATCATGCAACAAATACCCCGCAACATTAATAGCAAAGTTCTATAGAGATCCACTTCCTACATGTGGCATCACTGCCACAAAATGTCACTACATATTGGGGTGTTCTAGAAAATCACTCTATAAATTGTCCACTTTGGCTATGAAATAGAGACCTATTCATTTTATTCCATACAATTGAAAATATAACTTCAACTGTAAATGTAAACTATATTATATCCAACATTACATTCTTTGCTGCCACTAGCAAAATAAAACATTTAATAGTCCTTGCTTGCTGTTTGGATTTACACATGGTGGGAAACGCATATAAAGTTTAGCTTTGCCTCCTTAAAATGGAATCTGACAACTGCTCACTGAGGTTTTGTGGACTTTAGTGTCTCTAGTGAAAGCTGTTATTCAACAAACCAATTTCTTTTTTTTTAAGTTGCTTAGTCCATGCACACGCCACAATCAACTGGCTAAGACAAAAATATTTTAAATACCTATTTGTGGGTATTCTATCTCAATAACAAATATCAAAACCATTATTTTTCCACAAAGCTTTCAAGACATGGTAGCAATGACAAATGACAGGACACGATAAGAGATATTACAGCTTTATCTTGAGTTTAATCATCTTATTTATTTGGATTTAAAGAAAAATCAAACTAAATTACTCATTCCTTATAGTAGCAAGAGGAATCCTCAGATGCTGTCTCTGCCATTTCAGATATAATTTTAAAATACCAAGTCTTTTCAATTTTTAATCCATGCTGATAAATCAAGAGTAACTAAAATCCAAACAGGAATTCAGACAGGTGAGAAAATGAAGTCTTTGTAACCAAAATACTCCAGCATAACTCAGCTCTATATGGAAAAGAACTTGCATGTCAGAGTTGCCAACATTTTCCGCACTTGAAGTCTTGACTATGCCTTTTTCCACTGTCATCTGGGAAGCCAAGGAAAATTATAAATCTCAAATAACACAGCAGAGGCTGCCCCGAGCAGCAGCCTACAAAGCAGCCCCATATCTATTCTTTCTGCCCTCCAATAACTGAAACTCAATTTGTGGTTGAGCACATGGCTGGTCAGAAGGAAGACTACATCTTCCAGCTTCTCTTGCAGTTAGGAATAGCCTAGTGACTAAGTTCAGGCCAAGAAAATGTGAATGAACAGGGTGCACGCAGCTTCAGAGTCATCCCCCATGACACAGGCTCAAGGATAGTTGTGAGCCTAAGACAGAAAAGACTGGGTCCCAACATTAGGGAATCATCAAATTATCCAAAATGTTACATGAGAGAAAAATAAAATTTTAACTTTTTGAGCCATGTAACTTAGGGTCTCCATTAGAACAGTGGAACCTATATTCGACCCCACATATCTTACTAAAACGTATGTCCAACTCTACCCTTTGTCAGACCTAGAAGAATCAAAGGATAGCCTCAAAAACATGCAGACTTAGAAAGAAAAGCTAAAAATCAGCTATGTTGGGTATACTTGCAAGAGCTGGAAGAGACCTCAGAGCAGAAGCCTATAGCTGCCCCAGGAAAGTCTCTTTTTTCATTATCCCTACTGAAGGAGTGAAGGACATGCCATCCCAAAATATGCTGGAATGGCCTATTGACTATTTCAAGTTGAAAACACTGGAGGAATTGTAGTTTCAGAAGGGGCTAGCTGACCTTTCTCTTCCCGCATGCAGTAAGCCATCAAGATTCCTCTGGGAGGGGTACCCTTCCAGTACTGGGGTGAGAAAACAGCCCTTACCACCAGACATTGAGAACTGGGGCTGCAACAGACCTGAATAAATATACTTAATGAAGTAACCCTTATCTTCCACTAGTTTTATACACCCCTCTATATATCTCAGTAACTCCCCTAGAAAATTTATTGCCCCTCACCAAAGTTTACTTGTCCTGTCATTTCTTCTCAAATTCATTGTTCTTTGTCAAAAAAGTATACAAGCATCTTGCTGTGGTTACTTCCTCGGATTCACTCTCTTATGAAGATCCCCATGAACACGTCGATGATGTATATGCTTTTCACTTGTTAATATGCCTGGTGTCAATTTAGTTTGCAGATCCAGCCAAAGAGCCCATTTACACAAGAGCAAAAAGGGGAGTCAGAGATGATCTCTCACTCCCCTATACTACCCAGCTATCCATAATAAGAGGAAATTAAAGAGTCATTAAAATGCTTTTTCCATCCCAGGGTAAGTAAGCCATAAAACAAGCCATTCAGTCGCAGTCGAAGAGCCCTTTTATTATTTCTAAAATGAGGGCCATGAATTAGATCACCTCGAGTGTCCCTGCTGGTAAATGTATTTCTGAAACTGTGGTTCTCTGCCCATGGCATCACAGCAGAGCAGCTAAGAAGGTCGCCTGTAGAATCAGAATGCCTCGATCTAAAACCCTGCCATGCCATGTGTTTATGTATATTGTTGGCCAAGTTTATTAGCTTCCCCGTAACTCAGTTTCCTTGCTTGTATAGTGGGAATTATACAAGTATCCAGGTAATAAGATTGTTGTGAGAATTATATCACCTTCTGATAAATACCATTACCTCATTAGATTACATTTTAGTTCCCATAAACCTACTTTACCCAAATCCCTATATAAATAACACTCAAATTTCAAATAACAAGGAATTTATAGATTGCACATCAATGACTAAATTACCTTTCCTACTCTAGTAATTCTTCAAGGCTCCATCCAGTCATCTACTTCCTGTTTAATGATAATCTAACAATCATAGTACCTACATACTAATAATTCACTCACTCTCAACCACCTTTCTGGCAAGCTAACCTTTAATGAAAAAATGTCTCAGCTATCCCAATGTTTGCTGAAAACCTAAGTGAAGCGATGCTCTTGATTTATTTTTCCATCCTTTCTTCCCATGTACCATTCTGCATAATAGCAGCAAGGGTCCAGTACAAATCTTCCTAAATCTTCCTTTTTCACAGGTTTTCTTTTATTCAAAATTCACTAAGCAGAATGAAATGAAAGGACTGATTGAGTCATAACTTCATTATTCCCCCATCTCCATCTACTCCAGTCATATACGCAAAACTTGAATGTGATTTAGAACACCCTGTCCTGGCTGTCCCCATCTAAGAACCCACTTTCACTATTCTATGTTCTGCTGCTAAACTCTGGGAATTTCTAAGACCCAAAGCAAACAACTGCTCTAATTCAATACTGCCTTTGATACGCTAATAGTCCTATGAGGACTTCGACTATCAGCTAAAAAATAAACATAGTTCAGGTCTAAAGCAGTCTGCCTGGGCATAAGTTAGGTAAAATACGAATACATAAGAGGTGCTGGCAATGTTTTTGGCATTAGTGTAAAGTTCTGTAAGAAAATAATTATTTTTAAGCATGCAATGACAGAACTGCCACATTCCTAGGAAATGTAAATTATATCCAAGGGCCCTTTTTTTCCAGCATAGCATGTCCAATTTTATAAAAGATGTAAATGGAGAACTATAATCCACTTATACATATTCACTTAAAAGCAAGCTTGGTTGAAACACATCTATTTTTTTATGAGCAATATTTATACTTTTACAATCTTAAAAAGGCTTCTCTTCATCACACTGCGGTAGTATTTCTGCATGTCCCTAAGATTCTCTCCAACTATCTTACGTTTCCCTTTGAATACTCACAAAGACACACCTCCAAGGCTTAACACCAAGAGAACACATTCTGAGACAGTCTTTTATTGCTTGCTGCCTCCAGACAACCATGGCAACCTTTTACTCAAACCATCCTTATCCCAGAAAGATGTAGGGAGCTTGGCATCCCTGCTAGGTTACACTCATCATTATAATCAACTCTGCGATGACACAGGGGACCAGGCAAGGCCAATATACTGCAGAAATCATTCAAAACTGGCTCTAGTCTGTGCCAATGTGTACACATTTTCATACAATCACTCTCTGATGCAGAAACCGGGAAGATGTTCCATGTCCCTACCCCAAGGCTCTTCTCTCTGCTACACATTCCAACAGACAACTGCATTTCTCATAATAACACAATCTTAAGAAACCTTTGGTAATATTTTTAAACATCTGTAACTTGTATGTTACATAAGTGATTTTACTTAAAACATTTTATTTTAAATAATGAATATTATTAATAAAGATCATGACAAAGTTTTTTTTTGTTTGTTTGCTTCGGGTATTCAATTTTTTTGATGCAGGGTCTCACTTTGCCACCCAGGCTGGAGCCTAGCAGCACAAACACGGCACACTGTAGCATCAATGGCCAGGGCTCCAGTGATTCTCCCACCTCAGCCCCACCGAGCAGCTGGACCACAGGTGTGCACCACCACACCCAGCTAATTTTTGTATTTTTTGTAGAGACAGAGGTTTCATTATGTTGTCCAGGCTGGTCTCAAACTTCTGAGCTCAAGCAACCCGCCTGCCTCAGCTTCCCAAAGTGCTGGGATTACAGCCGTGAACCATCACACCCAACCCTTAATAACAAAGTTTATTGTAATAATCTTTTTATACCATTTATATCAAGATAAAATTTAACTTGTTGCAGCCTTTAATTATGAAAAAAATTTAAATATGACACTATATTGTATTTCATTTGTGGACCAACCATATTTTTTAATGTGGACAAAACTGACTTAACTGTTACAGTTTCAAAAATAGACAAAATCGACTGGACACGGTGGCTCACACCTGTAATCCCAGCACTTTGGGAGGCCAAGGCGGGCAGATTACCTGACGTCAGGAGTCTGAGACCAGCCTGGCCATCATGGCGAAACTCCGTGTCTACTAAAAATATAAAAATTAGCTGGGCGTGGTGGTGCATGCCTGTAGTCCCACCCAGCTACTCGGGAGGCTGAGGCAGGAGAATTGCTTGAACCCGGGAGGCGGAGGTAGCAGTGAGCCGAGATAGCGCCACTGCACTCCAGCCTGGGTGACCGGTTGAGACTCCATCTCAAAAAAAAAAAAAAAATAGACAAAATTCCCTTTCATGCTCTACTGTTCAGAATTCTCACATTTTGCACTTAGGGAAGTTAACTTATTTGATTTTAGAACTTTTGTGTTTTATTTATGACAGGATAAAAGATTTCAGGGTACTATTTGCAAATGCAAATAAAATTGGGGGAGGATAGTTTTTATTCCTAATAAATGAAGAGCAACCTTTCTAAGATTAAGTAGCAAAATATGAGACACACCCCAATGTGCTATATGAGCATTTTAGCAAATGAATACATTTTAGTAGTCTAGTGAAAAGCATCCTGACGCTAATTTTCAGAGGCATCATCACATTTATGATGCTCATTAACCTGCTTTTCAGCATCAGTGTCCCGTATGTTTCCAGATTTCTACCAATAATCTATTATGGGCATAAATTAAACACTGCATGACTATGAATAAAAAGTTTAAACTATGTAAATGTCTAATCACCATGGCAGGTAGCAGCATGTGTGATAAACCAACTGTGGATAAAGCAACTGAAGGGCTGAAACCCCTTTGCCTGATCTCTACTAACAATCACAAAACTCACTAGACATTTAAAGAAAATACTTAAATAATTGTTTTATTGGTTGATTTGTTAATAGAAATTAAAATGTTCTCCATTAGCGCTTTTAACAGCATGCGCTCTCCAAAACATTGTCATTTAAGTTCCCAGTTGGGAATGGTACAAAATACAAACCTAGGCAGACCTGTATTCTTTCAAACATTACCTATAATTGAATAAATGCTTACATTTTTAGGTTTTGTAAGTTTCCTGATAGGATGCAGCAAAATAAAAGTTAATGGGTGGGGAGAATAATTACCCCAAAATAATAACAATAATAATACAAGAAGTACTAAAGGAAAATAAAATACCATTCAATTTATAAGCCAAATTTAAAATAATCTGTCCTCAGATAATCAGAAGTTAATAGTATTCTCCAGCCCTATTGTAATCAAAAGACTGTTACAAAAATTCAGGCCAAAAGCTTTTGCAAGCTATTTTTGTGAAATACAAAAAGACTGTAAAGTGTTGGTAATGATTAGAAAGCCCAAGGCTGGAAAGAGTCAAGGGAGAGAATGTATATGGCAGAAGAGCAGTCCACTGGATGGGTCTGCAGGGCAGACTTGGGAGAGGGAATCCAGGAAGCTGCATGGAAGCTCACACAAATCTGCAGCTCTCCTCCCCAGGCGGGAGATGAGGCTGACAGCAGGGCTGAGGCACTGCCTCCCAAGTCCTGCAGCTCTGATCCAGGATGCTGGCCTGGGGAAAGCAACGCACATACTCACTGCATGATGCGGGGTTAGGGGAGCATGGCAACCCTGCTGAGCGGTAAATGTGCTCAGTCGTTTTTTTCCCCTCTACCTAAAGCTTTTCCTGTCAACAGCATCCGAGTTACTTAGTATCTCTGGAGCAACTCAGACAGAGGGGCTTAACAGTTTAGAAGAAACAGCTTATGATTCCCCACCTAAGAGAGGAAATAAAATGCATTTAAGTGAATGCCTCCCATTTAATTAACAAAAGAAAGAGTAGAACTAGATTTTAGGTAAGGATGGAAGCAACTACAATACACTTAAGCTGTCAGGCCTGACAACTGACGAAGAGGTTCAGACTCACCCAGTGAAAAGCAATAAAACAAACCTTTTCAGGCTTACACGACGCACAGGAGAGACATGCCATTTCAGTGCA
Source organism: Homo sapiens (assembly GCF_000001405.40). Lineage (NCBI taxonomy): Eukaryota > Metazoa > Chordata > Mammalia > Primates > Hominidae > Homo > Homo sapiens. The sequence goes on from NC_000007.14 coordinate 133,045,357, forward strand.
CTCTAACATTCTATTTCAGGTCCTGTCTCTGCTCTACCTACCAGTCATCACTAATGGAGAACTGAACTGAAACTCTCTATGACAGTCACCCTCATTAAAACAAATTGCCCAGAAGAAGCTGAAATATAGAAGGCAAAGGCTTTTTAATGAAGAAAATAACAAACTTCAATATGATCATTTTATCTTTAGGGGAGAGGTAGGCAGAGAACTGACTAGAACATTAAGAAACACAAATAATTTAAACTTATAGGTTCTAACCATTTTAAATTAAGTAAATTTTAATTTTTACCCTCCAGGATCTCGCAACATATGTATATGCTGATATAGTTTGGATCTGTGTCCCCGCCCAAATCTCATGTCAAATTGTAATCGCCAGTGTTGGAGGTGAGGCCTGATGGGAGGTGACTGGATCATGGGAGCTGATTTCCCTCTTGGTGCAATTCTTATAGTGAGTTCTCATGAGATCTAGTCGTTTAAAAGTGTGTGGCACCTCTCGCTGCCCCTCCTCCTCCTCCAGCCATGTGATGTACCCCCTTCCCTTTCATCTCCTGCCATGATTGTAAGTTTCCCAAAGCCTCCCCAGAAGCCAGCAGATACTGCCATGCAGAGTCATGAGCCTACAGACTGCAGACTCATGAGCCAATTAAACCTCTTTATCAGTCTCAGGTATTTCTTTATAGCAGTGCAAGAACTAATACTTAAGCCTGAATCTTACTTTTTTTAGTGAGGTCTTACATTGTTTGCATATATTTTTGCTTTTGTAATTGTTTATTCTGTTTTTTAAGAGCAGATCCAGCAGGTGGCATAAATGTTTATAAACATGAGAGACCGGTATAATCTGATGAAGTAGTTCTTAACCTGGGAATTCAAGAGATCTGTAAACTTGGATAGGAAAAAAAATGCATCTTTATTCTCACTAACTTCTAAATAAAGTATGCATTTCCTTCAAATATGAATGATACCCTAAAACCTAGTAGTATTAGCCACAGTACCTGTGATTTGTCACCAATAGAAATCACACATTTTCATAACACATTACAATAGTTTCAGACATTCCAAATATTCATGCTCATCACTACTTTGAAATAATAGTAGTTAATACACCCAACACCAGGTCATTTTATTTAATGTGCTAGTAAGTCAGTGTATATTACAAACTTGGGTTTTTTTAATTATATATAATTGGTTTCTTTTGTAATGCTATGTATTTTTTTGGGGGGGGGAGACGGAGTCTCCCTTCTGTCGCCCAGGCTGGAGTGCAGTGGCGCGATCTCGGCTCACTGCAAGCTCCAGCCTCCCAGGTTCATGCCATTCTCCCGCCTCAGCCTCCCGAGTAGCTGGGACTACAGGCGCCCGCCACCACACCCGGCTAATTTTTTGTGTTTTTTAGTAGAGACAGGGTTTCACCGTGTTAGCCAGGATGGTCTCAATCTCCTGACCTCGTGATCTGCCCGTCTCGGCCTCCCAAAGTTCTGGGATTACAGGCGTGAGCCACCGCACCCGGCCATATTTTTTGTATTTAAAAGTAAAATGGATCCACAGGCTTCACCAGAATGCCAAAGTGCAACTTGGCACAAAGCAGGTTAAGAACCTTTAATCCAGTAGAATGTACAGGTTTGGAGTGAAGACCCAAACTTACATCAGACATTGTTACCTGTGGTCTAGAGTAAATCACTTAATCTCTCATAGCCTCGGTTTCTTCGTTCACAAATGCTTCCACGAGCTGCTGGGATATGCTAATGTACAAAAGGGGACGAATCAAATGTTAGACAACACCAGATCATGGAAGCGATGCTAGAGTTAATAGCACATACACAGTCAATGGGACTTCTTTTTTTTTAAAGAATTTAACCCAAAAAATGTTTCAGAGGCAAGACAAAGGTAAAAGAGAACATTTCACAGTTTTATAATCCCAACTCTACAAAAAAGAGTACTGCCCTCAGAAAATTTTCATAAGACAATCCAAAAAGCCAAAATGACAACCCAGATATGAACCAATCAACTCATTATTTCACATAATCATCTACATTTCTGTCACTCAGGAAAAGCTACCCTGCCTGAATTAACAAGAAGAGAATATTAACAGTTGTATTTAAGATGCAAATGTGGTATATCCTTGAGCAAAAACGAGTCTCATGACTTTGTCCTTACCACAGAGGATAACACATTTATAAACTGTGTTGGAATGTTTTTGTTCAAATATGTTTTACGTGTTTCAACAATCACAGATCAAATTACAGGTGAAAAAAATCCAGTTTATTTGTCATTCTGAATTAAAAATAGTAAATGAATTGGCTACATTATGAAACTAATATCTCAGCTAATGCAGACAAAAAAAATCTTTAATCCTCAGAGATTGGAGGTAAAAAGGAAGAAAGGAGAGATACAGATAATCCCAAAAGTCAGACAGTGGCTTCAGTTTTGGACCCAGTAAAAAATACCTACTCAGGGCCAGGCGCGGTGGCTCATGCCTGTAATCCCAGCACTTTGGGAGGCGGAGGTGGGCAGATCACCAGAGGTCGGGAGTTCGAGACCAGCCTGACCAACATGGAGAAACTTCCGTCTCTACTAAAAATACAAAATTAGCCAAGTGTGGTGGCACATGCCTGTAATCCCAAGCTACTCGGGAGGCTGAGGCAGGAGAATCGCTTGAATGCGGGAGGTGGAGGGTGCGTGAGCTGAGATCACGCCATTGCACTCCAGGCTGGGCAACAAGAGCGAAACTCTGTCTCAAAAACAACAACGACAACAACAAAACTCCCTTAGGTCTGATCCTAGGTTAAATAAAAAAAAAAAAAATACCTACTCAGACAGAATCACTTACTTCGTGGAGACAGCCATGAGCTGTGGGGATAAAGTCAGCGGGGGAGGGAAAGCGTAGTTTATATCTGCTTATATCTGCTAGTACTCTGACACTGGGCTGGGAAAATAATATGCACATATAACTTGAAGTGACTACAAAACAACAATAATTTTAATCCATCATTGAGAACAATATAAAACAATAAAATATAACTATACAAAACTGAGTGCAGTAAGTGGCAAATTAAGAAGTAATCAGAGTTCCATAGGGATAGTCAGGATAGGCTTCCTGGAAGAGGCAGGATTTTTACTAATTCCAAAGATGAATCCGGCCTAATAGAGAAGTGAGGAGAAGGGTGACAAATAAGGGAGGGGTAAAGAGGCAGAAGGGAAGCAGGGATCATAGCAGCTAGTTTAGAAATAAACAAAAGGGACCACCATTCTAAATTAAGTCATCAAAATAGCTAGTCATAGACAATTGGAAAATCACTACCAAAGGGTAAGTGTAGGAAACTCCCCCCTAAAACAATTGAAAACCTCTCAGATACAATAATAATAGAGTGTTTGGAGAACAGCAGTAACATAGAAATGTATGTGCAAATACTCCCCCCAAGCGGGCCGCAAAAGATATATAAATCCACAAAGTGAGAGAGCAAGCACTTCGGGGTGTGTGAAAGCAAGAGGAAGCAGAGTTGAAGACATTCTGCAAGTTTCCGCCAAGAGAATGGAATTTTTCTTAAAATATGCACACATCTGCCCTAAAGTCACATAAAATAAATGTGTTGATTTAAAAGTACCAGGCATCTGATATCTTAGCAATAGCTTTTCAATTCCATAACCTCTTATTTTAAAATCATTTCAAACCACAGAAAAGTTGTAAGAATGCCATAAAAAATCCGCGTATACCCTTCACCCAAACTTCCCAATTAACATTTCACCAGATATATTTGATCATTCTCTCTATACAAACATAACACGCACATACACACACAAATATTTTCTTCTGAAACACATGACGATAAATTGCAGACATGATGCCTTTACCCCTAAATATTCCAACGTAATTTCCAAAACACAAGGACAATCTGTTATATAACTACAGCACCATGATCAAATTAGGACATTAACAGCCATAAATACTATAATGTACAGATCATATTCTTTTGAATCAATTATCCACAATAGAGCTTCTAAAGGGAAAGAAATCTGATTCAGATTCAAGATGATGCACATATTTTTAGACATGTGATTTTTTAATTTATTGTAGGCAGACTTAATTAAACTTAATAAATCCAAGGTAAACAGTACCCAACAATTTTATCCTACTTTGAAGACTATAATGTGCTTGTTAGTGATGTTTATTACCACTTCTCATTTAACCGCCAATACTTAACCAATAATGCTTGAGGGCAACAAGCCTTACTCATCTTTGTATTCCTCATAATTTATACACACTATGAATGTTTGAGAAGCAAAGTATGTTTGAAGTTTGAAAGATGTTTCAAAAAAATAGAAACAGCAGGGCTATTCTTTTCAGGTTAAACTCTCCATTAAGATTCTCCATGAAAGAAAAAAGGTAACTGTACATTAATACAATTAGAGAATAATAGTGTCTGAACATGAAACAATTTCTTTACTTGTGGTGTTTAACCATTTAGAATAAAGAAAATACTCCATAATCCACACTTCCACTGTGAACCTCTGAACAATGACTCCTTGGTCAAAGTCCTTTTTACAGCTAGTGCACTGCTGCTACATGCCATTGCTTCTAAGGTACACATTTATTCGTCTCTGATACCGACGGTATCTTCCTGTCACTGTGGGCCAGGTGGTAGTCATAACATAGTTCATGACATTATCTATGTGAGATCAAGAAGGCAGTAGCATCAAAACATGCAGAATGAAGGGCCAGGCGTGGTGGCTCATGCCTGTAATCCCAGCACTTTGGGAGGCTGAGGCGGGAGGATCACTTAAGGCCAGGAGTTCGAGATCAGCCTGGCCAACATGGTGAAACCCTGTCTCTACTAAAAATACAAAAAATTAGTGTGGTGCTGCATGTCTGTAATCCCAGCTACTCAGGAGACTGAGGCACAAGAATTGCTTGAACCCGAAAGGTGGAGGTTGCAGTGAGCCAAGATCTTGCCACTGTACCTAAGCTGAGTAACAGAGGAGGCTGTGTCTTAAAAAAAAAAAAAAAAAAAAAAAAAAAAAAAAAAATGCAGAATGAGAGTCAGCAGCTTGGAAGAAAATTCCAGGATAGACAGTAGAGCACACTTTTTAACAACTGCTACATTACTACCACTCTTAATGGCACACAGGGTGACAGTATAGGAAAAAACACTCACATGGACAACATGGAGGCAGAAAATGATTCAGAAGACTTGGGCTCTGAATGTAAGCTTCAAGAATATTGCTACCAATTCATTTCACTTAAATTTTCCTTTTTATTTATGAACATAGATAGAACAACTCCAATAAACATAAAATGAATATTCTAATGGATAGGAAAGCACTTTATCACAGCTTAACTGTCAAGGTTATTTCTTAGTGGAACATAAAATCTTAAAAATATGCCAGGCGCAGTGGCTCATGACTTTAGTAATCCCAGTACTTTGGGAGGATGAGGGAGATAGACCACTTGAGGTCAGGAGTTTGACACCAGCCTGACCGACATGGCAAAGCCCTGTCTCTGCTAAAAATACAAAAAATTAGCCAGGCGTGGTGGAACGTGCCTGTAATCCCAGCTACTCAGGAGGCTGAGGCACCAGAATCACTTGAACCCAGGAGGCAGAGACTGCAGTGAGCTGAGATTGAACCACTGCTCTCCAGGCTGGGTGACAGAGCAAGACTCCATCTCAAAAAATAAAATAAAATCTTATAATTACTGGCATCTTAAATGCAATAAAACACAATATTTCAAGCACAGAGAATACTGCTCAATGTTCTTGAAGAGTTCCTTCAGAAAAAGACCACAGCCAAGCCAGAAAGCATAACAACAATTACACCTGCTAGCTTTAAACTTCTCCAAACACTGACAAGGTTCTTGTAAGCCAGTGGGGGCACTGCAACATTCAAGCAGCCACTTCTTGAGGCTGCATTTCAAAAGGCAGGATCTCTATCTCCATTATAACATGTTTCTGCCTCATAACAGGGCAAGCAAACAGCGCGGGGAGATAGCATGACACACACACCCTTCCAAACCAAAACACAGCTGCTCTGTTAAATTTAGACCTACCAACCTTGACAGTACCCTTTTAACTACTATTTTTTCCCTAATTCTCTGGGGTGCTTTTTTTAAACCTAGAAGCTGCCAACAGCATTTTTCTACTAGCCAAGTTATTCTAAGCATCATATCCAAATAATGCAACATAAATAAATTCTTCTAAAGCAATAGATTTGTTTAAACGTATACTCTTGCACCTTGATCATTTTTATTTTTTTCTAATTTTTAAATTTTATATATTAGTTCTAGGCATACACACATATGTATATGTATGAATGAACATTTAGAGATAAAATTGCATTTCAGGCTGCTTGAGGATAACCTCAAAAAAAGACAATTCTCATTTATAAATGTTCACAGACATATACAAATAAGCTCATAATTATAACTATATGTAGCTATATAACTATAGCTGCAAATCTAATCATTCGTTCAAAAAAATGTTTTGTCCAAGTATAATCGCAGTGTTAGGAAACAAAGACGAATGAAAATGGTTCTTATCTAAAAAGCTCAGAATCTATCAAGGGAATCTTAGAGATAACAGTCCATTCCACCATCTGACAGATAAGAACACTAAGGCCCAGAGAAATAAAGAAACATACCCAAGGTAAAACAGCCAGTTGGTTATAAGGTTGAGATAGAAGTATTTCTAGTCAGCAATCCAATACCATGCCAATTTAGTCTCTACTGATTCTACAATGTTCTAGGCATTAGGTTAGCCCTGAGTTAAGTATTATTCCAATGTTATAAAGAGCCCCATGGTGACTCAGGGCTGGCTGGTCCCAAAACCTGAGCCCCCTCATTGTATCAATTGCCTCTGTGCTAACCATTCTGCAGCTACAGACCTTCACAGACTCTGGCCTCTGTCTCCCTGAAAAATGACCCGACACAGCATCAAAGTATTTCCATGTGCAGGTACTAAATCCTCCCTCCCTCCTACATAAAGTTTAGTGGAGGAGAGGAATGCAATCGTTGATAGCTTTGAAGCAGAGAAAAGCAAAAACAAAAAACCACCACCATCATACTTGAAATAGTGAATAAACAAAAGCCAACCAAAATTATATCAACTATTATAAAAGTGAATTGTTACAATCCCTTGATGTCACTGACCAGCCATGCCAGCCCTGGGCAAAACAGCAAGCAGGAGAAAGCTTGCCTTTGGCATTAGCCTGTACTGCAAAAAAACTTCAGTGACTAACGAACTGTTAAAATGCTCATACTAACATATCTGTGGTTGACACATTATTTTCTTAAGTGACAAACACACATACACAGACACACATTTGTATGTATACAAATGTTTGCTTGTAATCAAAACTGCATAGAGACAATAACTGAACTCAGATGTTGGAATCCAAAGTTGATATTTCAAACCCTCTCACAAGACATATGGAAAACCTGTACAGAAAGGAGCCAACCTTGACCGCAGCTATGGAAAACCATGCCAACTCTTCAGGGGTGCCATAGCTCATTTGTATATTCGTCATTAAAAAGTAAAATGCTATTTGGGTTTCCAAGTTAACCCAAAAACCCATGATAAGCCTGAAGAATTATTCTAACAACAATATTTCATCTGTACTCATTCTTTCTTTGGGAAAATGCATTCTGGATCCCTTTGTTCCATAATGGGAATTGCCCAAGAAAGACTAGTGGCTTTGGCACACAGCTCCTATCACTCTAAACTTCCTCCAAATTCACACGGCATTTTCTCTATATTTTTCTCTTGGCAGTCACTGCTTTTTACAATTTCTTAATAGTTGCTTATTTATAGCTATGTTAGCCCCTGTCACTCTTGGACATCACAAATATAGTAAGAGGCAAAGCTGAAGGCCAGGCTCAGTCACGTCAGGGCTTAAATATCTATCAATATTCGTGCTCCTTTCACCTAACCACAGTGCTGGCTGGCCATTTATTCAATAGGTGTCTCAGAGCAAACTCTTGGGTCATGCACAGGAGGGATGGGGACTATTTGCAACACTCAGAGAATCTCCCACCAAATCCTGACGCCTCTGCCTCTCTCTGGTCTAGTGAGCACTCAAATTTATACTTGGAAAGACCTACTGATTCAGCCCAAGCCATTCCACTGAGCAACACTCTGCTAGTCACGGGACACGTCATGAGAAGCCAAATATAATACTTTTGCTATGACAGAGTCTATGAAGAATCCCTAGTAACAATCACATGTGTGGTGAAGAACCACCCACTTCCACTATTCCTTTAAATCAGGGTCAAGTAGATTGTGTCTCCCTCCCAAGACGTTAATCTGAAGCATCCCATTCTTCAAAATAGTTGGCAATTATATGAAAAAGAAAAATGCATACATAATAATGCTAAGTGTCCTAAAGAATGACTCTGGTGATAAAGTGTCAGAAAATAACTGTTTTATTTAAGTTACTTGATGATGATCTCATTCAAGATTTCTTGTGGTTAACTGCATGATAAATACCTTCTGGCTATGATCTTTGTTCATTTTTCAAGAGGGCAAAATTTTGCATGAATGAACACACAAGAAAAGATGCTCCCTGCTCTTTCATCAACACAGAAACCACTAGTCCCCACAATGTGGAAGAAAAAAGAAAACTGCATTAAACAATTTATCTAAGGGCATGTTTTATTAATAAGTATTGCTTCATTAGTGCACAAATGCTATTTTAATGTAAAACATACTTTTAAAAATAAAGTACCTGTTAATGAGAAGTACAAGATCAACAGGCTAAAAAACAAACTATACCTACCTCTTCATTCTGAAGGTGACAGAAAAATAGCACCATTCCTTGTACTTCTGCCAATGCTATGCCTATTTATTAAGATAAAGCAATATATTACTCCATGAAGACAAACTTCTTCAATGACTTGAAACAAAAATATACTGTCCAAATATATCCAACAACGACATTCTGCTAATACTAAAATAACTTAGTGCAGTATTTCTCTGACAGAGAGAATGAGGTCATTCTGCATAGGCTCACAAGAATTCCCTCTCACACTGCCTTGCATCTCTGAAATGGTTAATGAAGTCCCAAAGCACATGCTATGAGCTCCCAGTCCAAACTTCAAAAAATAACAATAAATATTATATAATGCAAGTCCCTATGTATATACGGTAAACATAAAAACAGGAAAAAAATGCATTTAAAGATACTTTTGTTAAAATTTGACAAAATTTCAAAAGTATTTCAAAAGCTTTATTGACACAAAATGTGTATAACATAAAATTTACCCATTTAAAGTACCATGCAATGGTGTTTAGTATATCCTCAGAGTTGTGCAACAATCAGCAGTGACTCCCTATCCTTGTTACCACCACCACCACCCCAGCCCTAGGCAACCACCACTTCTGCTCTTTATACATTTGCCTATACTGGACATTTCCTATAAATGGGATCATTTAGTATGTGGTCTTTTGTGACTGACTGCTTTCATCAAACATGTTTTTGAAGTGGAAAGTATTCTGAAGAAGCTGGGGATGATCACAGGCCCATCCATTCATTCATTCCATTGTCAAGTGTTTCTTGAGCACCTTCTACAGGTCAGACAGATGCCATATGGGTCACAAAGGAACCAGGGGCTCTCAGGTATGCCTTCTGCCCACAAGGAGCTTAATGTATAGTAAAGGTGCTAACAGAGTTATAAATAAGTAACCGTTTTTAAAATGTAGAGGGGCCTGGCATGGTGGCACTCACCTTTAATCCCAGCTACTTGGAAGGCTGAGGTGGGAGTATCACTTGAACCCAAGAGTTTGAGTTCAGCCTGGGAAAAACAGTGAGACCTCATCTCTTTAAAAAAACAAAAATTATGTATTCTTAATATATAATGATATGTATATAAAATATACACATATAATTTTGCATATACTTATATGTTTATAATATACTTATATATTATAATTAATTATAATTATATTATCTATTTAATTAGAATAATTAGTTGAATATATTATATATAATTGTTATATATTTATAATTAGTTGTATTATATATTTGATTATAATTAATTATAATTATGTTATATAATTATAATAGTTATGTTATATAGTAATCATAATTATATTTGTTATGTATTTATTATAATTAATTATAATTATGTTATGTAATTAATTATAATTGTTATATATTTATTATAATTAATTATAATATAATTGTTACATATTTAATTATAATTGTTTATAATTATTATGTATTTATTATAATTAATTCTAATATAATTGTGTTATATATCAAATTATAATTAATTATAACATGTGTTATACATTTAATTATATTATAGTTAATTATATATAATTATATGTGTGTGTATACATAAAATACTGACTGCCAAGAGAAAAATATAGATAAAATGTCATGTGAGTTTAGAGGAAGGCAAATAGGATCAAGAAAAGTTCTGTTGAGGTGACTTTGGAGGTGATATCTCTCCCTCACTCCTCCCCCACCATACTCACACATATATATTAATTAAAAATAGTATAAAGATGTAAGGATAGAGCCAGGGCAGTGGCTCACACCTGTAATCACGCCTGTGCTTTGGGAGGCTGAGCAGAAGAATCACTTCAGCCCAAGAGTTAGAGACCAGCCTGAGCAACAGAGTGAGACCCCGTCTCTACAAAAAAGAAAAAAGTCTGCCAAATGTGGTGGTGGCACACACTTGTAACCCAAACTACTCAGGAAACTGAGGAGGGAGGATTGTTTGCACCCAGAAGGTCAAGGCTGCAGTGATCTATGATCACACCACTGCATTCGGCCTAGGTAACAGAGCAAGACTATGCCTCAAAAAAAAAAAAATGTAGGGTTAGAGCCATTTACTATAGAAGCAAATCCCCACTCCTTAGCTTTGTCAGTCTATTCGTATTTACTCCTTGTAACCTCATCTCCCACCAAGTACGTGCATTTCAAATAAATATAACTAGTTATAATTCACAGAAATCACCAAGCCCTTTATGACTGTAACCAATGCACCCATCATCGCACATCATCCTTCTCCCAAGAAATGCCCTTTCTCCTCCTCGCCCCCACCACCAATTCCATCATGTCTGATTGGTAAACTCCTATTATTCCTCCTTCAATATTCAGCTCAAACATCATCACCACCCCTTTCCTGAAGTCTGCCCTGACCGCCCTATGCAGAGTTAGTCGGCAGTCACATCTCTGACCTATTCATCTTTGAAACTCTGGCACTTAGTACAGTGTCTGGCACATAGCCAGTAATAAATAAATAAATGTTTGTTGGAACAAGGGCACAGAAAACCAAATGAAAGCCAAAGAGGGTAGACAGAAAGTAGTTCACTTGGCAAGAGTCAATGTGGAACAGGTAAAAGGTGGCAGTGAAGTTATGGCCCTGGATGCTTCTGTGTTAAAGAAGAAAAAAAGAAAAGGATACTTAGTGATCACCTGCTATATTTCACTCAGCACCTGTATATTTTCTCATTTAGTCTCCATGGCAACCATGAGAAATTGGCATTAGTCTCCCCATTTTATTCTGAAGAAAAATGAGACAACTTGTCCATGATCACACAACTATTAAATGGCAAAAGCCCTTTGAACACTAAATATACACCACATGAGCTCACTCTCTCTCTCTCTCCTCTATTCAGTGGTGATTTAACTACCACCTTTCCATTTCCCATGTGAAGAACTGGGGTTCATTTCCTCTGTAGCCCTATTTCTGAAAGCATGCAATCACATTACATCACTGCCAGTAAAGCACAGATGGTGATTTCAGTTGGCCTTTGCAATTGGGTCTGGTTCGGCTGGTTCAAGTTACACCTATTGAGGCACATCACAGATGATGCTGCAGGGCTGGGAATAGGGAGGTGTTTGTTCAACTAAAAGAATTTTACTTGGATGGAGAGAAAAAGGTAGTTCTCAATCAAAATATAACATAGCCTTAAAAAGTTTCAGTTCAGGCCAGGCTCAATGGCTCATGCCTATAATCCCAGCACTTTGTGAAGCTGAGACAGAAGGATGGAATGAAGCCAGGAGTTTGAGACCAGCCTGAGCAACATAGCAAGATCCTGTCTCTACAAAAAAAATTAAAAATTGGCAGTGTGGGGGCACCTGCCTGTAGTCCCAGCTACTCAGGAGGCTGAGATAGGAGAATCTCCTTGAGCCCAGCAGTTCAAGGCTGCAGTGAGCCATTACCATACCATAGCACTCCAGCTAGGGTGATACAGTAAGACCTCGTCTCAAAAAAAGAAAAAAAAAGAAAAAAGGTTTCAGCTCAAAGTCCTATAATCAATCATGAACAATTTTTAAAATCACCATTTTTAACAAGTTTTATGTCATCACTTTTGTAAATGTCATTTTTGCAAAAAAGATGAACACGGGTTATGAAATAGTGCCTATGTCAGTAGAGGTATGTTTAATAGGACAGGAAAAAATAATTAGAGGAAAAATTTATTATTTGTATGTTTATCAAGCTTGAGCAAAAATACTTTTTCATTATACACATACATATATTTAATTTTCTTTAAAGATTTATTAAAAAAATAAAATATGTCAAAGGTCAAAGAATCATGAAAACAGGATTATAACTTCCCATAATCTTATAATGCCCACTCTCAAAAGTTTCTGAGATGGAATATTAAAGCAACATTTTTAGAAAAGTTTTAAAAAATTTCACAAAAGCAGTGTATGGGCTCAATCCCATCAGATTCCCAGAGAAGACAACATGTTATTAAGAAAAATTAAAGAAACATATTGTGCTCAATGAGTATCTTTGCTGTCCCACAAAATTAAACAAAAGCTGCTTAGCTGGCCTCATTTTTCCTACCAAGGAAAAAGAAACAGGTGATTGGCCTTATTTTTTACTGTAAGTATGCATGCACAGTTAAAGCCATCTCTTCTTGCTAAAAGCACAAGTTTCTTTTTTTTTTTTTTCTTTGAGATGGGGTGTCACTCTGTCACCCAGGCTGGAGTGCAGGGATGCAAACATAGTACACTTCCAAGCTCGATCTCCTGGGCTCAAGGGATCCTCCTGCCTTGGTCTCCCAAAGTGCTGGGATTACAGGCCTGAGCCATCACACCAAAAAGTACAAGTTTCAAGAAGGGAAATGAATTGAGGGCTGCCAGAGGTATTTTGTTAAAATAATTTGTTTAAATGATTATAAGGATGATATTCAGAATCCGTAACCTAGCTGGTTGCATAACAAAACAATGTTTTTGGGGGAGCTGTTGACCTTAAATGCTGCTTTAATATTTTTGATTTAAATCAAATTTATCCTGATTTTAATAACTGATTTTCATTTCATTCCTCAGATCCATTCTCAAAACTGACACACAGCAATCAATATTTTATCTTATTGTTTAAAGTCATGAGATGACCACTATGTCAACAAAAAAACAAATTGCATCTGAAGAATTTAGCGTAACTACCAAATGAAGCCAATCCGACATCATTATACGCATTCCCTGTGACTGTAGCACACGGTGATGAGGTGAAAAGGAAGCACTGGGTAAAAGCCCATATGAGCTAAAGCAAATTCTAGAGGTTTTCTTAGCTCTTTATTAGTTAGGGCTCCTCAGATGCTTCTGTGTGTTTGAGCACACGGGGAGCTCCCTGAGCTAGCTCCCTGATCTCCCAGTCGTCCCCACACTGGGAGGACTGGCCCAAGCATTGGACCTTCCTTCCAACCCCTACCCAGAAGCCAAACCAAACCGCAACCTTCCTGGGCTTCCAGACACCAAAGTCCCTAGACTTCAAAGAGCAGGCCTCAGAGGCTTGAGGAAATGAATGATGGCAGAAAGACCACTCTTTCAAGAAGAAAATAAGTCATGATCCTCAAGTGAGAAGCTGAGATCAGACACGAGAAAAGCCACACAGGAGAAGATAGAGTGAAGAAAAGCTCCACTCTCAAGTGTCCCAGAGTTTTGACAACAGGAAGAGAGCAGCGGGTTCTACTAGAAAAGGAAGCCAGGGGTAACTTGGTTTCCAAGTTAGGGACCTACCTCTAGACACCCTAACCAAACCTCACCTAAAACTCCTAGCCTAAAATTCCAGGGGACAAAGGTACTAATGTCAGATTAACTTCGACCCAATGGAGGAGGAAAGTGAGGAGGGTAGCAGGAACTGAGAGCGGGAGGGTCCGAGAAGGGAAAATCCCAACTCACTACAGCACTCACCAAAACTTGTCAAGTCTACACAGATGATTTCCTTTCTAAACTAAATTAGTAACTAGGAGGAGGACATGAACCTCCACATCAATGTTTCCAAATCCAGAGCCCCGCTCCCTAGCCACTCCTCCACAGACTCGTACTTTTCCCCAGATGGTACTCAAGAAAGTGCCTCTTCCAAAAGGGCTTCCTTGGGTCTGCTACGATTGAGACCTGAAACTGGCATTGTATAAGCACCATCAGGAGCCTGGTGAAGACACTCACACCCATGCCCAGTGGAACCAACCTAAGAGAAAGACCCCTTTTCCTGCTTGCCTCTTAGTGGACACAGGCACTTGTACATATCAGGCTTCATTATCTGATTTGCTTTAGCTCACGCATTCCACAAACATTTATGAGGCACCTAACTTTATAATACGGTCACTGTGGCTGAGCGTACAGAACATGGGAAGCGAACATACACTTCTTTCAAAGGCTCATAATCAAATGGGAAAAACAGACAAGTAAACATGTAATTGTAACACAATGAAGTACATACTATTACAAGGATCAGTACTAAAGAGAATTAGTAACACAAGAAAAGGAAACTCTTCAAAATGGTATCAACTTGGAAAGTCCACACTGAGAAAATGAGGAAATGGCTCTTGAAGGAAATCTCCTCGACCCTCTGAGACTTCTTCTTTTCCTGCTTTGCCTAATTATCTGGTCTCAACAGGTCAATGTTTACCTGCAGCAAACACACACAGTTCTATAACGGCCTTGGCAAAGAGAGCTCAGCACCAAAGCAAGGGGGAGTGCTGAAGGAAGTGCCAGAAGAGGAGGTCCTGGGAGGACCAATGAGAAAATAGAAGCTATGGGATCTGGAGGAGAGGGGTGTGTAACGGGCAATGGCAGAACCACGTGACGTGTGCTACGAGAGACGTGCACAGGTACCACAGGCCCACACAGGTGGGGCATCTCACCAGGACTGGGTGTCATTAAAAGTTTCCTGGGGTAAGTGGTTTCTAGGCAGGGATCTGAACAATGAGCAGGAGTTTGCTAGACAAAAGGCAGGTAAGAGGTGAGATAGCAGTGGGGCAGGGCTAGAAGGTGGAACAGTATTCAGACAGAAGGAACAACACGGTCAAAAACCCAAAAGGAGGCCGGGTGCGGTGGCTCAGGCCTGTAATCCCAGCACTTTGGGAGGCCAAGATGGGTGGATCACCTGACGTCAGCAGTTCGAGACCAGCCTGGCCAACATGGTGAAACCCCATGTCTACTAAAAATACAAAAAATTAGCCAGGCGTGGTGGCGGGAGCCTGTAATCCCAGTTACTCGGGAGGCTGAGGCAGGAGAATCACTTGAACCTGGGAGGTGGAGGTTGCAGTGAGCCAAGATTGAGGCATTGCACTCCAGCCTGGGCAACAACAGCAAAACTCCAACTCAAAAATAAAAAAACTCAAAAGGATAAGTCTGAGGATATACAAGAACTACAATATGACTAGACAAAGAAGTTCAACACAACAGACAAAGGTCTGTCTGCCAGCAAGGTCTTGTACAAAAGCAGTATTTGGGCTCAATCCCATGAGATTCCCAGAGAAGACTCGAGCAGGAGATGGATTGTACAGGACCTTGCTGGCTATGTAAGAGATTTGGGCTGCATCCTAAGAGGAAGGCCGGGGTGGGGTGGAGGGCTCAAGTTTCTAACAGAGGAATGGCATGATTAGTTTCATGCTTTGGAAAGAAACTAGGGCTGCAGTGAGAATAGACCGGGGAATGCAAGACTAAAGGCAGGGACCCCAAGCAAGAGACTGTCAGGGTAATGCAGGAAAAAGATAATGGTGGCCAGACTAGGGCAATGACACCAGGGATGGGAGAAACTGCAAAGCGTAACATAATAAATTGGGAAATGCAGAGCAAGGCTCTACTGCTACTCATCAAATACAGACAAGGTCTGCGAGTGACCCTTGCAGGACTATAGCAATGATGGGTGTGGACAAGCAAAAAAAAAAAAAAACCCTATGAGAAAAGAGCAAGGTGCATGTGCATGAAGTGAGGAGGAAAGCAGCTGCACTCACTCAGCTGACAAAGGAAAGAAGTCCTGCCAACACAGTGAGTACACAGGGGTTGGTTGCTGGCAGCCGTGTACTTGCCCACCCTGCAATCTGTCAGATGTTTCAAACACCTTGTATCTTTATAGTAATGTGAGTTATCATGACTACCCTGTAACTGAAAGTAATTTCAAGCTCCAATCATTTGATGCTGGCTAATTAAAACCCATATTTCAATCAACCACTCATTCAGGGGAAGCAGGGCATATAGAACCAGAATATTGTCATAAGCATGCCATAGCAATTCGGTGATAAAGTTTGGAGATCCTTCTATAATGATCCACATGGGTTCCCGAGGCTTTTCAAGGAATACTCAAGTACAGTGACAGCTGTCAACAAAGTGTCAAGTAGCCCTGGGGGCAGAGAAGGTTTAAAAGGGGGACTTAAAAGCACTTACTGTTCCCTGGTAGCACTGATTTGGCCTAATACAGAACACTATAGGAGTGACTCTGAATAAACCAGGGAGGCAGGAGAGGGTAAAGGAAAGAAATGAAATGCTGGGTCAGACCTTACTTTTAAATTTTTTTTTTTTTTAACAAGGAAAAACAAGATCATCAACAACAATAACCTACTATTTGGCTGACAGCTGGAAAGTCAATGGATTGATTTTGAACCTCTCTGCTTGCAATAGGAAAATGTACATTTGAAACTCCCTTGGGCAACTTATTATAAGAGATTTGGGCCATCCAGATGATGCTCTCAAATCTGTCAAATTCCAAGAAAGGCAAAAATATTGTTAATATTGTTTACAACAAATGTATGAAATTTAAATCAAAAATAGTATTGCTAAGTATATGTCCTATGCTTTATATTCTATTAGTTTTGCTTGACTAACCAATGCCGTATTTTATTTCACAAATCTTGAAGCATGATTACAAAATTTATATCACTGTTTTATCTAGTTTTCTTAATATAGTTTTGGTGACACCCATGATTTGCTTGGTTATGACAAATAACAACACTTGTTCTGTGAGAAAATACAATCCACTATCCCATAATTCCATTTAAAGTTAGTGTCCAGAATCTACAGCAGCAAAAATGGGGAGCTTCTTTAAAACAGCGTCTTTTTTCTCTGCTGTCATTGAAATTACTAGGTCATAACTCCCGAGTTAACTTCCAGCTCCTGAGTACTGTGACTCCACGACATTACTATATTTCTAATCTACATTATACAACCTACCTAAGAAAACAGTTGCTTCTTTCTAGTAACTTAGGGGCAAGTAGGGAGTGTCCGGCCCACTTGATTTCATACCACCTAGAAGCACCAATGCAAAGTCCCTGCAGTAACAAGGGCAGGGACCTCTGAAGACATAATATAAAGCAGCTGAAGCCAGTGGTTAATCCGTTAACTAGGAAATCAATGGGTGGAAGTTCCTAGTCACAGAAAACGATCGGAAGATGTAACTCACTGATGTTTCAGAACCTACCAAGCTTTATCTCTAGTTCATTCTCTCTCCCACTGCAGCACTTTCTTTGTGTGACTCCCTTTTGACCATTCTAAAATACCACGGAATACAAAACACATTGCTAATGACAAGAAAGGAAGTTTTCTATGCCCTCCTCTCAATTTTAAAATAAAGTCAGCCTAAAGGTTTTCTGGATTCTCAAAAATAAATCCAACATAGAGATGAATCAAGTAGCACAGAGAAAAGGTGTCCTAGGCCTGGGGAGAAAAGGACTGAAGCGTGAGTCAAGGACTGTCACTACCCATCCATGGAGCAGTAGTTACCATATCCAGCCAAGCCCTCCTCTGCCCTGCCACTCTACCTAGACCAGGCAGCAGCTGACCTTCCTGATTGCTAGTTTCCAACTAACATCCTTTCTTTACCTTATCTTTCCAAGGATCCACTTGCTTCATTCACCTTCCCTGCTCAGAACTCATCTGTTACACCCTAGCCTGCCATGCTGTCTCACGCATTTGAGGGCAACTTTCTTTCTTTCTTTCTGCAATAGGGCCAATTACGGACAAACAAAAATGCTTATGGGGCTGCTTCTTTACTTAACTGAAGATGAAAATGGTTTTATTTAGTACTATGGTGGAAAATACATATTCTTACCACTCGGATTTGTTTATTGGATATAAAAATATCAATAAGAAAACCAGCACTATATCTTTACGAATAAAAATGTTACTAATATCTGGGTATATCTGAAGGCACAACTAATGTAACTTTCCAGACTTGCATCCTAAAATGAGATAGAACAGCTCTGAAGCTGCCCAGGCCCTATAGGATAGAATTAAACTCATTGACTTCAACCTACCCACCCATGAGACCCTACAAGAAACCTTTATCTGAATTAATCTGGTCTGTGTGCTAACTCTACCAGGATTACCTTCTACTCTAACCCCCCTCCCATCCCTCTTAGCCTCAAGTTTGGCTCAAGTTCACTTCCCCTGATGCCAGGCCTGCCTGCCAAAGCTCCTGACACTCTTTCTCTAAATTCCTAAAGCACTTTCCATACCTCTTATACATTCTATCTCACTCACATGTTGATTCACCTTCTCAAAAATATTAACAGAGGAGGCGACTAAACTAGTACTCATTCACTACACTGTAACATTAAATATGCTTTGACCAAACTAGTAATTCCTTGAAGGTCAAAGATGGCGGCCATGCTAACACTTGTTGACTGATGGAACCAACCATGAGTTCTTCAACCCTAGACTGTTGGCAGATTTCTTTTTCAGAGCAGAATATGCTGACTTAGAGAATTAGATTTAATGCCTTTAATTCAATAGCAATTAGGTTTCTTACTATTAGGAACAGTCAGGCAAATCAACCATTACAGCCCACAAAAAAAGTACACAGTTGAGACACTGGCATCCACAAAGTTTCACATATTAAAAGTTGGAAACCTAGATGTTCAGTTCTTGTAACTCGAGTCAAAGGAATAAGCTTATTTTCTCTGAACTCTCCCTACAGTGTTATGTCTAAATGAGCCTTAAAGAGCTGTTTAAAAATAACTAGGAGGGCCAGATTCTGGGAGAAAAATACACAGAACTTATACATGAATCTGTTTCCCAAAATTGGCTGTTTAGTTTAGGCTGTGTTATTTCCTGCTCAAATTGGTTTCCTGCAATTTGTTAAGGCTGCCAAATACTTAGTGATCTCAGTGATATACTTAACACAAACTGGCAAATCTTTCTTATTTTTCACAATGACGAGAAATTTACAGAGAAACTTCTACAGTGAGGATGATAATAAAAGTTAGGTCATTTGTCTTGTTTTTTTCCAGATTCATCATTTTTATCTGGTTGCCAGTAGCTTACGAAAACAACAAAACATCTCCTAATATCATTTCCTGTCTGTTTCTTCATATTGATTTGGGGACAGATTCTTCAGCGGTAGGTAGGGTCAACCATGAGAGGTCTGACCTCATTATAAGCCAGAAAAACTAAAAGATCAGGTTGAAAGGAAACAATCAGCACCCAAAATTGATTTTTTAAAATCAAAAGATGCAAGATGTTAATGAAAAGGTAAGTTTATAACTATATGCAATGACATCTCCTTATGTCAGCCTAAGAAAAAAATTATCTGGTATAAAAGCAAACCAATATAGTTGAGATAACGCAGCAAAAAAATTGAGGCAGCAAGGACACAGTTAAGTTATTGAGAGCACATTCATTTATTAAAGTGGCATTACAATCTGCTGTGTGTCACACAGTATATTATTTTGCCCAAACAGCTTTACATGCGAATACTTACTGCAACGAGCCACTGATCTGGTTCAAGGTTTAGCAAAAAAATTATATTTTTTATGAAAAAAAAGTTTCAGTAAAGTCTTCAGAGGAACCCACTTTCTTATAGTATAAAATGTATTCTCAAAACTATTTTTATGACAAAATTGAGTTCCTATATACAGAAATCCTAGGGCTCTCAGTTCATCAAATACACTGCCCTATATTCACACATATGAATAGCCTAGGGCTGGTATGACTAAGAGTCCTGTGAGAAAGAAGGCTTTTTAATAAATACTTAAAATTTAACTCACATTTAATATATAATTTACTTCACACTGAAAAATGTAAAAAAGGCGAGTGACATTTTTATCAATACATTTTTGTAGGCTTGAAAAATTATTTCATAACACATCTAAATTTTAAATCCTAAGAAATCTATTATTGAGTACTAACTAAAACTCCTAAATGAGACAAACTCAGAACAAAACATAAATGTTCAAGCTTCATGCTTTTATAAGCCTATTTTTTTAATTCTAAGAAGAATAAATCTTTGTTAATTTACACATAGTTGAATTGCATTCTTAACCTAAAGCAAGATCATTTCAAAATAGCATGCCAAATTTTAGTTCTTTTCTTGGGTTAGGTTGGAAAGGGTGAGAGAAATCATGTACTCAAAGAACCTGTCCTATGAGCCTTGTTGAGTCTTTTTCACATCATGGTGCAGATAGAAAATAAAAAGCACTGGTGTGTTCCAGATCAGAGCTATGCAACAGAACTGTCTGCAATAATAGAAATGCCCTATATCTACACTTTCCAATATGGTAGTCAAAAGCCACATGCGGTTACTGAGCATAAAATGTGAAGAGTGCAACTTCAGAGCTAAAGTTTTCATTTGATCGACTTAATTTTCACTTAACTTTTAAGAGCCACATGTGACTAGTGGCTACCATTTGGAAAGTGTAGTTCTAGCCTGACCACTAAAACACAAGATGGCATACTTTTTTTTTTTTTTTTGAGATGGAGTCTCACTCTGTTGCCCAGGCTGAAGTGCAGTGGCACAATCTCGGCTTACTGCAACTTCCGCCTCCCAGGTTCAATCGATTCTCATGCCTCAGTATCCTGAGTAGCTGGGATTACAGGCATGTGCCACCACGCCCAGCTATTTTTTGTATTTTTAGTAGAGATAGGGATTCACCATGTTAGGCAGGCTGGTCTCAAACTCCTGACCTCAGGTGATCCTCCCACCTCAGCCTCTCAAAGTGATGGGATTACAGGCATGAGCCACCAAGCCTGGCCCACAAGATGGCATTCTAAGAGCTTTCAGTGCCCAGGCTGGTCACAGCTGGTCATGGACCAAAGAGTTCATCAGTCATTTCAAATGGGGAGTGAGAAGGGATGGGTCCCTCAGCAAAGCCAGAACTCTTCACATCAGTGGCATGCTCTTCGGGCCAGACACACCACAGGCACTCATAGAAAACCTCCCGACCCATCCCCACTCTCTCGAAATATCAAAACAACCCAAGAGAGAAAACATTTTCTCTCCTTCCACTCAGGCCAATATGGGAAAAAGCTAGAACAACCAACAATTACTTATAGACAACGGGTTCTTTCCTTAGTTCAAGCAGAACATCACTAAAAAGCAGCTCCTTCATTCCAACTAGTTTCTATCACGTCCTTTCTAAAGCAAGATGTCATTCAAATTAAAATAAGACAAAGTGGTTAACAGCATTTGCTCTGGAGTCAGACAAACTTGAATGTAACTCTCATCTCCATTGCTCACCAGCTGTGTGACTTTGGGCAAAATAATTAATCACTTCAAGTCTCAGTTTCTTTCTACATAAAATGGGTTATCACAGGTCCTTCTTCATAGGGTTATAAGGATGAAATGAGATAAGACGTACACAGGATTTAGCAGAGTACCTACAATGTAATAAATTTTAAGTGTCATCTATCATTACTTCAGTATATTGAATCATCATGATCATCACGCTAACTCCGTAACACAGGAGGTAGGAAAAAAAATCTACCTACAACAAATCATACTTTAGAACAAATTCCAATTTTAAATGTATCCATATATCATCATTCTTTTTTTAACACCAAGAAAATGTTTTAATTAAACTACAGAAACAATGGTTATAGCACAGAATATTCATAAGCAAAAAGATACACGTCATAAGTACTTACAAAGTTACAAACCATTTGCTCCCTTAACATTTTCCGTATTTTAAGTTCATACATGTAGATAAGAACAGATTCACCATTTTGAGGAAGAGGAGGAAGCAAAGGTATATTTATCATCAGCTAGATGTGCTCACTGTATGCAGTGGTATTTATATGCAAGACCCGAGTGACTGGAAGTGCAGTTGTTGGGCATTTTAATAAACTGGACAGCCATTTGTTTCTGCACGACAAGGCATCTTCTTAAGCCAAAATATTTGATAAACTTATTTTCAGTATCTCCTAGGTTTCTTTTATACTATGTTTCTACCTCCCTTACAGTCTTGTTATATATGTAGTTTATCTGTCAAAAAAAACTTTTTCCTATTTTTGCATCTTTTCAAAATACCTGGCTTGGCCGGGCACGGTGGCTCACGCCTGTAATCCCAGCACTTTGGGAGGTCGAGGCGGGCGGATCACGAGGTCAGGAGATTTAGACCATCCTGGCTAACACGGTGAAACCCCGTCTCTACTAAAAATATAAAAAATTAGCCGGGCGTGGTGGTGGGAGCCTGTAGTCCCAGCTACTCAGGAGACTGAGGCAGGAGAATGGCATGAACCCAGGAGGCGGAGCTTGCAGTGAGCCAAGATCACGCCACTGCACTCCAGCCTGGGAGACAGCGAGACTCCATCTCAAAAGAAAAAAAAAAATAAAAACGTGGCTTATTTATTTACATAATAGAAACATTCAATATATGTCACCTGAATTAAATGTATAGAACTCTCCAGAATGAACAAAAGTAGCTACTTTTAAAATGGATAATGCCCTTAAATTAATTCAACAAACGATAATAAGCACTTACTAAGAAGCAGGTTACACTATCCTAGGAGCTAAGAATTCAGCTGTGAACAAACAAATGAGGAATAAGGTCCCTGGAGCTTCTCTTCTAGTGAAGATAGCAGTCACAGTGAATAAGTAGAGGAAAGGTGATAGGAGATGATGAATAATGTGATGATGTTGGAAGGCAGAGAGGGACCAGTCATGATATATGATGGAAGCCCAGGGAAGCAGCTCAGACTATATTCTGTGTACCATGGAGAGCCACCACTGGGACATGACTTGACCTGATTTGCTTTTCTTCAAAAGATTGTGAGGACTTCTGTGTGCACAGCACAGGGGGAAAGAGTGAAGCAGGGAGCCAGTTAAGAGACTTCCACAGAAGACGACAGTTATCTATCTGGATTGGAGATATAGCAGAGGAGACAGATGCAAAAGGAACATATTTAGACATGTTTTAGAGATGGAGTTGACAAGACTAGCTAACAGTCTGATGTAAGGTGTAAGGAAAAAAGAAAACAAGGATGAATCCCCAATTGGGGACCTGACTACCTGTGCCATTTAGTGGGAAAGACAGAGAAGAAAAGCAAGTCTGGGGGTGAAAATAAAGGTTGATTTGGGATATGTCAAGTTGAGGAATCTGTAAGGGGAGATTTTAAGTAGGCAGTTGTCTATTATAATGTCTGGAATTTCAGGGAAAGGTCAGGGCTAGAGATATAATTTTGGGAGTCACAGGCATCTAGATAACGATTTCAAAACCGTATATTGGGACAAGATTACTTAGTAGAAATCAACAAAGAACCCTGGACTGAGGGTTGCAAGTAGGGTGAAAGGAAAACCAAGAGTGTGGTCCAGAAGCCAAAACAAGGGTTTCTAACAAGGAAGGCATGCTCACTTTCTATCTAGCGTTAATTAACTGTGAATCCTCAACTCTCCTACTAAACAAGAAGCTTCAAAGGGGCAAGAAGTCATTCTTATTCATCTTGGTACCCTTTCCTCTAAACGTATCAGAAGCTCAATTCATGTTTACTGACTTAATGATTAGTAAGGGGCGGGGCGGGGGGGGTCACAATTGGCCCAAGTGAATGGCATTTGGGCAGGATCTCGTCTTTCTCAATTTCACAGTCTATAGCCAGATTTCCCCCTTTCTAATAAGTACAGGAAAATCTCACTTAGTCCAAAATTAATCATCCCAATTATTTTCTTGTTGCCATTTCACAATAAATAGCGTATCTATCCATCAACTGGGCAGTATCAAGAACAGTGCTGGACACATAGCTGGTGCTTAGTAAAATACTGGATAAACAGATGAGTGTGGCAGGAGAGAGAAAAGGGAGAAGAAACAGCATTAAGTCTCTTATCCAGCAGGACCTACAGATAAAATTAGGCTTAATAATTCTTTATGGATTTTATTTACCACCACATTTCCATCAATAACTAAGACTGACTGTGACAAACTAAACCTTTTATAAACTTAGAAGAAATTTATTAGAAAATAAAATCATTTGGAATACTTCACAATTTGAAAATAGCAAATCAATATTTTCTAAGTTCGATTTTTTAAATAAATATTTATTCCTAAATCTCTAATATCCCTATAAGCAATCCATTTTACACAAAAAGATATGAAGTAACTTTCCAAAGCCTAGTAGAGGATTCAAGAGTGGGAAGAGAAAACAAAATTTTCAAAGACTGTTTGAAAATAGTTTCATTCTTAGTACAAAACATTTTAAAAGAAACCCCAATACTGATTTCTAATATTCCTTATTAAAAGCTAAACATCTAAATAACGAAAGACAGAATGCTAGAGAACTTGACTATTGAGTCAACTTTTTCCACTTATAATTTATCTCCTAAAAACCCTAAAATTAAAATTCAGCAATACCTGAGGCACCATAAGCACCAGAATACCGCTGAGACTTCGAACCAGATGGAGAGGATTCCTTCATTCGATCAATCACATTTTCCGAAAGCTGGAAAAGCAACATCAAAATAAAATCAATTATAAAACAGCAAGATCAAAAACCAGTGCAATAACATCCAAGTAATTTAGTCATCCATATCCATACATATGACGAATGCCCTAAAGAAATTAGGTTAAATCTAACAGCCATAAAACCAGAAGGAAGAATAATTTTAAGATTTCGAGATGCACCCCACAGCACTACTCCTTTATTTTTTCTAATGCACTGCTAATTGTTCATTATAAATAACTACACTCTTCATTTTATACTATGCACAAAATTGTAATCTCTGGGGAAATGTATGCTATATAAACTTCAACTTTCCTCCCCTAATCCTACACACTTATTCATGCATTAATGGGCCTTAGCTCCTTCCCTCCCTCTAGTCCCGAAGGAAAGTGTTCCTTCCCTCTCCCCTCCCTCCCTCCCTCCTGTTCAAAGCTAACCACATACAATCGCTCTTTCAACAGATTTCATGATGGATCAACTATGTGCCAGAAACTAGGCTAGACTCTGAGTATTCAAAATTATCAAGTGCTTAAAGCATAACAGAATAAACAACCATCAGGCATTTAAATACAACATGAAGAGTGCTACCTGAGTGAGTCAGCATGTAATGCAAGTATACAGAAAACACAATGGGCAGCACATGTAGCCAGGCTTTGAAGGCAGGGCTGGAACAGAGGATTAGGGAAGATTTACAAGGTAAGGAGGAGTAAAAGATAGGAAGAGATGCAGTAGGATGAAAGTGCTCCTGGGTGAGAAAAATCACATTAAAGTACAGATGAAAACCAGAATTTGCCACCGTTAGACATCCAAGTGGAGATATCAAGTAGGCAGCTGGCAATAGAGCAGAGGCTCTGAGGAACACACAGCCTTGCGGATTTGAGAGTCATCATTCCCACAGTTACTATCGCGTCATCCTTTTTTATTTTCTTTACAGCACTTAACCACTACCTGAGACTTGCTTGTTTACCATCTGCCTTTCACTAGAAAGAAAGCTCCCTGAAAGCAAGGATTTGGCTGTCCTATCGCTATACTCCCAGAGCCTCACTAAGCCTAGTTAATTCAATGAATGAATGTTAAATGAATGAATGAAACAACATGAATAAATGGCTGAAGCAAGAAAATAGAGAGAGGGCATAGTGAAAGAGAAGGTGGGGAGGGAAGGTAGAGATTCCAAATTTTGAAGATTCTTAGTGAACTCTTCAATTGAAACAGTTTGAACTTGACCCTGAGGGTACCTGAGCACTACTGAAGGATTTTAAGCAGGGGAATGGCACGATCAGATTTACACTTTAGGAAAATCACTCTGGCTACAATGTAGAGAACAGATTGGAGGGGGACAAGAACAGAAGCAGGATCCCTGAAGGAGGCTAAAGGACCAATTAAGAAGCTATTAAGCATATGTCCACACAAAGACTTGCACAGGAATGTTCATAGCAGCATTATTCATAAGAGCAAGGGTGGAAACAAACACATGTCTATCTACGGTGAATGGATAAACAAAATCTTACATATCCATACAACACTATACAACTCAGCAATAAAGAGCAGTGAAGTTATGACATGTGCTACCGTACAGATAGACCTAAAAATCATTAAGCTAAGTGAAAGAAGCAAACACAAGGGCCACATATTGAATGATTCTATTTATATGAAACACCCAGAAAAAGCATCCCTATAGAGTAGATTAAGTAGTTGCCTAGAGCTGGGGTGGGAATAGGGATTAACTGTAAACAGGCACAAGAGATCTTATTGGGGTGATAAAAATATTCTAAAATTGCATTGTAGTGATGTTTGCACAACTCAGTAAATTCATCAAGTGTTGAATTGCTACTCGGGAGGCTGAGGAGGGAGGATCACTTGAGCCCAGGAGGTCAAGGCTGCAATGAGCCATGATCATGCCACTGTGCTCCAGCTTGGGCAACAGAGCAAGACCCTATCTAGAAAAAAAAAAAAAAAGTGTTGGAATGTAAACTTAAAATGGATGAATTTCATGGCATGTAAATTACTCTACAACAATTTACTTTAATAAACTTTAAAAAAAAAAAGCTATTATGGTAATCCAGGGGAGAACACACTTAAAAGGTATTTAGGATTTAAAATACTAACATTCACTGAGTGCTTATTATGTGCCAGGCGCTACACTAAGCTAGGCACTTCACTTATTTACTCCTTCACAGGCCTATGAGATAGATACTTTTGTATCTCTATTTTATAGGTGAAAAAACTGAAGCATAGCCGGATTAAATAACTGGCCCTGGATCAGATACTTTATCAGTAGCAGAGGAAGGATTCAAACCCAAAAAGTCTGAGTCTCAAGATCCCACTCAAGGCCAGGCATGGTGGCTCGCATCTGTAATCCCTGCACTTTAGGAGGCCGAGGTGGGCGGATCACGAGGTCAGGAGATCGAGACCATCCTGGCTAACATGGTGAAACCCCATCTCTACTAAAAATACAAAAAATTAGCTGGGCGTGGTGGCGGGCGCCTGTAGTCCCAGCTACTCAGGAGGCTGAGGCAGGAGAATGGCGTGAACCCGGGAGGCAGAGCTTGCAGTGAGATCGCGCCACAGCCTGGGCAACAGAGTGAGACTCCGTCTCAAAAAAAAAAAAAAAAGATCCCACTCAAACATCCCTCAGCATCACTACCCAGTATCTGAGTAGATGTGGGAGTAAAGCAGAAGTCATCAAGGAAGACCCCAGGATTTCCATTTCAAGTAACTGAGTGATCCTCCTCCTGTATCAAGGGTCTCCTTCCCATTTCCACTTCCTGAACTCACCACTCTCTGGCTTTTACCCTCAGTGCAACAGTGAACATTCTCTGGTAGAAGTCACCAATGACCAAATAAATAACTTTTGATATTTATGTAAATAAATATTTTATATTTATAAAATGCCTTATTTATATGGCTTCCCTTTAGCATCTAACACCTCTGGCCACTCCCGTCTTCTGGAAAGCCCTCCCTTGGCTTTTCTGACATCCTGCTGTCCTGGTTCTCCTAGGACTCTGGCCACATTTTATCTCTTTTGCAGCTTCCCCTCTCCTGCCTGCACTTCAATGCTGAAGGGCCCTTCTCATTCTATGTGCCCTTGTACTGGCACTCTCATCCAATCTCTTGATTTCTAACTGTTGTTGATAAACTAATAAATTCCATTAATAAATGCATTCACTCGAGCTTAAGACCTATCTCTCAGAAGCCCGGTCTCCACACTGAAGTGCCTAATGAACACCTTCCTTCTGGCAAACCAGAAGCACCTCACACCCAAAGTGTCCAAAATTGATCTCACGTTTGCCGCATATCTCCTCTTTCTCCTGCCTTCCTTACCTCATTAATGACACCACCAACACCCAGCTTCCTAAATTCAAACATAGGGCTTGTTCTTAACTCTTCTTTCTCTCTCATTCTTAGCTCTGACTTCATCAATCCCTAAATATTTAATGAATTCCTCTCTTCTCTCATCCCATTTCTCCTGCCCTAATTCCTGTACCATCCGCTTAAAATGCAAATGTGATAATGGTAACTCCCTACTTCAAATTCTTCAATAGCTACTGTCTGTTTACAGAAAAATTCAAATTCTTTGTACAGCATTCAAGACTTCATCATTTGGTGATGGCCTAACTCTCCAACCTCAAATTCTACAGTTTTTTTCCTTAATATTACATATCCTGTTCTACGTCCATCTCCTTGCCTTTACACACGCCTACATTGCCCTCTCTCCTGTACCATTGGGAGGGAGTCACCTTTCAAGACGCAGTCTAAACATCCAAGCCTTCACTGACCAAAACAGTTGTCCACTCCATTCCAACCCTGCCTACCTAAAGCTACCATTCCTTGTGCCTGCTGTTCCTTTCTCAAACTTCCAATACAGTCTCAATGAAAGAACAGGAATTAGCCTTTCCACATTCACCTTTCTGCCTTTCCACTAGATTGCAAGCTCCTATATATTAAGTCATTCATTCAACAAATGTCTCCCAGGCCAGGCACTAATCAAGGCCCTGTGATACATCAGTGAACTAAATAGTCTATACCTCAACTGTTACTTGTATCTCAGGGCCCAAACCAGAATGGAAATAAGATGGAAAAGGGAAAGGCTACAGATCAAATGCTGTGTGTGCTCTTTGAAGGAAAAAACTACGACTCCCTTCTTGGAAGACAAGAAGACTTTCTATTTGAAAATGCCAGAGCCAGCTGCATCCTTCTAACAACTGACAGCCACTGGGAATGTTGCTGAAACCCATCTGAGAAACTGAGAAACTGAGACACATCCTAGAAAAATCCCCGTAAGACTGACTCAATTTATACTTGAGAAAAAAAAGAGACCCTGAGTAATATTCAGTTACTGGCAGCATCAAGACCAGAAGCAGTAATTCCCCAATCTCTAGTCCAATGCTCTACTTTTAATAACACACCCCTTCAATCCCATGCATGTAATAAAAATATCACTTCCTCTTAAAGAGGAAAAAATAAGCTTACATTTTTAGAATCTTAAAGCTATTTTAACTGATATATAATATATATAAATCTCAAAAATCAAGTGTTAGCTATAAGCTTTCATCTGAAAAGTTACTATTTTCATCTGAAAAAAATGAAAATAATGTTTACCCCAGAGATTCTGTGGAGGGATTTTAGTGTTTTGCACCATAAACTACAATTGGCTACACAAATATTTGGTAAAGCTATTACCCATATAGCTCCAACCACAGGGACTTTTTAATTCATTTTGGTTCATTTTTATCAACTGGGTCTGAGCTTGTACTGACTCGTTCTCTGTAAGGTGCATGAGGACCAGGCCTGCAGCTATTGCAAGCAGCAGCTGCCTAAGTCCTGGTATGGGTATAGAAGGTGCTTATTTTTCTCTATCTATGCTCTCTAGGTAGTAGGAGTAGAATGTCTCTTTCAACCTAATCACTAATTTCTTGTTAACTTTTTTTTCTTTTTGAGGCCTCTCTGATGTCCCAAGTTGCTACTTAATGTCAAATTCTCACATCAATTCAAAACATTTCCCAGTGGGATGTTTGGTTATAGTTCAGTAAACTTGTAAGCATGCACCAAAGGAGTATATACTAAACCTATTGAAGGCTTGATAAACATATTGTACGGCTGCCTTATTGAGACTCCACCTTTCTCTTGTTCTTACAATCATTCAACAACTGTATCCTTAGGCCCTTCCAAAGCAGCACCCATGGCCATCTACTGTTGCACCTCTGCCAACTCCAAGCACTATTACCCTATTCCCAGTCTGCTCATAGCGACGTAGATATGAGGTAATAGTTTTGTTGTGTTATCATCTGTATCCAAAGTTAATGCTCTCTGAGCTGACCTTCCCATTGCAGTAGTAAGTTCAGACCTGCACACTCACCTGATCTCCTCTGTGAACAGGGGTACTCACTCGTGAAGCAGCTGACAAGCTTTAGAGATGCTGGCCAGGATTATACACGCAATCTGTAGCTGCAGAACAACTCATCTTTCTGATAAAAAATGACCCAAAATGGGGGTCGATAGTACAACACAAGCTTCTGCGATGGCAGCCTCTGTGTAAGAAGTATCTTGCGGTCAGGTGTGGTGGCTCACGCCTATAATCCCAGCACTTTGGGAGGCCAAGGCAGGCAGATCATGAGGTCAGAAGATCAAGGCCATCCTGGCTAACACGGTGAAACCCCATCTCTACTAAAAATATAAAAAATTAGCCAGGTATGGTGGTGGGTGCCTGTAGTCCCAGCTACTTGGGAAGCTGAAGTAGGAAAATCGCTTGAACCCAGAAGGTGGAGGTTGCAATGAGCCGAGATCGCACCACTGCACTCCAGCATGGGCAAGAGAATGAGATTCTATCTCAAAAAAAAAAAAAAAAAAAAAAAAAGTATCTTCTTCAGGAAACATATCTTTTCCTGAACCGGGCACTTGTTTAAGCAAAGCCTTTTCCTGTACAATGACCTATACCTATTATACTTGCTTTCCAGACATCTCTGGAATCTGCATCAAGGCAAATACCAAGGGCAATTTACAGAAATTATTTGTAGCAAAGAATAGTGAAATAATCCCCACACACATTGATACTGGGAATTACACCCTGAGGTCCACAGACTGAGTAGTCCGTGGGTCAATTACTCAACTGTATGCAAAACTGTCTGCTTATTGCATGGTTCTGGCCAGAATCCACAGCTTACAGATCCACAGTGCTCTATGAACTAAAAGAGCCACCATTCTAATATAAGGGGCAATCAAAAGAAGCAGGTCTGCCGATATTCAGCCCACTGAACTTGACTGTCCACCCTATTCTCTATTGCTCCTAAAGACAAATTTAAGCAAACAGAGCTTGCCAAGTTTAAATTTGTGGTACTCACCACACCAATGTGCTCCACAGAGGGGGAAAGGCCATGTGTCATCTCCTACAGTCTTCCCACTCATCTCTTCCTACCCACCTTGTTTGGTCTTATCCAAAATCCGTGCCAGAAACACTACCCACCAATCCAAAAGAAAGAATTTTCTCAGAAACAGGAGACTGGGTGAGTTGGACAAAGAGAAAGTATTTCTACTCCCAGGTAACAGAGTAAAAAAAGAGGAATTCTTCAGTGGCCCTTCTAAGAGGTAAAGTTATGAGCCACATGAGACAAATAAATCAGCCTCCTGCCTCCATTAGTTTATCTTATCTTCTTCCAGATGTGTCCTAGCAAATTGATTCAAGAACTCAGACCCATTTTTTCTCTCTTGATCCTCCTTCCACTTAGCATAGGTCATTTTCTGTGTGAGTATTAGTTTGCTTCACAATTACCTTTTTAAGACATAGGCTCCAAAAACTGCCATTATTATTTGGGAGAAATTACTCCCAAATAGTTAGTTAAGAGAAAGGGGGAGAGGGAACCCATATATATGTTGATAGATATATATGAAATATGTAATGCTTAGCTTATGTCTGTGTTTCTTTACATTTGTCATTAGTAGAAACCATTATCCCTACCTTTATAAAATCCTAGATAACTTAAGATGGTAGCCAAAAACTTCATAGAATCTAAAGCTGAAAGAAACTAATCATCCACTACTTAACTAAATTTGCACAACATTCCTCAACACTCCCAAGGGCTGACCGAATTTGTAGTCTCTGATAACATACTCTCTTCAGAATCCTCAGTAATACCGCATATTAAGTAATCTCTTCATTTACGGTCTCTCAACTGCCAACACTTCCCAAAGCATGAGTTACGTTCCATATTAAGTATCCATACTGCCATAACTGGCTCCTGTGAATTTCAGCTTGCAACTTTAAAGCCCAGCTGCGGACATTCGTTTATGTCTGGAAAGCATGATAAATATATCTTTGAAAATGATACTCATTGAAGTTGACATTTGCTCCAGAAGAGTTCACTCACAGCTTTGATGTTTCAGATAAACTTGCGAAAGATAGAGTTGTAAGCACACTTTCCAAGCAGGCACAGCAGGTGCTCACAAAAATCCTATCAACCACATGTAATATGAGTAATGAAAATGCTTGGTCTTTCCTCTCTAGGAATTTATTTTAGCCTTGAGAAGAGGGCAAGGCAAAAGAGTGACCTCTCATCCAATCCATAAGAGTAGTTTCAGATTCAAAGTTGGAATCAGGTGTAAAAATATAGGTTACTTTTACAGAAGAGGGAAGAAAAGCTATCAGTTGCTAAGGATAAAGGGAAAAAACAAGACCCTACAATACCATGAAAAATAACACCTGGTAGGTGAGAAGAAATTTTAAACTTAAAATTTGAAGTAGGTCCTTTCATTGCTATTAAGGACCTCAACAATATAGAGAAACACAATCTATTAATAAATTCAGCCAGGTGTGGAGGCTCACACCTGTAATCCCAGCACTTTGGGAGGCTGAGGTGGGTAGATCACTTGAGGTCAGGAGTTTGAGACCAGCCTGGCCAACATGGTGAAACCCCCCTCTACTAAACATACAAAAAAGTTAGCAGGGCATGGTGGCACAGGCCTATAATCCTGGCTACTCAGGAGGCTGAAGCAGGAGAATCACTTGAACCTGGGAGGCAGAGGTTGCAGCAAGCTGAGATCATGCCACTGCCCTCCAGCCTGGGTGACAGAGCAAGACTCGTCTCAAATAAATAAATAAATATTCAGCATAGTTACCAAAAGCCTTATGTTGTTCACTAAATGTTATTCTTTATACATTAAGATAAATGATGACTGAGCCTGGTGGAGCGGCACATGCCCGTAGTCCCAGAGGCTGGGGCAGGAGGATAGCTTGAGCCCAGGAGTTGAGACCAGCTTGGGCAACACAGGGAGACTCCAACTCAAAAAAACCTCATAATTGCCAACATATTTATATTAAGGGAATGAACCCAAGTCATTATATGAAAAAAATAAAGGAAGATGAAATTATAGATGCTCCTTGGTTTACAACGGATTTTGCTGAAGGTAATGCCAGAAGCTGAGTTTACTGAACGCTTGTCACTTCCACACCACTGTCAAAAAATCCTAAGTCGAACCATCCTAACAGGAGACCGTCTGTACTATCTTTAACAGTGTAACAGAACACAGAATTAGCTTTCCAGCAGTGACTGCCTCTGTTGAATTAGTAAGCTTGGTAAACTTTCATTTCTTACAACCAATGACATAAATGCTAGACAACTGGTCAAAGTTGGAACGTTTTCTTCAGCCAAGCTGAACTAACCTAACTGCAGTTCAAAACTGAAGTTTGGTGCCTCATCGGCACCATGTTCTAACAAACTAAGCTAAAAACAATGGCTTATGGACATACTGAGAATGCGGTTTCTTATCCTTCCCCATGTCTCAGAAGGGAACAAAGTGACTATTTAAAGCCAAGAAAAATATAAAGAAATAAAAACCATCTACAACAGACCTAGACAAAAAAACACCCTCAATTAGGGCAGAATGTAAGACTCCCATTTCCCAGTCCATACCCTTTTAGGTACACCTGTTGGGGCACAACATGCTCTTATTTTTATTAAAATTTGAAGTTCACTTAAGTTCACATATCCATTCTTTTGAACAGCTCTAATAACAGCTATTATTCACAAGTGCAAACACTGTCAAAGTACAAGACACTGTGCTAGATATACATTATGTCAAATTCTCAAAGTAGGCTTTGTCCAGAAATACTAAATACGGAAACACAATGAAAAGTGACTTGTCCAGAGCGACACCGCTAGTGAGAGGCAGAGATAGAATCCAACCCAGGTCTGCTTGGTTCCAAGGCACATGCTCTTTCCACTACACAGCACAGCACTTTCAAAGAATCTTAAAACTTTGCATGTGAAAGGAACCCTATCATAATAATGGCTGCCTTTTTAATGAAAATCTACAATGTGCCAGGTGCTTTACATACCTTACCTCATCTTCTTACAATAACCAATCAAGGGAAGTGATGGTATTACCGTTTATGGATAAGGAAATAAAAGAAGTCAATTGTCAAAGGCCACAGGCTAATAAATAACTAACCTGCGATTTAAACTGATGTCTGCTTAATTCAAGCCAAGAAAAATACTAAGATCAACTGAAAAACATCTACAAAAGACCCAGACAAAAATCACACAGGCAATCAGGTTAAGTAATAAATATCTAACCTGAGATTTAAACTGAGGTCTGTTTAATTTCAAGTTGATACTCTTTTGATCATGAGCTCAAAGAAATCAGAATGACCTCTGTGTACTCAATACTTCAATGGATGTCACTTCTAGAGGAAACTGCAATGGGCTAAGTATGGCTACAAGAAACTTACAGTGCCACCAGACTCACAGGATTTCAGGACTGGAAAATATTAGAGATCTGAGGGATGTACTCAGTTGCATTATTTTGCAGATGGGAAAACTGAAGCTCAGAGAGATTGCAAAACATTCATGTAAAAGGAGGATTTGAAGCAATGGAGACCAGCGCAAGGGCATTCCAGGTGAAGGGTATATTCTGAAGAAAAGCATAGAGGTAAAAATGATCATGCTTGAACTGTTAGCAATACAGGTAAAATGTACTATATAAGAAAGGAAAAAAATGAGGAATGCTGTCAAGTTATATGACCAAAGGACATTTCTTTTTAAAAAACAAAAATCTTAAAAAGGTTTTTTAGACAATTTTTCCATTTTAATAGAATACCTATCCCTGCTGTCACAGTTATTCCATCCAACCTTATCTAATACTTGATATGAATCTCTGTGCTGTGGCCACATTCTCTTTCGATTTTGTTTGCTGTTAGCACTGTGTCTGTACTAAAGCACGAGAATATGGATTTATACATTTTTTTCTAACCAATGTCTTCTCACTCAAAACTTATTTTGCTTTGTCTTTTAATTATTTTTCACTCTGAGTTGCGTACTGAAAGCCTAATGGCAAGAGTCTTAAAATCTCTGCATAAAACTTAAAGTTTACAGTAATTTTTTACTCCAAAGAGTACTAACTGAAACACAATAACTCAAAGAATACAGCCTCAGATATTTTATTACAAAATGTAGTACTACCATTAATTAGCATGATATAAAGAAATACTGGTCACAGACCAAAAACTGAGTTCGACAGTCTGAGTTTCTATGAAGAAAAGTTTAATAAATTATTCTCAAGGTAACAGTTTCAGAAGAAAAAGTTTTTAAACATTTTAAATATTTAAGAAGTTTTATTTCCTGGTAACAACTGTTAAAAATAATTTACAAATGTAATTTATTTACGCTGGTTGATAACAGAAAAAAATATATAAATTATTATAAAACTTTCTGAAGTCAAAATTGCTTTATTTACTAGGTTCAGGCATCATACGTCCAAAAATGTGAGGCTCCAAATTCAGGCGCAGCGGAGAGTGTGTTAATGAAGTTAGTGCTGGTATACTGACACCCTAGAGAAAAACCAGGTTTTCAGTTTATGTATCAGGTGCATGCAAAGGGCATTAAAAAAAAAGTGCTCTACAACGTTGGTCAGAAATGACTACATTACTTCTACTGGTATGAAAAACTGCAAACCCATCTCAGCCCCTATCAGACTGGCAGACACTAGTCCTGAAGCAACTGGGCCTAATCCAAAACTTCGGCGCAGCAGGTCACAGAGGAGGCGCCTGGGAAAGAGGAGATATCAAGTGAAAGTGAAGCAGGGAGAAGCCAGAAGCCGCCCCAGGCAGGTCAGAAAAGACTGTGGGGCTGGGAGGGAGGATGACAGGGTGTGGGGAGTGGGTGGGAGGAGGGGGTGTTATCAGAGGGAGAGCACTAAATGACACAAAGCAAAGGCAATCCTTAAAATGCCAATTCACCCTGGGAGACAGGGTGTGCACAGTGGAAAAGCAGGGTTTGGGTCCTGAACCCAGGAAAACCATTTCACAGACAAGTACACCGAGGTATGGGTTTCAAATACGGTCCTGCAACAAGGGAGCAGTACAGTTACGAGTAGACTGTGAGCCCTTGCAGGGTATAATTCAACCTGGCATTCCCCGCCCGCCCCAGCAGTGCCTAGCACTTGGCACAACCAGGAACTATCTCTGAATGAATGTCCCACGTCTTGAAACTCTAGGCTTCTTCCCAGACACCTGGGCTTCTGGCCTTAATACGCTAGGGTCCAGGACGGGAGAAACCCAGGCTGAGCGGGTCCGGAGAAGATGGGGCCTTGGGGTCCGAGTCCAACCACTGGCCCTCCGCCCGTCCACGGGCACTCACCCGGATGCCCTTCACCACGGTGATGTTCTCATTCTCGTCCGCCTCGAAGGTGACCCGGCGGGTGCTGGTGGTCCCACCCATGATTCCGGTTCCTGCCCCAGCGGAGACCTAGCGGGGAACCACGAGCACTTCGGGGCCCCCGCACCCACACGCGCGTGGAAGGGCCTGGATTCTTTTCCCGCACAGCGGGAGCAAGGCCACGACCCCCAGAAGCAAGGAGAAGGCGCCGGTCCTGAGCTCCCGCCTCCTCCGGTCACGCGCCACAACAAAAACGCCTCAGGTTGGTCGGCGATGCGAACTGCCCGCCTCTGTTCGGCGAGGGCGCCCGGATTGGTTCACCCGACCCGGATGCTATGGCAACAGGTGGTGTTTGATAGCTTTCCGCGGAGTCCCTGGGTGTAGTGGGAACTGTGGTCTCGATCTGGCGCGGTGGGTGATGGGACATTCTCTCCCCGCGCCTGAGCGCGCTAAGGGAGCACGGCATTCTGGGAGTTGTGGTTTTGACTCCCCAGAGACGCCTAACTGGGCAACTTTTTGAAGACATAATTCTAGAAATTTAGGCCACTAAGTTCAGAGACACAATCTTTCTCTCAAAGGGACTCACAGTTTAATGAAAAAGATGCATGATACTAATGAAGCCATTCCTAGTGTTCTATACACAAATTCCTGGCTCAAAACTTAGCGTTTCATTACAGTCGTAGGGTAGCTTAATGAAGACTACTTCTGAGAAATGCCTCGTTAGGTGACCCTGTGATATCTGTGGTTGTGCAAACATCATAGAGTGTACTTACACAAACCCAGATGGTGTAGCCTACTACACACCTGGGCTACTTGGTGTAACCTATTGCTCCCAGGCTGCAAAGATGTACAGCATGTCACTGTACTAAATACTGTAGGCAATTGTAACACAGTGGTATTTGTGTGTACAAATATATGTAAACATAGAAAAGCTACAGCAAAAACAGTGTAAAAGTGATTGCTTTGGCAACACATCTAGGACAATTTGAACAATACAGAGATTAGCACAGCCCCTGAGCAAGGTTGACACATGAATTTCTGAAGCATTCCATTAAAAAAAAAATCAAAGATAAAAAATGGTATGCTTCTATAGGGCACTTACCATGAATGGAGCTTACAGGACTGGAAGTTGCCCTGAGTGAGTCAGTGAGTGAGTGGGGAGTTGAATGTGAAGGCCTGGGACGCAACTATGCAGTACTGTACCTTTTATCAACACTGTGCACTTAGGCAACACTAAATTTATTTTCATATATTTTCATTCTTCAAGAATAAATTGACCTTAGCTTACTGTAACTTTTTAAACTTATAAACTTCTTTTTTTGTGACTTTTTGACTCTTTAATAACACTTAGCTTAAAACACAAACACACTATATAGCTGTACAAAAATATTTCTTTCTTTATATACTTAGTCTATAAGCTTTTTCTATTTTTGAAATTATTTACTTTTTACTTTTTAAACATTTTTGTTAAAAATTAAGACAAACACACACACATTAGCCTAGACCTACACGGGGTCAGGATCATCAATATCACTGTCTTCCACCTTCACATCTTGTCCCACTGAAAGGTCTTCAGAGGCAATAACACGTATGGAGCTATCTCCTATGATAACAGCACCTTCTGTAACACCTCCTGAAGGACCTGCCTGAGGCTGTTTTACAGTTAACTTTTTTATATAGGTAGAAAGAATGCACTTTAACCTAAAGATAAAAAGCATAGTATAGTAAATACTAGGAGACAGGAATTTTCCAGCTCCATTATAATCTTATGATTCCACTGCCAGAAATGAGGTTCTTCTTTGACTGAAACACTGTTATGCAGTACATGAATGGTGGCATTTTAGTAGTAGCCATAAAATAAAAAAATAAAAAACGTAAACGTGTGTTTGGTCCATGTCTCTTGTCTCATGAACTAGTATCTGTATTTTTTTCTTTTTGTAAAGTAAAATTTTAAGTACTATG
Organism: Homo sapiens; assembly: GCF_000001405.40. Taxonomy (NCBI): domain Eukaryota; kingdom Metazoa; phylum Chordata; class Mammalia; order Primates; family Hominidae; genus Homo; species Homo sapiens. The sequence continues at coordinate 133,083,837 of NC_000007.14, forward strand.
GTTTTCAAACCTGTCTATGAGAAAATACATTTCTTCATAGAATAAATTATTTGCACCAAGTATGTAGAGAATTTACTTTCCACTTTTGTGTCTCCTTCTACTACTAGTTCAGTTACATAAGTTAGGCCATAATAGGGTTAGGCAGAGAAAAGTTAAGTGATTGCCAAAGATGGCATAAATTAGTGGAGGAATTAAAACTACATCAGAAAAGTTGAGATGATCTATTGTGGAAAGTTCCTATTAATAGTTCAACATTTCACCTCTACGAGACCAGTACATAGTTATTAGGTTATTCATCTACATATTTCTTTTTTGCTAAACACACTGTTACACATAAGTTTAGCCATATGACCTTAGTTTTACAGAGGCAGATGATTCTCAATAGAAATTAGGTTAATGATGGTACTATTCTTCAATTAATCCCTCTCAACATTAAAAGCAGCAGGCCACAACACACCATGGCATTCTCTTATGCCAAAGGCATCTACAATGCAGTCGCATTTTTGAGCTTCAATTATGTGCTGATCTATTACTGTATGAATCCAATTATGTGCTGATCTATTACTGTATGTATCTTTTATTTTTCTGAGACAGAGTCTCGCTCTGTCGCCAGGCTGGAGTTCAGTGGCGCAATCTTGGCTCACTGCAACCTCCGCCTCCCAGGTTCAAGCAATTCTCCTGCCTCAGCCTCCGGAGTAGCTGGGACTACAGGTGCGTGTCACCACACCCAGCTAATTTTTTTGTATTTTTAGTAGAGATGGGGTTTCACCATGTTGGCCAGGATGGTCTCCATCTCCTGACCTCATGATCCTCCCACCTCAGCCTCCCAAAGTGCTGGGATTATAGGCGTGAGCCACCGCTCCCAACCTTACTGTATGAATCTTTAGAGCAGAAACTATGTCTTTTTAATCTCTATATCCCTGGTCAGTAGCAGAGTGTTGATTACATCTCATCATTATATTCTTTTAAAATTGTACTATGTTACTTTGCAGTTATGAGACTACGTGCTACTTTGTACTTGTTCTCAAGTTTCCTTCTTTTTTCTTTTTTTTTTTTTGAGAGAGAGAGGGTCTTGCTTTGTTGCCTAGGCTAGAATGCAGTGGCCCAATCACGACTCACTGCAGCCCCAACCTCCCAGGTTCAAGCAATCCCTCCCAGTTCAGCCTCCCCAGTAGCTGTGACTACAGGTGTGTGCCACCACACCTAGCTGTGGTCTCACTATGCTGCCCAGGCTGGTCTCAAACTCCTGAGCTCAAGCAACCTTTCTGCCTTAGCCTCCCAAAGTGCTGGGATTACAGGCATGAGCCACCATGCCCAGCCTAACTCTTTCTTCTACTGGGAACTAAAGCTCCAAGGAATTATGACTTTCATTTTTTGGGGACCCTCCCCTCCACAAACACACTCTCACTTATTACCCCAATATATAGGGCATATCGGAGGTTCTATATAACACACATGCTCAACAAGCACTTACGAAAATAACCAAGTACAAAGAAAGCGTTCCTTGGAGAGAATAGAGAGATGAAGAAACCACTAGTTGTCTTAAATATATATATATATATCTCCAGTTAGAATATTAAGTAGAGTTCTTTCAACCAAATATATTAAAGATGATGAATGCCAAGCATGAGAAGGTAGTGGAGTGCCTTCATGTTTTATGATTCAAACACATATAAGTGGTCTAATCAAACAGACAATCCAAAAATGTTTTAGACATCCTAATGCATTTTAACCAACATTACAAAGATGCCTTCTGAGTTTAAAAAAAATTCAATGTATTCTTTAAAACAAAATGCCTTCTCTAACAATACTGTTCTATCCATGTCAATTTCTAGGCCAGTCATGCCTATACAATCCCTTCTTGAGCTACCCAGAACTTGTGGCCTCCCTTTCTTTCTGGCTACAGCTTATTAATAGTCATCTAATCCAAAGGCAGCATTTACTAGCCAGACACCTATGAGCTAGAATGCAAAGCTTTGCCCTAAGAAAAATAATAGCTAATACTTCAGCTACTCAGATTCTCCATGTTTTTCTCCGTTTTCTGTATCTCTGTATTCACTTTCTCAAATTTAAACTTGAAAATTCAGAGCATACAAAAAGATAGCAAGAAGAGAAGTTATAACACTGAGTCTGTACCATGAAGAATCATGGCAAACTAAAGATAGGTGGAATAAGAAACTGCAAGAAAAATAAAAGGCATCCAGACTGGAAAGGAAGAAGTAAAACTACCTCTATTCGAAGATAACATGATCTTACAAATAGAAAAATCTTACAGAATCCACTGCAAAACTAATTAGAACTAATAAAAAAACTCAGCAAGTTTGCAGGATACAAGATCAACATATAAAAATCAATTGTAGCCGGGCGCTGTGGCTCACACCTGTAATCTCAGCACTTTGGGAGGCCAAGTCGGGCAGATCACCTGAGGTCAGGAGTTTGAGACCAGCCTGGCCAACATAGTGAAACCCCGCCTCTACTAAAAATACAAGAATTAGCCAGGCGTGGTGGTGGGCACCTGTAATCCCAGCTACTCAGAAGGCTGAGGCAGGAAAATCGCTTGAACATGGCGGGCGGAGGTTGCAGTGAGCGGAGATCGCGTCACTGCACTCCAGCCCCGGAGGGAGAGTGAGACTCCATCACACACACACACACAAAAACTGTATTTCTATACACTGGCAATTAACAAGCCAAAAATGAAATGAGGAGAGCAATTCCACTTATAATAGTATGAAAAACAATTCAAATGTTCATTAATTGATGAATGGAAAAACAAAATGTAATATATCCAGAAAATGGAATATTAATGGGGAATAAAAAGGAAGAAAGTACTGATATATACTACAATATGGATGAACCTCAAAGACATTATGCCAAGTGAAAGAAGCCAGACACAAAAGGCGGTTGAAATGTTCAGAATAGGCAAGTCCATGGAAAACAAAAGAAGATTAGGCTTGGAGAGGGTAGGAGGAGGTGAGATGTAGAGTAACTTCTAATTGTTACATAGTTTCTTAACTTCTAATTGGTACATAGTTTCTTTTGGAGGAGTGATAAAAATGCCTAAAATTAGATTGTGATGGTTGCACAATGCTATAAGTATGCTGAAATTTATTGAAATGTACACTTCAAATGGATGAACTTTATGACATGTAAATTACATATTAATAACACCGTTAAAAGTATTAGCTAGGCATAGTGGTATGCACATATAGTCCTATTTATTCTGGAAGCTGACGTGGGAAGATCACTTGAACCCAGGACTTGGAGGCCACCGTGAGCTATAAATGCGCCCCTGCTCTCCAGCCTGGGCAACAGAGCAAGACCCTGTCTCTAAATAAATAAGTAAAGCTGTTAAAGAATGTATAGTTATTAAGATAGCTTGAGAAAGACTTTTTAAAAAAGAATGTATAGTTAGTTAAACATGATAGAAATTATCATTTTTTAAAGTCCAAATATTTTTTTTGGAAAAAAAAGGAAAAAGAAAAAAAGAAGAAAAAAAAACTGTGAGCAGCTTTGTAATAGTGAAATACAAGCCAGTTAAAAGGGAGACTAGCATAAAGCAAGCCCTTAAAAATTAGTTTAGTCTTGGCCAGGCACGGTGGCTCACACGTGTAATCCCAGCACTTTGGGAGGCTGAGGTGGACAGATAACCTGAGATCAGGAGTTCAAGACCAGCCTGGCAAACATGGTAAAACGCTGTCTCTACTAAAAATACAAAAATTAGCCAGGTCTGGTGGCAGGCACCTGTAATCACAGCTACTCGGGAGGCTGAGGCATGAGAATCGCTTGAACCTGGGAGGCAGAGATTGCAGTGAGCTGAAATTGCACCACTGCACTCCAGCCTGGGCAACAGAGTTAGACTCTGTCTCAAAAAAAAAAAAAAAATAGTTTAGTCTCACAAATACAGAGCACTGATGTGAAGACCCAGGACTCCAGAAGCTTCTAGGGATGCCTAGGATTCAGAAAGGCCTTCCAACTGAAGTCTTTATAATGGCCGGCTCTGCCCAGGCTGCTGGGCTTCTGGAGGCCCAGTCGTGCAATGCTTCCTAGGTTCTGGGGCACATACAGCGTTACCAGAGGATCTTCCTCATTATATGAGACTTCCCAAATATCAATAACAATAATGCAACATATTTCTTCAGTCTCCACCCAGGAAACAAGCACTCTAGGTATTGAATGTCAGCAGTTTACTTTGATACAGAGCTGAGAACTGAGCAGTAATTTGGTTTTTCACAAATCTTAGCTTGACCACTAAGCAATATTACCTTCCAACTCCTTTGTTCTTTTTCCCTTTTCCACCACGTCAAATCTTTGCAATGAATGCTGGAAAAAAGAGAAAGAAGGAAAAGAGGGAGAGAGGGAGAAAGTAAAAATTCAGTCATCCCTAATGATCTCCTTCCCCTAAAAAGAAAAATATATATATACCTAAACTTCCAAATCAGCCAGGTGCAGCTGCTCACACCTGTAATCCCAACACTTTGGGAGGCTGAAATGGGAGGATCACTTGAGCCCAGGAGTTCACGACCAGCCTGGGCAACTTCCAGACCAGCCTGGGCAAACTGGCAAGACCCCATCTCTACAAAAAATACAAAATTTACTCAGTGGTGATGTGCACCTGTCATCTCACCTACTGAGCAAGCTGAAGTCCAAGGATCACTTGAGCCCAGGAGGTCTAGGCTGCAGTGAGCCATGATCGTCCCACTGCACTCCAGCCTGGGTGACAGAGTGAGACCCTGTCTCAGAATAAATAAATGAATAAAAATAAACTTTCAAATGACTCAAACAGACAAAATTACAGAAGGTTTGCTCTATGTACGCCAATTTTTCAATCGCACCTTTAAACAAAAAGTAGGAAAAGGCCTAATCCTGGCGACCTCACTTCTGCTACTCCTTCACACACCACTTGACTGTCCCTGCTCTACTTGGTGGGAATGTAGAAAGATATGGATGAGAAGCAAAGGTAAAAATAGAAAGAACGTGACATGGGATAATGAGGGAGAGGGAGGAGAGAGACCCACTCTTGGTCCCCAGCTAGAAAAGCTAATCATTGTGCTGTTCATCACAGCCCCCTCCCTCCCCAGCAATTCTGAGTAGCATGCTAGCTGCACAGTAGAGCACTTGGATTCTATGACCTGTGCTGAAATAGAATATAGATCTAATGATGGTGTTTTCTGAGCTAAAAATTGAAGCAATTGCTCTATTATTTGTGAACTTAAAGAGACAATGAAATCAGTCCTTGAAATCAGGATTATCCTGCAAAATCTAGGACATATAGTTGCCATAGTTATAGCAAACCAATTAAAATCACCAAAAAGTGCCTCATGTGTAGTGCAATCAATACAGAGACAATCTGAAAATATGGACTAAGACATATTTGACAAGCCATAATAGCGCATCAGCTTTAAAACTTTTTCCACCAATTATTGTTTGTAGAATCATATAAAAAAATGAAGTCCTAAAACAGTATTGTGTGTGTGTGTGTGTGTGTGTGAGAGAGAGCATGCATGCGGATGCATGCACATGTGCTTATGTGACATATCTTGAAACAAGAATTTTGAGCAGCACGCTTGAAAAGATTAAAAACTCAAAATGGCATAAAACAAGTCATCAATAATTAGAAGGCATTTACAAGTACAGTATAACTATGCGACTTTGAAAATACCCACAGCTATGGCATTAATCACATAGTCTCCCTTTAGTAGCCATAATGATCAAGTGATTTAGTGCATTGATCAGGTAGAACTGATTCACTGTACTGCCCGTGTGTCTAGTGAAATCATAAGGCAGAGATCCCCCCATGTTTCAGAAACCACTCCATCTATCTTTGGCTTTCAACTAATAGTACCTTTGTGATAAGGTTTGGCTGTGTCCCCATCCAAATCTCATCTTGAATTGTAATAATCCCCACGTGTCAAGGGTGGGACCAGGTGGAGATAATTGAATCATGGGGTCAGTTTCCCCCATACTATTCTCATGATAGTGAGTGAGTTCTCAGGAGGTCTGATGGTCTTATAAGGTGCTTTTTCCCCTTTAGCTCGGCAATTCTTCTTGCTGCTGCCATCCAAGAAGGATGTGTTTACTTCCCCTTCCACCATGATTGTAAGTTTCCTGAGGCCTCCCCAGCCATGCTGAACTGTGAGTCAATTAAACCTCTTTCCTTTATAAATTACCCACTCTTCGGTATGTCTTTATTAACAGTGTAAGAAAGGATGAATACACTTTGCTACTAAGTCCTTGTTCATGGTAAATTGTATATGCTATGCCATGCCGTGTCTTAGGATGGGCTCTGGTGACCGTTCAGTTTAACAGACATCACTTAATGCTCGATAGCTAAAGTAAATCTTACACACAGGTCATAACTTGGCAGTTCCCCAGGAAGATTTTTTTTGTTACCTCTGGCATAAAGTTTATTCTAGAGTAAAGCCTCACCAAATTAACAGCAGGTTTCTAAAAGTCCACTCTCTGTCCTTTCCTGGACATTCTTCTGCTTTGCTTTTCTCATTTTTACTTTTTTTTCTCTCTGACACCTTATTTCTTTTCTCCTCATCTTACATTCATCAACATACAGTGGCTGAAATACTGAGTCTAAGGGCATAGAAGGAGGGGTGGCAGTGAGTGGGGACAAGTGTGCACGGAGTAAGAAGAAAACTCAGCCCAGCTCCTGCATCTTCGAAACTCAAGCCCTGCCAGAGTTCCAAGGTCTTTTGATTTCCTTTGTGTTGGATTTAGAGTGATCATCTCTGAAAAACAGAGACCGAGTCAGAAGAGACTCATTTCTCATCTCCATGCCTTAAACAAGCACAAACATTCCATCTGTCATCTCTCCTGATGGCTCCTCTGTCCTTGATGAATTTTCAAGCCATTTTTATTTGAGAGCACAGGGACATTCTCCTAACCTTTTAACAATGTCTACCTGTCATGGAGCTTGAGAGATTTCTGAAATGCAGGCTGTTAGCCTCTTTACTTCCAAATAACAAATGCTTGAAATGCATCAAGGTTATATGGGCATTTCTGCTGTGATGTTGGACAGGCAGAGAAATGCCTGTTTATTGATGGTAATAGTGTAGAAATGTCCCTAAGTACACATTCTACACAGCTGGTCCTCACCCGAGTGTGCTGCCTTGTTTGGTTCCACTTTTGCAGCAGCTCAGGGAGGCACCCAAGATGGGCACACCCTGAGCCTCTCAACTCCAGTGAAACTCTGGTTTACTCACATGTTCCAAAGCATAGTGGATTCCAACTTTCGGCCTGGAACAAGAGTTGGTACAATGCAATTCTTTTATTAGAACTCAAGGAGCTGGGCCTGGGCTCGGTGGCTCACACCTGTAATCCCAGCACTTTGGGAGGCCAAAGCAGGCAGATCAATTGAGGTCGGGAGTTTGAGACAGCCTGGCCAACATGGTGAAACTCCGCCTCTATTGAAAATACAAAAATTAGCCAGGCGTGAGCTGGGCACGGTGGCTCTTGCCTGTAATCCCAGCACTTTGGGAGGCCAAGATGGGTGGATCACGAGGTCAGGAGATCGAGACCATCCTGGCTAACATGGTGAAAACCCATCTCTACTAAAAATACAAAAAAATTAGCTGGGTGTGTTGGCAGATGCCTGTAGTCTCAGCTACTTGGGAGGCCGAGGCAGGAGAATGGCATGAACCGGGGAGGCAGAGCTTGCACTGAGCTTGCACTGAGATTGCACCACTGCACTCCAGCCTGGGCGACAGAGTAAGACTCCACCTCAAAAAAAAAAAAAAAGAAATAGCCAGGTGTGGTGGCACGCACCTGTAATCCCAGCTACTCAGGAGGCTGAGGCAGGAGAATTGCTTGAATCTGGGAGGTGGAGGCGGTAGTGAGCCAAGATTGTGCCACTGCACTCCAGCCTGGGCAACAGCCAGACTCTGTCATCTCAGGAAAAAAAAAAAAAAACTAATGGAGCTGGGCACAGTGGCTCATGCCTGTAATTCCAGCACTTTGAAAGGCTGAAGCAGGAGGACTGCTGGAGCCCAGGAGTTTGAGACCAGCCTGAGTAACAAAACGAGCCCCCCTTCTACAAAAAAAAAATTGGGAGGGGCGTGGTGGTGCAGCCTTGGGAGGTTGAGGCAGGATACTCGCTTAAGCCTGGGAGGTCGAGGCTGCAGTGAGCACCACTGCACTCCAGCCTGGGCAACATGGTGAGATCCTGTCTCAAAAACAAAAACTCACAGGACTTTCAAGTGGAAGCAACCTTAACAACCATCTAACCTTCCTCTTTATGTCACACATGAAAGAACCAAGACTCAGAGAGGCTGAGTGAGTTGCCCAAGGCCACACAGCCTGGTGACATCAGGGCCTGGCAAGAGTCCGTATCTCCAGGCATTCTGTCTAGTACTCTGCCGCCAGCTATGTTCTCTCTCATGGGAAACTGCCCTCATGAGCCCTATGTGCAGGACTTTGGTGGTGGATAAAGGATACTGCAGCAGCTACTGGAGCTGTGGCAAACATGATTGCTAAGTGGAGGGATGGTGCACAATTGTGAGGTGGCAATGCAGGCCTCTGGTACAGGGGTGACTTGGGCCTGGCATAAATCAATACACATTCCCTGTGGGAATACTGGGGAAGGAGTACTGGCTTCATTCAATTCATTAGCTAATGACCCAGCAATTCTACTCCTGGGTACACATAATAGAAACGAATGTTTATTTCTACCAACAGACACATGCAGGAATATTTATTACAGCTTTATTCACAAGAGCCCCAAGCAGAAAATAGCCCAAATGTCATCAGCTTTAGAATAGATAAATAAATCGTATATTCACAGAATGGAATGCTATACTACAACAACAACAACAAAAAACAATAAACTATCGCTATACTCAACAACATAGGTGAATATCATAGGCATAATGTTGAACAAAAGAAGTCCAACATAGAAGAATACAGGCTGCATAAGGCCATTTACATAGTGTTTAAGAACAGGCAAAATTATTATTATTACTATACTCACCACTACACTAAAGAGGAAGGAACAGGCAAAATTAATCTTTGGTGATAAATATCAGAGAAGTGGTTGCCTTTGTGCATTGTTTTCTGCATGTTGCCACATAAAGCATACTTACTGATAAACTGTGTACACCTCACCTGTGTACCAAAGTCACCCACATTTTCCCAGTCTTTAGGGTAGCATAGGGTGGTCATTGCACAAGGCCGGGAATACTTAGTCCCTTTGGATTCTGGGGTAGGAGGTAGAGACTGGCTCAGGGGTTACAGGGGTCTCTTAGGGCACTGACCAGGGACAAAAACTATAGAGAATAGGTTGGAGCCTGAGGAATTATTTGAATGTATTGTTTCTTGATGGCTGGTGAATGACAGAAGGAAAGTCATTTACTCCCAAGACTTGGCTGTTTGGCTGGGTGTGGTGGCTCATGCCTATAATCCCAGCACTTTGGGAGGCTGAAGCGGGTGGATCACCTGAGGTCAGGAGTTCAAGACCAGCCTAGCCAACATGGTGAAACGCCATCTCTACTAAAAATACAAAAATTAGCTGGGCGTGGTGGCACACGTCTATAATCCCAGCAACTTGGGAGGCTGAGGTGGGAGGATCACTTGAGCCTGGGAGTTCAAGGCCGCAGTGAGCCATGATCACACCACTGTACTTCAGCCTGGGTGATAAAGACCCTGTCTCAAAAAATAAAAACAAAAGTCACCTGTAAATAACTACCCATAAAAAACTACTCCTAATATATTAATAATATGCACACATAACCTTTTATTTCTCCAAGAAAAATGGGACCATATTGTATATACTGTTCTTAACCTGCTGGGTTTTTTGCTTAATGCATTGTGATTCTGTTTTCCATGTTATGAAATGTTCTTTTACAATAGTATTTTTAATTATTGTGTAGTGTTTCTTTGTGTAAAAAATCTTATTTATCAAATTTCCTACTATTGGGCATTTAGGAATTTTTTCTCTAAGTTTTAAAACATTAACTTTTTTTTTTTTTTTGAGACAGAGTCTTGCTCTGTCACCCAGGCTACAGTGCAGTGGCGCAATCTCGGCTCACTGCAACCTCTGCCTCCCAGGTTCAAGCGATTCTTCTGCCTCAGCCTCCCTAGTAGCTGGGACAACAGGCGACTGCCACCACGCCTGGTTAATTTTTGTATTTCTAGTAGAGACGGGGTTTCACCATACTGGCCAGGCTGGTCTCAAACTCCTGACCTGGTGATCCTCCCGCCTCAGCCTCCCAAAGTGCTGGGATTACAGGCGTGAGCCACCACACCCAACCCTTTTTTTTTTTCTTTCTTGAGACAGGGTCTTGCTCTGTCACCCAGGCTGGAGTGCAGTGGCGCGATCTCAGCTCACTGCAAGCTCCATCTCCTGGGATCAAGTGATTCTCCCACCTCAGCCTCCTGAGTAGCTGGGACTACAGGCTTGTGCCACCATGCCCGGCTAATTTTTTGTATTTTTAGTAGAGATGGGGATTTGCCATGTTGGCCAGGCTGGTCTTGAACTCGTCTCCTCAAGTGTTCGGCCCACCTCAGCCTCCCAAAGTGTTAGGATTGGAGGCATGAGCCACCGCGCCTGGCCTAAAACATCAACATTATTAACAATTATGCTGATGAAGATTCTTGCAGGCAACTCACTGTGCATATTTATGATTATCCCCTAGGATAAGTTTCTAGCAATGAAATTACGGGGGACAAGAGTATGTACAGTGTCAGCTCTCTCATGTGTCTTACGTCTGCATGCTGAAACAATTTATGGTTTAGGGACATGCAATAGTTGTTTCCTGTATCCCTAATGACGCTGAATACATCGCTTTTCAAACCATTACCAATTTGGTAAGCAGAGCTCAATAGCTCAAAGTTTTAATATGCATTTATTTTATTATTAGCAAGGTTGAACTTTTTTACATACATGTTTTTATTTGTATTTCTGCATATGTCAATTCATGTTCTTTGTCCATTTCTCTATTGGTGTACTCATCTTTTCTAAAATATTATTTTAATTAATTATGGTTTTTAACTTAATACTATTTATCTTTACTTTTTAATTATTCATCTTTAAAATGTATAATTAATTATTTTAATTTATAACATTACTTACAATTTTTTATACTACTAATTACGACTTTATACTTTAAGCCATTTTATATCTATTTTTGTTAATCTTTCAAATTTGTTCTCATTTTTTATAATTGCTGTTATCTAATTTGAGCCTTTTGAAATACTTTTTTCAATCATTTTATTGCCTTATATCATTCTTTTTATCCCCTTCTTATTTCTCTTGAAAATCATCTCCTCTGTTTTTAATTATCTCTTTCAATGACTTTTAAACTAATAGGAGAAAAAGTGGGAAGAGAAATAGTAAGTGTGGGGAGAGTCCATGATGTTCTAGAGAGTTTAGGAGCCTTCTTTCCCCGGCTGCCCCGAGGCTATTCTTCCACTGGACCTCCTTTCCTTCCAAGGCTGGTTTCCCTGCCCTCAGGGACCCACAGAGCAATCCTCCTGACCACAGCCTGTGTGTGTGTATGTAGGAATGCCATTGTCTCTGGACCTCTGCCTCCACACCTTTCACAGAGAGCTATGAGATGATCAGCGGGGTCCCTGACACACACAGCCACTAGATTTGGGGCAAGCTGTGCCAACGATATCCCAGGAGAAAGGAGGGGAAGGTGGGCAGAAGAAGACATCTAGGGAAGGGCACTCTGCAAATTGCCTTTCTCCTAACTGTGGAGAGAAACCAAGGGGTGTCGCATCTCTAGAACAGCTCCCACTCTCCTTCCTTGTACTGTGAGCTCCTTGAACGCAGGGACTCTGTCTTCTTCAACTTTATATTCAGTCCATACTGGATCCCTAGTCTTCCGACGCATGTTTGTTAAATGAATTAATTAACGTGAACCAAGTATGTTCTCTTTTCTAAAGGGCCAGCATCGTGTGGTGGGGTCAGAAATCTTAGGTTGTAACTCCAGCTTTATAATTAGTAAAGTAAGACCTATAGCGAGATCATGGATATAATGTTTAATTTCTCTAATTGTTGGCTTTCTCGTTTCTAAAAAAAGGATAATACCTAACCAATTTACTTTATAAGGGTAAAATAAGGAAAACCCTATAGGTTGTTATGGAGATTTCAGAAGAAGTTTTTAAGTCATTTAAATGTAAAAGTTGTTTGGGAAAATTTAATTAGAATACAAAATAACTAAGATATGAGTGCCCTTTTCCCTCACTCTTGCCCAATACTCAGGTGTGGCTGGTCCACTCAGCAGGTCCTGTTGTAAGTTCTTGTCACACGACCAGGAAAGATTAGGCACGCAGACACTTTGAAGGGTGAGGGGTTACAGAATTTATTGAGGGAAAAGGAAAAAGACTCTCGGCAAAGCAAGAGGGGCTCCTGTTAACAGGCCCCCATCTTACAGATTGAATTTCAGGTCACCACCCAGGAACAGGAGAAGCCAGGCTCCTCCCCACTGCAAATGGCACAAACTTCCTGAGGCCTCACCCCATCCTCCCAGTGTGCAGGCCAGTTGGAAATTTTCCAGGGAGCCCTTTTTACTTGGCTGTCTCAGTCCCACTGTCCTTTTTCTCCATCCCACACCTGATGGAGCTACTCAGTGGAGGCAGAGGCACCAGGCTGGGTGAATCTCTGTAGGAAAGGCCTGGGTTGACTCCAAGAGAGACCAGCAGAGGGGAGGAGGGAAGAGGATAAGAGAGGCCTCAGGGGCAGGGAAGATGTGATGGAGGAAGGCTGCAGAGAAGGTCCCAGGGGTCAGGGGTTGGAAAATGGAGTGACAAGAGAGATAGGGAAATTCAGTCAACCTTTCTGTGGACTATGAACTGGCTCCACTTTATTCTTTTTCAGTAGATGCCAGTTGTACCTGTCAGGGTTCTCCACAGAAATTGAACCTGTAGGAGATGTAGATGATAGAGATAGAGGTAGAGAGGTAAATGTGTGCCGGGCATGGTGGTTCACGCCTGTTCACTCCCAGTACTTTGGGAGGCCGAGGTGGGAGGATCCCTTGAGTCCAGGAATTCAAGACCAGCCTGGGCAACATAGGGAGACCCCCACCTTTACAAAAAAAATAATTTAAAAATTACCCTGGAGTTGTGGCATGTGCCTGTGGTTCCAGCTACTCAAGAGGCTGAGGTGAGAGGATCGCCTGAGCCCAGGAGGTCAGCGCTGCAGTGAGCCGTGATCGCACCATTGCAGACCAGCCTGGGCAACAGAGACTCTGTCTCCAAGAAAAAGAGAGAGAGAGAGAGAGAGAGAGAGAGAGAGAAAGTAGATGTGGATATAGATCTATCATGTATATATGTGTGAGGTATATGTATATTCCAAGGAATTGGCTTACACAGTTTTGGGGGCTGACAAATCTGAAATCTGCTGGACAAGCTAGCAGGCTGGCAGTCTGGAACCTCTGGGTCAGGAGCTGATGTGGCAGTCTTGAAGCAGAATTCCTTCCTCCTCAGGAAAACCTAGTTTTACTCTTAAAGCCTTCTAACTGACTAATAAGGCCCACCCACATTATTGAGGATAATTTCCTTGACTTAAAGCCACATCTCCAACATACCACCACAGCAACACCTAGATTTGTGCTTGAGTAACTGTGTACTGCAGCCTAGCCAAGTTGCACAGAAAACTGACCATCACGCCAGTATAGATTGGATCTGCTTTACATTTTTGCTGCTAGGCTGTTTCTTTGAGTGAGACCCTGATCTGAGATTGAACTACACAGTGCAATGGGATTTATTTCTGATAATGAGTGTAAAGCCCCATGCATACAAATACAAGGACTGGCTGGGCGTGGTGGCTCACACCTGTAATCCCAGCACTTTGGGAGTCCAAGGTGGGCGAATCACCTGAGGTCAGGAGTTCGGGACCCGCCTGGCCAACATGGTGAAACTCCATCTCTACTAAAAACTGCAAAAATTAGCTGGGCGTGGTGGTGTGTGCCTGTAGTCCCAGCCACTCAGGAGGTTGAGGCATGAGAATTACTTGAACCTGAGGGGTGGAGGTTGCAGTGAGCCAAGATCGCGCCACTGCACTCCAGCCTCGGCAACAGAGTGAGACTCTGCCTCAAAAAACAAATAAACAAAAGTAAATAAAATAAAAACAAATACAAGGACCAGCATCACTCCATGGATTAAGGAGGTGCTGTGCAAGTATTAGGTTGGTGCAAAAGTAATTGCTGCTTTTGCCATTATTTTCAACCCCAATTACTCTTCTTCAATATTTTTGCTGATTAAAATTATAGAGTGAAAAGGGGAAGAGAAAGTAATTGGGCAGCTGGGCATTCTGGCTGTGTCCTTAGGGGATTCTGGGGAGAGAGCCTTCTCTCTGAGGGTGGGCAATCTAAAAGTGTACATCCCGGCCTGCAAAGCTGACCCAAAGGGAGCACTGGTGTCTTCATAGGGCACTTTGGTGCTTGACATGTGTGTAGTAACTTAGTCCAAGCATCTGCAAAGTCCAAGTGATCTATTCATTTGTAAACGAAAATACCTCCCAAGAGGAAAGAGAAGGCCAGGAGGGACACAGAGAAGCAAGCTGATTCCAGCAATGGAAGAAAGAAAATGCTCCAAAGGCTCCTTGGGTAGCCCGTAGCCCAGTCCTCTGAGGAAGAGCTCTCCTTCCTGAGCACTGGCTTCTTTAGGGTCCTGAATGCAGGCTGCTCAAAGCCCTGTGTCTCAGGGCCCCTTCTCTTTTCTTTTTCTTTCTTTTTTTTTTTTTTTTTTTTTGAGACAGAGTGTCACACTGTCACCCAGGCTGGAGTGCAGTGGCGCGATCTCTGCTCACTGCAACCTCCACCTCCAGGGTTCAAGCGATTCTCCTGCCTCAGCCTCCCGAGTAGCTGGGATTACAGGTGCCCACCACCATGCCTGGCTAATTTTTTGTATTTTTAGTAGAGGTGGGGTTTCACTATGTTGGCCAGGCTGGTCTTGAACTCCTGACTTCGTGATCTGCCTGCCTCGGCCTCCTAAAGTGCTGGGATTACAGGTGTGAGCCACCACACCTGGCCCCAGGGCCTCTTCTATAGAGAGGGCAGCCTGACAGGAGGCAAGAGAGACAGCCACTTCCTGGGCCCCCATCTACCCTCACCCCATCCCCATGGAACCACTTCCTCCCACTCAAGCATCACGGATCACCCATGGACTGTTGAAGCCTTCTTGGCCTTCCTGGAGTAGATTTCCTGGATGGGGATGCCGTCCTCCAGACACCCCTTCCCAAGCTGCATGCTATAAACTGAATCCTTAGCATGGAAAACAAAAGCCTTGCCAGCCCACGAATCACTTTTAATGATCCCTGAAAGAAACCATCAGTAAACCTCAGGCAGAGATCTGGAAGTCTGGAGGTATGGCTACAAAAACACAAGGTGAGGAAGGTGACATATCAAGGCTCATTTCACTTGGGCAGCATCTCTGTTTCTTTCTTTCATGGATCATTGTGTTTGCCTCTTTGTCTGCCGGGAGGTAGAGATGCATCTTACCTGAACACATTAGGAATTTATAGTTAATCTTGAGCTGTGATGAGCCTTATCCATCTCGATATTAGTACCATACTCGGGACTGTGCTGCCTGTGTGTTGAGACAGAGGGATTCAATTATAAACAAAATGCCTGCAACAAATGCCAGCCTTCTCCTATTAGAATGTTAAATGGTCAATGTAGCTGTGAGCGCAGGAGGAAAAGCTATTGTCGGCTCCCTCCACCCCTCACCCTACTTCATTTCTTCTGCCCTGCCTTCCCCAGCCTCTTAGGGATCTGGTATGGTGATGAAACTCAGTCCTCACCCTTTTAGCCTGGTCACAGTCCCCTCCCAGGTTTAAGTAGACTCCAGAGTGCTAGAGCCCATTTGACAGAGAGGAAGTACATCACTATTATAGCCCTGATTTAATATCACGAATATGGTAAATCATATTTTCAAAAAATGGCCAGAGCCATATTTCCAATATTCCTGGTCCCATGTTCTTTTCCTGAACTTTTCACTCCCTATTAACGGGTGGAGTCTGCTTTCCCTTCCTCTGAACCTGGTTGGGCTTTCTGACAGATTCAGTGAATAGAGTGCAGCAGATGAGATCCTGTATGGCTTCTGCAAGTCTGGGTTATAAAAAGCAATATTGCTTCTGCCTGGTTCCCTCTTTCTCAAGATGCCAAGCTTTGGAGCCCAGTCACCATGCTGTGGAGAACCCCAGGCCACATAGAGAGGCCATGTATGGTTGTTCCAGCTGACAGTCCCTGCTAAGGTCACAGCTTCCAGCTGGCAGCACCCACCAGACCTGGGAGGGAGTGAGACTTCAGATGATTCCAGCCTGGGCACACCCCAGCGTATGTGGGTGGAGCACAGATGAGTTCTCCCTGCTGAGCTCTGCTCAAATTGCAATTTGTGAGCAAAATTAATGCCCTATTGTTTCAAGCCATAAAGTTATAGGGTAATTTTGTTGGAATAGGCATAGCAACTGGAATAATGACTCTTCTAGATCTGGAATCTAGAAGCCTGAAAAGACTACTGCACTCTTCACTCACTGAGTCAGGTCAGTCTCAAGCCAGGCCCAGAAAGACAAACACTGCATGATCTCCTTACAAGTGGAATCTAAAAAAGTTGAACTCGCAGAAGCAGAGAGTTGAACGGAAGTTGCCAGGGGTTGGGGAGTGGGGAAAATGGGAGATGTTCGTCAAAGGGTACAAATTTTCAGTTATAAAATGAACAAGTTCTGGGATCTAATGAATAGCATGGGTGGTGATGGATGTGTTAATTAATTTGACTGCAGTAGCCATTACACAATGTATATATATGTCAAATCATCACATTATACACCTTGAATATGGTCTATCTTTATTTGACAATTCAATATTTTTTTGGGAGGCCGAGGCGGGTGGATCACTTGAGGTCAGGAGTTCAAGACCAGTCTGGCCAACATGGCAAAACCCCATCTTTACTAAAAATATAAAAATTAGCTGGGCATGGTGGCATGCACCTGTAGTCACAGTTACTCAGGAGGCTGAGGCACAATAATCGCTTGAACCCGGGAGGCAAAGGTTGCCGTGAGCCAAGATCACGCCACTACACTCCAGCTTGGGCGATAGAGTGAAACTGTGTCTCAAAAAAGATATATATTTTTAAAAACTTAAAGAAAAAGAAAATACCAGTGTTTTGCTGAAGTCAACAAGCTTTATACAAAAGCACTGGTACAAGCCAGGTGCAGTGGTGCCAGCTGTAGTCCTACATCGGAGGCTTGAGGCAGGAGGAATAGCTTGAGCCCAGGCATTCGAGACCAGCCTGGGCAACATAGTGAGACCCTGTCTCAAAAATAAAACAAAATCATTTTTTCAAAAGCACTAGTACAAATAAAAGCCTTGACAGTTTTACTGTAAAGAAAAAGGTCTAGAACAACAAACATTAAATTGGTCATTTTTGAGGAGGAGAATGGAATGTGAGGTGATAAACTGCGGACTTTAGTTTTTTGCTGTATATACCTCCGTATTATTTGAAAAGAATACAAACAAGTATTATAATTTCTAAAATTCTAAAACCAACCAACTAACCAATTAATAAGTAAATGTCTTGCTTATTGATTGACTTAGAACTGAAAAAGAGAGAACGGACATGTCTTGCCATCCCCGGGCTCTTTCTGGAGCACTTGGTTCCTTTCTGGATGTTGGCAAAAGAGACAGTGATGGGGAATCTCCCCTTAGACTTCTTCCCCTTTCCCATGCAGGGCAGGTCTGGTCAAGTACAGGACACCTGTGGCCTATAAGGTCCTGGGATGATTAGCGAATATCAAATCTAGGCAGCACCAAGCAGTCTCCCTCCCGGGATTTCTAAGAAAGTGTGATACCCAGATGCTGTTTCTTTCATTTGAATGTGACGATGAAGCTGTTTCTTTACTTTTCTGTTTTAGAACAAAGCTTTTAAAGCCATACCATCAGTTGTTAAAGCACCTTGAGTTGTTTGTCTAAAAATGGGGATGATTTCTCAAAGAACTACTGACGAACACTTGCCAGGTTTCTCTGACAGCCACTGGCTCAATTTTGGGAGATGTTGGTTATGAGTAGCTGGTGACATTGGGAGAGATGGAGACTGAACTCATGGTTCAGATCCAGTAACAACAGAAGTCGATCATTTTGAAGTGGATACAGCTAATCTTGTGAATGGACATAGCACCAGAATACAATGCATTCTTATACTTTATTTACTAAGCAAACAGAGGCAAATGGCTTGATTTCTCTTTCATTCATCCTCTTAACACTCAACTGAGCTCCCACTTGTACCAGAATGTTCCATCCTTAGTAAAATGAACTGCGGACAGCATATGAGTGGCTTGTAAATATGAAAGTGTTGCCTTTTACCTTGGATGTGCCTTGGCCAGGCCATATGTAACTTAAGCCATGGCTACCGAGAATGACATTGTATCAAGTTCCCCAGGGAACAGCAGTGGCAGAATCAGAAATAAAAAAGCTGACCAAAAGCTCTCTTTTCATGCTAGCTGGAATTTACCGAAAGTGAATCCAAACTGCAAAAGGGTACTAAGGCTGGGTTAGAAATTATAAACCTTCATGAGACACAAATAAAACACACTTCCCTATAGATCAGCCAGCAGTACAGGAGACGACTGCCTCCTGTCTGGGAGCTTACCTCTGCAAGGATTCAGTGGAGTGGCACTGGGGAGCAGGTAGCATTTTGATTGTGAATGTTTCTTTGATTTGGCACTGCTCTGAGACGGATCTGTTCCATAATAGATTTAGGGTGGTTATATACACAATCTCGTGATGCTGGCTAGCAGAAAGTTTGAATACTCAAGTGATACTTTAAATATACTT
The DNA here is from genome assembly GCF_000001405.40 of Homo sapiens. Classification (NCBI taxonomy): domain Eukaryota; kingdom Metazoa; phylum Chordata; class Mammalia; order Primates; family Hominidae; genus Homo; species Homo sapiens. The sequence continues at coordinate 133,102,616 of NC_000007.14, forward strand.
TTCAAAGGAACGCATTTTTAAGTACCCCTCAATTCTTTCATTTCTTTTATCGTTTGAAACCCAAGGTAAGTGTTTCCTCATCAAATAGTACATTCTCTTTAAATATACTAAATCACATGCTAAGCATTCCTTTCCCTCTTTTTACAAAATGATCAGATTAGGAAGAATGACATTGCAACTGTATTGCTAATTTCTTTATCTGTCCTTACAAAGGTTTAGCTTTCCAAAGCAGCTTTAAAATTTAAGTGCCTATGAGATGCCATGTGCAGTCAGGTACCAAAGATACAGCTCTACCTGCAATGGCTTTCTGTTTGAGGTGGCAGTTCTAAGCATTAATGTATTAATGTGCACCAGAACCACCTGAGATACATTTTTTTCTTTTTTGAGGCAGGGTCTCACTCTGTTGCTCAGGTTGGAGTACAGTGGTATGATCTTAGCTCACTGTAGTCTTGACTTCCCCAGGCTCAGGCGATCCTCCCACCTTAGCCTCCAGAGTACCTACTACTACAGGTAGGCACCACCATGCTTAGCTAATTTTTTTTCTTTTTTTTTGGTGGGGGGAGACAGGGTTTTGCCATGTTGCCCAGGCTGCTCTCCAATTCCTGGGGTCAAGTGATCTACCCACCTTGGCCTCCCAAAGTGCTGAGATTATAGGCATGAGCCACCACACCTGGCCTAGGATACTTTTTATTTATTTGTTTATTTATTTATTTATTTATTTTTGAAACAGATTCTGGCTCTGTCACCCAAGCTGGAGTGCCGTGGCCTGATCTTGGCTTACTGCAACCTCTGCCTCCTGGGTTCAAGCGATTCTCCTGCCTCAGCCTACCAAGTAGCTGGGATTACAGGTGCCTGCCACCATGCCCAGCTAATTTTTGTATTTTCAGTAGAGACAGGGATCTCACCACATTGGCCAGGCTGGTCTCGAGCTCCTGACCTCAAATGATCCACCTGCCTCAGCCTCCCAAAGTGCTAGGATTACAGGCACAAGCCACCGTGCCCAGCCTGGGATACTTTTTAAACATGTAAATACCTGGCTCCATCCCCAGAGGTTGTGTTTCATTAGGTCTGGGGTGTGTCCTCTGGCATCTGCCTTTTAACAAGCATCCCAGATGATTCCATTGAGAATAGTCTGCAGCCTACGCCACCCCTCCAGAGGTGAAAATCTCCTTCGTGGCCTTCCTGTCCGCCTACACTAGAAAGTGCCATTGTGCAGCATTTGACACTTATCTGTCATTTTACTTTTCGGAATTGACTTTTTATATAGTGCCTTTATTAAAACTCAATTTTTACTTTTTCCTATTTGTCCTGCAAGGTCCAGACTTGAGATAGAAATAGGTTTGAGGCTGGGTGCCGTGGCTGACGCCTGTAATCCCAACACTTTGGGAGGCTGAGGCAGGCAGATCATGGGGTCAGGTGTTTGAGAACAGCCTGGCCAACATGGTGAAACCTCATCTCTACTAAAGATACAAAAAAATTAGCTGGGAGTGGTGGCCCACACCTGTAATCCCCGCTACTTGGGAAGTTGAGGCAGGAGAATCACTCAAACCCAGGAGGCAGAGATTGAGGGAGCTGAGATCGCAACCCTGCACTCCAGCCTGGGCCACAGAGTGAGACTCTGTCTCAAAATAATAACAATAAACAAGTTCGGAGGAGCAAGATTACAGGGAAGTGGATGTTTAAAGTCTAAATCAGAATCTAATTTTGATGCAAGGTATAATATTCACTTACTAAACGCAGCTTAGGGATTCTGAGCTAAGAAATATTCATGTGGATAAGAAAAAAATCTACTGTAGAAGTGAATTACATGTTCTTTTCAGAAATGTCATCCTCTATTTCATTAAAACAGTTTTAGTGCTAAAGAAAAAAAGGCATGAGTCCTGTTTAGCTAAACTGTAATTGCTGAAAGTATGATGGGACATTTCATTCTCCCAGCCCCCAGGCTTCCCTCAATTCGTGTTAATAGCCAGGTTGGCAGGACACACAACTTGAACACTGAAAAGGCCATCACATCCTGATTCAAGACCTCATAGCTAAAGAATTTATCGTCTTATCATTGGGTCAAAAAAATTGTTGCTTCTGTTTTGACCTTCCATAAACCCTCTTCTCTCCCTAGGGCTCCTCGGCATAAAACAGAATTGAAACCAACTAAGCAGGGTCACAAATATTACTTCCCATCAGTTCCCTGGGCTTCTTAAAGATGGTAGCCAAGGTTAGGAGAGTGGATATTACTCCTGAGCTGCACGGATAGAGTGAATAAAGTTGTGAAATCTCCACTCCTCTGATAATTAAGGTTCTGACCACAGGAGAATAAGAAGAATTAGAAAAATGAGTGGTACTGGATGATTATTGTTTTGTTTGTATGTTTGTTTGTTTTGTCCATTTAACATCTCTTTCTTCTTCGGTAATTGAATCCCTCTTTTCTATGGGAAACTCTTTATGTGTGGTTTGGATAGAGTTGCCCCTGCCCATTACCACAATCAGAGTACTCGGGTTCCTTTTCTTAACCCCTCCACACTGCCCCCTCCACCCACCCCCGCCCCAGCCTGATCCCCAGCCCTGGAGTAGTTGGCTACTAGATAGGCATATAGGCACATGCCTTAAAGGGGCCAGTCGATAATGTCCCTGGTACTTTTCTGCCAGAGGTACGAGAAACCTTCTCTTTCCCCTGGGATTGCTAAACCAACAGGAGGGGAATCTTGGGCTGTGGGGTGTCATCATTATCATCACGATGAAAGAACCTACCTGAGCTAGGAAAAGATAGATGGACCTCGGGTGACAATATTTGAGCCCTGAATGCAGCCAAGTCTGATTTTTAATTACATGAGTCCATAAAAACTGTCCCATCACTTGAGGCCAGGAGTTTGAGATCAGCCTGGGCAATATAGTAGATCCTTCCCTCTTCAATTCAAAATTTAAAACGAGCTGGGCATGGTGGCATGCACCTGTGGTTCCAGTTACTTGGGAGGCTGAGGTGGGAGGATTGCCTGAGCCCTGGAGGAGGAGGCTGCAGTGAGCCATGATTGCGCCACTGCACTCCAGCCTGGGTGACAGAGTGAGATCCTGTCTCAAATAAAATAAAACCCCTCCATAGACTGTTTGCCCCTAGGTTAGTTGAGGGTGGCTTTCTGTCACTTGCAACCAAAAGAACTCTGAGCAATACAGATTATACATTTGTCCTTGAGATTTATGGCATGGTGGAGTGGATGCTACTGATGCAGCCAGTGGCCTCATCTCCCAGCTGCTGTGAGTGGTGTCTAATGACTTATACCTGTGACTGTCCTGGAGGATTGCCCTTGAATGACAAAGTACCCTCACCCTGAAATGCGTGGGAATTTACATCCCACTCAGGAGTCAGGCATGCACTAACTGATACACTTCTGCTGCAAGGTGGGACAGCTCTGCAGAGCAATTTCTGAGCCCAGGCTCCCCAGAGATCTGCCAAGGCTGGAGTTTACCTGAGGCCACACAGTGCTCAGCTCCTCCCCTTCCGCATCTGCTTTTCTTGCCCTGTTACAATTTTCCTGAAGAGCCTTCCCTCAGTATACTCCCGTTTTTTTGTTTGTTTGTTTGTTTTTTTGATGGACTCTCTCTCTGTCACCCAGGCTGGAGTGCAATGGCATAATCTCGGCTCACTGCAACCTCCACCTTCCGGATTCAAGTGATTCTCCTGCCTCAGCCTCCCGAGTAGCTGGGATTACATACATGTGCATGCCACCATGCCAGGCTAATTTTTGTATTTTTAGTAGAGACAGGGTTTCACCATGTTGGCCAGGCTGGTCTCAAACTCCTGACCTCAAGTGATCCACCTGCCTCAGCCTCCCAAAGTGCTGGGATTACAGGCATGAGCCACTGCGCCTGGCACCCTCGGTACATTTCCTGCACCTGAATTCCTGCCTTGGCCTCTGCTTTTAGGGAATACAATCTAAGACATATAGTCTTTTTTAAATTAGTTCTCATTTTAATCAAATAAATATATTACATGGTTAAAAAGCAAAAAGGTATGAAGAGGTTTTTGCTGGTAAACAGCAGTCTCCTGCTCAACCCTTCTCCACCCCCAGTCAGGGAGGCAATTAATCTCGACTCTTCTAATTCCCTATTACCTATGTCAACGATTTCAATGGCAAGCATACATTATTTCCATTTTAAGCATTATCTGCTGACGTCCCCCAAGGGCAGAGGAGAACTTTGCTCATTTATACTGCCTTTGCTCTCATTCTTCCCATCCCCCACCAGCATCACGTATCAGAACTTCTGGTTCAATCAATAGTTGTTTGTTCGTTTGAGACAGGGTCTTGCTCTGTTGCCCAGGCTGGAGTGTAGTGGCCTGATTTCGGCTCACTGCAGTCTCAACCCCCGAGTCTGAAGACATCTTCCCATCTCAGCCTCCTGAGTAGCTGGCACTACAGGCATACACCACCACACCTGGCTAATTTTTGTATTTTTTTGTAGAGATGGGGTTTCACCATGTTGCCCAGGCTGATCTTGAACTCCTGAGCAGAAATGATTCACCCACCTTGGCATCTCAAAGTGCTGGGAGGCATGAGCCACTGTGCCCAGCCAATAGTTATTTTTTATATTATTGTGACTATTATAACCTATAACCATATCTCATCAAATGTGAGATTGTCATCAATTGTAAGATATATTATTTTGTGTTAATTTTTTTATTTTTAATTTTTGTGGGTACATAATAGGTGTTTACATTTATGGGGTACGTGAGATGTTTTGATTCAGGCATGCAATGTGAAGTAAGCACATCATGGAAAATGGGGTATCCATCCCCCCTCAAGCATTTATTCTTTGTATTACAAACAATCTAATTATGCTCTTTTAGTTTTTTGTTGTTGTCGTATTTTTTTTTTTTTTTTTTTTGGTGAGACGGAGTTTCACTCTTTGTTGCCCAGGCTAGAGCACAATGGTGTGATCTTGGCTCACAGCAACCTCCACCTCCCAGGTTTAAGCAATTCTCCTGCCTCAGCCTCCCGAGTAGCTGGGATTACAGGCATGTGCCACCACGCCTGGCTAATTTTGTATTTTTAGTGGAAATGGGGTTTCTACATGTTGGTCAGGCTGCTCTCAAACTCCCGACCTCAGGTGATCCGCCAGCCTCGGCCTCCCAAAGTGCTGGGATTACAGACATGAGCCACTGTGCCCAGCCATTCTTTTAGTTATTTTTAAGTGTACAATCAAACTATTATTGACTATAATGACCCTCTTGTGCTATCAAACACTAGATCTTATTCATTCTTTCTATTGTTTTTGGTACCCATTAACAAACCTCCCCTTCCACCCGCCACCACCCCCTGCCCGCCAACTACCTCTCCTAGCCTGTGGTAACCTGTACTATTATTGTATATACTACTGAGAAGACAAAATGTTGCCAATTAAGCATGACATACCATCAATTATATGTTTCATCCCAGTTTCAGAAATAGCAACATGTAAAACAAAAACGTTTTGTCAGTCCCCCTTCCCTACACATTAGAATATCAGATCCATAAAAGCAAGCACTTTGTTTGTTTTCTTCACTGCTGCAGGCTTGGTAAAGCACACAAAACTCAATGAAGAACTGTTGAATGAATATGCAAATTCTGATTCCTTTTGAGCTGCACAGTTTGCTATGATGCAGTTTGATTCTTATGTAACCCATTTGCTTAGTTTTCTAGGAACCTCCCATTAGTAATTCCCAAGTGTCCCAGCATTACTGTCACATATGCTTTCATCCCATTCTCATGTGCTCAAACATGTCAGTCCCATCTTCTCTCCTATTTAGGAGACTCTGGATTGACCTCCTGAAGCCCTCTGTCCTTCTATTCCCATCTCTACCTCCCTCACCTCATTTGGGAATTCCCTTTACTGCTGTCTTGTGTTCTTTTTTTCTTGATCCCATGTTTCCCCTTTTTTGGATTACCACCTTGTTCTTATGGAGCATATCCTTGATGATCTTCCCGGGAAAGGTCTTTTTTTGGGGAGTGGTTGTGTGTCTAAAAAGATCTTTATTATACCACCCCATTATTGATTGATAATTTGGGGTAGGTAGAGAATTCTAGAATGAGTATTGTTTTTCACTCAGAGCTTTGAAGGCTCCATGGAATGAATCAGCCCTCCTACTCCCACAGGCACTGTGGTGTGGCCTTCTTTGCTAATCAGCTGCTACTCTTCCATCTTCCTGCCATTTCCCAAAAATAACCTGAAATCTGTTTATTCTTGCTTCATCTCCAATTTTTTTGGTCTTTGTGAGTTTATCCCTTTTTAAAAAATTTATTTACTCTTTATTATTTAGTAGAGTTTTAAGAAACAGAGGAAAGACATTACTTCTGGTTACTGTTTTTCCATTGGGGATTTGTTTTTAAATAACATTTCCTTATTTCAAAGTTAATGTATGTTTATTGAATAAAACACAAGTAAGCAAAAGAAGGAAAATTAATATCACCTGTGATCCCACTGCCTAGAGAAAGTAATTGTGACTATGGATTTTTCCAGCACTTTTTACTGTATGTCACATAAAAAAAGTTGTCATTACTATTGTTACCCACTGCTACCCCTATTAAGGGGTGGGAGAAAGGATGCTGGTAACAGGAGATCCCTTTTGTGAAACACTATAATGGGAGGGGTAATGCAAATTTGGAGCTAGAAGCTGAAACAGAGGATTATTCTACATAATTAAAGGTGGTACCAATGCATTTGGGGCTAGAGGGAAAGCCAGGAGAAAGTGTACAGAGGCCAGGGATGTTGAGTATTGTATTAAAGATGGATGGCAAAAAAACTCCTATTGGCATCAAGGTAGAAAAAAAAAGGATTTTCAAAACTAGACCTGACTGATGGATCAGTGCTTGCTTAAGGATGTGAAGTGTAAACCCACTTTATTGTATTGTTCAATGTTACCTAAATTAGTAAGCTCTTTCTCAGAAAATTCAAGAGCTACTTGGTCATCTATACAATTCAGTATGAGAACAAGCATTACATGTGGAAAAATGTGATATTTAGTTTACATAAACATATATGTATATTTTAGGAAAAATGGGACCATTTTTATACTGGGCTCTTATGCATCATGTTTTTTTCCACTAAGTAACTGTGAATGACTTTCACATTATTAAAAATTCCACTACTGAGACAACTGAATAGATACCTACCTGCAAAAGAAAGTAAAAAGACAGCATATAAAAACGGGAGAAAATATTTGCAAATCATATATCTAGTATCCAGAATATGTAAAGAAATCCTACAACTCAACAACAAAAGGTAAAACAATCAAACTAAAAAAATGGAGACAGGACAGATTCACAAGAAGATATACAAATGGCCAAGAAGCACATAAAAATATGCTCAATAGCATTAGTCATTAGGGAAATGCAAATCAAAACCACAAGATGATACCACTTCACACCTACTAGAATGGCTATAATAAATCTTTTTTTTAAAAGACAGAAAATAGCCTGGACATGATGACTCATGCCTGTAATCTCAACATTTTGGGAAGCCAAGGTGGGAGGATCACTTGAGGCTGGAAGTTTAAGACCAGCCTGAGCAATATAACAAGACCCTGTCTCTACAAAAAATTTGAAAAATTAGCCAGGCATGGTGGTGCACATCTGTAGTCCCTGCTACTTGGGAGGCTGAGGCTGGAGGATTGCTTGAGCTCAGGAGTTTGAGTTTGCAATGAACTATGATTACACCACTGCAGTCTAGCCTGGGTGACAGAGCAAGACCCTATCTCGAAAATAAAATAAAATTAAACACAGAAAATAGTGTTGGCAAGGATGTGGAGAGATTGGAGCCCTCATACATTGGTGTTGGGAATGTAAAATGGTTCAGCTGCTACAAAAAAACAGTTTCTTTTTGGTTCCTCAAAAAGTTAATGTATGACCTAGCAATTCCGCTCCTACGTATACACTCACATGAATTAGAAACAGATACTCAAATACACGTACATCCATGTTTGCAGCACTATTCACAATAGCCAAAAGGTGGAAACAACCCACATGTTCATCAATGGATGAATGGATAAACAAATTGTGGTATATACATACAATGGAATATTATTTAGCTGTAATAAGAAATGATAAACTAATACAGCTCTACAACATGAATAAACCTATAAAACACTCTGAAGCGAGGCACAAAAGCTCAAATATCATATGGTTCCATTGATTTGACATATCCAGAATAAGCGAATCTGTAGAGACAGAAATCAAGATAAGGATTTCTGTGGGGTCAGGTGCTGGAGGGATGGAGAAATGAGAAGTAATGGCTTAATGTTTGTGGGTTTCCTTTTAGGATGATAAAAACATTTTGAAACTAGATTAAGGTATTACTTGTGCAAAGTATAAATGTGCTAACTGCCACTAGGTTGTTCACTTTAAAATTTTTTTTTTTTTTTTTTTTTTTTTTGAGACGGAGTCTCGCTCTGTCGCCCAGGCTGGAGTGCAGTGGTGTGATCTCAGCTCACTGCAAGCTCCGCCTCCCAGGTTCACGCCATTCTCCTGCCTCAGACTCCCGAGTAGCTGGGACTACAGGTGCCCGCCACCACACGCAGTTAATTTTTTTGTATTTTTAGTAGAGACAGAGTTTCATCATGTTAGCCAGGATGGTCTCAATCTCCTGACTTTGTGATCTGCCCACCTTGGCCTCCCAAAGTGCCCGGGAGCCACTGCACCTGGCCTAAAATGGTTATTTTTATGGCATGTGAACTTCACCTCAAATTTTTAAAATCCCCTAAACACTGTTTTTAATGACCACAGTGTTATATTTGGCAGATACACTATTAAAAAAATCCTTCATTTTTTTGACATAGAGATTGCTTCTAGTTTTTCCTTGGTATAAACGAAACTGTACAAACACCCTAGCAGCTAAATATTTGCAGCCATCTCCTTTTAGGAAAAAACAATCCCAAAAGGTAGGCTTGCTTGGCCAATGAAGATATATAGTTAAAAGTGTTTAGATAATTTTTCCAGATTGTCCACAAGAAACACTGAAAAAGATTAAGATTCATCTACTCTACTCCAGGGAAATTATTTGTATCAATATGTTTTAACCATTGCTCAGAATGGAGCCCTAATGACATCACACAGATTTTCCAACCTCGCCACCCTTCTTGCAGTCCCATGGCAATCATCTCTCATCTGTATCTTCAAATATCACCCATATGTGTATAATTCCCAAAGCTCTATCTCCAGCCCAACTTTCCCTCTTGAACTCCAGCCTTGCATACTAAAAAATTAACCAGTTTATACTGTGTAACAAGCCCCAAAATTCAGTGCTTTGACCCATTTTTCACTAATCAAAGTTTTTCCCCCCACAAGGTGCAATATGGGCCAGCAGTGGGAGGTGGAGGGAGGGGTGTTCCTTTACCCTGTTACTCAGGGACTGTATTAGTCAATAAGGGCTGCCATAATAGAATTCCACAGATTGGGTGGCTTACACAACAGAAATTAACTTTCTTACACCTCTGCAGACTGGAAATCTGAGCTCAATATATGGGCAGGGGTTGGTGTCTTCTGAGGCCTCTCTCCTTGGCCTGTAGATGTCTGTCTTCTCCCTCTGTTTTCATATGGCCTTCCCTCTGCATGTCTGTGTCCTAACCTCCCCTTCTTAGGAGCACACCAGTCATATTCGATTAGGGTCCACCATCTGAACTCGTTTTACCTTAATCACTTCTTTAAAGACCCTGTCTCCAAATACAGCCACATGCTGAGGTCACTTCAACACAGGAATCTGGAAGGCCACAGTTCAGCCCATAACAGGCGCCTGTGTTGACAGAGGTTCCAGTATGGTAAGGCACTCTCTGCAACATGGAACCTTTCTTAGTGGGCATGGGCCAGGGAAGACAGAACTGCAGGGTCTGCCCAAAGATTCAGTGCTTCAGCCCAGACATGGCACATGTCATTGTCATGTACAGCCCATTGGTCAGAACAAATCACATGGCCCTGCTCGTCTGCAAGGAGGCTGTGAAGTGTAGTCTTTCATGAACCTGGAAGGAGAGGAAAAGCAGGTATTGACAAGCACCAGCAATGCCTGTCAACAGCTAGCGACCAAACATCTCTGACACAATGGTCCACAGGCACCTCACATTCAACAAGTCTCAGACTGAAAAAGTCATCTTCCCCACTCCATGCCACCCCACCCTACCCCAAGGTAGGGTGTGCTGTGCTTGTTTGGAGATTGACACCATCCATCCAGTTGCCCAAGACCAAAGCTGGTGGCCACCTTCTCCCTTTATCTCTAAATAAAATTGGTCATAAAGTCTTTTTAATCCTGTTATCCTAACAGGTTTTGGTTTAGCCTTCCCGCTCCATCTCTAATATGGTCTTAGTTTCAGCCCACATTGCTTCTCTCCTGCAGTATTAGAAGAGGCTCTCTTTATCCTTCCAGCCTTCTGGCTCCCATTCACTATCTACTCTGCTGGCAGAAGTAACCCCCTAAAATTCATATTGCACTCATGTCTCTCCAGTGCCTAAAATACTCCACCGCTTTCAGTCCACAGTCAGAGCTCCTTAGGGGTGTGGGGTCAGGTGATGCTGCTATATGCTCCATAAGTCAGAATGTGTCCTCCTCTGCTCTGAACCTTCCCACGGCTCCTCATTTCACACAGAGTTAAAAGCCAGTATTTTTCCAGCATCTCACAGGATCCAACTCAATCTGCAACCTCCTATTACTTCTCTACCTTCACTTACTCCTCTGCTCCTTGTTCATCTTGCTCCAACCACACTGTTGGCATCCTTCAAATACTGCAGTCCCCACCATCACAGGGACTTGTATTGGCTGAATCCTTTACTTGGAATCTTCCTTCTCCAGCTCTTTGCAGGATTGACTGTTGTTTTCTTCAAGCCTTTGCTCAAAGGTCCCCTTTTTAGCTTTCCTCGCTGTATTAGTCTGTTCTCATGCTACTAATAAAGACGTACCTAAGACTGGGTAATTTATAAAGGAAAGAAGTTTAATGGACCCACAGTTCCACATGACTGAGGAGGCCTCACAATTATGGCGGAAGGCAAGTAGGGGTAAAGCCACATCTTACATGGATGGCGACAGGGAAGAAGGCATGTGCAGGGGAACTTCCCTTTATAAAACCATCAGATCTCATAAGACTAATTCACTATCACAAGAACAGCACAGCAAAGACCCGTCCCCATGACTCAGTTACCTTCCACTGGTCCCTCCCACAACATGTGGGAATAATGGGAGCTTCAATTCAAGATGAGATTTGGGTGGGGACACAGCCAAACCGTATCACTCACCCCGCCTGATCCTCACATTTACCAATCTACATTGCTTTTAGCTTGTTTTCCTCAAACTTATCACTTTCTAACATGTTATACAATTTGTCTATTTATTTTTATTTATTATTTACTTTCTGTCTCCTTCCTACCGGAATATAAGATCTGTGAAGGTAGGGAACTTTTGTCCATTTTGTTCACTGATGCATCCCTAAAGCACACCCTGGGTGCATAGCACACAGGAGTGCTTAGTGAATGCATGAAAGATTGAATGAATTAATCTCTGTTTTATTACCTTGCACAGAGTAGTCAATTATCTACTGACTTTTCTGTTGCTCACGCTACAATGTGGATTATTTTATCTCTATAACTGCCGTCTGATGCCTGACACATACATGCTCAACCAATATTTGTGGAATAAATAAAATAGGATAAGTCTATTACTCTACCAATAAGAACACAGAGGCCACAGATCTTTCTCCATACCACACAGTGAGAAAATGGTGAGGTCAAAGCTAGAAGCCAGATCTTCTGTGTCCCTGGGCTGATATCTCTCCACTATCCCATCCAGCTCTACTTAAAATAGTTTAAAGTCTGTCTTGGCTTCCAATTATCTTGCAAATCTCTTGAGATGGGGTCAAAACACCAAGCTGCTTTAAAAGCTCCCGTAGTGCCTGATACAGTGCTAGGTAGGCATAATACTTATTCAATAAGTATTCATGGTTTGAGTGCTCAATAAAAATATTATTGTTAGCATTGTTTCCACTTTTAATGACAGAAATGATAATAGCCTCCCAGCAGTCTGCTTTAAATAGGTTCAAGACACCGAAATACAATTTGAACAGTGTCTTCCATCAGCTTGCTCCCTGGAGAGATGAAATGAGTTCATAATGAGATTCCTGCAATGAGTCAAAAAGCAGAGGGAAGGAGTGCAGGGTTTTGCTGCAGTGGGCACAGATGCTTCATTGGCATTTGGGAGCCCAATTTTTCTCTGGGACTCAGAGCTAGCACCAGCCCATGGGGGAGGGGCTGCAGCATGCAGTCCCCCTGGCCCCACAGTACTGAGCACACATTCTCTTTTCTGGGCACTGTCCCTTCAGATCTACTTTAGCTGTGGCAGAGGGTTGATGGAGAACTGATTGTCTATTCAGAATAAATGTAGTATGCTACCAGCCTATGGAAACCATGAAAGCCCCTGCATCCTGCACAAAATAACACATTGATTAATTGCCAGCAGCTACAACAGGTTATTTTCGCAGTCAGAGATTGGCGCGAAGACTCTTACTTCAAGTTTCTGTTGCTAATAGGTTTGATTTGCTTGATTTGGAAGTACAGGTTAATGCTAGCTGGAGTTTTTAAGCCTTGGTGATGAAAGTGTTAGTTCACTAGAATCCGGGGCCAGAAGTGTCCAAATCATTGCATGGGTAGGGGTAGGGTTTATCATTTCACTTTACGCAACTGGCATTTCATTAGGAAAAGGAATAGAGAAAGGAGGAAAAATTAGCCACAAGGTCATCTAGCTCCTCACACGGGGACACTTACCAGGCTGCTCCGGATTGAAAGGGGTCTTGAAACACTGCCCTGTTCTTCTGTCTGAGGTCAATCAAGGTCGACTCACCAATGACAACCTTTCAAAATGCCGCTGTATTTCTTCCAGCTCCTGAGATACAGTATCCAAGGGCCTTTTGCACCTGAAATGGCTCTTCCCGGTAGTTCAGCATCACTCCCTCTCTAGCTCCCTTTTTTGTCTGTGAAGCCGTTTAGAGCTTCTCTCAGCATCTTCAATTTGCTTCCTCACAAAAAGCTGCTTCCTCCATCATCCTTAGAGGAGAGAGGGTTTGGAAATGACAAATATTTTTTCCTTTGTCACATTAAGTGATGGGGGTTAAGTGGGTGTGAAGTGCTGAGATAAGGGGTACTTGGGCATTGAATGGCACGTGGCTCAGCTCTGGTTAGGGCAGTGTTCCAGTGAGGGCTCTGGGCTGGCCACAGGCACTGGCTGGGAGTTGAGATGTTCAGCAGCAGTTGCTTGATATGGTTTGGAATTGTGTCCCTGCTCAAATCTCATGTCAAATTGTGATCCCCAATGTTGGAGGAGGGGCGGGGTGGGAGGTGATTGGATCATGGGGTCAGATATGCCCCTTGCTATTCTCGTGATACTGAGTGAGTTCTCAAGAGATCTGATTGTTTAAAAGCGTTTATCACCTCCCTTTGTTCTCTCCTCCTCCTGCTCCTGCCACATAAGAGGAGCCTGCTTCCTCTTTGCTTTCTGCCACGATTGTACCTTTCCGGAGGCCTCCCCAGCCATGCTTCCTATACAGCCCAAGGAAATGTGAGCCAATTAAACCTCTTCTCTTTACAAATTACCCAATCTCAGGTAGTTCTTTATAGCAATGCAAGAACAGACTAATACAGTGCTTCACCCCTTTGTTTCCTCATAAAGTGGGATTAATAATACCTTCCCTACTTCCTCTGCAAGGTGGGATTCTAGATGAGAAAGCACTGGATAGAATAATTAACAGATTCTGTGAAATTGCTTTGCCCTGGCCAGAGATTCTGTGATTACCTTCCCAGGCTTACAACTTCTAGTGGTTTCTATCTGTAATCATTCTTTCTGTCTCCGTTCTCCACAGGGGCTAAAGAAGGCCAAATAAAACCTCTAGAGCCTCCCGAACTGTGAGCACATCACATCTGTCTAGTGCAACGCTTGCCTTACTAGCTTTTTTCCCCACACCCTTCTTGTCTCTAAGAAAAACATTGCATTGAAACTAAAAATTATCCCTTTTCTATTCCTGATATGCATTTTCTTCGCTGAGCGTTTATTTCCCAAGGTTTCTAGGAAAAGTGCACGGGATGATAGCCACAATAGTAAATCGAATTACATTGTAGTGGGATGCAGTGCACTCTTAGGTTAAAAAAAGAAGTAATGATGTATGAAATATCTTTTATTATTTTTAGCAAAAGTATTTCTTAAAGGAGATTTCACCCAAGGATTTTTCTATTAATTTGACACCCAATTTAGTTTCCCCCGCCCCCCCTCCCCACACACACACAGAAGGCAAAACAGAGGAGAAATTTAAAATCAAATTAGATCGAGAAGATATTTTTTCCCCTCTCTTTCCCTCTCAGTTTTGCCATAATTCCCTGTACTGATGGCAAGAAGGAGATGATCTTCTGTCTGGGCATTTGTTGCCGTTAAGAGGAAGAAAACACCAATGGTGGGTGGAATTTTTCTTTGATGCCAAATTCTATTGCACAGCCTTTCAGAAAAACATTGGTATACTTCATTTCATTTTCAAAAAACTCATCTCAAAAAACTTGGGGCCGGGTGCGATGGCTCCTGCCTGTAATCCCAGCACTTCAGGAGGCCAAGGTAGGTGGATCACCTGAGGTCAGGAGTGCAAGACCAGCCTGGCCAATGTGGTGAAACCCCGTCTCTATTAAAAATGCAAAACTTAGCCAGGTGTGGTGGTGTGTGCGTGTAATCCCAGCTACTCAGGAGGCTGTGGCAGGAGAATTGCTTGAACCCGGGAGGCAGAGGCTGCAGGAGCAGAGATCACGCCGTCACACTCCAGCCTGTGTGACAGAGCAAGACTCCATCTCAAAAAAAAAAACCAAAACCGAAACAAACAAAAAACTTGGAAGCTCTCAGCACTACCTCAACAATACCGCTAAATGTCCTAGGATTCGGTATTAGTTCTGAAATCCCTTCCCAGCTTATCACTTTCATACTTAATGGACCTGTTGATTCCACAACATGCCAGCACACGAATCCATCTGTCACAATGGCAAGGTGCCCTTTCTGTAGGATGACATGCCAATAGCCACCAGCCCCAGTGCCAGCCAATGTGGCATTAGCAACAATGCCCTGCATGACACAATAAACTGTGTACCGATTCAGCAAGAAGGTCTTCCCAGGGAAGCCATGAGCTGCCAAGTGAGAGGCATGCTGCTCATTATGACAAGTCATGCATGGCCCATTCCTGTACAGACCCTGTCCCATGGGTCACATTAGCCCTGCCTATGTGGAGCTACGATGAAAGAGAACAATTCTTTCTTCAGCAGCCACTCTGTGGTACTGACAGAACACACTCTGGAGAGGAGAACTATCCATTGTTAGAACACCCCCTAGGGTGACCAACCATCTTGGAGTTTTCTGGGACATAGGACTTTCAGTGCTAAAAACAAGAAAGTCAAAGAACTAGAATGAGTTGACCACCCTACCTGTATCCCCATGCCAGTCCCCACTGGTACATTCCTCCTTGTCCTGTGTCTTCATCCAACCTTGTTTCACTTCCACTTTTATGGTAAGGATCCGAAATGGCCTCAGGGATTCACACTTCTTGGCATTCACACCCTTGCCTAATCCCTTCCACTAGAGAGTGGGCTGGACTTATTCACTTACTTCTAAGAAGCGCAGAAGTGAAGGGATGTCACTTCTGAGATTATCTTAGAAAAAAAGACTATGGTGTCCATCTTGGGCACTCAATTTTTTCTTCTCTTCACCAACACTCAAGCCCCTACCATTCTTTCCTTCTCCCTCTGAGGGTAACCAACTACCGTGTTGCAAACAGCCGCATGGAGAAGCCCATGTGGGAAGGAACTGATGTCTCCAGCCAACAGCTGGAGACCTGCCAATAGCCCTCTGATTGAGCTTGGATGCAGAAACAACCCGAGGCCTGCCAGTAGCCCCCAGAGTGAGCTTAGATGCAGCTCCTCCCTGTCTCCAGCCTCAAGATGACTGCAGCCCCTTCTGACACCTTGTTTGCAACCTTGTGAAAGGCCCCGAGTCAGGGCACCCAACTAGTCGTGCCTGGATTCCTGACACACAGAAGCTGTAAGATGATCAATGTATGTTGTTTTAAACTACATGGAAGTAAATAACCAAAACAATTTTAAACTGTGAAGAAGCAAGACTCAGTTCTGAAACAGACTAGACTGAGAATAGCACTTTACAGTTAACAGGAACCCAAGAGATCAACTGTTCCCCTCCATTCATTTGACAGGTGAGGAGCCTGAGCCCAGGGGAGGCCAAGCACCTTGTTCTGTAGCTCGTTAGCCACTGCTAGACTGTGCCCTGGGTCTGCTGACTCCTGCTTCGGTGCTGGTTCTCTTCAGTGCTGCTGCCCAGATTGGTAACACCAGCGCCCAGATTTTCAGGCTGTACCTGGTTGTCAGAATCCTGCTACCTCTAGTTTGGTTCACGAAAGAAGATTGCCTTGAACAGACCAGCTCTTCTTAATCATTTCTTCCCTGCTGGAAGCCTTTCTAACTCCTATTAGCTCACTGGATGCTGCTTTCAAAGGCTTTCTAGATGGGGTGGAATGGAAGTCCCATCCCCCTGTTTGCTTTTTTTTTTTTTATTGTATTGTTTCTCTGAGATCTTGCAGGGAGAGAATTTATCTCCAGCTTTGTCACAGGGTTGATAAACTTAATAAAATCTTTTCTACATGATAATCTAGAAACACTGCAGATTTATTTCTGGCTCTGAAAATCAGGAAGCCTCATATCCTCTTTAAATCAGATTTCTGCAGTGTAAATAAACCATCATTTCAATTTAATTCAACAAATATTCCTAAAGCACCTATACCATTATTTGTTCTAGAAGGGTTAGAATGGAAGAAGGCAGGAATGGAAAAAAAGTATGACATGATTATTATTCTCAAGGAACATTTCTGGATGGAAATAATAATCATTATCATAATAACATTTAGCAAAAGGGACTTATCTATGTTTATCTATAATATTTTATTTATTTAAAAAGATCTAAAAAAGAATGAAATGTTAGCAGTTGTTGATTCTGAATGGTGACCTCATGGTTGTCATATTATTTTCTTTTTAAAAATATACACTATATTTTAATAATATATACTTTATAATTATATTAAAACATACATTATATTTTTAGAGTATATATTATAATGTACATTAAAAATGCATTATATTTTCCTTTTTTTTTGGAAACAGAGTCTTACTCTGTCACCCAGGCTGGAGTGCAATGGTGCGATCTTGGCTTACTGCAACCTCCACCTCCTGGTTTCAAGCAATTCCTGTGCCTCAGCCTCCCGAGTAGCTGGGACTACAGGCATGCACTGCCATGCCTGGCTAATTTTTGAATTTTTTTTGGTAGAGACGGGGTTTCACCATGGTGGCCAGGCTGATGTTGAACTCCTGACCTCAAGTGATCCGCCTGCCTCAGCCTTCCAAAGTGCTGGGATTACAGGCATGAGCCACTGTGCCCAGCCATAAAAATGCATTATATTTTCTAAAGGTAATTTTTTTCACATTAAAAGAATATAACATAATGAATCTGTCTAAGGCACTCTAATGAGCACTTTGCATGAATATCTCATTAAATCTTCCCACCAGTCCTCTGAGGGAAGTACTTTGTTTTCCTTGTTCCTCTGCAGCTCAGAAAGGTTGGGTAACTTATTCAAAGTCACCCAGCTAATAAATGAAATTAAAATCTAGTTCTGTCTTATTCCAAAACCAGTGATCTCCATTGCCAACCTTTAATTCCTGCCGACAAAAAGTATATCTAGGTGGGAAAATGACAAATACATGTATGAAATAAGTTCAGACAAATAATTTCAGCAAGCTTCTACATGAGATATATATGTAAGTGTTAGATAAGACAGGGCACTGTTGCAGTGGAACTCACATTCTAGTGGGCAGGGATTGACAATCAAAAAGTACATGAGGTTGGGCATGGTGGCTCACACCTGTAATCCCAGCACTTTGGGAGGCCAAGGCAGGCAGATCACCTGGGGCCAGGAGTTCGAGACCAGTTTGGCCAACAAGGCGAAACCCCGTCTCTACTAAAAATTCAAAAAATAGCTGGGCGTGGTGGCAGGGGCCTGTAATCCCAGCTACTCAAGAGGCTGAGGCATGAGAATCACTTGAATCCGGGAGGCAGAGGTTGCAGTGAGCTGAGATCGTGCCTTTGCATTCCAGCCTAGGCGATAGAGTGAAGACCCTGTCTCAAAAAAAAAAAAAAGTACATACATAAGACAATTTCAAATTATAAATACTAGGAAGAAATTAAAACAGAATGAAAGAGTAGTGGAAGGGAGGGCTTTTAGGTTGATTGGTTTAGAAGACTCCACTGATCAAAGTTTGAAATCAGTTTCCCTCCTCCCTCATTCTATGGAGGTCAAGGTCTCATGACTGGTGCACCCCAAATTTTAATCAGTGAAGTTTATGGGGATGGGACCAGTATGTGAGAATTG
This sequence comes from Homo sapiens, assembly GCF_000001405.40. Classification (NCBI taxonomy): domain Eukaryota; kingdom Metazoa; phylum Chordata; class Mammalia; order Primates; family Hominidae; genus Homo; species Homo sapiens. The sequence goes on from NC_000007.14 coordinate 133,121,064, forward strand.
ACTATGTCAGGCAGAGGACCTCATTCTTCCATGCATATAATCTCATTTAGTAATATTTGGATATGTTAGGAGTGGGTGGTAAATAGACATTTGCCCATCATGTTCTATTTGACAGCAAGAAAAAACATTATGCATTTGGACAACAGTGAAAAAGCAAATCAGATTAAGGGAGGGTGCAGGCTACATGGTGGGAATCAAGCACAGAGGACTGCAGACAGATAAGGAAGGGCCAGACTTTTGAAAGCCAGTATGGAGCCTTGGATAAAAAATTAGAGCCTGATTAGATACTGAGCAAGAGAATGAAATGATGAATGTGACAGTCTAAATGGCCTACTCTGCAAACACAGTATATAGCGGTGGAGATATCCGGGGGGAAGGAAGTCTTTCAGAAGACTATAGTTTACATTGGCCATATGGAATCCTTATCTAAGAAGGCAGGAATTGAGAATGGAGGGATGTATCTGAGAGACATTGCAGAGAAAGAATCAACTGCTCAACCCCAAGGGGTAGTACTTTTGGATGGAAATTGTGCGAACTCTCAGTGGGAGGTGGCAGCATTGTTTTTGCCCAACATTTCTGGGGATTAAGTTGCTCTGGTCTGTTGATGCTTGAACAGATTGTGAAAATGATCTCTCCAACTTTTTGGTTTTGGACTCAAGATGGAAAGTTGATCTGAACTATTTACTTGGGTACGTGGGAGGATCATGCGTAGGACTTGAGCTTCCGGGGGCAGAGAGCTGTTGCACAGATGGCTACGTTACAGAGTACAGATCACAATCAACTCCAGCATTTAGAAGATTTCCTTTCTTACTAAAATTTATTCTACCCTTTGAGAAATAACAAAAGAACTCGTGCCATATGCCTCAAGTATCACTAATGCTCCAGTACTTTCCAAAGGTATTTAAACTACTATCCCTTCTCACTCCTGTAATTGACACCCTATTTGTCAACATATATGTATTTTAATTAGAATCTGAGTTTCAAAGAAGAGATTCGCCCAAGTTAACTTAAAATTCCATCTCAGAGTATGTTCCTGGAGAACGCAACTTGTAATGCTATTGCTAATGCTATTGCTATATGACTTCAGTACTCTTGAAAGGTGTGATTTCTTTTTTGGTCCTATCATGTGGTCAGTTTTTGTAAATTTTCCATGAGTACTTGAAAAGCGTCATCATGCTAAAGATGCTGGTGCTGTGCTATTGGCCATTAGGCCAAGTTGGTTAATTAAATTGTTGCTGGTTCTAGTCATCTATATTCTTACTGATTCTTGTCTGCCTTTTCTATGAATTTCTGAGAAAAGTGGTTAAAATTTCTTGCTAGCCAGATGCAGTGGCTCATGCCTGTAAACCCAACACTTTGGGAGGCCAAGGCAAGAGGATCACATGAGTTCAGGAGTTCGAGACCAGCCTGGGAACATAGTGAGACCTTGTCTCCACTAAAATTTTTTGTTTAATTAGCTAGGTTGTGGTAGTGCCTGCCTATAGTCCCAGCTACTCAGGAGGCTGAGGCAGGAGGATCTCTTCAGCCTAGAAGGTGGAGCATGTGGTGAGCCGTGATGATACCACTTTACTCCAGCCTGGGCAACAGAGCCAGATCTCATCTCAAGAAAAATAAATAAATAAATAAATAAAACCTCATGCTGAGATTGTGAATTGATTTATTTTTCTTTTTAGTTATGTCCATTTTTGCTTTCTATACTTTGAGATGATGTTATTAGATATATATTAATTTAAATTTACTTTTTTTTGGCGATTGCAATTTTATCATTAAGAAGTGATCATCTTTACCACTAGTAGTTTTTTGTTGTTGTTGTCGTTTTTTGAGTTGGTGTCTCCCTCTGTCGCCCAGGTTAGAGTACAGTGACGTGATCTCCACTCACTGCAACCTCCACTTCCCATGCTCAAGCGATCCTCTCACCTCAGCCTCCAGAGTAGCTGGGATCACAGGAGCCCACCACCATGCCAGGCTAATTTTTTTTCTTTTGTATTTTTGGTAGAGACAGAGTTTCACCATGTTGCCCAAGCTGGGTCTCGAACTCCTGAGCTCAGGCTATCCAGCCACCTCGGCCTCCCAAGTGTGGGATTACAGGTGTTGAGCCACCACACCCGGCCTACCACTAGTAATTTTTTAAACTAAAAGTCTATTTTGCCAGATATCAGTATAATTAAATTGGCTTGCTTTTCACTAGTATTTGTCCAGTATAACTTTGTACATATTTTTACTTTTTTAAAAAACCAGCTTTACTGAAATATAACTAACATATAATAAAAGATACAGAATTAAAATGTACAGATGAATAAGTATTAACATAACACACACAAGATTATCAGCACAATCAAAACAATGGACATGTTCATCATCCCTGAAAGTCTCCTTGCCCCCTTTTCTTTCCCCTACTCTCCCTGCATCCTCCCCCACCACTTCCCAGGCAAACACTGAGCTTTTCTTCTATCACTATAGGTTAGTTAGCTTTGTCTAGAACTCATATAATTGGAGCCATCATGATGTACTTAAAAAAAAAAATCCAGCTCTGTCATTCAGTATAATTGTTTTAAACTGTATCCTTGTTATATGTATCAATAGATCATTCCTTTTTATTTATTTTCTTTTCTTTTCTTTTCTTTTTTTTTTTTTTTTTCTGAGACAGAGTCTCACTCTGTTGCCCAGGCTGGAGTGCAGTGGAGAGATCTGGGCTCACTGCAACCTTTGCCTCTTGAGTTCAAGTGATTCCCCTGCCTCAGCCTCCCAAGTAGCTGGGATTACAAGTGCGTACCACCACGCCCGGCTAATTTTTGTATTTTTAGTAGAGATAGGGTTTCACCATGTTGCCCAGGCTGGTCTCAAACTCCTGACCTCAAGTGATCCACCCGCCTTGGCCTCCCAAAGTGCTGGGATTACAGATGTGAGCCATCGTGCCTGGCTGCGTCCTTTTACTTTTAATCTTTCTATTGACTCAGGTTTTATATGTGGTTTTCGTAAATAATGTGTATTTGGACCTTTTAAATCTAGTCTCAAAGTCTTTGTGTTTTAAATGAAGCATTAGTCCACTTTTTTTTTTTTTTTTTTTTCAGAGTCTCACTCTGTCGCCCAGGCTAAAGTGCGGTGATGCGATCTTGGCTCACTGCAACCTCCACCTCCCAGGTTCAAGCAATTATCTGCCTCAGCCTCCCGAGTAGCTGGGATAACAGGCACCCACCACTACGCCTGGCTAATTTTTGTATTTTTAGTAGAGACAGGATTTCACCATCTTGGCCAGGCTGGTCTTGAACTCTTGACCTCACGATCCACCCGCCTCAGCCTCCCAAAGTGCTGGGATTATAGGCGTGAGCCACCATGTCTGGCTGCATCCTTTTACTTTTAATCTTTCTATTGACTCAGGTTTTATGTGTGGTTTTTGTAAATAATGTATATTTGGACCTTTTAAATCTAATTGCAAAGTCTTTGTGTTTTAACTGAAGCAATTAGTCCACTTTTATTAAGCAATTGCTGATACGTTTAGGTTTACATCTACTACTTCATCTTTATATTATTTCTCTCTGCTGTATGTTTCTAAATTTTTTCTAGGCTGAGTGCAGTGGTGAGTTCCTCTAATTCCAGTGCTTTGGGAGGCTGAGGTGGGAAGATTACTTGAGGCCAGGAGCTTGAGACCAGCCTGGGCAACATGGCGAGACCCCATCTCTACAAAACTAAAATAAAATATTAGCCAAATCCAATGGCACGTGCCTGTAGTCTTAGCTACTCAGGAGGCTGAGGTCGGAGGATCACTTGAGCACAGGGAAACTGAGGCTGCAGGGAGCTATAATCATGCCCCTGTACTCTAGCCTGGGCCACAGAGACCCTGTCTCTAAAACATACACATAACTTTTAAAAATGTTTACTTCTTATTTCCCTTTTGGCTTTCTTTTAAATTGATTACTATTTGTTTTTTCATATGTTCCATCTGAACTACTTTGGAAGTTACTAGTCTATTATACTTTAAAGAAGCAAGTTTTGTAAACCTGATAATATAGTCAACAAGATTCAGAATCAGGAATAGACCAGAATCCAGGTGCTATAATGAAATCACAACAGGACTCTGAAAAGAGAATTTAAGGAATGTGAAGTATCCAGCATGGCTACTGAGTAGAAAATTAATTAATAATGGAACGGAAGATAGCTGAAAGAGAATAACTTGTTATTATCAGCACAGATTCTGGTGGCAGAGGTAAAATGGCAATTGCTGCAGTACTTTTAATCATACTTACATGCCTTATGGGGCCAAAAGAGCAAATGAATTCCTGAAGATTTCAAAGATGGTGGGAGGTGGGTGGTATAATCTAAGCTTTCTGGCTGGGCATGGTGGCTCATGCCTGTATTCCCAGCACTTTGGGAGGCCAAAGAGGGCAGATCACTTGAGGTCAGGAGTTCAAGACCAGCCTGGTCAACATAACGAAACCCCCCTCTATTAAAAATACAAAAATTAGCCAGGCATGCTGGCGGGCGCCTGTAATCCCAGCTACTCGGGAGGCTGAGGCAGGAGAATCGCTTGAACCTGGGAGGCGGAGGCTGCAGTGAGCCGAAATCAAACCACTGCACTCCAGCCTGGGTGACAGAGCGAGACTTGGTCTCAGAAAAAAGCTTTCTGCACCTTGCTCTTTCTCTAAATAAAAACTCTTACCTTAGGGAAATAATAATAATAATAACAACGACAGTAATGACAGAGTAGCTTACAGTTTTTGAGTACTTAATTATGTAATGTGCAATGCAGTTTTTTATGGTTTTCTCATTTAATCTCATTTAATCTTCCCAGCAATTCTTTGATAAAGATACTATGTAGGACACCATCTGTACACCACTTCAAATCCCCTCGGCATTGTCTATCTGCTAATTTAACCACTGCTGCAGTGACCTGTCCTATGCAGATGCAAACTGGTGACACTTGTTCCCAATACTGTGCCACACACCTCTTACTTCCTGCCCCGAAGCTTCTTTATTAATGCCGCGACTTGGAATCCTAGGAAAAAATCCCAGAGTATGTCATTGGTATAGATGTACTTGGAAACTGGAAGAATCTTCACATTATTTCTCTGACCTGTAGAGAGCTTTCTACTCCACCTTACTGGAGATAATAAAGCAATCATGCATCCCAGAAGGAATTATAGAGATTAATTCTACCGTTAAAGGTTTAAAAGACATAAGAGTAGAAGTCCCCACAATTATTCCATTCAATGCACCTGCCTGCATGCAGCAAACAGCAATAACAACAATATAGCTCATGGTAGATGACAATCATAAATTTAATTAGATGGTAACCCCAATAGCAACTACCATGTCAGCTGTTGTATCTTTACTAAGGCAGATCAGCAGTCTCTAGCTCTTGGTATGTGGCTATTGATCTGGCAAATGCCTTCTTCCCCATCCAGATCAGTACAGGGAGAATCAGAATCCATTTGATTTAACATGAGAGGGATAGAAGTGCATTATTTACTGTCTTGCTCCAGGGCTATGTTAACGTTCCTGTTTCCTGCCCCAGTAGAATCTGCAGGGACTTGATTGCCTTAATGTTCTACCAGAACTTAATGACGTCATACTAATGGGCTCTGGTGAGAATGGATGGCAGGTATGTTGGATGCCTTGTAAGTGAGCCTGTTTGTGAAGATAAATCCTATGAAGACTCAAGTGGCAAGCACTCCTAATGTACTTATTTACTAAAAATTTAAAGTTATTTGAATTAAAACATTTAAAAAGGTTTCTTATAGAAAATATCAGACATATAAAAAATTAGAGAAAATAACAAAACAAATAATATATTTGTTATAAGTAATATATAACCAGCTTCAGTAATTACCAATTTATAGCCAGTTTCATTTCATCCATAACTTCATTCCTTTCCTCCTCCGATGTTATCTTGAAACAAATCCCACATCTATTCATTCGTAAATATTCCATATGGATCTCTAAAAGATAAAACTTCTTTTATAACGTAACTGTCATATCATTATCACATCTAGGATAAGATACTTTATTTTTTTTGAGACAGGGTCTCTCTCTGTCACCCAGGCTAGAGTGCAGTGGTGCCATCACAGCTCACTACAGGCTCAACTTTCTGGGGTCAGGTGATCCTCCCACCTCAGCCTCCCAAGTAGTTGGGACCATAGGCACAAACCACCATGCTCGGCAGTTTTTTGTTTTTTTTTTTTTTCCAGAGACAGGGTCTCGCTATGTTGTTCAGGCTGGTCTCAAACTCCTGGGCTCAAGTGATCCTCCCACCTCGGCCTCCCAAAGTGCCACTTTTTTTTTTTTTTTTTTTTTTTGTAGAGACAGGGTCTTGCTATGTTGCTCAGGCTGGTCTCAAACTCCTGGGCTCAAGTGATCCTCCCACCTCGGCCTCCTAAAGTGCTGAGATTATAGGGGTGAGCCACTGCACCCGGCCCAAAAAATAAAACTTCTTTTATAACATAACTATCATATCATTATCACATCTAAGATACTTAATAATTCTTTAATACCATCAAATATTCAGTCATTGAAATTTCCAATTGTTTCCTAAATGTCATAATTTTTAAAAGTTTGTTGTTTGAAAAAAGATACGAATAAAACCTCGACATTGCAACTGGTTGATATGCTTTAATAGTCTCCTCTAGTTTATTAGTTCTCCTTCCATCTCTTTGGTTTTATTCTTTGCAGTTTATTTGTTAAAGAAACTGGGTCATTTTTCCTGCAGGGTGGATTTTGCTAATTGCATCCCTATGTTGTCTTTTGACATATTCCTCTATGTTTTTTGTAAATACGTAGTTGCTGATGCCATTTTTAGTGGCCCCTGGAGTCTAGGATGTCCCGGGATATATACCTTTAAGGTAGAGAACAAGTTTTTGTACCTTGCATCTTGTATGATTAAGAAGGAGGCACATGTTTGATTAATCTTCTTGGATTTTGGAAGCAGTGTACACTGTACTTGAACCAGTTTATCAGGTGACCAGAAAGGCTTCCATTTTCAAGTGGGATTCAGAACACAAAAAAAATTCAGCAACAGATCCAAGTTGTGTTGCAAACTGCCCTGCCACTTAGGCCTCATGACCCAGCAGATCCAATAGTACTAGGGAGATCCCTGGTGGATAAGAATGCTGTGTGAGGCCGGATGCGGTGGCTCACACCTGTAATCCTGGCACCTTGGGAGGCCAAGGTGGGTGGATCACCTGAGGTTAGGAGTTTGAGACCAGCCTGGCCAACATAGTGAAACCTGCCTCTACAAAAATACAAAAATTAGCCAGGCATGGTGGCAGGCACCTGTAATCCCAGCTACTCAGGAGGCTGAGGCGGGAGAATCGCTTGAACCTGGGAGGCGAAGGTTGCAGTGAGCCAAGATCGCACCACTGCACTCCAGCCTGGGTGACAGGGCGAGGCTCCGTCTCGGAAAAAAAAAAAAAGAAGAATGCTGTGTGAAGTTTCTGGCAAGCCCCAACATAAGGATTATGGCAGGTTTCTAGAGCAGGATCATATCCTCCAAGCAGATAATTACTCTCCTTTTGAGAAGTAGTTCCCCATGTGCTCCTTGGCCCTAGTAGATATCTAACACCTGGGACACAAAGTGATGGTGAGACCCAAACTGACTATCCTAAGCTCACAGTTACCAGAACCACCAAGTCATAAAGTCAGGTGGGCCCAGCAGTGTTCCACTACGCATTCCAAACAATAAGAGTATCATGGCAAAGCAGGTCTAGAATTCACAGGCCCATTCTATGATCAGTTGGCCCTGCCCCCAACTCAGTACCCTTGTTGCAACAGTATGTCTCTCTCAACTCACATCACTGGCTTTATTGGTGGGGGAGAGGGGTCCTAGTCCCTTTCATCCTATATCCAATAAAGGGAGAGAAAATTTTCTCATAGATGAGTTGGCATTAATTATTGGTTTTGGCCAAACATTTATTTTATAAAGTACAGTGGTTAAAGGAACATTTTCCTGGTAGGTAAAGCAGAGAACAGTAGTAAATTTAATTGTTTCATTTTTTATGGGAGGAAAACTAGCCTAAGGTGTGGATTAACAAGAATTCTGGGGGCGGCAATGAATGCTTTGGCTGGTTGGCCAGGAACTTGAAAGGAGTAAGACTGGAAGATATGGGACAAGGATGTCTGGGGAAAGGGCATGTGGATGGACTTCTGGGAATAAGTAAAAAGCATCTAGATCTTTGGATCTCACATTGATGCCCAACAGGGAGCATCCCTTGCAGAGAAGGCTCTCAACAGCCAGGTGGATGGACAGGATGACTTATCCTATGGATGTCAGCCAGCCTGTCTCCTAAGCCACTCCAGTGGTGGCATAATGAATGCACAAACAGAGTGCCTGTGGTGGCAGGGATGGAAGCTATGTATGGGTCCAACAACATGGGTTCCCTCTCACCCAGGTTAACCCACAGCAAGAACTGACCTTGAAACGTTGATATCACAAAGTTCGTCAAGGACATTTGTGGCAGGTTGATTATCTCAGACTCTTTTATGCCAGAGGAAGTAGAAATTGTCCCTTAACAAAATTGATACTTACTCCAGTTATATTTTCTTTTCCAGCCCACCATGCCTCCATAAGAGCTACCATTATTGGTCTACAAGATGCTTGGCCTCTTAGCATGGTACACAGCACAACACTGTCTCAGAAGAAAGGGCCCATTTTTATGACAAAGGGGTGCAACAGGCTGGGTATTGTGGTTCATGCCTATAATCCCAGCACTTTGGGAGTCCAAGATGGGCAGATCACTTGAGGCCAGGAGTTTGAGACCAGCCTGGCCAACATGGTAAAACCCCATCTCTACTAAAAATACAAAAATTAGCCAGGTGTGGTGGTGCGCACATGTAATCCCAGCTACTTGGGAGGGTGATGCACAAGAATCACTTGAACCTGGGAGGTGGAGGTTGCAGTGAGCCAAGATTGTGCCACTGCACTCCAGCCTGGGCAACAGAGTGAAGCTCTTTCTCAAAAATAAATAAATAAATAAAATAAAATAAAATAAAATAAAGGGCAGGGAGAGTGCAACAATGGACACATAACCCAGAATCCTCTGGTCTGACAATGTACCCCATTATTCAGAAGCAACCACCTTAATAGAACACCTTATTAAGGAGTGTCTGATATGATTTGGCTCTGTGTCCCCACCCAAATCTCATCTTGAATTGTAATACCCATATTGCAGGGAGGGAGCTGGTGGGAGGTGACTGAATCATGGGGGCGGTTTCCGCCATGCTGTTCTCATGATAGTGAGGGAGTTCTCATGAGATCTGATGGTTTTAAAGTTTCAGTTTCCCCTGTGCGCTCTCTCTCTCTCTGTCTCGGTGCCATGTAAGACGTGCCTTGCTTCCCCTTCACCTTCCGCCATGATTGTAAGTTTCCTGAGGCTTCCCCAACCACGCAGAACTGTAAGTCAATTAAACCTCTTTTGTTTCTAAATTATCCAGTCTCAAGTATTCTTTATGGCAGTGTGAAAACGGACCAATACAGTGTCATCCCCAGTAAGGCTCCATTTCAGAGATAACACTCTGCTGGATTTGCGCTATGATATAGAAATGCATTGAGCCAAAACAAGGCATGTGGTGCTATTTCCCCACAGCTAGTATCCGTGGTGGAGTGCGGAGTGGATGAATGAATGCCATGGGACTTACTCGTTGAACTTGAAGTGGCCACTACCACCTGATCACTCTGGGATCCTCATACTGAAGGACGAGGTAACTAAGAAAGGAATTACTACACTAGCAAGGGTAAAGGACCCTGATTGCCACAAGGAGCTACTGCTACACGATTAAAGTAGGGAGGAGAGGCTGGGTGCGGTGGCTCACACCTGTAATCAAAGCAGTTTGGGAGGCCGAGGCGGGTGGATCACCTGAGGTCGGGAGTTCAAGACCAGCCTGACCAACATGGAGAAACCCATCTCTACTAAAAATACAAAATTAGCTGGGTGTGATGGCACATGCCTGTAAACCCAGCTACTCAGGAGGCTGAGGCAGGAGAATCGCTTGAACCTGGGAGGTGGAGGTTGTGGTGAGCTGAGATCACACCATTGCACTCCAGCCTGGGCAACAAGAGCAAAACTTCGTCTCAAAATAAATAAATAAATAAAGTAGGGAGGAGTGTGTCTGGAACGCAGGGGATTCAATGGGGGCGTCTCTTCAGGCAACCTCTCTGAGCCTTAGTTTTCTCATCTGTGAAATAAGGGTTGTGAGGATTAAATGAGGCCATATAGATTCTGGCATAAGTTAGCTCCACAAAAATGTTATTTCTCTTTTTCTCATTCTGGCCTTTAATTTTTCTGCCTTAGTTCTCCTTAAACATTTATAAGAACTTTGCACGAAATAGCCAACTTTCTGGCAGGAGAAGCCTACTCTAGGAGGCCCTTGGCTGTGACAGGTTAGCTACAAGATAACATTTAGGAATAGTTTACAAAGGAAGATACAGTTATAGTCCTGCAATCACATAGCTTTTTCCAAAGAAAGAGAAAAAGAAAAAGTTACAGACCCATAATTACATAGTCTTGTCACATTCACCATGGAAACAGGTTTGGGTTACTAACCAGAGGCGTGTAAACACAACGTAATAAAAAATAGATGATACTAGAGCTATGCTCCTTTTATTACTTTAGGAAATTTTAAACTTTGTTTTATATGCATGGCAGTATTAACAAATGCTTTTTGAACTCCCACTATGTGTTCCTCACTGCACTAGCCCCTGGGGATGGAAAGATCAAAGCAAGCTGG